>NC_000012.12:88085128-88710128 GCF_000001405.40 Homo sapiens | reverse complement strand
GCAATGGGGAAAGGATTCCCTATTTAATAAATGCTGCTGGAAAACTGGCTAGCCATATGTAGAAAGCTGAAACTGGATCCCTTCCTTACACCTTATACAAAAATTAATTCAAGATGGATTAAAGACTTAAACGTTAGACCTAAAACCATAAAAACCCTAGAAGAAAATCTAGGCATTACCATTCAGGACATAGGCATGGGCAAGGACTTCATGTCTAAAACACCAAAAGCAATGGCAACAAAAGCCAAAATTGACAAATGGGATCTAATTAAATTAAAGAGCTTCTGCACAGCAAAAGAAACTACCATCAGAGTGAACAGGCAACCTACAAAATGGGAGAAAATTTTTGCAACCTACTCATCTGACATAGGGCTAATATCCAGAATCTACAATGAACTCCAACAAATTTACAAGAAAAAAACAAACAACCCCATCAAAAAGTGGGCGAAGGACATTAACAGACACTTCTCAAAAGAAGACATTTATGCAGCCAAAAAACACTTGAAAAACTGCTCATCATCACTGGCCATCAGAGAAATGCAAATCAAAACCACAATGAGATACCATCTCACACCAGTTAGAATGGCAATCATTAAAAAGTCAGGAAACAACAGGTGCTGGAGAGGATGTGGAGAAATAGGAACACTTTCACACTGTTGGTGGGACTGTAAACTAGTTCAACCATTGTGGAAGTCAGTGTGGCGATTCCTCAGGGATCTAGAACTAGAAATACCATTTGACCCAGCCATCCCATTACTGGGTATATACTCAAAGGACTATAAATCATGCTGCTATAAAGACACATGCACACGTATGTTTATTGCGGCATTATTCATAATAGCAAAGACTTGGAACCAACTCAAATGTCCAACAATGATAGACTGGATTAAGAAAATGTGGCACATATACACCATGGAATACTATGCAGCCATAAAAAATGATGAGTTCATGTCCTTTGTATGGACATGGATGAAATTGGAAATCATCATTCTCAGTAAACTATAGCAAGTACAGAAAACCAAACACCGCATATTCTCACTCATAGGTGGGAATTGAACAATGAGATCACAGGGACACAGGAAGGGGAATATCACACTCTGGGGACTGTGGTGGGGTGGGGGAAGGTGGGAGGGATAGCATTGGGAGATATACCTAATGCTAGATGATGAGTTAGTGGGTGCAGCGCACCAGCATGGCACATGTATACATATGTAACTAACCTGCACAATGTGCACATGTACCCTAAAACTTAAAGTATAATAAAAAATAAATTAATTAATTAATTAAAAAAAAGAAACTGAGAAACTAGGAGATAGCTACAGGGGATATAATGTCAACAGATTTTTAAGTTAAAAAATAAATTTATTTTGCAATTAAAAAAAAGAAAGTGTTCTAATTTTTACCTGCTGTAATGTGGAATGAAGATAATTCCAATAAAAAAAAAAGAAGAAGCGATAGATATCATTTAGAATAAAACATGAACTTCTGAAAATAAAATATTCATTCAAAGATTTAAAAATACAGTTGAAAGCTTTAACAATAGGCTACACCAAGTGGAAGATGAAATTTCAGAGCTGAAAAACAGGTCTTTCAAATTAACCCAGTCACACAAAAATAAAGGGAAAATAATTTTATAAAATAAACAAAGCCTTTGAGAACTATGCGGTTATGTGAAATTTCAACACCTACAAGTTATAGGTATTTCACAGGGAAAAGAAGAAAAAGTTAAAAATATGGAAAATATATTTGGGATATAATTCAGAAAACTTCCTTGGTTGTGTGAGGATCTAGGTATCCAGATATAAGAAGCTCAGAAAATCCTTGTAAGATATATTGCAAGAAGAATCTCATCAAGGCATATAGTCATCAGACTATGCAAAGTCAACATGAAAGAAAAAATCCTAAGAGCAGCAAGAGAGAAGTGTTTAATCACCTATAAAGGATATTTTATCAGACTAACAATGGACTTCGCAGCAGAAACTCTACAAGCCAGAGGAGATTAAAGGGGTATTTTTAGGTTACATAAAGAAAAAATTGTGAGCCAAGAATTCTATATTCTCCCAAACTAAACTTAATAAACCAAGGAGAAATAAAGTATTTCCCAGACAAACAAACACTAATGGAATTTGCCACTACTAGACTGGTTCTACAAGAAATGCATAAAGGAGTTCTAAACATGGAAAGAAAAGGACAATACTCACTTTCAAAAAAGGACACATAAGTACAAAGCTCACAGATCCTATAAAGCAATTACATAACTGAAACCTCAAGGCAACTAGGGAACAAAATTATGATCGAAACAAAACCTCACATATCAATATTAATATTGAATGCAAATAGCCTAAATGCTCCACTTAAAAGATACAGACAGACAAATTGGATTTAAAAACAAGACTCAATTATCTGCTGCATACAAGGGACCCACCTAATGGCTAAAGACAGCTGCAGACTCAAAGAGGTGGAAAAAAATATATGACACCAATGGAAAACGAAAGCAAGCAGGAGTACCCATCATTTTATCAGATTTAAACAGATTTTAAACAAACACACTAGAGAAAGACAAGGAAGGGAATTATATAATGATAAAGGATTCAATAGAAAAAGATTGAACTATCTTAAATATATGTGCACCCAACATTGGAGCATAGAGATTTATAAAACAAAAACTACTAGACCTAAGGAAACATATCAATAGCAATAAAATAATAGTGGAGGAATTCAACACCCTATTGACAACACTAGACAGGTCATCAATGCAGAAAATCAACAAAGAATTTCTACTTAAAATGGACTATAAATCAAATAAACCTAACAGACATTTACAGAACACTCTATCCAACAACTGCAGAATACACATTCTTCTCATCTGTGCATGGAGCATTCTCCAAAATCAAACATATGCTTGTCCATAAAGCAGGTTTCAACAAATGTGAAAAAAAATCAAAATCATATGAAGTGTCTTCTTGGACCACACTGGAATAAAACTTAGAAATCAATACCAAGCTCTCCCAACTACACAAGTACATAGAAACTAAACAACTTGTTCCTGAATTACTTTGGGTAAACAATGATACTAACGCAGGAAAAAAATCCAAAACATATGAAAATACACATACAACATACCCAAAACTCTGGAATACAGCAAAAGCAGTGCTAAAAGAAAAGTTTATAACATTAAATGCCTACATAAAAAAGGCAGATCTCAAGTTAACAACCGAATGTCACACCTCAGGGAACAAACCAAACCCAAAGCTAGCAGAAGAAAAGATATAACAACAATCAGAGCAGAACTAAATAATATTGAAATAAGGAATAAAGATACAAAGGATGAATGAAACAAAAAGTTGGTTCTTTGAAAGGAGAAACAAAATTGACATACTGCTAGTTAGATTATCACCAAGGAAAAAAGAAAAGATTCAAATAAGTACAATCAGAAATGATAAGGGTGGCATTACAACTAATACCACAGAAATGTAAAAGATCACAAGAGGCCATTATGAACACCTACATGTGCAAAAACTATCAAACCTAGGGGAAATGGATAAATTCTTGGAAACATACAACTTCCCAAGATTGAATCAGAAAGAAATAGAAATCCTGAATGGAGCAATAATGAGTAATGGTATTGAGTCTGCAATAACAAACCTTCCAACAACAATGACAAAGCCCAGGACCAGATGGATTCACAGCCAAATTTTACCAGATGTACAAAGAAAAGCTGGTGCCAATCTTGTTGAAACTATTCCAAAAAAAAAAAAAAAAAAATGAGGAAGAGGCATTCTTACCTAACTCATTCTATGAAACCAGTATCTCCCTGATACCAAAATCAGGCAAGGACACCTGCAAAAAGAAAACTACAGGTTAATGGTTCTAATGAACATAGATGTAAAATTCCTCTAGAAAATATTAGCAAACCAAATCCAATAACACATCAAAAAGTTAATTTATTATCATCAAGTGGATTATATTCCAGGGACGCAAGGATAGTTCAGCATCCACAAATCAATAAATGTGATACATCACATAAACAGAACTAAAAACAAAAACATGATCATCTCAATAGATGCAGAAAAAGCATTCAATAAAAGCTAACATTCTTTTATAATAAAATCTCTCAACAAATCTCAACAAATTAGGCATTAAAGTAAGACACCTCACAAAAATAAGAGCCATCTATAACAAACCTACAGCCAGCGTTATACTTAATGGGGAAAAGTTGAAAACATTCCCTATACAAACTGTAATAAGACAAAGATGACCACTCTCACTACTCCTACTCAACATAGTGCTGGAAGTTCTAGCCAGAAAATTCAGGTGAAAGAAAGAAATAAAATGCATCTAAAGCAGAAAAGAGGAAGTCAAATCATCTATGTCTACTGATTACATGATTATACACCAAGAATATCCTAAAGTCTCCTCCAAAAGACTCCTAGACTTGATAAGTTACCTCAGAAAAGTTTCAAGATACAAAATCAATGTACAAAAATCAGTAGCATTTCTATACACCAATAATGTTCAAGCTGAGAACCAAATCAAGAACTCAATACCATTTACAATAGCCACAAAAAATTGAAATACCTAGGAATATATTTAATCAAGGAGGTAAAAGATCTCTACAAGGAGATCTTTAAAACATTGCTGAAAGAAATTGTATTATATAAAATGGCTTAGTAGAAAAAAATTTTTTAGTAAATAAATAAAAAGAAATTGTAGATAACACAAAAAATGGAAAAACATTTCAAATTTCATGCATATGAATTGGAAGAATCAATGTCAATAAAATGACCATATGGCACAGAGCAATCTACAGCTTTAATGCAATTCTTATCAAATTACCTGTGTCATTTTTTACCGAACTGGATCCAAACAATGGGGAAATGATATCCCATTCAATAAATAGTGCCATGAATTTTGGCTAGCCATATGCAGAAGAATGAAATTGGACCCCTACCTCTTACCATATACAAAAATTAACTCAAGGTGAATTAAAGTCTTTTTATTGTTATTATTGTTATTATTTAGAAAGAGTCTTATTCTGTCACCCAGGCTAGAGTGAAGTGGCATGATCTCTGGTTACCATAAACACTGCCTCCTGGATTCAAGTAATTCTCCTGCCTCAGCCCCCTGAGTAGCTGGGATTACAGGTGTCCATCACCATGCCTGGCTAAGTTTTGTATTTTTGGTGTACTAAAATAGGATTTCACCATGTTGGCCAGGTTGGTCTTAAACTCCTGACCTCAAGTAACCTGCCCACCTCAGCCTACCAAAGTGCTGGGATTACAGGCATGAGCCACTGTGCCTGGCCTGGAGTAAAGCCTTACACATAAGAACAGAAAGTGTAAAAATCCTAGAATAAAACCTAGGAAAAATTCTTCTTACCAATGGGCCTTGGCAAAGAATGTATGAGGAAGACCCTAAAGCAAATGCAACAAAAACAAAAATACACAAATGAGACTTGATTAAACTAAAAAGCTTATGGCCAGCAAAAGAAGTAATCAACAGAGAAACAGATAACATACAGAATTGGAGAAAATATTTGCAAATTATGCCTTATACAAAGGACTAATATCCAGAAGCTGCAAGAAACTCAAACAACTCAACAAGAAAAAAACAAACACTTCATTTAAAAGTGGGCAAAAGACATGAACAGATATTTTAAAAGATGAAATACAAGTGGCCAACAAACATGAAAAAATTTTGAACATCACTGATCCTCAGAGAGATGCAAATTAAAATCACCCTAAAATATCATCTTACATGAATCACAACGGCTATCATTAAAAATAAAAAATATCAGATATTGACATGGATGCAGAGAAAAGGAAATTCTTATACATTGCTAATGGGAAGGTAAGTTAGTTCAACCTCTATGGAAAATAGTATGGGGATTTCTCAAATAACTAAAAATAGTAACACTATATGACCCTGCAATCCCACTCTTGGGTATCCACCCAAAGGAAAAGAAAACATTACAAAAGAAAGACACCTTCACTTGTATGTTCACTGTAGCACTATTCACAACAGCAAAGCCATGGAACAAAGTTAAGTGCCCATCAACTGTTTACTGGATTTAAAAAAATGTGGTATATATACATCATGAAATACTACGCATAAGATAAAATCATGTCCTTTGCAGCAATGTGGGCAAAGCTGAAGGCCATTATCCTGAGTCATCTAACTCAGAAATGGAAAGCCAAATACCAAATACTCTCACCTAAAAGTGAGAGCTAAACAATGGGTACACATGGACATAAAGATGGAAATAGATCCCGGGGACTCCAAGAACAGCGGTGGGTAGGAAGGGAGTGAGTGTTGAAAAAAACCATCAGGGACAATGTTTATTACTTGGATAATTGGTACACTAGAAGCCAATCCTCACCAGTACACAAAATACCCATGTAACAAACATGCACACATACCACTCTGAATTGAAAACAAAACAAAACAATTTAATAATTATATATATATATATACACACACACACACACACACACACACATACACACTGTGGAATATTATATATCTATTATATATGTATATTATATATAATATGTACATATATACACATATATAATATATAATATATATAATATTATATACATATATTATATACATATAATATATAACATATTATATTATATACATATAATATAATATATTATATTATATACATATACTATGTAATATATTAAGTTATATACATATAATATGTAATATATCAAGTTATATACATATAATATGTAATATATCAAGTTATATACATATAATATGTAATATATTGTTATATACATATATTATATATTATGTTACATACATATATTATATATTATGTTATATACATATATTATATATTATGTTATATACATATAATATATTATACATTATGTTATATACATATAACATATTATACATTATGTTATATACATATAACATATTATACATTATGTTATATACATATAACATATTATACATTATGTTATATACATATAACATATATATTATGTTATATACATATAATATATTTTATGATATATACATATAATATATTTTATGTTATATACATATAATATATTTTATGTTATATACATATAATATATTTTATGTTATATACATATAATATATTTTATGTTATATACATATAATATATTTTGTTATATACATATAATATATTATATATTATGCTATATAAATATAATATATATTATATATTGTTATATACATATAATATATTATGTTATATACATATAATATGTAATATATTGTTACATACAAATAATATATAATATATTATGTTACATACATATAATATATAATATATTATGTTATATACATATAATATATAATATATTATGTTATATACATATAATATATATTATGTTATATACATATAATATATATTATGTTATATACATATAATATATAATATATTATGTCATATACATATAATATATAATATTATATACATAAAATATATATTATATTATATACATAAAATATATATTATATCATATACTATAATATATATTATATTAAATCATATGCATATAATATATATTATATGTTATATAATACATATTATGCATATATTATATGTTATATAATACATATTATGCATATATCATGTTATATAATATATATTATGCATATAATATATTATATATTATATTATATATATAATATATTAGATATATTACATTATATACGTATAATATATTATATATAATATATTATACACTATAATATACGTTACATATATTAAATTATATACTATAATATACATTACATATATTAAATTATATACTATAATATATATTACATATATTATGTTATATACTATAATATATATTACATATATTATGTTATATACTATAATATATATTATATGCATATAATATATATTATATATTATATGTATATGACATAATATATTATATATTATACATTATATAAATATAATATATATTATATATTATAGTATATACATAATATATATTATATATTTTATTATATGTATATAATATATTATACATATTATATATGATATATACATATATTACATTATAATATGTGTATATATCATATATTATATATGATATATGTAATATAATATAATATATATAATAAATATATTATATATTATATATAATATATACATAACAATATATTATATACAATATATAATATATACATAATATATTATATATAATATAATACTATGTGTAATTATATATAATATTATATATTATTATATATATTATATATTTATATATATAAATAATGATATAGTATATATTCATATATTATACATAATATATATTATATATATAAATTATATATATAATATATAAATATATATAATTTGTATATAATTATATATTATATTATACAATAATATATACTATATTATATATAGTATATAACATTTACTATATATTATATATAGTATATAACATTTACTATATATTATATATAGTATATAACATATACTATATATTATATATAGTATATAACATATACTATATATTATGTATAGTATATAACATATACTATATATTATGTATAGTATATAACATATACTATATATTATGTATAGTATATAACATATACTATATATTATGTATAGTATATAACATATACTATATATTATGTATAGTATATAACATATACTATATATTATGTATAGTATATAACATATACTATATATTATGTATAGTATATAACATATACTATATATTATGTATAGTATATAACATATATTATATATGGTATATATATATTTTATATTATATATTATATGTATATAATATACGTATATTATATATACATGTATAATATGTACATATATTGTATATACATATATAATATGTACATATATGATATATACATATAATATGT
Organism: Homo sapiens; assembly: GCF_000001405.40. Taxonomy (NCBI): domain Eukaryota; kingdom Metazoa; phylum Chordata; class Mammalia; order Primates; family Hominidae; genus Homo; species Homo sapiens. The sequence continues at coordinate 88,701,233 of NC_000012.12, read as the reverse complement.
ACATATATGATATGTATATGATATGTACACATATAATATGTACATATATGATATGTATATGATATGTACACATATAATATGTACATATATGATATGTATATGATATATACACATATAATATGTACATATATGATATGTATATGATATATACACATATAATATGTACATATATGATATGTATATGATATACACATATAATATGTACATATATGACATGTATATGATATATACACTTATAATATGTACATATATGACATGTATATGATATATACACATATAATATGTACATATATGACATGTAAATGATATATACACATATAATATGTACATATATGACATGTATATGATATATACACATATAATATGTACATATATGACATGTAAATGATATATACACATATAATATGTACATATATGACATGTATATGATATATACACATATAATATGTACATATATGACATGTATATGATATATACACATATAATATGTACATATATGACATGTATATGATATATACACTTATAATATGTACATATATGACATGTATATGATATATACACATATAATATGTACATATATTACATGTATATTATATATACATATATAACATGTATATATATTATATATAATATGTATATATATTATATATAATATGTATACATATTATATATGTATATATGTGTATATATGTGTATATGTATATATTATATATATATTTTATATATATAATATATATTCATTTATTTATTTATTGAGACAAGTTCTCACTTTGTTGCCTAGGCTGGAGTGCAGTGACATGATTTCAGTTCACTGCAACCTCTTCCTCTTGGGTTCGAGGGATATGCCCACCTCAGCCTTTCAAGCAGCTGAGACTACAGGCCTAAGCCACCATGCCCAGCTAATTTTGTTTATTTTTTGTAAAAATGAGGAATCACTATGTTGCCCAGGCTGGACTTAAACTCCTAGGTTCAAGCGACCTCCTGCCTCAGCCTCCCAAAGTGCTGGATTACAGGCATGAGCCATTGTGCCCAGCTGTGCTATATATTCTATGCATGCTCCTCCCATGCATTCCCTCAGAAAAGTTAATACTTCAGCTAGGTTCAAAGAAATCCCAAATAACATGTTATGTCTTGAAAATTATTTAAGAAAAAGGATAGAAATATTTTTAAAAAGTTGTTATTAGGTAGAAGGAAGTGAAAAGCAACCTGGAAATGAGGAGAGAAATTTATGAGAAATTCAAAATATTATAAAGATAAAATTTACAGTAGAATTAAATAAAAGAGAGAATAAACATGGCTAAAATTAGAGGAAGAGACATTATGGGTAGGCGAAAAGTAATCACCAACATGAATCAAAATAAATATATGAAATATTGGTATATTAAAAAGATAATAGGATTGATGAAAAATATATAATTGACATTTCTGTAAAAGAACAGAATTTATAGAGTACAAAATTATTTAACACTTAGAAGAAAAATGTATTTAATAAACAAAACATGCTTCTAAACCCAGGAAATATTGACATAAATAAATATGAATAAAAAAGCATATCTTAGTAAAATTACTAGATGTAATGATAAAAGAGAAAAAGATAACCCTACAAAGAGGGAAAGATAATGTACAATGAGAAATTCTGCATTGGGGTTTTCCAGAGAAACTACCAATAGAATATATATATATATATATATATATATATATATATATATATATTCCTAGGTATATGTTCATTGTTAAAAAACAATGACAAAAAATTAAGAAATTAAGAAATATAAAATGCAGGCTGGGCACATATATATATGTGTGTGTATATATATGTATGTATATATATATATGTATGTGTATATATATGTATGTATATATATATGTATGTGTATATATATATGTGTATATATAGAGAGAGAGAGAGGGAGAGAGAGAGAGATGATTATGTGAATTGACTTTTGATTATGGAGTCAGGAAATCAAAATCCTACCATCTGCTTTCTGAAAGCTAGGGAACCAAGAACCAGGAAAGCTGGTGGTGTAATTCAGTCTGATTTCAAAAAACAAAGAAGGCAGGTGCAGAATTCTGGTGTAAATCCCGGAGTCTGAAGGCTTGAGAACCAGGAGCTCTGATGTCCAGATGCATAAGTAGATAGATATCCCAGCTCAGGGACAGAAAGAGGTAATTCACCCTCTCTCTGCCTTTTTGTTCTATTCAGACCCTCAACAAATTGGATGGTGCCTATCCACACTAGTAAGACAAGTATTATTTAATAAGTCTACTAATTCAAATGCTAATCTTTTCTGAAAACACCCTTATAGACACATCCAGAAATAAAATTTTACCCCCGATCTAGACATCTCTTAGCTTAGTCAAGTGAATACGTAAAACGAAAATCACAAATACTCAGATTGCCTTCAGACTTTCCTATGGTAACACTCCATGTCTGAAGACAGTGAAAAGCTGTCTATAAAGTGCTGAAGGAAAGTAAGTGATGCAACAGTTTTATGCCCAGCAAAATGTGTAACATCCAGAGAGAGCACAGCACTCATAAGCCCTTCTTGTAAAATTGCTGGTAATGAAAACCAGCCAACTGATGGATGGCTCAAAATAATGTCCTCAGGGGAGAAGTCACAGTCACAGAACTAATGTAGAACACTGAATCTATTGTGCTGTAGAACTCAACATAATAATTACGGTTTCAGGCAGAATTCAAATGTTATAAACTTTAACAATGTAGAGTTAATAAAATAATACTTCAACAATTGGTGGACAGGAGAAGGGAAGGTGGTAATTTCCTTGTTTTCTTAATAGGAAAAATCAATGAATTATAGCTGTAACGGTAGTTGCATCTTAGAGTTTAAATAAGGAGATAGAATCTCTAAGTGTATTTTATATAGTTTTCCCTTAACCAGCAAATTTTAAGAGAAATTAATATTTATTAGAATGAAATATTTATCTGAATTTTAACAATTCATTCAGTTTGCTTCCATTTCAATTTCTTCTGTTAAATTCAAGGAAACTGATCATAATATTTTTGTTTATACTCTCATTATAGTATAATTTTATTTTTTAACCATGTAATCTATCTTTTGTCATCTAGATATGAATAAAGATATGTCTAGAACTATATTCATCAAATATTGATGAGGATGATTAATGGGATTTGGGGATTTTGGTTATTCCTTTTTCTTTTGCACTATATATGTACATATATATATACACACACACATATATATAATATATATACACACATATATATGTAATATATATATACACACACACATATATATATATATATATATATATTTTTTTTTTTTGGAGTTGAAGTCTTGCTCTGTCACCCAGGCTGGAGTGTAGTGGTGCGATCTCAGCTCACTGCAACCTCTGCCTCCCAGGTTCCAGCAATTCTCCTGCCTTAGCCTCTGGAGTAGCTGGGATTACAGGCACCCACCACCACACCCAGTTAATTTTTGTATTTTTAGTAGAGACAGGGTTTCACCATGTTAGCCAGGCTGGTCTCGAACTCCTGACCTTAGGCAACTTTCCCACCTCGGCCTCCCAAAGTGCTGGGATTACAGGCATGAGCCACCATGCCTGGCCCGCATTTCATATTTCTACATGTTTTTTTGTCATTGTTTTGCAACAATGAACACGTATCTAGGAAGAAGAAGGAAAGAGAGAGTTACTTCATTTTAATGGAAGTGTTAATAGAATTTTATTTGGTGTGATGTGTTTTATTAGCTTTGAGTAAATATTATATTTCACTAGATTGTTTGCATTACCATATAATTGATTTTTAAAAATTAGAAATGATATCTCAAATTAGCATATGTGTTTTAAGCATGCAATGATGTAATACATTATTTTCTATTTAATTTGTTAATATAATTAATTGCCTTAATAGGTTTCTTGATATTGAGCTGTCTTCTCATTTGTTAAATAAATCCAACTTGGATCATAATGTATTCACCTTTGATAGACTGTTCAATTCTATTGGTTAATAATTATTTAGAATTTTTATATTTATATTTTTAAATACATATGGTTTTTGTGGTATTATACTATATTGTGAAGCAAATAATAGCCTCATAAACCTAACTAGAAATTTTTCTTTTCACTAACATTAAAAATGTTTTGAATAACTGTGTAATTATCTATTTTTTAAACAGTTGCATTTTTATGGTATTAGTTATCTTCCAAATATATTCCAAATATAATTCCTGTCTGCTATGGCTTTCCATTTTTACTTAAGTTAGTTTGGATATTTTCCTAGAAAATCACCCAGTTCCTTTTAGCTAGAAACTCACATGGGTCCTTTTGAATTTCAAATTTATTGCTGCAGAATGGCAAGAAATATTCTCTTACAGCTCTCCTAATATCTTCAAAAACCTTTGTTGTATTTCCTTTCCTCCATTCCATTCCAACACATCAAGATGAAATCTTTAGAATTTTTTTACTGCACCACTTCATAGCCAAGTACAAGTTCTCTAAAATGCTTTTATACCTAAATTCTTGGTTTTGCCAAACTATAATTGACATGGTTTGGCTGTGTCCCCACCCAAATCTCATCTTGAATTGCAGTTCCCATAATTCCCATGTGTCATGGGATCGATCAGGTGGAGATAATTGAATCATGGGGGCTGTTTCCATCATCCGTTCTCATGATAGTGAGTTAGTTCTCACAAGTTCTAATGGTTTTATAAGGGGCTTCCCCCTTTGCTGGGCACTCAATCTCTCCACTGCAGCCCTGTGAAGAGGTACCTTCCGCCATGATTTTAAGTTCCCTGAGGCCTCCCCAGTCATGCAGAACTGTGAGTCAATTAAACTTCTTTCCTTTATAAAATACCCAGTCTCAGATATTTCTTCATAACAGAATGAGAAAGGACTAATACAGTAAATTGGTACCACAGAGAGTGGGGTCCTGCTACAAAGATACCCAAAAATGTGAAATTGACTTTGGAACTGGATAACAGGCAGAGGTTGGAACAGTTTGGAGGGCTCAGAAGACGACAGGAAAATGTGGGAAAGTTTGGAACTTCCTGGTGACTTGTTGAATGGCTTTTACAAAAATGATGATAGTGATATGGACAGTGAAGCCCAGGCTGAGATAGTCTCAGATGGAGATGAGGAGCTTGTTGAGAATTGAGGAAAAGGTCACTCTTGCCATGCAAAAATACTGGTGGCATTTTGCCCGTGCCTTAGGGATCTGTGGAACTTTGAACTTGAGAGAGATAATTTAGAGTTTCTTGCAGAAGAAATTTCTAAGCGACAAAGCATTCAGGAGGAAGCAGAGCATAAAAGTTTAGAAAATCTACAGCCTGGCCATGCAATAGAAAAGAAAACTCCATTTTCTGGGGAGAAATTCAAGCCTGCTTCAAAAATTTGCATAAGTAAAGAGGAGCTGAATGTTAACCACCAAGACAATGGGGAAAATGTCTCTAGGGCATGTCAGAGACCTTCAAGGCAGCCCCTTCCATCATAGGCCCAGAGGCCTAGGAGAAAAAAATGGTTGCCTTGTCCGGGTCCAGGGACCCCTGCTGTAGGCAACCTTGGGACTTGGTGCCCTGCATCCTAGTCACCCCAGCCATGTCTAAAAGAGGCCAATATATGGTTCCGACTGTTGCTTCAGAGAATACATGCCCCAAGCTTTGATGACTTCTACATAGTGTTGAGCCTGCAGTGTGCAGAAGTTAAGAATTGAGGTTTGAGAACCTCCACCTAGATTTCTGAGGATGTATGGAAATGCATGGACGTCCAGGCAGAAGTTTGCTGCAGGGGACAAGACCTCATGGCAAACATCTGCTAGAGCTGTGTGGAAGGGAAATGTGGGGTTGGAGCCCCCACACAGAGTCCCCACTCAGGCACTGCCTAGTGGAGCTGTGAGAAGAGGGCCACTGTCCTCTAGCCCCTAGAATGGTAGATCCATGGACAGCTTTCCCTGTGCTCATGGAAAAGCCACATACACTCAATACCAGCCATGAAAGGAGCTGCTCAAGGCCATGGGAGCCCACCCCTTACATCGACATGCCCTGGATGTGAGATCATTTGGAAACTTTAAGGTTTAGTGACTGCCCTATTGGATTTTGGACTTGCACAGGGCCTGTAGCCCCTTTGTTTTGGCCAATTTCTCTATTTGGAAAGGGTGTGTTTACCCAGTGCCTGTACTTCAATTGTATCTAGGAAGTAACTAACTTTCTTTTGATTTTTACAGGCTCATAGGAAGAAGAGACTTTCTATGTCTCAAATGAGGCTTTGTACTTGGACTTTTGAGTTAATACTGGAATGAGTTAAGACTTTGAGATACTGTTGGAAGGGCATGATTGTGTTTTGAAATGTGAGGACATGAGATTTGGGAGGATCCAGGGGTAGAATGATATGGTTTGGCTGTGTCCCCACCCAAATCTCTCTTGAATTGTAGTTCCCATAATCCCCACATGTCGTGGGAGAGACCAGATGGAGATAATTAAAACATGGGGGTGGTTTCCTCCATCCTGTTCTCATGATAATGAGTTAGTTCTCATGAGATCTGATGGTTTTATAAAGGGCTTCCCACTTCGGTAGGCACTCATTCTCTCCTCTACTGCCCTATGAAAAGGTGCCTTTTGCCATGATTGTAAGTTTCCTGAGGGCTTACCAGCCATGCAGAACTGTGAGTCAATTAAACCTCTTTTCTTTATAAATTATCCAGTCTTGGGTATTTCTTCATAGTAGTGTAAGAATGGGCAAATGCAACAGTAGAGGTGCAGTTTATTTAGTTTAGATTTTTAAGTCATAATATTGCACATAGGCAAAATTAGCATTAATTATTCTTGACCACAAGATGAAGACTTTATCAAGCCATAATGTTCAAATAAACGTACAGTCATGCCTCACTTAACAATGGGGCAAGATCTGAGAAATATATCATTAGGCAGTTTTGTTGTTATGTGGATATCATAGAGTGTACTTACACAAACCCATAAGGTAAAGCCTGCTACATATCTAGACTATATGTTATAGCTTATTGCTCTGAGGCTAGAAACCTGTATAACAGGTTATTGTATTGAATACTGTAGGCCATTGTAATACAAGAGTGAATATTTGTGTATCTAAACATATCTAAACATAGACAAGGTTTGGTAAAAATACAACATAAAAATAATAAGGTACATGTGAATAGGGTAATTACCATAACTGAAGCTTGCAGGACTGAAAGTTGCTGTGGGTGAGTCAGTGAGTGAGTGGTGAGTAAATATCAAGACCTAGGACATCATACATGACTGTAGACTTTATAAACACTGTACACTTAGGCTATACTACATTTATAAAGTAATGTTTTTCTCAATAACAAATTATCCTTGGCTTACTGTAATTTTTTACTTTATAAAGTTTTTAATTCTTTTTAGCTTTTAGACTCTTTTATAATAACAGTTAATTTAAAACACAAACACAATTTACAGCTGTACAAAAGTATTTTCTTTCCTTATATCCTTATTCTATATGCAATTTTCTATTTTCAAGTTTGTTCCTACTTTTTAAATATTTTAGTTAAAACTAAGACACAAACACACACACTAGCCTAGGCCTACACAGAGTTAGGATTACCAATACCACTGCCTTCTGCCTTTACATCTTGCCTCTGAAGGACTTCAGAGGCAATAACATGTATGAAGCTGTCATCTGTGATAATGTCTTCTTCTAGGATGCTTTCTGAAGGATCCACCTGTGGCTGTTGTAGGGTAAACTTAAAAAAAATAAGTGGATGGAGTAAACTTTAAAATAACAATAAAAAGTACAGTATAATACCTACTAGGCTATAGGAATTTCTAGCTTCAGTATCATCTTATGGGACCACCATAGTATATGTGGTCTATAATTGACTGAAATGTCTCTATTCAGTGACTATGTCTTTTAGACATAGTCTAAAGACTATGACTATGTCTTCAAACACTAGAAGCATTCAACACGGTGAGATACACTGTCAGAGGCATGTGGAAGATGTCACTGATGGAAAAAAGAATAGTCATGTCTTCCATTTCACATTCATTCTGGGGTGTCTGCTGATTGTGAGCGAAATGTGTAAAATTGTTAACAGTATTTAAATCAATCTCTCTCTCTCTCTGTTTCTCTGTTTCTCTCTCTCCCTCCCTCCGTCCTTCCCTCCCCCTTCTGCACACACGAACACAAATAGTTTTAGGCAACTCTTGGATATTTCTATTGCAGAAGGCATCTATCAGCTATTTCAAAGTTAATACTTAAAATGTATAGTCACAGCATCACCTTCGATTTGTCTTCAGTTTACTATCACTTTTTATTCTGTCCCATTTTGAGATCTTGAGCTCATGTTTGATTTTTCATTTAGTTAGAACACAGATTTGAGGATATTTTCCAGACAAAATATAGAGTCATATACTCTGAACCCTTGACTTTTTGAAGATGTCTTTTCTTTCCTTCATCCAGTTAGACTAACAATATCTTGGCTGGGTATATTATTCTTGGACTGTAGTCTTTTTCTCTTAATCATCTATTAAAGTAATCCCTCTGTTTTCTGGCAGCCAATGTTGTAAATGACATTTTTAACACTGGGATGGGGCTATTTCCTTTCTATGTTATCTACTACCCCTGAAAACATGTAAGATTTCCTATTTCCTTGCTTCCTTCCTTCCTTCCTCCCCTTCCTCCCTTCCTCCATTCCTCCCTCCTTCCTTTCTTCCTTTCTTCGTTCTTTCCTTCCTTTTTTTTTTTTTTTTTTTTTGACGGAGTCTTGCTCTGTTGCCCAGGCTGGAGTGCAGTGGTGCAATCTGGGCTCACTGCAATCTTTGCCTCCTGGGTTCAAGCAATTCTCATGTCTCAGCCTCCCAAGTAGCTGGGATTACAAGCATGCACCAACACACCTGGTTAATTTTTGTATTTTTAGTAGAGACGGGGTTTCACTGTGTTGGCCAGGCTGTTCTTGAACTCCTGACCTCAAGTGATCCGCCTGCCTCAGTCTCCCAAATTGCTGGGATTATAGGTGTGAGCCACCATGCCTGGCCTAAGATTTCCTTTTTATTCTTGAAATTCTGAAAAGTCATCAAGATAGGCCTTGGTTTATGGCTTTGAAAATTAATTCTTCCTGCAACTCAGTAGGGTTTTCCAGTTGGCAGATTCAAGTCAATTTTCAGCCCAGCTAATTATCTTGAATTACTTAAGTTATTACCACTCTGTTTCTTCATTTTTCTTCCCATGGAACTCCTATTATTTTTGCATGTTTTTAGAATATGTTCCCTATGACTCATCTTTTGTTTAGCAATATTAAACACATTGTATTTTTGCTCTGTTTTGTTAAATTTTCTAACACTTGATCTTCAGAAAAGAAACTAGTTTCTCTTCACTGATTCTCCACTTAAATGTTTCTGAAAATGTATTTTTGGTAGGTGATCTGATGGTAACTACTAATTTGTCAAAATGACTTCTGACTCCTCCATTTAATTCAGAGTGAGAGCCGCTTGCTCTTCCTCTCTTAGGTAACTGGATCTCCTTAACTAGGTTGTTCTTTGTCTGCTTATGAATTTATGTCCCCATAGCACTTGTACAGTTTAAGCAGTCATAATATCTTTATCATCACTCTTTACCAGATTAGAGCACTGTCCTGAAAGTGTCAGGAAGCACATTTTCTATTTGATGGCTGTTTATGAAAGTATTGAGAATTATTAACACTTTGATGAGGTGCAAAGGAGCTATTTGGCTTCTCATTTCCTCCCAGTGTAGGCAACAGTCCTGTCTGCATCCCAGAGCCAGAAGTAATTCAGCTTATGGTGCAGTTAACCTCCAAGGTCATCAGGATCCCCAGGTTTTTGTAGGTCCTTCCCAGAAAACACACAGGAAGTGGAAGTTACCTGAGGAGGGGTAAGTAAGTGTCCCTTTAGTGACACTGTCAGAATCCAGGAAAGCCAGGCCTTATGTTTCTCCACTGCCTCAAGCTTTTCCACTGCCATCAATCTCTCCAACAAGAGAAGTAATCCCTGTACCTGCATAGGCATATTATAAACATTTGTTAAATGAGTTACTTAATATCACATGAGTTGATCTGAGAACCCGGACAAATGACCTTGTTCTCCCTGCTCTTGGTCGAGTGGCCTTCCTACTACACGCTATTTCTTCTTGATGCCCTGCTGTTGTCCTCATGGTCAAGGTGGTTAAATGAACAGTAATTTCTGTGTACATGTGTTCATATAACATTCATTTGTGACTATTTAATTGATCTGGAGAATCACTTCTAGAAATGGGCATCACCCCCATTTCAGTTTCCGTATCAAACAACAACAAAATAAAGCAAAAGAGTATAAAATGGTATTTTTGTATAAAAGCTTTTGATCTTATAATAGTTTAAAATGCCATTACTTTAATGTTAGGTTTTCCAATTGTGAAACATATAATAACACTCTGTGGTCCTTTTGTGCCTTTCATCTGAGAATGTCAGAGTTTTTCATAAGCCTTTACTAATTGCTCAAGCCTCCCAGCACCATCATAATATAGGAACGGTATTATTGGCTCTATTTAATGGATTGAAAAACAAGAGGTCGCTGGGTTACAGACTGAGGGACAGATTTCAGTCAGGGCAAAGGCAGAGCAAATGCAAAAGCAGCCTTGTCTAAGCTTTGTCCTAAAAGACACCTTACCCACTCAAAGGGCCTCCCCTGAATGCCCAATAGTTATGTACCATAAAAAACTTATATTGTCCTCAGGCAGGGCAGAAGAAAATATTGTGATTCCCACTCATTCTCTCCTTCTTCTGGGTACTAAGGGAGAGAAGTGGAGGAGCCTCCTCATCTCTTTGCATCTTAGGAATGCAGACCTTCCAGAGTCAATTGGAAAAATAAAAGAGATGTTCATAGATTTTGAGCAGCTTTTTAGACATAGTTTACATGAAAGCTCTTTGTAAAGTAACATGTTATCTTAGTAATATGTTATTTTTTAATAATGAAAATGCTTTCATGTGTTTGTTGACTCAATACATATTTATTAAGCATCTACCATGTCAAGGCAATGAAGATACATCAATGAAAAAGACAAGGTCATTGATCTCATAAAGCTCATTTTTCAAAGGGAGTGAAAGTGGGAAGAGACAATAAACAAGGAACCACATATGTGGTAGGGAAAGCTTAGAAGAAAAAATAAAACACGGTAGGGAGACAGAGAGGGATAGAGAGGCCATGCTATTTTATATAGATGCCAACAAAGGCTTAGAGGAAGGCAGCAGGCAGTCAATGGCTATATAATGGGAGACTGTTGCAGCAAAGAGAGCAGAAAGAACAAAGACTTTGAGGAAATAGTGTGTTTAGCATATTCCAAGATTAGCAATAAGGCTAGCATGGTTGAAGAAAAGCAAGCCAGGTGAAAAAAAGAATTAAGATCAAAGAGGTGGGGACATAGGATGGAGTAACACCCAAATTACACAGAACCTTAATGGCTATGGGAAGGGTTTCTTTTTTTTATTCTGAGTAATAAGTAAAGCAATTGGAAGTTTTGAGCAGAATAGAGACATGATCTGATTTGTATTTTAAATGGTCACTCTGGCTGCCATGTGGGAATAGACACAAGAGTAGAAGTAGAAAGCTATTGTAATATCCTAGACTTGAGCTGAAGTGTAGCAATGAGACCCCAGAGGAAACATTAAGTAGGTAGTTGATTATATGAGTCTTAATTGCAAGTGGGGAGCCAGGCTGGGCATATGTATGTGGGCTGGAATAAGATTGCTAATCAAATGAGTGAAGAGGAGAAGAGAATGGATGCAAGGATGAGCACTGGGAACTTCAACGTATATAGGTGGGAAGTTGAGAAAGACCCAGCAAAGGAAACTGTGGAGGAATGACGAGGGTGGTGGGAAATAAACCAACAGAGCAGTGTCCTAGAGACCAAGTAGAAAAAGCATTTCCAAAAAGAGGGAATCATCAATTGTGTGAAATAATACTGATGAATATGAGGCCTTAACGTGGAACATTAAATAATGTAACATAGGCCCCACTAAAAACCTTCAAAGGAACAGTTTCAAGAGAATGTTGAGAATAAAAGTCTGATTATACTAGGAAACTTTGCAGAAATCTGTTTCCCCATTGCTGAATTCTTTTTCTTTTTCATACTCAACATTCTTTTTTAATTTAATTTTTGAACCGTGAAGCTTGTACACATTTAATGTATACAATCTGATGAGTTCAGAGATAGTATACCTCTGTGAAATTATCACCACAATGTATGCCATAAATCTATCCATTATCTCCAAAAGTTTCCTCCTTCTTTGTTATTTATTACTGTTGTCATTTGTGATATGAACTTTTAACATAAGATGTACATCCTTAGCAAATTTTTAAGTATACAATACAGAATTATTAACTATAGACACTATGCTGTACAGCAGATCTCTGACTTATTTATCTTGTATAACTTAAACTATATACTTTTGAGTAATACCTCTCTGTTTCCCTCTCTGCAACCTCTGCAAACCACAATTCTACCCTCTGCTTCTCTAAGCTTGACTAGTTTAAATTTATCACATAAGTAATATCATGTAGTTAATATCATGTAGTATTTGTTTTCCTGTCTAACGTATTTCACTTAATGTCTTCAAGGTTCTTCCATGGTGTAGCATATACCAGAATTTCCTTCCTCTTCAAGGCTAGACAATAATTACATTGTAGGACTATACCACATTTCCTTTGTCCATTCATGTGTCAATGAACATTTAGGTTACTTCCATGTCTTGGCTATTATCAATAATGTGGCAATGAACATGAGATTGCAGATTTCTCCTTGAAATTCTGACTTTTTTCTAGATTCTTTTTGGATATATACCCAGAAATTGAATTGTTAGATTATATGGCAGTACTATTTTTAGTTTTTCAAGACTTCCATGCTGTTTTCTATATTAGCTGTACCAATTTACATTCTCACCATCAGTGTACTAGAGTTCCCTTTTCTCCACAGCCTTGTTGGCTTTGTTATCTTTTGTTTTGCTCTCTTAAAATATATGTTTTCTTTGTTTTTTTAAATAAAATTCATCTTAAAAAGTGTGAGGTTATATCACATTGGGATTTTATTTGCATTTCCCTGGTAATTAATGATGTTGAACATTTTCTTTTCTAAATCTGTTGGCTATTTGTATATCTTCTTTGGGGAAAGGTCTATTCAGTTCATTCTCCAATTATTAAATTGGTTTGTTTGTATTACTGCTATTGAGTTGTAAGGGTCCCTTAATAAATTGTATATTTGCCCTTTATCAGATACATGGTTTACAAATATTTTCTCTTATTCCACAGGTTGTCTTTTTATTTTATTGATTGTTTCCTTTGCTGTGCAGAAAGTTTTTAGTTTGATGCAATGTAACTTCTTTATTTTGGCTTTTCTTGTCTATGCTTTTGGTATTATATCCAAAAAATAATTGCCAAGGTCAATAACCAGAAACTTTTTCTCTATGTTTTCTTCTAGGATTTTTACAGTTTCAAGTCTAATATTTAGGTCTTAAATCCGTTTTGAGTTGATTTTTGTGTATGATGTGAGATAAGGGTCTAATTTTATTCTTTTCCAACACCATTTATCTCAATAAATTGGGTATAGAAGGAACTTACCTCAAACAATAAAGTCCATGTATAAAAAGCTTACAGCAACATCATACTTAATAGTAAAAACTGAGAGCTTTTCTGTAAAGATCTGGAACAAGGTGAGAATGCCCACTCTCACTATTTCTATTCAGTATAATACTGGAAGCTCTGGCCAGACCAACTAGGCAATAAGAAGAAATAAAAGGCATCTAAATTGGAAAGGAAGAAGTAAAATTATCTCTGTTTGCAGTTAGTATAATCTTATATCAAGAAAACCCTGAAGATTTCATTAATAATATTAGAACTAATAAATTTGGCAAAGTTGCAAGACAAAAAATCAATGTACAAAAATCAGTTATATTTCTATATGCTAACTGAATTTTCCAAAACAGAAAATAAGAAGACACTTTCATTTACACTAGCATGAAAAATAATAAAATACTTAGCAACAAACTTAAACAAAGAGATAAAAAACTTGTGCATTGAAAGGTATAAAACAATGATGAAAGAAATTAAAGCAAACACAAACAAATGGAAATACATACCATGTTTATGGATGAAAAGAATTAATATTGTTAAAATGTATATACTACACAAAGTGATATATAGATTTGATGCAATCTCTATAAAAATCTCAATTGAATTCTTTTCAGAAATAGAAAACAACAATCCTAAAATTTATATGAAACCACAAAAGATATGAATAGCTAAAATAATTTTTAGCAATAACAAAGCCAAAGGCATCATAGTTCCTGATTTCAAATTACATTATGAAGCTACAGTAATCAAAACAGTGTGGTACTGACATAAAAACAGACAGATAAAATCAGATGACTGTACATGCATAGTTTATTTCTGAGCTCTCTGTTCTAGTAAGTAAACTATGCATGTATGGTCATCTGATTTTTGATAAGAGTGTCAAGAATACACAATGAGGAGAAGACAGTCTCTTCTCCATTACTGAATTCTATAATACTTGGGTATCTTTCTTTCTTGTAAGAGGAACTTTCTCCAATGTATTTGTGCAGCTCTGACTTTGCTTAAACTCCTTGTTTTTATTTATTTATTTATTTGTTTATTGCCCATTGACTAATGTGATTTTACATTTTATTCATCATTCATTTAACAAATACTTATTCAATGCCTGAAAAATGTTTTCTTAAAAAGTTGTAATATATTTTACAGATAATATTTGAAAATTACTGGCAGATAGTAGTTTTTCAAGAAAAACTTATTCATAATAATATAATACAAAATGGTACAAAAAATAACACAAATCTTTAACTTCAGTTATTATTGTTTTGGTGGTATTATTGTCCTGATGCAGTATTTACTCCTATTGCAGATCTAAACTGCTAAAAGTATAATTTATTGCCACACAGTAGCTGCAGAAAACCCTTGGGTTAGGCACAATTTGGATAGCAAAAAATCCAGATAGTTCACAGAACTTTCTCCCTCCATATACAACTCAATGTAGACCTGCATGTTATAAAACATGTGTTGGGTGACAGGAAACCACTTTCTAAACCCTTTTGTAGTCACAAAACTGCCATGTAAAACAATCATGGAAGAATTTAGCTAGGGATCTCCTACTTAGAGACAGTAGAGTTTCATGAATCTGGAAGCCCCACTGCTAAGTGGAATCCTGGTTTAACCACTTACTAGCTTGACCACTTACTAGCTACATGACCCAGGGCTAGTTGTTTAAACTCTCTATGTCCTATTGTCTTTATCTGTAAAGCAACATATATAGTAAGTGCCTGGTATATTGTAAGTGCTTGATAAAGATTATAACTGAGAAAATGATCTGGATAAAACAGCAGCAGAGATAAAGTGACCCATTTTCCATGGGGAAACTATAGAACTATAATAGATACCCAAACTAACCCTTCTGCTGAATAAAATATTTTTAAATCTTTCAAAACATATTTTGTCAGCTGGCGAGAAATTAAAGAATCTCTAGAGGCCAAAAATGAAGCAAAAGCAAAAACTCAAAGAAATAAGTGGAGCACAGAAGCTGATTTTCACCCTGTCTTACCTCAGATTTCCTAGAAGCAGAACCTGAGGTAGGAATTCATATGCGTGGATATAGGCTCAGTTATTATAAATTCTAGTCTTAGTCTGATGCAGGGAGCAGAAAGAAAAAGGGAGCTAAAACATAAATTTCACTGCAGTGTTGTTTCCTCTTGAAACAAAAGTATCAGATTTTTGAACCCTATTTAAGTCAGTTATTGTCTATGGGCCAGTGGAGGCTACTTTCTGAGTCAACTCCCATCAGCCCACCAAACTAGGGCAATTCTTTGGAAAAGAGAGACAGCCAAACACATCAGCTGGGGGATGCAAGCACCAGCCAAGTAAAGTAGTCTGAGAGGGTGACTCCCTGAGTCACCCTAGAGACTGTTATGATCCACCCCTTTCACCACTCAAATTCACCTGTTTTTCACATTAAGTTCATTCCAACTAATTACAGCATCTCCAGGGGAACATGATTTCAATTCCTGGCAAAACCTATAAAGGGAATATTATTGGGATTAATAGTGTCTCCATGACTGCAGTTGATTTAATGACATAATTAATACTCATCTTCTATCTTTCCATCACCCTAAGATAGCAATTCTATTTTCTAATGGTTTGCTTAGTGAGGTGACCCATATCCTCATCCCTGAGGGGGCTGAACTTCTGGTTATCATGGTCTTATCAAACCATGATTGCTTTACATGCCATTATGGAACTAAAACAGTGCAAAAAGCCATCAAAAAATGCCCCATTGGATCACCTTTGAATTAGGCACATTCTACCCAGCCTCCACGCACAGCAGCAGTCATGCTACCTCAGGAAGATAAGGATCAATTTCACCTGCCAGTTTGTGTCCTTTCTGTGCCTGCTGTTTTACAGGAACAAGGAACAAAGTGACCAGATGGCAGGTGTGGCTTTGAATTTATACAGACTTTTATTTTATCCCTTGGTGGAAGCACCTCACTCCCACTCCTAATCAAGATGTCAAGACACACAGAGCCTAAACTTCTGCGGACAAGAAACACAACTTCCCCATGTAGTTCACTGGGAGAGAGGATAAAAGGGGGACAGTCCTATTTTCACCCCTTTATTTCTGAACTTATATATTCTACCTACTGGGGACACATCAATAAACAGTGAGTGAATTTTAAGGTATGTAATACACCTAAAGGATAGCCCTATAGCGCATGTCTTGGTGCCCCAGTCAGATTCTGACTGATAACAAACCACATCTACCTTTCACTAGAGAATAGCCTTCAGCTAACAGGAACCACTTAGCCCAGGAGGCTATGCACACCTCTGTTCCAGGGGCAGGGGAGTTGTCTTTAACCAATGATTGACCCATGCAATGTACAAAAGATAAGCACCCTTGCTCAGTATAGAACTATGTGATACAATTTGTGCTGCAGATGTTCCCCGTGAGATCAGATTTAAAATTAGTCTCCAGCTCAAACCAGAGTCTCATTTAGCTTCTCCCCACCCCACCCTGTCCTGCTTCAATCACGTCCCTTCTCCTGAGAACACTTCCCTAACAAATTGCTTGAGCTGGAGTCTTTGTTTGAGGCTTTAACTTTGGGGAACTGCATAGCATTTTATTATTGCAGAGCGTCATTTCTATGTATACTTCTATATGTCTTTAAAAGGTCAGACCACTACCTGAAGTGCACCATTCCATGAAGAGCAAAGGAAATAGTAAATATGTGGGTAAATATAAAACAGTTTTATCTTTTAAGAAATATTTGAAAGTCAGTTAATTATTTAAGGAAAAATTTAACATCAATGTATTATGGGGTTTATAACATATGTAGAAATAAACATATGACATCATTACAAAGGACAGCAGAAAAATAATTGGAATTATATTGTTGTGAGGTTCTTATATGTGGTGGTGTAATGTTAATTAAAATAGACTTTGATAAGTTAAATACATATATCATAATCTCTACAGCAACCACTAAAAATGATATCATAGGTATAGCAAAAAAAAACCTATCAGAAGAGTTAGAATAAAATCCTCGAAGGTAGTTGAGTGATTGTCAAACTATTTAAAAATCCTAAGCTTGGCTGGGCATGGTGGCTCACACCTGTAATCCTCGCACTTTAGGAGGCTGAAGCAAGCAGATCACATGAGGCCAGGAATTTGAGACCAGCCTGGCCAACATAGCGAAAGCCTGTCTCTACTAAAAATACAAAAAATGAGCCAGGTATGGTGGTGAATGTCTGTAGTCCAGCTCTTTGGGAGGCTGAGGCACAAGAATCACTTGAACCTGGGAGGCGGAGGTTGCAGTGAGCTGAGATTGTGCCACTGCATTCCAGCCTGGGCAACAGAGCAAGACTCTGTCTCAGAAAAAAAAAAAAATCTTAAGCTCAATCAGATGCTATTTGAAAAAGATATACTTTAAATATAAAGACAGAAACAAGTCAGATATAAAAGGATAAAAATGTAAATACATCATCCAGTCACTAAGACTGAAAAATTTAATACAACTAGAATGTTTCAATACAACAAACATTATCAGAGATAGAAAGTTATTTTGTAATGACAAAATAATTGGCTAGTCAGAAAGACATAATTCTAAGTGTGTACTCATCTAATTACAGAGCTTAAAAATATATGAGGCAAAATGAACAGAACTAATGGGAGAAACAGGAAACTCCACAATCATAGGTGGAGATTTTTAACCCGCCCCTTCAAAATAATTGATAGAATGGCCAAAACAACTGCTCCCTCTTTTCAATGCATAATATAAAGCTACATTTGTCAAGAGAATGTGGTAGCAAAGAGAAAAGTAGGTAAATAGAGGAATAACAAGTTTAAAAATAGACACACACCTACATGGTCAACTGATCTTTCCTATAAAGTAGCAATGTAATCAAAAGCAGAATAATTTTTTCAGCAAATTATGTTGGGGAAACTGACTACATAGAAAAATACAACAAAACTCAATTTCTACTACAGCTAAAAATTAATTCAAGATGTAACATTGCATTAGTTCTCATGCTGCTATGAAGAAATATCTGAGACTGGTATAAAGAAAAGAGGTTTAATTGGCTCATGGTTTGGTTATGCAGGCTGTACAGAAAGGCTGACAGCTTCTGGGGAGGTCTCAGGAAATTTTCAATCATGGTGGAAGGTGAAGGGGAAGCAGGCACAGCTTACATTGCCAGAGCAGGAAGAAGGGAGGAGTGCTACAAACTTTTAAAGAACCAGATCTCATGAGAACTATCCCACAAGAACAGCACCAAAGGGGAAAATCTGCCCCCATGATCCTATCACCCCCCACCAGGCCTCACCTCCAACATTGGTTATTACAATTTAACATGAGATTTGGGTGGGGACATATATCCAAACCATATTATTCTGCTCTTGGCCCCTCCCTAATCTCATGTCCCTCTCACATTGCAAAATACAATCATGTCTTCCCAACAGTCCCTCAAAATTTTAACTCATTCCAGAATTAACTCAAAAGTCCACAGTCCAAAGTCTCATCTGAAACAAAGCTAGTCCCTTCGGTCTATGAGCCTGTAAAATCAAAAACAAGTTAGTTACTTTCAAGATACAATGGAGGTATAAGCATTGGGTAAATACTTCTGTTGCAAAAGGGATAAATCAGCCAACAGAAAGGACCTATAGGCCCCATGCAAGTCTGAAACCCAGTATGGCAGTCATTAAACCTAAAGCTCCAAAATAATCTCTTTCAACTATATGTTCTACAGTCAGGGCACACTGATGTAACAAGTGGGCTCCCAAGGCCTTGGGCAGCTCTGCCCTTATGGCTCTGCAGGTCTCAGACCCTGAGGCTACTCTCAAGTGCTGGCATTGAGTGCCTGCAGCTTTTCCAGGCACAGGGTGCAAGCTGCTGGTGGATCTATCATTCTGGGATCTGGAGGACAGTGGCTGTCTTCTCACAGCTCCACTAGGCAGTGCCCCAGTAGGGACTCTGTGTGTGGAGCTCCCCAATCCCACATTTCCACTCCACACTGCTCTAATAGAGGTTCTCTGTGAAGGCTCCACCCCTGTATCAGGCTTCTGTCTGGACATCCAGGCTTTTCCATACATTCTCTGAAATACAGGCAGAAGCTCCCAAACCTCAAGTCTTGCACTCTGCACACCTGCATGCTTAACCAAGGCTTACAGCTTCCACCCTCTGGGGCAGTGGCCCAAGCCGTACCTGGCCTCTTTGAGCCATGGCTGAAGCTGGATGTGGGGACCAGTTTCCCTAGGCTGTGCAGTGTGGCAAGGTCCTGGGGCTGGCCCATGAAACCACTCTTCTATCCTAGGCCACCAGGCCTCTGATAGGAGAGGCTGCCATGAAGGTCTCTGAAATGACTTCAAGGTATTTTCCCTATTGTCTTGGCTATCAGCATTTGCCTTCCTTTCAGCTATGCATATTTCTGCAGCCTTTTCAAATTCCTCCCCTAAAAACAGGCTTTCCTTTTCTACCACGTGGCTAGGCTGCTAATTCTTCAAATTTCTATGCTCTGCTCCCTTTTTAAATATAAGTTCCAGTCCTACATCCTTTATTTGCTCATGCTTATAGGCATAGGCTGTTAGAAGCATCAAGGCCATACCTTGAATGCTTTGCTCCTTAGAAGTTTCTTCTGCCAGAAATCCTAAATCAGACCAGCCTGTCCAACATGGCAAAACCCCATCTCTACTAAAATCTTTTTAAAAAATTAGCTGGGCATGGTAGAGCATGCCTGTAATCCCAGCTATTCAGGTGGCTGAAGCATGAGAATCACTTGAACCTGGAAGGCAGAGGTTGTAGTGAGTTGAGATCATGCCACTGCACTCCAGCCTGGGCAACAGAGTAAGACTCTGTCTTGAAGAAAAAAAAAAAAAAAGAAAGAAAAAAAGAAGCCCTAAATCATCACTCACAAGTTCAAAGTTTCACAGATCCCTAGGGCAGGAGCACAATGCCTCCAAGTTCTTGCTAAAGCATAACAACAGTGACATTTGATTCAGTTCCCAATAAGTTCCTCATTTCCATCTGAGACCTCCTCAGCCTAGACTTTACTGTGCATATCACCATCTGCACTTTGGTCACAACCATACAACGAATCTCTAGGAGGTTCCAAACTTTTCCTTATCTTCCTATCTTCTTCTGAGCCCTCCACACTTCCAACCTCTGACCATTACCCAGTTCCAAATAGCTTCCACATTTTCAGGTATCTTTACAGCAATGCCCCACTCCCAGTACCAATCTTCTGTATTAGTCAGTTCTCGTCTGCTATGAAGAAATACTTGAGACTAGGTAATTTATAAAGAAAAGAGGTTTAATTGGCTCATGGTTCTGCAGGCTGTACAGTAAGCCTGATGGCTTCTGGGGAGGCCTCAAGAAACTTTCAATTACGGCAAAAGGCAAAAGAGAAGCACGCACATCTTACATGGCCAGAGCAAGGGGGGTTGTGGGGGGTACTACACACTTTTAAACAACCAGATCTCTTGAGAACTCTATCATGAACAGTGCCAAAGGGGAAAGTCCACCCCCATGGTCCAATCACCTCTAACATTGGGGATTACAATTTAACATGAGATTTGGATGGAGTTACAAATTCAAATTGTATCAATCATAGACCTAATATAAAGCTAACACTAAAGTTTCTATAAGAAATAGAGGAGAATATCTTTACAATGTTGCAATAGGTAAAATTTCCTAGGACGTAAAAAGCTCTAACCGTAAAACAAAAATATATATATAAATTATATTCTATCGAAATTAAACTCTAAGGAGACATCACTGAGACAATAAAGAGGCTGTGTTAATAATTCACTTTATATATTCAGAGTACATAAATAACCCATCCAACTCTGTAATTAAAGTACAAGCCAATAAAAAATGTGCAAGAGATTTGTAGAGAAATCTAAAAAAGAAAATATAGGAGTTTCTAAAATATACATAACAAGGTACTCAACATTATTAGTTTTTAGGAAAATACAAATTAAAACCATATTAGATATCACATTGTACTATTACGAGACTAAAATTAAAATAACAACACCGATTATTGAGGATCTGGATTAAAGGTCTCTCATACATTACTGGTGGGAGTGTAAAATGGGGCTACCTTGGAAAATACTTTGCAGTTTCTTATAAACTTAAACATACATATAACCTATATCCCAGCAATTCCCTTTCTAGTCATTTATACCAAATAAATGAAAACATATATTCACAAAAAGAGATATACAAGAGTGTTTCAGCAGTTTTATTCATAATAACAAAAACCTGAATAATCTATATAAAACAACCTCCATGTTCATCAGCACGTTATTGGACAAACTGTTGTATATTTAAAAAATAGAATATTTAGCAATATTCTGTTACAAAGGAACTATGATTTACATAATATCTTTACAGCAATGCCCCACTCCCAGTGCCAATAAAGCTACTCTATTAATTTAGGCATTCTAAATGCAGAGCCTGTTTTCTTATTTACCTCACTATTGAAGATGAATTTCAAAATTATCATGGTGACTAAAAAAAGCCAGACACAAAAGAGTGAATCCTATATGATTCCATTTATATAAAGTTCTAAAATAGTCAAAAGTAAAGCTATGGTTTTAGAAATCAGACTGTTTCCCTGGGTGTAGGTGGGGTGTGTGAAAAATTGCAAAGCACATTAGGGGATGTTCTGGGATAATGGAATATATATATATATCTTACTTTAGAGATAAGGTCTTGCTCTCTTCTCTCACCCAGGCTGTAGTGCAGCAGCACAATCATAGCTTACTGCAGCCTTAAACTCCTGGGCTCAAGCAATCCTCCTGCCTCAGCCTCCTGAGTAGCTGGAACTCCTACATCATGTGACTTATCTTGCCTGGCTAATTTTTTTTTTCTTTTTTTTTAGAGACAAGGTCTCACTATGTTGCCCAGGCTGGTCTTGAACTCCTGGCCTGACACAATCCTCATCTTGGCCTCCCAAATCGCTATGATTACAGGCATAAGCCATGCCTGGTGGAAATTATGTATTGATTGGAATACTGGTTATATAGCTGTATACATTCATCAATGAATTATACACTTAAAACTTGTACATTTTGTTATATGCAAAGTGTACCTCAATATAGTTGGTTTAAAACATTTTCAAGTTAAGAATGATACATTTTCCACCTATTTCCTCTAACAATAGCAACAGCAACAACAACAGTTTTTTTAAAAGCTCACATTTATTGAGCCACCTATTCTGTGCCAGGCACTATGATAAGTGCTTTATACATGTTAACTAATTTGATCCTCTTAAGAATTTTATGATACTTCATATCATAAGTATGATGTCTCCTCTCTCCATTTTATACATAAGGAAGTTGAAACACAGAATATTGCGTTAATATGCTCAGTGGCTCACAGGTAGAAACTGGTGGAGCTAGTCTATTAATTTAAGCATTCTAAATGCAGAGCCTGTTTTCTTATTCACCTCACTATACTTCTTCTAATTTCTTCACTATTGTTATAATTGATTGACTCAAAGATAGTTCATTTTCCTTAGCAATATTAGATTTCACAGAGTTGAAAACTTCTGAAGACTTTGACACTAAAACCAGCTAAGCAAGCATGTGTATATGCAAATTAACTTCTTTAGGGGTCTGTTTATGTAACGTGGAACTACAGCAGGTATAGTTTGTCATTTCTCAAGGTGTGTAGATAGCCTGCCAATTCTCCATAGCTGGCAACATTACCAGCAGCTGGCCAATCAGGTTTGAGCAGCATCACTGTGTGGTTCACCAGAATACTTGAGATGTTTTCTATTCTCTTTCCCATTCCTGAGTTTCACTGAAGGGTCTCCAGGTGTGCCTGGTCTCCAGGTGCTGCCAGCAAGGGCCTACTATCATTTTTCCCTTCAACAGGCCATGAACTGAACTCAAGTAGGGAATGATGTAGGTCTGTGTTAGGTTTCTGAGTGGAGAGCATGCCAACATTTATAATAGAATGGTAGGCATTTTGGCATCTCTGCATGTAGCATAATGCTGACTTGACAGCCAACAAGTTGGAACACACAAAAGAATCTTATTAATCTACACTATAATCTGTAGTTTTATCTTTACCAAGACTCTTTGCAAGAATTGAATTTCATGACATATAATTAGGTTTCATGAAGTCTCTGTAGTGCCTTGTAATCAACAAGTAAATTAATTTGCTTTTTCATTTCATGTTTGTGCATAATTTTCATAATACTCATTTGCAAGCCAATTAGTGGCACATTCTCTTAAGTCTTTTTTTTTCCTTTAAAAAATAATTTACTGCTTTATTTATGACATTTGGAGTAAAAGAGATTTCAATAGTCAGGCTTAGAAAATATCTTAC
Organism: Homo sapiens; assembly: GCF_000001405.40. NCBI lineage: Eukaryota > Metazoa > Chordata > Mammalia > Primates > Hominidae > Homo > Homo sapiens. Next base: position 88,677,367 of record NC_000012.12, on the reverse strand, counting down.
AAAGAAAACTCCTTAATACTTTCATGTTCACGTTTTTCTAGAATTAGTTTTGGCCAGTGTTTCTCTAAATGACCCCCCTGCATCAAACTCAACTGAGTGCTCACTTAAAAAGTAAGTCCCTGGGCCGGGCCTGGTGGCTCATGCCTCTAATCCCAGAACTTTGGGAGGCCAAGGCAGGTGGGTCACCTGAGGTTAGAAGTTCAAGACCAGCCTGGCCAACATGGGAAAACCCTGTCTCTACTAAAAGTACAAAAATTAGCCAGGCAGGGTGACAGGTGCCTGTAATCCCAGCTATTCAGGGGGCTGAGGAAGGATAATTGCTTGAACCTGGGAGGTGGAGGTTGCAATGAGCCAAGATCGCACCACTGCACTCCAGCCTGGGCGACAAGAGTGAGACTCTGTCTCACAAAAAAAAAAAAAATAATAATAATTTAAAAAGTAGGTTCCTGGGCCCCACTCCCCAGGATACTGGGTCAGTGTATTAGCTGAGGGACCCAGGAATAAATAGTTTAGTAAATACTCCAGGTGATTCTAATTTACCCCTAAATTTGGCAACTTCTGCTTTAGGCCTAGACAGAGAGGAAAAAATGGCCATTAAACAATGTATTTGTAGAAAGCAATTCCTAAAATGAATGGAGAATTCAATCACAGCCAGAAAAAGAAACTTTTCACATTGGCATGGCAGCTTCTCTCTGCAAAGGGCTGCTTGCTGGCTTAAAAAACAGGATCTTTTAAAACCTATAGCACACTAAGCCATTATCTTCAACTTCACAAAGGGGTTTTTAGATCTGCTACATGAAAGATGTTGTAATAAACCACATAAATGCTACATTGAACTAAAGAAAATGCAAAGGGAGAATGTAATACCTGCAGATTTAAAACCTCAGTTTGTTTTTTAAAGATCTTTTTCATCTTGAGAAAAAAGAGAGATTTAATCAGTCCTTTTAGAGAAGTTATCCCATGTCAGAGTCGTGCTGCCTTACTTTAGTTCAAAGAGGGCAAAGGTAGTTTCTTCTAAACCAAGTTGGGAAGAGGCAGGAACTGAAATAAATGAGTAGCTACCTTTATTTCCATGGATCAAATGATTTGTAATATAATAAGCATTTCTATTTTAAGGAACACTAAGAACTTGGATCCTGTATAAGCCTAAAGGTAGTTTCTTTTTATTTTTTTAACTTTCCATGAAAATTAATGAATGAATGAAAAAATACTTTAAAATAATTTGATTGAGCACTTTTTACATCTTTTCTGTCTTTTGCCTGATTTTTCACCTGTGACCAGAGATTGCCTGAGCATTATAAATGGGCTTTCCCTGCCTCTTGAACCCTGGCTGGCCTCAGTGAACCTGACAGGCTAAAAAGCAAGGAAAAGGTCTTTATAAACAGATGGCTTCAAGCAAGACTTTGTTCTTCCAGAACAATTCAACCACTAGTTTTATTAAAAAGCTGGATATCGGTCTACTACTTTCTCATCCAGGCCGTTGTCATCATCACTAGTGGACTTTATACAATCTTCTTGTATTCCTCTTTGTTTTTTTGAACTCAGCTAAGAAAAGTAATACTCAAATCAGATCTCTGTAGAACTATGATGCAAGACCAAAAGGAGGCAAACTAATTTCTATTTGTTACAAAAGAAAGTGCATTCACTGCAAAACTATTTTATAAAATGTCCTGATTTGGTATAGACGGCAAGTGCTATAAGAGAAGGAAAAGAGGTGTTGAGGCTTGAATCCAAATGGGAGGGCCATATAATACAGTACTGAATGCTGTTAATGTTTTTCTTACACAGTCTAAATAAAATTACTACCTAATTTATAGGTTAAGCACTTAATTAGATATCAAGTATTCAAGCTTTGGTGGTTAAAATTAGTGTTGTAGGAAATAAATAAGCTTTTTGAAGGGATGCCAATAGGGATTGGCAAAGATTTTCAAACCTGCTTTGGTTGATATTATTTATTACCTCCTCTGTTAAACCAGGCACCATTTCTGGACTCTATCATCCTGAATTTTCTTACTTATTATATTGAACACATAGCAATCACCTGCATTTTCTATTATCTTAAAATAATTGGCAGTCAAATTCACCCTAAACTTGACATATAGGGTTTACATAGATAGGTACTTGTCTAATCTAATTGCACTGGTTATAGGGAAAAATTGAAACAAATCCTTTGGTGCTAAGATGTTAAAGAAAGCTCCAGGCTACCTGAAACCCTAGCACTGCTCAAGAAAAGATATTTTATGTCATAAGAATTAGATAATTACAGAAAAATGTGAGTGTTCCTAGGCCAAATTGAAGGTAAAGGTAACATTGGTGACCTGCTCTTCCCATCTCTCCTGCTAATGTCTGTTATGCTGCTGAAGGTGAAGACTTACTGAAACCTACTAGAGTCTATGGAATGTTGCAATTAGAGAAAAAATATGTAGCTTAAAAAGTTCCATCAAATATCTTTCCCTGAGCTGATTTTAGAGATCCCCAAAGCCATAATCCCACAATTCCAAAAGGTATGGTGTTATTTACAAAACTTTTAAAATTCTGACACATGAAAATATCTGTTCTCGTTATCACTTAAAATGACTTAAAGGGACTGAAATGGTAAAAGGACAGGGGTAGGCAGTAGCTTATAACAGTAAAAATTGCTAGTACAACATAAATATCAATAGTGGAAGAGCAAAGAGTAAATGACCAGGTGTAAAATAAATTTAAGAGTACCTTCCAAATCTATTAAGTAAAATATTGTTTCTGATCAGTCATTCAATGAGTATTCATTGAGCACCTAATACAATCAGTGCTGTGTTAAATATTGTGGAGATGGTTACATAAGAAGCATAAAATATGATGCCTGTCTTCAAGGAATTTTGATCTAAGGAAGGAATTGTGATAACGTGTTATTTCTTGTATCATTCCATGGATAGTTATCTTTCTTCTTGGTGAGAACTTAACTTCAATGAGTTGTTTAGGCACTCCGTAAGAATTCAGTCTCACGAATGCATTCAGAGACTTCATCTGAGTCCCTGTGGCTTGTCTGTTCTGAATTCACTTCACAAATAATCAAAAATTTATTCACTAGTAAGAATGCTAGGAAATAGACCAACTGAATTTTGGCTTCTTCAAACACCTTTTTTAGGAAATATAAAATTATAGTTAAAGATAGTCTCTGAAAAACATATCACCAGATGTAGATTTGAGATTTAATTTATTATATCAGGAAAATTGGATAAACCATGCTGAATATTTTTTTGGCCTTAGTTCATGTAATGTTCTGATAAAATTTGCCAGAGAAGTTTCACTAACTTTGCTGTGTACATACAAATTCAATAAAATCTTCCTGTTGATGATCAATATTTTATTTTATTGTATAAATATCCAAGTTACTTTTCATAAAACTCATAATTGACTAAATTTGTGTCACCTTTTAAAAACTGATAGTCAAGGTATACTTTTATTAATCACTTATTGATTCACTTTTATTAAAAATTATATAAATATGAAATAATTATAATACCCAAACGAAGTTCTCTTACAATATTCTTTCTCTTCCAGTAGTACGAAGTTGTTTTGTGAAAGATGGCTGCTCACTATGTTGTACATTTACAAGGTTAAAAATTTTCCTGCTACTATACAAAGCTTCCCTCCATAACCTGTGAACTTAACTTTCATTAACTTATCTAAATTATTCTTAAATAGATTTGCATTTTTAATCCATGTTATTTCCTAAGAAAACAGCCTCTTTAATTTTCACCACACTAAATCATTTGCACTGTTTTTTTATTATTATACTTTAAGTTCTGGGATACATGTGCAGAATGTGCAGGTTTGTTACATAAGTATACACGTGCCATGGTGGTTTGCTGCACCCATCAACTCGTCATTTACATTAGGTATTTCTACTAATGCTATCCCTCCCCTAGCCCCCCAGCACCTGACAGGCCCTGGTGCATGATGTTCCCCTCCCTGTGTCCATGGGTTCTCATTGTTCAACTCCCACTTATGAGTGAGAACATGTGGTGTTTGGTTTTCTGTTCCTGTATTAGTTTGCTGAGAATGATGGTTTCCAGCTTCATCCAGGTCCCTGCAAAGGACATGAACTCATCCTTTTCTATGGCTGCATAGTATTCCATGGTGGATATGTGCCACATTTTCTTTATCCAGTCTATCACTGATGGGCATTTGGGTTGGTTCCAAGTCTTTGCTATTGTGAAGTGCTACAATAAACATATGTGTGCATGTGTCTTTATAGTAGAATAACTTATAATCCTTTGGGCATATACCCAGCAATGGGATTGCTGGGTCAAATGGTATTCCTGGTTCTAGATCCTTGAGGAATCGCCACACTGTCTTCCACAATGGTTGAACTAATTTACACTCCCACCAACAGTGTAAAAGCGTTCCTATTTCCCCACATCCTATCCAGCATCTGTTGCTTCCTGACTTTTTAATGATTGCTATTCTAACTGGCATGAGATGGTATCTCATTGTGGTTTTGATTTGCATTTCTCTAACAACCAGTGATAATGAGCTTTTTTCATATGTTTGTTGGCCACATAAATGTCTTCTTTTGAAAAGTGTATGTTCATATCCTTTGCCCACTTTTTGATGGGGTTGTTTTTTTCTTGTCAATTTTTTAAGTTCCTTGTAGATTCTGAATATTAGCTCTTTGTCAGATGGATAGATTGGAAAAATTTTCTCCCATTCTGTAGGTTGCCTGTTCACTCTAACGATAGGTTATTTTGCTGTGCAGAAGCTCTTTAGTTTAATTAGATCCCATTTGTCGATTTTGGCTTTTGTTGCCATTGCTTTTGGTGTTTTAGTCATGAAGTCTTTGCCCATGCCTATGTCCTGAATGGTACTGCCTAGGTTTTCTTCTTGAGTTTTTATGATTTTAGGTGTTACGTTTAAGTCTTTAGTCCATCTTGAGTTAATTTTTGTATAAACTGTAAGGAAGGGGTCCAGTTTCAGTTTTCTGCATATGGCTAGCCAGTTTTCCCAACACCATTAATTAAACAGAAAATCCTTTCCCCATTGCTTGTTTTTGTCATGTTTGTCAAAGATCAGATGGTTGTAGATGTGTGGCATTATTTCTGAGCCCTCTCTTCTGTGCCATTGGCCTATATATTTGTTTTGGTAGCAGTACCATGCTATTTTGGTTACTGTAGCCTTGTAGTATAGTTTGAAGTCAGGTAGTGTGATACCTCCAGCTTTGTTCTTTTTGCTTAGAATTGTCTTGTCTATACAGGCTCTTTTTTGGTTCCATATAAAATTTAAAGTATTTTTTTTCTAATTCTGTGAAGAAAGTCAACAGTAGCTTGATGGGAATAGCATTGAATCTATAAATTACTTTGGGCGCTATGGCCATTTTCAAGATACTGATTCTTCCTATCCATGAGCATAAAATGTTTTTCCATTTGTTTTTGTCCTCTCTTATTTCTTGAGCAGTGGTTTGTAGTTCTCCTTGAAGAGGTCCTTCACATCTCTTGTAAGTTTTATTCCTAGGTAATTAATTCCCTTTTGTAGCAATGGTGAATGGGAATTCACTCATGATTTGGCTCTCTGTTTGTCTATTATTGTTGTGTAGGAATGCTTGTGATTTTTGCACATTGATTTTGTATCCTGAGACTTTGCTGAAGTTGCTTATCGGCTTAAGGAGATTTGGGGCTGAGATGATGGGGTTTTCTAAATATACAATCATGTCATCTGCAAACTGAGACAATTTGACTTCCTCTCTTCCTATCTGAATACCCTTTATTTCTTTGCCTTGCCTTATTGCCCTGGCTAGAACTTCCAATACTATGTTGAATAGGAGTGGTAAGAGAGGGCATCCCTGTCTAGTGCTGGTTTTCAAAGGGAATGCTTCCAGCTATTGCCCATTATGATATTGGCTGTGGGTTTGTCATAAATAACTATTATTGTTTTGAGATATGTTCCATCAATACCTAGTTTATTGAGAGTTTTTAGCATGAACAGGTGTTGAATTTTATTGAAGGCCTTTTCTGCATCTATTGAGATAATCACGTGGTTTTTGTCATTGGTTCTGTTTATGTGACGGAATACATTTATTGATTGCGTCATTTGAACCAGCCTTGCTTCTTAGGGATGAAGCCGTCTTGATCGTGGTGGATAAGCTTTTTGATGTGCTGGTGGATTTGGTTTGCCAGTATTTTATTGAGGATTTCCCCATTGATATTCATCAGGGATATTGACCTGAAGCTTTGTTTTTTTGTTGTGGCTCTGCCAGGTTTTGGTATCAGGGTGATGCTGGCCTCATAAAATGAGTTAGGGAGGAGTCCCTCTTTTTCTGTCGTTTTGAATAGTTTCAGAAGGAATGGCCCCAACTCCTCTTTGTAACTCTGGTAGAATTCCGCTGTGAATCAGTCACGTCCTGGACTTTTTTTAGTTGGTAGGCTATTAATTACCACCTCAATTTGAGAACTTGTTATTGATCTATTCAGGGATTCAACTTCTTCCCGTTTAGTCTCGGGAGGGTGTATGTGTCTAGAAATTGATAGATTTCTTCTAGATTTTTTGTTTATTTGCATAGAGGTGTTTATAGTATTATCTGACGGTAGTTTGTATTTCTGTGGGATCAGTGCTGATAACCCCTTTCTCTTTTTTTATTGTGTCTATTTGATTCTTCTCTCTGTTTTCTTCTTTATTAGTCTGGCTAGCGGTCTATCTATTTTGTTAATTTTTTCAAAAAACCAGCTCCTGAATTCATTGATTTTTTTGAAGGTTTTTTTGTGTCTCTATCTCCTTCAGTTCTGCTCTGATTTTAGTTATTTCTTGCCTTCTGCTAGCTTTTGCATTTGTTTGCTCTTGCTTCTCTAGTTCTTTTAGTTGTGATGTTAGAATGTCATTTTTAGATCTTTCGCACTTTCTCCTTTGGGCATTTAGTGTGTAAATTTCCCTCTGAACACTGCTTAACCGTGTCCCAGACATTCTGGTACATTGTGTCTTTGTTCTCATTGGTTTCAAATAACTTATTTATTTCTGCCTTAATTTCGTTATTTACCCAGTAGTTATTTAGGAGCAGGTTGTTTAGTTTCCATGTAGTTGTGTGGTTTTAAGTGAGCTTCTTAATCCTGAGTTCTAATTTGATTGCACTGTGGTCTGAGAGACTGTTTGTTATGATTTTCATTCTTTTGCATTTGCTGAGGAGTGTTTTACATCCAATTATGTGGTCAATTTTAGAATAAGTGTGATGTGATGCTGAGAAGAATGTATACTCTGTTGATTGGGGTGGAGAGTTCTGTAGATGTCTATTAGGTCTGCTTGGTCCAGAGCTGAGTTCAAGTCTTGAATATCCTTGTTAATTTTCTGTCTCATTGATCTGTCTAATATTGACAGTGGGTGTTAAAGTCTCCCACTATTATTGTGTGGGAGTCTAAGTCTCTTTGTAGGTCTCTAAGAACTTGCTTTATGAATCTGGGTGCTCCTGTATTGGGTGCATATATATTTAGGATAGTTAGCTCTTCTTGTTGCATTGAAATCTTTACCATTATGTAATGCCCTTCTTTGTCTTTTTTGATCTTTATTGGTTTAAAGTCTGTTTTATCAGAGACTAAGTTTGCAACCCCTGCTTTTTTTTTGCTTCCCATTTGCTTGGTAAATATTCCTCCATCCCTTTATTTTGAGCCTATGTGTGTCTTTGCATATGAGATGTGTCTCCTGAATACAGCACACCAATGGGTCTTGACTCTTTATCCAATTTGCCAGTGTGTGTCTTTTAATTGGGGCATTTATCCCATTTACATTTAAGGTTAATATTGTGATACATGAATTTTATCCTGTCATTATGATGCTAGCTGGTTATTTTGCCTGTTAGTTGAGGCAATTTCTTCATAGTGTTGATGGTCGTTATAATTTGTTATGTTTTTGCAGTGACTGGTACCAGTTTTTCCTTTCCATATTTAGTGCTTCCTTCAGGAGCTCTTATAAGGCAGGCCTGGTGATGATAAAATCGCTCAGCATTTGCTTGTCTGTGAAGGATTTTATTTCTATTTCACTTATAAGGCTTATTTTGGCTGGATATGAAATTCTGGGTTGAAAATTCTTTTCTTTAAGATTGTTGAATATTGGCCCCCACTCTCTTCTGGCTTGTAGTGTTTCTGCAGGGAAATCCGCTGTTAGTCTGAGGGGCTTCCTTTTGTGGGTAACCCAATCTTTCTCTCTGGCTGCTCTTAACACTTTTTTCTTTCATTTCAACCTTGGTGAATCTGACAATGATGTGTCTTGGGGTAGCTCTTCTCGAGGAGTCTTTCTGATGTTCTCTCTATTTCCTGAACTTGAATGTTGGCCTGTCTTGCTAGGTTGGGGAAGTTCTCCTGTATAATATCCTGAAGAGTGTTTTCCAACTTGGTTCCATTCTCCCTGTCACTTTCAGGTAAACCAATCAAATGTAGGTTTGGTCTTTTCGCATAGTCCTATATTTCTTGGAGGCTTTGTTCATTTCTTTTCATTCTTTTTTCTCTAATCTTGTCTTCACACTTTATTTCATTAAGTTGATCTTCAATCTCTGATATCCTTTCTTCTGCTTGATCATTTCAGCTATTGATACTTGTGTTTGCTTCAAGAAGTTATTGTGCTGTGTTTTTCAGCTCCATCAGGTCATTTATGTTCTTCTCTAAATTGGTTATTCTAGTTAGCAATTCCTCTAACTTTTTTTCAAGGTTTTTAGCTTCTTTGCATTGGGTTATAACATGTTCCTTTAACTAGGAGTCTGTTATTACCCACCTTCTGAAGACTACTTCTGTCAATTCGTCAAACTCATTCTCCCTCCAGTTTTGCTCCCTTTCTGGCAAGTTGCAATCCTTTGGAGGAGAAGAGGCATTCTAGCTTTTGGAATTTTCAGTCTTTTTGCACTGGATTTTGCTTATCTTCGTGGATTTATCTACCTTTGTTCTTTGATATTGATGACCTTCAGATGGGGTTTTTGTGTGGACGTGCTTTTTATTGATGTTATTGCTATTCCTTTCTGTTTGTTAGTTTTCCTTCTAACAGTCAGGCTCCTCTGCTGCAGGTCTGCTGGAGTTTGCTGGAGGTATGCTCCAGATCTTGTTTGCCTGGGTATCACCGGTGGAGGCTGCAGAACAGCAAAGATTGCTGCCTGTTCCTTCCTCTGGAAGCTTCATCCCAGAGGGTCACCGGCCAGATGTCAGCCAGAGCTCTCCTGTATGACGTGTCTCTTGACCCCTGCTGAGAGGTGTCTCCCAGTCAGGAGACATGGGAATCAGGGACCCACTTGAGGAGGCAGTCTATCCCTTAGCAGAGCTCGAGTACTGTGCTGGGAGATTTGCTGCTCTCTTCAGAGCCTGTAGGCAGGAATGTTTAAGTCTGCTGAAGCTGTGCCCACAGCCGCCCCTTCCCCCAGGTTCTCTGTTCCAGGGAGATGGGAGTTTTATCTATAAGCCCCTTACTGGGGCTGCTGCCTTTCTTTCAGAGATGCCCTGCCCAGAGAGGAGGAATCTAGAAAGGCAGTCTGGCTACAGCGAATTTGTCGAGCTGTGGTGGGCTCTGCCTAGTTTCAACTTCCAGACGGCTTTGTTTACACTGTGAGGGGAAAACTGCTTACTCAAGCTTCAGTAATGGTGGACGCCCCTCCCCTCACCAAGCTTCAGTGTCCCAAGTTGACTTCAGACTGCTGTGCTGGCTGCGAGAATTTCAAGCCAGTGCATCTTGGCTTGCAGGGCTCTGTGGTGGTGGGTTCCACTGAGCTAGACCACTTGTCTCCTTGACTTCAGCCCTCTTTCCAGGGGAGTGAATGGTTCTGTCTCGCTGACATTCCAGGTGCCACTGAGGTATGAAAAAAAAAACTCCTGCAGCTAGGTCAGTGACTGCCCAAATGGCTGCCCAGTCTTGTTTTTGAAACCCAGGGCCCTTGGTATAGGCATTTGAGGGAATCTCCTGGTCTGTGGGTTGTGAAGACTTTGGGTAAAGTTTAGTATCTGGGACGGAATGCACCATTCTTTATGGCACAGTCCCTCATGGCTTCCCTTGACTAGGGGAGGGAGTTCCCCGACCCCTTGTGCTTCCTGGGTGAGGTGATGCCCCACCCTGCTTCAGCTTGCCCTCTGTGGGCTGCACCCACTGTCTAACCAGTCCCAATGAGATGAGCCGGGTACCTCAGGTGGAAATGCAGAAATCACCCACCTTCTGTGCATTGATCTCACTGGGAGCTGCAGACCGGAGCCGTTCCTATTTGGCCATCTTCCAGCCACCTCAATGTGCACATTTATCTGTCCTAAGAATACAAAGGCATAGTTGCTACTTCTGTTTATCAGGTTTCATTTGAAAAAGTCTACATTGATCTTATTTGTGATTATTTATTCCGTTGAATAATTCAATTTTCCTTTCCTTACAACATTTTGAAGTTACCTAGTATCTTGTTCTTAATGTTTGTCACATCCTCTCAGGGTAGTCAATACGATTTAAAAAATGCTCTTTTTAGGCATTGTGAGCAAGACAAGATCCCTGCTCTAGATGAGTTTCCATCTATTCTGTCCTGGGATAATTATATTTACTCTCAGAAATTTTTGATGTTCCCCCATATTGGTAAATCTGCTGATCTTTCCCGTCACCTCGCATTTCCACATGCTTGTTCCATGGGCACTTTGTCCTCAACATGTTGAAAATCTTCAAAATTTCCTGTTAAGCCTTTTTTCTATTATTTTCTTGTCTATAGCACTAAACAGAAGTAGGAATACCCTTCTACAATGAATCCAGGCTACACATCCAAATTCCATTTTAAGTTACTTTTTTACTCACTTTATTTGATTACCAAGTTTTTAACATTCTCCATCTTTAATATCATAGATATATATTATTTTAAGTTTGTATACATTCATATTTCAACTAATCTCTCTCTTTTTCTCTCTCTCTTTCTCATCACTTCTATAAAATTAGATTGACTATCCACCCTCTGAGAACTTTGTATATGCTGCTATCATGACATTTATTATATTAATCTTTAGTTATCTTCTTTCTCATTCTGCTTTTCCAAGTTCTGTAAGGACTCAGGCCTCAACTTGTTTGTCTTTGTATTTGTAAAGTTCAGCACATGATTTGTCACAAGGTAGGTTTACAATAAATATTCATTGAATAATTAAATTATACCTTCCCCAAGAAGATCAAACTTTAGTTGAACTGACAGATATGTATGTAACTAACTATAGGCAAAGTATGACAAAAGAGCCACTATTTATTAAAACTTGAGAGATATATGTGTTCTATCATTTTATAGAAGATAAAATTGGTTTTACAAATGAACTACGATCACTAAGTAAAATTTTTGTTGGCAGAATTTCATATAGGTAATTGCATACCACTTTTTAAAGTACCCTCTTTTTTTTTTACTAATAGTTATTATTCTTTCCTTTAGAAAATGAACTACGAATTTGCATTTTTAAATATTGACTTTGCATTTTACAACAGAAACTTGCTTAAATATATTGAATTTAAAATGAAAAAGTTGTTTTTTATTTTTCCTCTGACTTTGCATATATCTAGGGAAATAGGTACGGTTGTCCAATGATATCCATGGAGATTGGTTCAAGGGCCCCCCACAGATACCAAAATCTATGGATGTTCAATTCCTTTATAACAAAATGACATAGTATTTGCATATAACCTCTGTATATCTTCCCATATACTTTAAATCATTTCTATGTTATTTTAAATACCTAATACAATTTAAACCCTCAATAAACAGTTATTATACTATATTGGTTTTTATTTGTATTATTTTTTATTGTTGTATTGTCACTTTTTACTTATTTTAAAAAATACTTTTAATGTGTTGTTGGTTGGATTCTTGGCTGTGGAACCTGCAGATACAGAGACCCAATTATATTTCTGTTTCTATCACAGCAAAATTCCAATGATTACACAATCTTCTAAACCAATGATGGATAAGAAAGCCAGGTTCTTTGCTATCCAACAAGTATTAGTTTAATCTGGAATTTGTTAGTATGAGTTTTGTCTCCATTTCTATAGAAAATAAAACTTCCTCCTTTTTTTAGCAAACCAAAAATAAGATTCTTCTGTAAATGATTTATTATCTTATTACTTCAACCAATTGGACTTAAGCCTTAATTCTTGGGAGATGTAAGTTTGCTGGTGGTGGATGACTCATGTGACAACCAAGCCTCAAGTTTCATTTGTTCTTTTGAAGGATTCTTTATAATGGTTACTATTGTCCATGGTCAAAATACAATTACTTTTTAAAGAAAATAAATGTCTTTATTTGCATTTATCATGAAACTTTTAGCAAAATGAACCAATATTAAGTACAAAACAGATGAAATATAAAAATGATACACATATTACAAGAATTGTAGGATAAATATAAACAAATACATCCTGAAATACACATACACACACACACACACACACACACACACACACACACATAAATTCATATTCCCTGAGGGGACCTAATTTGTTTAAAGAATTTGCAATTTGTGGGGACTTTCTGCTGAGTGACAAGAGCACGGGTTTCAAATCCTGGCTCTAATACTTACTAGCTATAGAGCCTCAGTAAAATGACTTACTATCTTTAAGCCTTAGTTTCTTCATTTATAAAATGGGAATATAATACAACCTTATAGAGATACTGGGCGAATTACATAATATGTAAAAAACCATTTAGACTGGTTATTGGCACATAATTACATAACAAGCATTCAATAAAATGGCACTATTTTTAAATTATCATTATTAATCTTTTCAATCAATTTGAATAGTGTTTACCTTACATTAACATGTAAGTTCTAATTGCGAATACTTATGTCTTAGTTTGGGTCCCTTCAAAGCAGCCCCAGGAACAAGAATTGCAGTGTAAGTTTATTTAGAGGATGATTTTAAGAAGCATTATTAGGAGAGTGAGAAACTGCGACAAAGTGGGGAAAAAGACAATGAAAGGTGCATTTTATAGCTGATTATTACTATGGGCAACTGAGGTCTATTCTGCAGAACTCTGAGAGACCATGTGGAGTTATCCACCCAACAAGTGAGGACGCTGAAGTATTTATCCTCCAATTCCTCTCTGATATTGGCTGAAGGGCACTCCAGAACCATGAACTTCCAAGCACTTCCAGCTCTCTCATGTTCCCACCTCTAGCCACAGCCCAACTCTCCAAAGCAGGACTCCACTGACGTGCACAAAAATTAGGTATACTGGAATGGTGAGTACATAGGAAGTATGGGAAGGGTTGAGAGTTTTTGAGGGTTTCTGCTATGAGTTAACAATTAGGGGATTTTGTTTCTAATACATATAACACTAAAACAAATGAGAAATGTGAGGAGAGACATGAAAAGGAGGAATCTTGAAACTGTCAGCAAAAGCACGTGTGAGTTTAAATAATCTGCAAACCCTGAGATATTCCTCAAATTAGTTTTAGTATATACAAGAAGTTGTTTTACTAATCCAGACTATGAATGGCATACCTTAAAAAATAATAAAATGACTGAAAGGAAAAAGTACATCTCTTCCTCAGAAATACTATCTTTAGGATAGATCACTGCTTAAAACCTCACTCAAGGAAGTAAGTAATACTACTGAAAATAATTTAACAATAGCATCTCCCAAATGGGAATGTGTGACTTACCTTTCCTATTCTTGTTTAATCATTGTTTAGTATACAGGAAGCACTAGGATAACCTAATTGAAAGGCTTATTTAATATGGAAGTTGAAAATCCTAAACAGCTACTTTTCACATCTTAAATCTTAAGAAATAAGTGTCACTCTTGTGCTCTTTTAATTCATATGCAAAATGTAAGTTTTCGTATGATAATTTTCACCTTTTATTTATAGAGAACCTGTAACTTTGTGAATAACAACCTACGTCTGCTTTGCCAGTTTTCTATAAATATAATAATAGTTGTAGTTAAAACCAGTGGTTACATTTTGAAAATACTTAACAATAAATAGGGGTGCCATTCACATGATAAAAGTACAGAGGAAAAAACTGCAATAAAAAAGCTGTAATCATGATCAATCTGCTGAATTCAACCCACAATTTCCAGTGTCAGAATTCTATATCCATATAGTTCATGATAATACTCATTTTGTTAAATTGCATACATTAAAAAAAAAACAGTGGTATGGCTGAATGAATAAGCAAAGGTCTACAATGACTGAGTTCAAATCATTTCCTGTATTTAAGGGAGTAGTGCTCAGGCTAAACAATGAGACAGTACTTTTGGAACACAGATAGCCTTCTCTTTAAAAGTATTTGAAGGAATTTAGTGACTCCAGAAACTTATATTACATAATATCTTTCTGTCTCAAATCTTGGATTTTGTTGTTCCCACATTGGCTTAATGTCAGTAACTTAGACACATTTGTCCTCTTATTTTCTTGTCTGTCTTAACTATTTTACAGAGGTTTTTTTTTTGTGCGTGAAGGCAAAATACAAGTGAACCCATTCATCAGTCTCTTTTTTAATAAAATTAAGTAAATCTTCACATTAAAGTTTATTGAATAAATACATAAGTAATGTTCATTTGAAGATCAAATTCTCTTTCAGTCTTCTTAATCTCTGACTTTTAAAACTGACTGGCTCAAGCAGACTGTTACCTGGTATTAACTGTTTTCTATATAGGACTTATCACTTAGCTATTATTCATCCAATATCTTAAGTTTCAGCTACTATTTTTCATTCCCCCAATATATTTTAGCATATACTATTCATCAGCTCCTGGCTCCAGCCACTGGGAATGCTGTAGTGAATATAATTTATATAGTAAAAGGGAATAAAACAAAGTTTGTCATGGAGCTTACACATTTATTAAATGCTTCAAGATCCCATGTAAGACCTAAGTTATAGATGAAGTTCCTGCAATTAAAATAGAATAATTTTACCTGGAAAAACGAATTATTTGACTTGCAAATGACAGAGAATAAACTTGAACATTCTGAAAAGAAAGGTAATTTCAAAGGTAAAGAAACCACATAATTTCTTGGTTATGCTGCTAATATTCATGACCTAAAAATAAATATTTGTTTAAGCACAAATTCTTAAAGTAACTCAAGAATAAATATGCATACAAGAATCATTCACTCTCTGTTTTGTAAAATCAGCATTTCTCTATTGTTTTCTCTTAGCATACAAAAATGCTCAGATGTTGTTTTCAATGTTAAAAAAATAATGATCAGGTGCTGTGGCTCATGCCTGTATTCCAGCACTTTGGGAGGCTAAGGCAGGAGGATTGCTTGAGCCCAGGAGTTTGACACAAGACCTGGCAATATAGTGAGACCGTGTCTGATATGGTGGGGCTGTGTCCTCACCCAAATCTCATCTTGAATTATAGTTCCCATAACCCCCACATATCTTGGGAGGGACCTGGTGGGTGGTAATTGAATCATGAAGGTGGTTTTCCCCATCCTGTTCTTGTGATAGTGAGTTAGCTCTCACGAGATGTGATGGTTTTATAAGCGGCTTACCCCATCGCTCAGTTCTCATGCTTCTCTCTCCTGCCACCATGTGAAGAAGGATGTGTCTGCTTCCCCTTCTGCCATGATTATAAGTTTTCTGAGGCCTCCCCAGCCATGTGGAACTCTGAGTAAATTAAACCTTATTCCTTTATAAATTGCTCAGTCTTGGGCAGTTCTTTATAGTAGCGTGAGAACGAACTAATACACCATCTCTACAAAAAATAAAAATAAATAAGCCAGGCATGGTGGCATGTGCCTGTAGTTCCAGCTACTCAGAAGGCTGAGGTGGGAGAATTGCTTGAACCCCAGTGGTCAAGGCTGCAGTAAGCCGTGGTTGCCCCATTGTATTCCAGCCTGGGTGACAGAGTGAGACTTTGCCTTAAAAAAAAAACCAAAAAACAAACAACAAACAAACCTCTCCATAGTCTACCTCTCTCTCATTCCATACTTCCCCTATTTTTATGTATATTTTGGAAAAGGAACCCCTCACTTTTCATCAGCTCTTCAGTGTGCTGCAGCCCTCCCTAGTGCGTGGCTCCTGACATAACAGCAAAGATAACATTTTTTTTCCTCCCATGGATAATTCAAAAATTCATTCAGAGTCATTTTCCTTTGCCCTTTAAGCAAATCCTTGCCCAATTCCTCAGCTTTTCTGCTTACTGTTAAATAATAGGTAGTCATGCTTTTAGTTTAAGTCTCAAACTCAGTCTCTACTCAATAATTAGAACGCCCTGTTTCAAGATACTGATCAAAACTTCAAATTTGATTTTAGAATTAATTGTTCTTTCTCCTATCTAGGGCCTGTTTCAGGCCTTCTTCCTCCCTACTTTGCCCCTAGGTTTCCAAAAGAATAGGAGAAGGAAGGTATTACTAGGAAAGAAGAGACCAAAGGACAATAAATATCATATTTGAACCTGAGGCATCTTAAATTGATTTGCACTCTCTGAACACACCCATATGGAAGCTGATTTTATGTGGCTCTTCAAAGATGCCTTTCACTGGGGACTTCTCTTCTGCAATTCCCACTATTCAGGCTGATATCTCTAAATTCAGAGTGGTTACTTGAATGATTACTTGATGAATACTCACCATTAGATCAAACGTCATGAAGACAGAGGCAATATCTCTTCTGCTAAAATTGTATTCCTAGTTTCCTGCACGGTGCTTGATAATAACCTCTTATTAAATATTAGTTGAATGAATAAGTGAAAGATGCCTCCATATTGTCAAATTCAATGTTCACTTTCTGATCTTAGCTAAATTAACCTTTGTAGCTCTCTTTACTTATTACTATTACTACATACCATTTTCTTTACCCATTCACTTGGCTTTAAGTAAGAAGTCCAGACTTCCAGCCCAAAACTTGCTCCTAAACTCCACACCCACATATTAATCTGCCTACAGAATATCTGCCATTTTACAGAAACCTCAAACTCTTCATGTCCCAATTTGAATCATTACATACATCACGTTTTCTCCAAGATCTATCCTAGTCCTAGATTTCCGTGATGTGAATGGCATCATTATATATTCAGCCTATCTGGTCAGAAATCTGGAAAAACAATCTAAACTACAACTTACTCATTCAAAACACACATACAAGTGGTTCTCCAGATCCTTTATTTTTGATCGAAAGCAGTTTTTAATCCATATCTTCTTCTACTTTCCAGAGTCTTATCTTAGGTCCCTATGAGTTTGCAATTCAAGTATCACTATAGCCTCCTTTTAACTGATAACCTCCACCTCTTCCAGTCTATTCCTTATGCTGCTGCTAGAGTGATCATTCTCAAATAGAAATTTAACTATGGAGTGAAATCCTTTCATTGCCACTTACAAGCCACTGACCTAAGTTAGGCTAGTCACTTACTTTATTTTTCCTTAGTTTCATCTCCTGTAAATTAGGTATGCTAATATTTCCTACCTATAGAGAAATTACAAGGATGAAAGAAGTTTATACAATTAAAGTGTTTACCACAATGCATGATTGATACATAGGAATATCATAGCATCATACATAAGTGCTTGATAAAAGTTAACCATTATTATTTTTCTTTCTATATCCATAAAGACTCTCAAATATTAATTAGTTGAATGAATGAGTGGACTAATGAATTAAAGTCCTGATGGTTCGTTTTTAGAAAATTATAAATGTTTAAAATACACCCAAACATTTCCTCAGACAGCAAAATGTTCCTGACCCCCTTCACAAATTAAAATAGAGTTTTGGCTGGGTGTGGTGGCTCATGCCTGTCATCCCAGCATTTTGGGAGGCCAAGGCGGGCGGATCACCTGAAGTCAAGAGTTCGAGATTAGCCTGGCCAACAGGGTGAAACCCAGTCTCTACTAAAAATATAAAAATTAGCTGGGCATGGTGGCAGGCGCCTATAATCCCAGCTACTCGGGAGGCTGAGGCAGGAGAATTACTTGAACCCAGGAGGCGGAGGTTGCGGTGAGCCAAGATCACGCCATTATTCTGCAACCTGAGTGACAAGAACAAAACACCCTCTCAAAAACAAAAATACTTTTTATGTTTTATAGAATCTAGTTATTCTTTTATGATATTTATAAAATAATATAATAGAATCCAGCTTTTCTCCTTAAAATTATTTATTGCATTTTATAAGAATATATGTGTTTTGTCCACATCTGTATCTCTTACTCAAATTTACTTGATGTCAGGCCATTACCATTACCAAACTTCAGATTGTAGAACTTAATGTTCTATAGTCTCAGTCATGGTGTTACCCATCTTAATTCTAGTATTTAGTAAGTATTCACTTTTCACTATTCAAACTTCCTTTCATTTATGCTTTATTAATCATAATGGGCCTATTTTAGGGCAACATGCCTCATATCTATTTTTAGAAGGAGGTAGGAAATAAAAAATGAGAAGGGAAAGTGGAATTGGTTAATGTTGGTTATAGTGAAAGTGTGAAACTCTACCATTTATAAGGCTTAGGAATAGATCACCAAGAATGTTGCCATGAATATAAATGCTATTACTAATAAAAGACATTTGTCTTATGTTTTACAAACATAAGTTGTTTCATATACCTTCTCTCATCTAATGCTGACAACAGCATCCAGGTAATTAATGCATAAATTTTGATCCACATTTTACATATGAACCAACTGTAGCTCAGAAATGGCATGACTTTCTAAAGGTTTCACAGTCACTCAATTGGTCAAGCTGTAACTCAGATATAGATCAGCTTTGCCAAGTCCATTGCTCTTTATAGGATACCACTGTGATTCCATCATAAAGGTAACTCTGTGTTCAATTAAAAAAAAAAAAACACTTAACTAAACCAGGAATGGGTTTTTAAACTGCTGTCCATAAGTGTTCCTCCCACATTGGCCTTCCTAAGTGTTGAGATTACAGGCGTGAGCCACCAAGCCCAGCAGAATGGATTTTTAATTGTGATTTATTTTAGGGGAATAAATAACAGGATCTGCTTAACACATTAAATACCAGAAAGAATGAGTTACATGTACCTTTGAGCTTATTCATGCTACATCGAGATGATAAAACAAGCATTTCTGAAATTGATTGATAGTTTTTTTTTTACTTCTATATTTTATCAGATGCAGATATAATATTTTATCTAGTGCTTGGCAAGTGATAATGTATAAAGCAGATCATTGTTTAATTATAATGAAAGCTGAAGTAAACAGCATGAGTGATTTCTAAAAATCTAACCACTGACAACCACACCCTTTGGCAACTCTCCTAGGTCTCACAAGAAGACAATGGAGTAGATTGTGTTAAGCAAAAATTAAAAAAAAAAAAAGCATTAAGCTGTATGCCAAGACAGGGTAAAAGATGGAATCCAGATTTAAACTAATGAATAAAAGAGTCTTAAACTTACATAAGGAATCCTTCTTTTGTTTATTTTTGTTTGTTTTGCTCACATTCAACATTTTACCATGTTTTGTGATTACCATGTGTAAGGAACTATTCTAAACAGAAAAAAAACTTTCAATTAAGTCCAATTTAATATTTTTAAAAGTATAAACTTGGAGTCATATAGATCTAAGTTTTAATCCCACCTGCTAATTGTTACTAGTACATATGAGAATAAGAACAAACTACTTAAACTTTTTGATGACTGGGCATAGTGGTTCACACCTGTAATCCCAGTTGAGGATTGTCTGGTTACCTTTGGGAGGCTGAGGTGGGTGGATTGCTTGAGCCCAGGAGTTCCAGACCAGCCTGGGCAACATGGTAAAACCATGTCTCTACAAATATACAAAAATTAGCTAGGTGTGGTGGCACATGTCTGTGGTCCCAGCTACTCAGAAGGCTGATATGAGAGGATCACTTGGGCCCATTATTAGGTCAAGGCTGCAGTGAGCTGAGATCATGCCACTGCATTCCAGGCTGGGCAACAGAGTGAGACCCTGTCTCAAACAAACAAAAAACAAAAATACCTTTTTAATAGCATTACAAAAAAGCTACTATCAGGATTAAATAAGATACCATATTCATTTATCTATTCATTCATTGGAGCCTACTTTGGATCAGACACTGTTCAAAGCACCTAATATACATTAGCATGCAAAACAAAATCCCTGTCTCCATAGTTTCCATTCTAGTAGGTATGAGATAAGAAAGTGCTATCCTGTGTATCATTTTGTGCAAGCAAGAGATACACAAAAACACTGAATTTTCCAATAGGATGTGTGTGGATTAAGCCTTTAATGATTAAGAATTGAGGTCAGTAGCTACCTCGGAAAGTGTAATAATGATGTCTTGAAAATAAGAGTAGTGGTTGAAAGTGTGTTTAAGATGAGTCCCATTCAGTCAAGTAACTGCTTATTCATTTATATTTACTGAATGTCTGGGAAAACACAACCAAATAACAAGAGATGACCCACAGAATGATTAAATAAATTGCTGAGGTTTGATCAGTTCTTCTGGTCTTCTATATGAGCTAAGGGACTCTATTTGAAGAGAATGAAAATTAGTAAATAATTGCCATCAATTTAGTACATTTACTCCTTTATCTGAATGTGAATCAAGCTATTTCCAGAAATGTGTTACCATGTTTCCATCTCTGAATGTACTCATCCACATACTACTGAGGAGTAGCTCTCTTTATATGTTATAAAGAAACAAGAGCCAGCATTTGGCAGCTACATGAAGATATGAAGAAAACAAATATATAAAATATAAAATATATTATATAAATATATATAATAAAAATATATAAATATACAAAATATAAAAATTATGTAACTATCAAGAATCTTGGGCTGTTTGTCTATGGCAGGTTTATTTTTATATTTCTACAGAGGAATTAAGAGACAAGGATAAGAACTCTGGTAACCTCAGTATTGTATGTGTGGTTGTAGCTAATATCCCTGACAGAAGATAAGGAAAATTACAAGTTTAACCACAAAATAGAGATATAAAATAGAAAAGAAAATTTCTGCCATTAACTTAGAACCCACAATCAAAGCATAAGAAACAAGAATCTGTGGTGTGCGGGTCCCTCACATTAACCAAATTAAAGCATGGTGGGTGTAGTAATCATCTTAAAAACTGATTTTAATTGTTGCAATTAACACACCCAATTTGTATTATTATTAAACATTTTAAACATGTCCAAATTTGAATCAGTTTTATTTTGGCTGATTAGATTGTTCTGTATCCAGCTGTAAACCTAAAGAGTAAACCAAGTAAAAGGAATATGTGAGATCAAGAAAACAGGGTATAGAAAAAAGAAAGAGGCAACTAGACTATCTAAGGTGATGGGGAAATATCACAGGATGGCGGTTTAGTAGCTGACCTAGCGAGCAACACATCTGATATGAGCAGCAGGACAGAGGGTTCCAAAATTGATGTGTCTAAGAAAAATGCATTAATAAAATACCACTTTGTTCATTAGTTTGAATGAGATGATTTATAGTTATAACAGAGAGCCTGGAAGTCATTGGGCAAGAGGTATAAGAGAAAGTAAACAATTAGAAATAAGAGACAATTACTAAATCAATGAGAAATAAAAGTTGTACCAGAAATAAATGTAATCATAGTATACAATATGGCTTACCTGTGGAGTGTTTACTTAGCAATAGACCTTTGACTAGGACCTACACTGTTGATGCTCCTGGTTTTCACACCTTCAGACTCAGACTGGAATTAACACCACCCTTTCCTGGGTCTACAGCTTGCACACAGCAGATTATGCAATTTTTCTACCTCCATAATACTGTGAGAAATGCCCCATAGTAAATCTCTTTCTGTATATGTATATATATATATATATATATATATATATATACACACACACACACACACACACATACACACACACACAGGATATAAATATATATATATAGGATATATACATTATCGGATATATATATATCAGATATATATATAGGATATATACATAGGATATATATATTGGATATATATATACACAGGATATATATATCTATCAGATAAGGTAGGATATATATAGGATATATATAGAGGATATATATATAGAGGATATATACAGAGGATATATATATAGAGAGGATATATATAGAGAGGATATATATATAAATATATAGAGAGGATATATATAGAGGATATATATATAGATGATATATTTAGAGGATATATATATATAGGATATATATAGAGGATATACTTAGGGTGTGTGTATATATATATACATATATATAGGGTATATATATAGAGGATATATATATCTCTCTCTCCTATTGTTTCTGTTTCTCTGGAAAACCTTGACTAATATAAACGCTAAGAAAGGAAAGAAACAATATGAGAAGTTAAAAAAGTTTATTGTCTCAGAACCAGCAAAAAGTTTAGACAACTCCATTTTATCCTTCCCTCAAGCCTTCCACTATCCCAAAATTATATGTGATCCCAACCTAAAATTGACTCTGTTCTCTCACTACCCCAAGTTCTAATAGTCCACTAGGCAAACTTACTTCCACCAGACATACATACACTTATACGTAAATCGGTGCAATGGAAGACCTTAAAAGGAAGGTGTGTGAGAGTCTTCTCTAAGGTGTAAGTCATTGATGACCTTCCTGAAGGTGAGATCAAGGTAACCAGACAAGTCTTCAAAGGTATCAGGTATCTGCCACCCTCACATTCTTTCCTTAACTGCTTAAAAATGTCTAAAAATATTTGACATTCACAGGCACTATAAATATGATTAATAAAAATCCTTCTGCACAACTATTACTGAAACACCAGGAATTCCGTCTAGGTCCTGCTGCTTGCCACACGGAAAGCCAGTCACTGAGACAACACGTATTGCCAAGGAAGAAGGCTTTACTTGGATGCTGCAGCTGAGAAGATGGGAGCTCAGTCTGAAATCCAGCTCCCTAACCAACCAAACCTAGGGTTTATATAGCAGGGAATAAATGTAACAATGTATAAGAAAACAAACTAGGGAGGGGCAAGGAAGCAATCATGATGAATGAGGGGGCTGGTATCTCACATTCTGGATGTGGTGATTTGGTGAATATCAGTTCTTTGAAACTTGGGGTCCTTTCCTGAGGAAGGAACTCAGATAAAACAAATTAGGTTTCAAGTCTTAAGACCAGAAATATCAATTTCTCATTTATTTATTTATTTAGAGACAGGGTCTCACTCTGTCACCCAGGCTGAAGTGCAGTGGCACAACCTTGGCTCACTGCAACTGCCACCTCCAGGGTTCAAGTGATTCTTGTGCCACAGACTCCAGAGTAGCTGGGATTGCAGGCACAGAAGGATCAATTTCTATGTTTATACATTTAAAAAAACCTATCTATGGGGCCACTGGCTCAGTTTCACTTCTGCCTTTCTATTTAACAATTCCTCAATCATGGAGAATCTGGTCATCCATATTTCTGGCTGCTTCATGCTGAGGAGGGGAGTCCTGGGTAGCTCCATGCTATAGGTGATTTCATGGCCACCCAGGAATCAAAGGAATCTAATACTATAGCTTTCTTCTGAAACAGTATTTCTCTCTCTAGTCTCCCACTTCCACCAAAGGCAAATCATACCAGGCCCAATCTACCTGCAAAATAATCCTCAGTCCCATCTCCTCGGCTGCAAAAGCTGATTAAAGCCTTCTTCCCTGACAATACTTGTTGTCTCAGTAATTGGCTTTTTACGTGGTGAGCAGCAGGACCAAGACTGAACCCCTGGTATTTTGGTAAAACGACTACATGCCAAAAAAAAGCATTAATACAATGAAACCCTTAAAAATTCCTTATCTTTATAGTTTATCCTAATAAGCAATAATAGTAGTAACCCAGATGAATTTGTATAAGAGAAACTATGATTTGTATTCAAAGAGTGGTAAAAATACCCCTAAAACATTCTATTCCTCTTGAAAGTATTTTTATTTTCAATTGTCTCCACTTATTTTTATCCCATTTTACAAAGTTCTTATAAAATTACAAAAGTATTTTGTTTTGTCAAGTCCAAAGACAAAATTTAAACTTTGTAATTTCACACAGGCTTGATAGCAACTTTGGGCATTTAGAAGTCAATGCAGCAAATGTCTTGTTTTCTGGAATTTGTTTTTCAGTTTCTCACTTTTTAAATAGCTGTGATATTTTCTATTCTTACATGAGATTTGGCTTTCATTGAAAGATGCAATTATAGAATCTGAAAGGATTCAAAGGCCACTTCTCAAATTCCAAATTTATTAAGATATGACATAAAATGTTTATATCTGAGATAACACTTTTAAAGTAATTAAAAATATATCCATCAATCCCTCTCCTGAACCAAAAGAGAGTACTGATAAGAATGAATTTCCACAACTAGTATTAAAATAAAAAATGCTGATAATACTATAAAGAAATTCTCTAGGTATACCTCTCAAGCCTCATAAAGGTAGAAAATACTCATTTATTTGTTAACTTATAACCTCTTTATTGAAAATACTTATTGTCTGCACTGTTCCCAGTGGGCAATAAATATTTTTCTTTTCTCTCTCTTCTTTTTCTCCTCTCTCTCTCCCTCTCCCTCTCTTTGGTTATCTCTTTCTCTCTCTAAATTAGCCAGTGTAGGTTAGTAGCATTCTTATACTCCAACAACACTATTTTAAACTCTGCTGTTTTTATTTACATCATTTCAGAAATATTTTGCTATTCAGTCTGAGTATCTATTGAGCATGTACTTATAATGACCATTTTAGTATATACAGGAAATTTTACTGTGCTGGTGGAGCACAATTATTAAAATGTTCCCTGAATGTTGGCTTTTTATTGTTTTGTTCGTTGTTTCTGTTTTTTCTCCTTTAGATATTACTACATCAAAGAAAAGACATATCTTTAAAACATCTTTCTGTGGTGATCCTAAACAGGGAATAATCTTTCATCCTTAGAACTTCCATCTTTAGACGGTCTACCTCTGGCATTGGACGTGACCTTGAGCAACTTCCTTTTAGTTCCTAGATTCTATACTTTTGTCCTGACTTTCAAATATACTACTACCCATGTATTACTGTAGCTATTTCCATCAGAGTTAGCTTCCTAAGGAATGGTAAAATGGAATGGGGCTTTGTTGCATGTGAAGAGGCATGGGGTGTAGAACAGGAATAAGTAAGAAGAAGGCACTAAGCACTTGCACATTTATTTTTTCTGGGGAGGAAAAACTATAGAATGAGAGAAAGTTGACATAAAAACAACTGAGAACAATGATAGAGATAAGGAATCTATTGACAGCCACATAAACAGACATGTATTCCAAATCAAATTTTGATCATATCAACTTGCAAAAAATGAATATGTCATAACATGGCCAACACTGATTTTTAGTATCTTAAGTATTCATTTATTTCTCTGAATGTCTGTTTAGCTGTGATAATTTAGATCACTCAGAGAGACAGTTAAAGTGAATATGTAAGCTATATTAGGGTTTAGTTCAGCCACCACTGAAAAACATAATCCTCATCTCTTATTTTAACTCCATTCATTTAAAGTGCTATATATTTTTCAGTAAATTTTCAAAGAGCAGTTTCTGAAGGAAATATGCCTTTGGAGATCAATCACTGACAAATATAATTTGTTTCAGTAGATTCCCAATGCTCAAGCTGCTCCTATATTATCTGTGGATTAAAAAAAAAGTTACTTAAATTAAGCTACTTTAATTGTACTTTGGAAAATCAAGATTTTAAATAAAGCTCAAGGGTTTTTTATGTAATAAATATTTATTCATATAGTGTGGAAAGATGCTTCTTTATAAATTAATTTAGTCTTAGTAATAAGAATCTTCATCCTCAGTGGAAAGAGGATCTATAGAGAAAGCATCAATGGGCTAATGAAAAATACCTAAGGCTACCTTCCTGTCATCGCTCAAAATCATTTTTGCTGAGATAGCTTGGTGGTATACCAAGGCCCAACACTGGTGACCATCTACTCATTAAATGACTGACTTCCTTCTCACAATCCCGCAATCACTTTCTTCTTTGCTTTTGGAGTGGCACGAATCTACCTTCTTGAACTACACATAGTATGGCAAATAACATGATACAGTAAAACATGCACTTGAGGCCTAGTTCCAAAACCTATCACCTACACCATCTCCTAAACTACTTAGACTCTCTAAACTTTAGGACCTTAATCTATGAAATGGAGTCTTAATGCTTATTTAATAGGGTTCTTGTAGGACTAGGTGAAATGACTTAGCAAACAGGTACTCCATAATATTAGTTATCTTCCTGTATATTCTAAGGAAATAACTTTTGTTCAAGACAGAAAGAAAGGATAGACAACCACCTAAAACAGGGATGGCTAACTTTGTATGTAGCAGCCCAAACAGTAAGGTATTTTTGGTTTTGTGGACCCCATAGCCTCTGTTACAACTATTCTCCTCTACTGTTGTAGCAGGAAAGTGGCCATAGACAATATGTAAACAAGTGATTTGGTTCAGGAGTCATAGTTTGCCAATCCCCATTCTGAAGAATCAACATTTAAATGAAAAGATTGTTCAGCATTGAAAAAGATCCAAGGAAAGCAAGAAAGACAGGAATCTGTAGACAGTGGGGTGAATCATAAACCAGCATTGCTTCACATGGCTCTTCTGCTTTCCTAATTGGTTTTGCTCCATGCTCAGCTCATCTCTTCCTTCTCATATCCCTCATGGAACTCATGTTCTGTGCTGTCACACTAAGGTAATACTAGTCTATATTATAACAAAATCCAATACTCCAAAGTGTAAGCAGAGACTCCCAGCAGAGAAAGACCTTGATTAAGATGAGGCTGGTTGCTTCTTGCGAGAATATTTTCATCCTAAACTCTTCCCTAGTCATATTTAAGAGGGCTTGGTGTTTAGTGTTAATAAAAGAATGGGAAGCTTTTTAGACACTACTTATATCCTGGCTTTTGTTGTTCCACAATTTTTTCACTTGATAAACCTCTTAGCTTCCTGTGAATATGGCAAAGATCTCAAAACCAGGAACTATGTCACATAATTGTTTTATTATTTTATTACTTTTTTAACCAAGAAGTTGTATACAACAACATAGAGATGGATTGGGACTGGAGGTTATATAATCAATAAACAAAGCTTACAAATATTTAGGAAGTTTTTTGATATATTTAAAAAAGCTTTTTCTTTACCAAAATTTCCCAGTAAAATAATCTTTGGGATGAGAAGACACTGAACTTTTATGTGACCTCAAAAACACATATGTTTTATATTTTTATTCCCAAACTTGTAGGTCTGAAAAGAATATTCAAATTTCATTCTTATTTTATGACCCATAAAACATATTATGATTCAGCTGGCTGCAACAGAGAGCATTAGAATACAGGATATTGTTTTATTTTATTTTCCCTTATTTTATTTCTTTGTGAAACATGTTGGCTGTTAGAGGAATCAAATGCAATGATGTGGACTTGGTAGCAATGGGGTCTAAATCATTGGTCTTCTAAGCGGAGTGGGATAGTTGTATGTTAGACAATGCCAAGATGACCTACTGAAGGTCATACTGTAATTATAGAAAATAATTACAATTTTTACTTATATTCACTTTTAATGGAAACAGCTAAGAAGGAAGTGAAGGTTTACTGATATACACTTGAACCGGTGTTGTCACTTGCTATATGTATCAGACACACTAGTAAGGGATCCTATTCTGAAACAAGGCCCTTCATTCACTTGTTAATTTTCAGCATGTTGCAGTTTAAGTAAGCTCAGTGATTGTATTTACCAATTAAATTACCCAGATTTAGCTAAAAGTAACTTTACAAAATAAACAAATGGTTTTAAAAGATTCTAGCAAGTACATTATAAATTGAGAATATTGCTGCTAATGCAAGCCCAGGCAAACTACAAAAAGAATGGCAGAGCTGACTCTTTGCTACTCCTAGAACAAGCTGTTCAGTAATAATACGAGACTAAAGGCAAGGACACCCTAATCTAATTTGACAAGAAGTCTGCCAACAAAATTCAAATTATCAAGAAGAGTATTTTAAACAATGGATTTATAGCCACAGTTGTTAACAAAGAAACTTTTTCCATATGTATTTCATGCTTTAAGAAATAACATAAATTCATCACTACTGATAATACATTTTAAAATGTGGTTTACACACTTTATCCTGACCTTTGAAAATGTCAGTTTTTTAATGCCATTTACATAACACTTTAGTAAAAGATTATGCATATATAATTTATAAATATGTTCCCCAAGATACACATATAAGGATTTGCATTTAAAAATGTTCGACTAGAGGCCAGGTGTGGTAGCTCACACCTGTAATCCCATACTTTGAGAGGCTGAGGCAGGTGGCTTGCTTGAGTTCAGGAGTTCAAGACCAGCCTGAGCAACATGGTGAAACTCTGTCTCTACTAAAAACACAAAAACTAGCTGGGCTTAGTGATGTGTATCTGTAGTTCCAGCTACTCGGGAGACTGAAGTGGGAGGATTGCCTGAGCCTGGGAGGTTGATGCTGCAGTGAGCTGTG
The DNA here is from genome assembly GCF_000001405.40 of Homo sapiens. NCBI lineage: Eukaryota > Metazoa > Chordata > Mammalia > Primates > Hominidae > Homo > Homo sapiens. The sequence continues at coordinate 88,649,003 of NC_000012.12, read as the reverse complement.
ATCGTACCACTGCTCTCCAGCCTGGGCAACAGAGTGAGACCTTGTCTTTTTTTGTTTTTGTTTTTGTTTTTGTTTTTTTAAGGCAGCAGGCTGCAGTGAGCTATAATCATCCCATGGTACTCCACCCTGGGCAACAGAGCAAGACACTGTTTCTAAGAAAATAAATAAATAAATAAATAAATAAATAAATAAATAAAATATTCTACTAGTAGGAGGGAGTATGCAGTCAGAAAAGTTTGTAGAAGAAACATTGAAATAAACAGCTCAAATAATAAGTGAAATTGCATGAAACAGATTAATTTTATTCTATGTGTATCTTGTCAACAGTGGAAGTATACTTAATTACTGCACTTTAGAGGTGCTATGCTTATTAGATGACCACAATGCAGCTAGACTTGTGTATGATATACAAGTATGCCATGATACTGGAAACTTGCAAAATATTTGGCTTCTGATAAACATCAAAATCACCTACTATCAACAAAGGTTCAGAAAATAATTTTTGTTAAGCAAAAGCAATGCCAATTACAATAGCTTTAAAAAACAAAATATATGCATACAAGTTTTGTACACTTAAAACTATAAATATTGCTGAGGAAAATGAAAGAGATTTGCTATGTTCACAAATTGTAAAACTCAGTATTATTAAGGTCAATACTTCCCAAATTGATCTATAAATTAACTGCCATCCCAATCAAAATCCCAGCCATCTAAAATTTATATAGAAATGTAAAGGACTTAAAATAGCCAAAATAATATTTTATGAAAAGAACAAAGGTGAAAACTTAACATATCTGATTTCGAGACTTCCTACAAAGCTACAGTGATCAAGACAGTGTGGTACTGGTGTAAGAATAGACAAATAGATCAATGGGACAAAATAGGTCAGAAATAAACCTACTTATGTAGGATCCATTAATTTTCTTTTTTTTTTTTTTTGAGACGAAGTCTCGCTTTGTGCTCCAGGCTGGAGTGCAATGGCACGATCTCGGTTCACTGCAACCTCCGCCCCATGAGTTCAAGCGACTCTCCTGCCTCAGCCTCCCGAGTAGCTGGGATTACAGGCGACTGCCACCACGCCTGGCTAATTTTTGTATTTTTAGTAGCGACGGGGTTTCACTATGTTGGCCAGGCTGGTTTTGAACTCCTGACCTCAGGTGATCCGCCCACCTCGGCCTCTGAAAGTGCTGGGATTACAGGCGTGAGCCACCGCGCCCAGCAGATCCACTAATTTTCAACAAAGATGTGAAGATAATTAAACAGGGAAAAGTATTTTCAATGAATGATGCTGGAACTGGATATCTGTATAGAAAAAAAGAAAACGGGATATCCATATGGAAGATAAAATGGTCCTTGGTCTTTATTTCACGCCATATAAAAATTTACTCAAACTGAATCATAGATCTAAATGCAAAAGCTAGAGCTGTGAAATTTCTTAAAGAAAAGATAAAGAAAATCTTAGCAACCTTGTGCTAGGCAAATATTTCTCAGATAGGACACAAAAAAGCATATATCACTAAAAAATGGTGAATTGGACTTTATCAAAATTAAAATGAAAATATAGTTACAGACTGGGGGTCTGGGGGAATATGTGCAATGCATACATATGGCAAATTATTTATATCCAAATTGTATGAAGAACTCTTATAACTCAATAATATGGAAGCAAACAACTGATTAAAAGTGGCCAAAAAATGTAAGCATATATTTCACAAAATATATAGAAATAGTGAACTAGCACAGAAAATATGCTTCATGTCATTTGTCATCAGAGAAATGCAAATTAAAATGCAATGAGTTCCTAAACATATATTAAGATGACTGAAATGGAAAATAATGCCATTATCAATTGCTGACAAGGATGTGGAACAACTGTGTGAACTCACATATGGCTGGTGAGAGAGCAAAATGATATAGCTACTTTGGAAAGTAGTTTTCCTATTTCTTATAAAGTTAAACTTACTTTTACCATATGACTCAGCAACTTCACTCTTGGATATTTACCCAAGAGAAAGGAAAAAGATATGCCCACACAAAGATTTATACACAAGTGATCATAGCAGATTTGGAAACTGTAAGTAATTGAAATGTTCATTAACAGGTGAATAGATAAATTATGGAATACACCTAAAATAGAATATTGTTCAGCAATACAAAATAACAAATTACTGATACTTATGACAACATGAAAAAAATTTTCAAAAATATGATGTTGCAGGAAAGAATCCAGGCACCAAAAAATACAATTTTAGGTTTCCATTTATATGAAATTCTAGGGCAGTCCTAACTAATCTCTGCTCAAAGAAAGCAAGTCAGTTATTGCCTGGCATTTTGGGATTGAGTAACAGTATTTGTTGACTGTAAAAAATTCAAGAATACTTTATGGGATTATGAAAATATTTTATATCTTGATTAGACTGGTGAGTATCAAAACTCATCAAACTATACACTTAAAATGGATGCAATTCATTGCATATTAATTATACTTCAATAAAGTCAATTTTTTTTACCTTTTTTTTTTTTTTTAAGAGAGAGACTTGCTCTGTTCCCCAGGCTGAGTGCAGTGATGCAATCACTGCAGCCTAGACCTCCTGGGATCAAAGGCCTCTTATCTCAGCCTCCAGAGTAGGTGGGACTACAGGCATGTGCCACCATGCCCAGTTAAGTTTTTAAAAAATTTTTGATAGACAACAGTGTCTCACTATGTTGCCCAGGCTGGTCTCAAACTCCTGGACTCAAGTAATCCTCCAGCCTCAGCCTCCCAAAGTGCTGAGATAAGAGGCATGAGCCACTGCACCCTTATGGCTTGCATAAGGTCAATTTTAAAAAATAACTTCCTATATTAGTTATTCATAAAAATTATAGACCTCATATTTACTTGCTAGTTTTCTGATTTATTATGTGCTTCTCTCAGTAGACTGCAAGTTCCATGAGGAGTTGGACAACAGCCCTTTTATTAACTGTATCTCCAAAACATTTTGTACTTTGCTTGACTCAAAGAAAGCATTCGATAAATTTTTGAATAGATAAATGAATAAATGAGTTGTTATTTACATTTCCATTGCCTCCCCATGACCACAGTTTTCTTAAGTAAATTGATGGTCAACAAGACTGTTGATTTCCCTTATTTCTTGAACTCAGTCCATTATAAAATAAATGACATCCAGATGTCATCTGGGAATTATTGAATCCTGGGATGTAAATATATTTTCCTTGAAAACAATTCCCAGGCAAAGTAATACACAATCCAAACCCATCCTGAGGTTTGTTATAGAAAATAATAATTAGGCAGGTAGATAATGGTTTCCACAGAGCTTTCTAACCCAGGAACTGCCCAACCCCATCTTCACCTTTAAGTGAGGAACAGGCTGAATTTCAGCTCCAGAAACTCGAGCTGGTTGAATACTGAATATGCAGTAACTCTATTCCACACACAACTGACTCATGTGAGTGATTTTTTTTGGTGGAACTCAAGCATAGAAGGCTATAATCCATGTCAGGTATAAAAAGTGGTTGTATAACTAGAATAGCGAGACAACTTATGAGCTAACCTACATTGGATGCAGGATTAAATGGCCTGTACGTTAGTTTATAGGTTGTAATAGGTTATACTCCTGCTTCCAATGGAGGTTAGCTTATAGGTTATTTTGCTATTCTAGTTTTGCAACCACTAGCACTAGAGTAATGATAAGTATAGAGGGCTTCCACTGAAATGATGTGTGATTGATAAAATGTCACATGAGTCCCAAAAGTCATTGCTTCCTTAGGCAGTCCCTGGGTTACACTGGGTAGTGGAATTGTAAAGAAGAAATCCACTCCTATAGACAAAACCAATCGGAAGGTAGGAAATGAAACCTGTGACTCAGAGCAATGTGGGTAAGTAGAAACAGGAAGGTCAGAAATTCTGCCTGAAACTTTAGGTTCTGAAAGGGTGGTATTTTTTTAAACTGCGAAGACTGGCAAGAGTGAAGCATTAAACGGTATTAAATGTTGAGCCAATGTTGGATCAGGAAAGGGGGTTAAGAAAAGAATCAATGTATCCCGTTGTGCAAAGGAGAAATAGTTAAATAAGGGGTGGGCTGATGTAGAAGACTACACAACAATAGTATTTACCATTCTCAGGAAGAGAGGAGCTTCTGAGAATGGGCGGTAGAAGGAGTAGGGGGGAAATGAGAGACAAAAAAATGAGGGGAGATTGTAATGCTCCATACTATGTTGGATACTAAATAGAACCTCAATATTTCAACAGAGAGGCTTGATAATGATGTGGGTTTTTTTCCTTTTCTAAATTCTTTCCTGTCACACATTTCAATTAAGTTTGAAAATGACTCTAGAATAGATAGTTTGAGGTGTGATTATCACATTTTAAGGAAGTCAGCTGTTATGGTCTTAAGAAGGGCAGTAGCTTTCTCAGCTGTTTTACTACGGTAGTTCTATTAAAAATGATTACCTTTCAGTAATAGGAAGAGTGGTCTAAGTAGCCCTAATTCAAGCCCTTATTAGATTGTGTTGCTTTCAGAGAGCTGACCAACTCTTTGGTCGATTCAGATCTCCTCTTTTAAGATGTGATGGCCTCATTCCACTAAGTATGTAAACCAAACCTTTTACCAAAGCACCAGGCATTTGATTAAAGATTCACTATTTTAAAAGTGAAAAAATTCAGTGGATTTATCAATAACAAGGCATTATGAGGTTAACATTTTTAAAATATATGACTCCAATAGAAGATTTGGGAAGAATGTTATTTGAGAGCCAAGAGGAATGAATATTGAAAGATTGAGACAAGTCTTCAGGAGTGAAGAAGAAACTGACAATGAAATAGGTAAAATTTTAGGAAAAAGAAAAGGAGGTCACTCTTGACTTCAAAAGCTGTAATTGGGACAAAATACAAACTACCAAATTAAGTGAATATATATGTATAGATATATGTAGATATATATATATGAAACTTACACATTCATAAGCACATGTATCTGTGCACGGTATTTTTCTTCTACACAACTATGTAAGTAGACATTTGGACCTTAATTGTTTTATCGTTTGACCACACACTCTATATTACACAATAGTGTCACCAGCTGTTTGTAAAAGATACTTTGTTTTTGTTTGATTTACTGGATTTGGATTGGGTTGGTCTGGATTAAATTTGGAGATTTGAGCTCTAGAAACACACACATTTTGTCAACATGAGTCAACCCATCTCTCATCAGAAGCTAAATTTCACAAGACTGGAGGGAAAATCTAAAATTTGCTCTACAAGTGCTATTAGCACTATCAATATTACCTTTCATGGTAGGTCTGACTCCAGGCCTACATACCTTCCAAGTATTCTGAAGGTACCTGGGTAAGTATCTCCTTTTTATGTTACCACTTATAGGTTAATGGGTTAAGATAACTCAATTGCTTTCCATAGATAATGAGATACAGAATTCATCTTATCCACTGTCTGCCTTAAGCTACTAGACCACTTACTCTCAGCCCCACTAGAAATAGCAGAAAGTACCCGGGCTTTGGAAACCCGGATCCAAATCCTAATTCCACAACCAGCTATGTGCCCCTGGGCAAGATATGTGACTTCTCTGGGGTCCAGATTCTTTCTCTGTAAAATTGGAATGATATTACATACTTTGTATGGTTTTGTGTGGGCTAAATAAACTAACATATATAAAAATACTTAACAAAAGTTTTGGAAAATAGCAGGTTCACACACACACAAAGAGAATTCTCTTCCCATGCTCAATGCCAAACTTATGTGACTTCATTCCAACTAGCTGTGGCATTTACCTTTGTTTCTGCCAGTTTCCATTTCTTATCTATAAGTAGTAGAAACAGATTTTAGTGACTGGGTTCACATCTTCCTGTAATAGAATTTTGATATGAATTAGCATAAATTTTGATATGTACCTTTCCTCTGACACTCACTGGTTCCCTGCATGTGGGATCTTCTTGGTTTCTTGGGGCTCCCTCATGCAAAAATTGCTTAAGTCATGCCTCATTTTGATTTTTGGCTTTAAGCTGTTGGCTCTTCTCTAATTCTCAAATTCTGTGAGCTTCCATGATCTCCCCTCCCCATAAGCTCACTCTTCCCTTTGATCTCAGCTGTGCTCCCACTGCAGAACTCCACATGGTACCTCTGCAGTCCTGCTTGGGGTTAATACAGGCCACAGCACACTGGGAATACTTACCAGATGGCAGCCTTCTCATAGAAATGTTTTCTGTTTCTTGATATTACTTCAGAATCTGGGATTACTTAGATATTGGAAGCTTAATTATTTCTTAAAGTAATTTATTTGGAGTATCCGTAGTTTTCCTCATATTAATACTGTTGCCATGAACATTTTGGTCTATTTTACTTCTTTTCTTTTTTTTTTTTTTCTTTTTTTTTTTTGAGACAGAGTCTCACTCTGTCACCCAGGCTGGAGTGCAGTGGAGCCATCTCAGCTCACTGCAAGCTCCGCCTCCCAGGTTCACGCCATTCTCCTGCCTCAGCCTCCTGAGTATCTGGGACTACAGGCGCCCACCACCACTCCCGGCTAATTTTTTGTATTTTATAGTAGAAACGGGGTTTCACGTGTTAGCCAGGATGGTCTCAATCTCTTGACCTGGTGATCCGCCAGCCTCAGCCTTCCAAAGTGCTGGGATTACAGGCATGAGCCACCGCACCCAGCCCTATTTTACTTATTTTCTGTAGTACATAACATTTTCAACACAATTATAGTCACATTATACATGGCATTTCATATGCTTCTTTTTCACTCAATATTATCTTAATTTTTGCAGTGATTGATTATACTTTAATGGTCAAATCGCTATCTAATGAGTAGGTATAATACTATTTATTTAATGTTTCTTTTTTGGATAGAGATTTATGTTGTTTCCAAGTTTTGAATATTACAAATTAAATCATAATGAACATTCAATATACAAAATTCATTATCCTTATATTTGACAATTTATTTTTTAGGATTCCCAGAAGTGAAATTATTGGGGCAGAATGGGCACATTTTTATGGCTTATGATGTATTTGCCAAACTACTTTCCAAAAGGGATGTAAAAATTTATGCCAGAAGACTAATTCTACCTGTAGCGCAGCTTTAAGATGGATCAAGCTCCATATAGAAGTTGGAATTAAAGGATTTTTAAAGTGGCTTTTGCTATCTCCACTATCTTTGGCTTGGAAAGAAATTTGATGCATATTCTGCCCAGTTTTGTAAAGTCTGTTCTGAGTTGTTATTATAAATACATTTAGTCATCTTGAAATACTTTCTAGAATAAGGTGGGATATAAATAAATACATGGTACAATTGTTAACCAAGCACAAGGCAGGTTTCTAAACTGTTTTAAGTGTTTTTTCTTTGTGGGTTTGTTTTTGATTTTGTTTTGCAAACATGGTCTTCTGGGCTAAATGCCAGTAGGTGCATATCTTTAGACACATTCAATTCTTTCCTATAACTCCCTCTGTGAAAACTGCTACTTTACTTTCACATACAGATGATGCCCATTTGGTATTGTATTAGGTTGGTGCAAAGGTCATTGCGGTTTTTGCCATTACTTTCAATGGCATTCAATGAATGCCATCACTTTCAATGGCAAAAACCACAATTACTTTACAACTATTTTTAAAAACATACAAAAATAGACTATCAGGAAAAAACACAAATATTTGTGCCTAATAATTTTACTCCTAAAAATTAGTTATAGAAAAAAATGCTTATTAGAGCTAATCGTTCAACACAACTTAAAGATTCAGTGAAGAGGAATGGGTATGTAATTTATGGAGCATCAGGTGAAGAGTAGTAGAAGTGGACATTTATGATATTTTCCTGCCTAGCATCTATTGGACTTTTATGATCTTTTCCTGCCTAGCATCTGGTAAAAATTCTCAAATTAGCCTCTACAATACCTTGAGTGTATCAATCAAGTCTTTCTACAGGCTGTAAAGATAGCCTGTGTTACATGGAGTAAAGATGTTAAAATGGCACCATTCTTGATACAGCTAAGGGTAATTGTTACAAATATATAGCTAGAAGGAAAGATTTCTGGCAAATGCATTTTGACAGGGGAAAAACGTAAGGAAGGGATTAAACCAGTGAATAAAAGTAGCCTTTTGTCCTATGGGGTTCAGACCAATATCAAAAAGCATTTAAGGGTGAATACAAACTAATTTAGAACATAAGCCTAAAAAGTTACTTTGGTAGAGACTAATACCATGCGCACTATTGAAAAATGTGACTTTATTCTCTAAAATATTATCTAGGTAAATTCAATATTCATTAAAGCCTCATAACATGTTTTTAAAATAAGTTAAAGTAACATATGTATTTCATTTATTGAAACAGAAAAAATGATATACCATGATTATGAAAAATTGAAAAACATGATATATTTTCAAATATCTATATTAACTATGGTATGTTCTCTATTACTGATATTTGATTTAAAAGTTTTTACAATGATTTTCTTAAGGGCTTTATTCAGCAACATTGCTTCACTTATATAGAATATATACATTTACTCCTACGGGATATATTTAGCATCTATTATGTGTAGTATTACCCTAGGCTGCCTTCTCTGTCTATTTTCCAATGTGTATTCTTCAGGAAGGAAATGGAATTTAATGTTAGTCTAATAAAAGTTATAATTTGGAAGGCATGCCTACAACAAAAAAATTCTATAGACCACAACAAAATCTAAAGCTTAGAATTTAGATATTTATGTAAATTGTACAGATTAGCATGCATTTGTATAAATTCTATTTATTACAAATCTCTGTACCATCTTCTGAAATTTAATTGTTATGAGTGATGCTCAAAGACAAATGAAAAAATATAGCATAAAGAAACCTAAAAATTCAACAAATTATAGCCTAGGACCACACAAATTGGGGAAAGAAATTATTTCAAAGAAAAGAAATGTAGCTATAACATGAAAACAAAAATTAGATTTTATTTAAAATCATATTCCACAGAGCAAGCTACTGCCCTAAAGGTCATCATTTTTTTAAAGAAAATATTTGCAGAAAAGACAACGGTGTGACTATGCTGAATTCATCTAAGCATTCATTTCTAATATATACAATATTTGTGAAAATCATTGTCCCTGACTCTCTTAGGTCCTAAAATGTATGTTTACCTCAAAGCCACAAAGACTTTTGATGAAATATTATTCTTTTGGGGAAAAATTTTTTTTGGTTTTGTACAGGGACCATAAACAATTCATTAGAAAGGGATAAAACTCTGAGACCTGTAATATGAAAGTGCAGCCTCTGCCAGCCCTCCAGAAGTCCTTAGCCATGCTTGTAACATAATCTCTTCATTTATCTTTCAAAGCTACTCCTATCTTGGCAATGTCTCTCCCAGCAGCTGTGTGCTTTGCTCTCCGTGCTTGTAGTCTCTTCCATCTTCATTATGGACAGTAAATCTTTGACAAAGTGCCTGGAAACTTTAGCAAAAAGCTCTGTAAACATACTTAGGAGAAGGGGTCAACACATTTCTAGAAGCGTAAGAGCTGACTATCTTGGTACACGTGCATGTGGCAACTAATTGGTGGTATAGATAAACCAGAATGCACTGAAATAGGCAGTAGCCTGTGGTTTGATCCAGTTCACTCCAGTAGAAAGGAAAGAAAATACAAGAAACTACTTTATGTGATTAGGGGGAGAAAAATCCATACTTTCCATATGGGAATTTCTCGTGTGTTTTCTTAATGAACTCAGAGGGAAGTTGAGAGAGTCTTTTAAGCTGCTAAAACTACTAATACGGTCTCTTTGGGGATGTGAGAGTATGAATTTCCTAATTTCATCAGAACCATTAATGACTTCAGTTCCTTCCTTTTACAGCAGAGGAAGTAAAGGGATTCTTCACTGCACTATGATTGTGAAAAACAGAAGGCAGGAAGAATGATTTGTAATCATGCTGTGGAAAGAAAAAAATTTCTTCTCCTCCTAGAAATGATTCTCGTTGTTGAAATTGTAAAAGCTCTTTAAAGGCTAGATAATTTATTGTAATGGAATGTACTTATGAGTTAGCATTTCATCATAGCTGGGAGGTTTTTTTCTTCCAGAAGATTTATTTCTTTAAAGGATGCCTTAGTTTCCAATGAAGATTGTATATTTTCATTTCAATCTTAAACTTAAGACACAACTAAGAAAATTCCAAGAGGAGCACATCTCCTCTCATGCTCTTTTTTCATAATTTTTTTTTAAAAGAGTGGTTTCCTCCCTCAAATAACAGAGGTCAAGAGAAGTAAGAGGTCACATATCAGGTAAACAAACCAGAACCAGGAGATAATTCCTGAAAGTAGAATAAGGGAAATTGTTCAGTGCCCAAGTAATTTGAACTTCAGAAAAAGAGGGAGGAAGAGACAAGCAGGGGAGGAAATACAAGGTTCCCGAAACCAGAAGGAACAGGGAGCTCCACCCCTGGACTCACAATGCAAGGATGCAAGCACTTTGTAGAGCTGAAGTGAATGAGCAAAAGAAAGCTGGAGCTATTGTACTAGTAAAGCCAGGCAAATAATCATTTAAATAGCGAAATTCAATGATATGAGTTCTGGATTTTTTTGAAGATTTAGGTCTAATTTGTTTGACTGAATTAAGACAAATGACGTATGTTCAATCCTGACCACTTTTGTAATACATATTTATACATGTGACATATAGTTATAGCATTGGAAAGAAGACAAAAGACAAGCTCACTGAATAGTGAGCTGGCCACGATTTAATATGGGTAGTCTATAAGTAAAACTATTTTATAGCAATATACTTAGCTTGCTAGAAGCCTACTTAAAGAGAAAATTTAAATTATTTATCTTAGGGACTTCAATTCATTGAATCATTAATTATCTATGGTATAATATATACAACGAATTTTTCTAATTTTTAGTACATTAAAGGTCAGAATGAATACAAATGTGTATTTCTTATCCTACAATGAAAAATACATAACTGTTTTTAGATAATTTACTTATTGTGATTCATATTTAATATATATCCAATTGGCTATTTAATAAAATCTAAATACTATAACCTGTACAATTACAGTCATGCATCATTTAATGACAGAGACACATTCTGAAAAACGAATCTTTAGGTGATTTTGTCATCCTGCAAATATCATAGTGTACTTACACAATCCTAGATGGTGTAGCCTACTACACACCTACCCTATATGGTATAGCTTATTGCTCCTAGGCTCCAGGCCTGTACAGCATGTCACTGTACTGAATACTGTAGGCATTGTAATACAATGATAAGTATTTATTATCTAAACATAGAAAGTACAGTAAAAAATGGAATATTATAAGCTTATGGACCATTGCCATATATGCCATTTATCATGGACCAAAATGTCTATGCAAAATGCAAAATGCAGCACATGTCCAACATTCAAAAATGAAATTAATGGATCAAGGAAGAAGTCTTAGTAAAACTTTAGAATATTTTGAACTAAATGTAAATAAAAATACTACTTATCAAAATTTGTTGGAGCCAGCAAAACTAGTGCATAAAGGGAAATTCACAACGCTGATAACATGTATTGAAAAATAAGAAATACCTAAAATTGATCATCCAAGCTTAGGAAAATAGAGAAAGGAGAGCAATGCAAACCTAAGGCAAGTAAAAGAAGAGAAATAATAAAAATTAGAACTGAAATCAATGACATTAAAAATAGGAATTCACTAGAGAAAACAAAAATATAAGCTGGTTTGTTGAAAAGATCAATAGAATTAATAAACCTCTGGCTAGGCTAGCCAAGAATACAATAGGAAAGACACAAATAAAATATCAGAAATGAAAGAAAGGTCATCACTACTGATTCCATGAACATGAAAATGATAATAAAAAATATTATAAACAGGTTGAAGGTTCTTTGATAACTTAGTTGAAGTTCATCAATTCCTTGAAAGGAATAAACTACAAAATAGAGTTTTGTATTAGAAATAGATAACTTGAATAGACGTATACTTATTAAAGGTGTTAAAATAATAATCAATAACACTGCAAAAAAATAAAGCAAGGCTGATTTCTCTGGTAAGTTCTACCAAACATTTAAGGAAGAAAATATACAAATTCTCTACAATCTCTTCAAAAAAAAAGAGAAGCAGGTGAAACACTTCCTTACTCATTTCTTAAGACCAATATTATCATATCAAAACTAGATAAGGGCATTACAAGAAAGGAAAACAGCATTGAAATATCTCTCATGAACATGGATATAAATATTCTCAATAAAATATTAAGAAATTAAAACCAAAAACAATTTTAAAAATTATACACCATGACCAAGTGGATTTACTGCAGGTATTCACGACTGGACTGGATTGACATTTGAAAATTAATTAATATAACCTATCATATCAACAATCTAAAGAAGTAAAAAGAATATGATAATATTATTAAACACAGAAAATGTGCTTGACAAAATCTAACATTCATTCATGATAAAAACTGTCAGCAAACTAGGAAGAGAGGAGAACTTTCTCAACTTGGTAAAGAGCACCTAAAAAAACTTACAGCTAGCATTATACTTAATGGTGAGAAACTCTAAGTTTTTCCAAGATCAGGAAGCATGCAAGAATGTTCCCTTTCACCACTACTTTTCAAAATTATACTGGAAGTTCTTGTTAATGCAATAAGACATGCAAAGAAATTAAAATGTACACAGATTGGGAAAGAAGAAATAAAACTGTTTTTGCATATAACATGGCTGTCTATGCATAAAATCCAAAAGAAGCAACAAAATCTTCTAAAACTGTAGATTTAATATAACCATAATCAAAATCTCAGCAAGCTATTTTGTGGCTATTGACAAACTGCTTCTAAAATGTATAGGGAGAGGCAAAAGATCCAGAACAGCAAACATAAAAGTGAAGGAAAAGAACAAAGTTGGAGGACTAACACTACCCAACTTCAAGACTTACTGTAAAATTACAGTAACAAAGACAGTGTGGTACTCATGAAAGAATAAACAAATAGATCAAGAGAATAGAACAGAAAACCCAGCAACAGACCCACATAAATATGGTCAACTGATCTTTGACAAATGAACAAAGGCAATACAAAAGAGAAAGATAGTGTTTTTCAAGAAATGGTTCTGGAGCAACTGGACATCCAAATGCAAAAAAAAAAGATTCTAGCTGCACTTACAGACCTATTAGGATGGTCAAAATCAGAACACTGACACTACCAAATGCTGATGAAATTGTGAAGCAACAGGAGCTCTCATTCATTGCTGATGGGAATGCAAAATGATACATCCACTTTTTAAGACAGTTTGTTAGTTTCTTACAAAATTAAAACATACTCGCAGCATACAATCCAACAATTTTGTTCCCTGATATTTACCCAAAGGAATTGAAAAGTTATGTTCACATAAAAACCTGCACATGGTTGTTTATAGCAGTCTTATTCATGATTGCCAAAACTTGTTCAGTGTATGAATGAATGAACTGGTACATCAGACAGTATAATATAACACGGCACTAAAAAGAAATGTGTTATCAAGCCATGAAAAGACATGGAGGAAGCATAAATGTATATTATTTAGTGAAAAAGCCAATCTGAACATATTACATACCATAAAATTCCAAGTATATGACGTCCTGGAAGAGGCAAAGCTATGGAGTCCAAGGATCAGTACTTGCCATGGTTTAGTATGGAAGGGAGGAATGAATAGGTGGAGCACAGGATTTTTAGAACAGTGAACTACTCAGTCTAATACTATAAGAGTGGATACATGTCATTATACATTTGTCCAGAGACATAAAATATATCACACCAAAAGTGAACCCTAATGTAAACTATGGACTTTAGATGATAATGATGTGTCAATGTAGGTTCATCAGTTCTAACAAATGTACAATGCTAGTGGGTAATATTCATCACTGGGGAGGCTCTGCCTGTGTGTGGTACTGTAAGCCAGGCCTGAAGCCTGTGTCAGCCTCCTAATAGGACCAATGGGAAGAAATACAACAATAGTAATGCTACAATGAGTGGATACATCCACGAAGGGCCCTATTAAACACCTGTGTTTATGCCCATAGGCTGCTGTTCCTGCTACCCATGGCAGCTGGTAATGTCTTCCTGTACTGGGCTGCAACTACAGCTGCAGTCAGCAACCAGTCCGATTGTTGGGAATGTGAATACCTACCCTGTCAGATGGTAATGGTATGCGTTGGAAAATTCTGCCTTTCTCACAATAAAACTAGAGTGGCTTGTTCAACAGCACAGATAATGCAACCCAGACTCATTGGAGATTGCATCGACCTGGATCAATTGCCAACATGACAGAGACCCAACAACATGCACCCTTATAGGTGCTACCTGTTGCACCTATGTCCCTGATGAAGAAAGTAATGTCACAAATGCTTTAAATCATTTGTCAATTCAAACCCATGATATAGCCCAATTAGGTTTCTTTGACTCACTCGCAAATTGGTTATACACCTTACCTACTCACTGCAGTTATGTTTTGCTAATAGGTATCATAATTGTCATTAGCTTCTGGTTTTTATTCTGTTGTGTATACTGTAGATGTTTCCTGTATGCACAAGCCATGGCTATACCTTATAGGGCTGTATACTTCTTCCCCTCACACCCAACTCAGGGACTCTTGTACAAGATTGATAGAAAGAATATAAGAGCTAAGGTATAAGGTAGATTGCAGTGTTATGGGTCCCCCACCAGGTTACTTAAGGGTGTATATCTGCTGCTTGAACCTTGAATATTGGGAAGTGAGCAAGGCCATGATACTGGGAGGTGAGCCAAGGCCACGGTGCCCAGCCAAACAGCAGCTGTCCCTGAGAACCCAAACATCCCAGAGCATAGCTGGGAACATACCAAGGAAAACAGTTTAATTGCACATACATATACAGTAGGCAAAGAGCCAGAAAATTGCTTAAAAGCAGCTTAGAGATGAGAAATGGGGCAGATCTTCAGAGCTGTCCTGCTACCACCTGGGGGTGCCCCACATGTAAGTCCTAATAAATTCACCTACTTGCCAAGCTGGACTTGTCTGCACCATTCTTTGGTCTCTCAGCTCCTTCCCAGTTTGGAGGGAAGGTTATGATCCCGTTTTCTCATAACAGGTGAAACCTTGATGCTCTATGGGAAGAGTGAACATCATTTTATTGATCAAACTGCAGAATAGTAGAAAGACAGCATTGCCTGACGCTTAGGTGGTTTACCACTACATGATACTAAAGTATTTGATAGAAGAGATGGTAAAGGCATCTTTTTCATCTTCTTTGCTTGATACAGAGGGTTGATACAGGTTGAAAAAAAATCTCTAGATGGTACTAGGTAAATTTATTATACTAAATGTGAATTTTTAGAAATAGAACTTTTTCCTTCTGAAGGCAACCATGAGGTGGTAGGGAATCTTCTTTTCTGTCAATCAGATCTCAGGAAAGAATAGACAACTGAATAGATTGAAAATAACCCACATTCTACATATCTTCTGTTAATTTCTAAGAGAAGATGAGATATATGCCCTCTTGTGGTAGGAAGTAAAGAGAAAAAAGGGTAAAAGTTTTTCAAATCTTTATTCCGATTTAACCTGGCATTGAGTCATCTGTAGAATATTCAGACATTCTATGGGAAAAAATTATTTTTTGAATTTGTAACATAAAAAATCATAAGTGAATAATGACTTAGAAGAACAGTATGGTCCAAAATATACTTATTTCAAAATGCTCAATAAAACATGTCTATTTATTCACTCTGCAAATCACTATCAACTTCCAGTTGGATATTGGTTATGCTATCATCCCCTCCTTCCTCCGTTCCAGTATCTTACCACAACAGAAAACAATCACAACTATATCTCATCTTGGATGTGCTCCTCTTAGAACACATTTACTTTCTAGAATCCATTTCCTACTCTGGCTAATATTAGTGGCTCTGGTTTCTTTAACACTCCTTAGATGAATTTTGCCTTAACTGGACACATACACCCACAGAAATAAGCTGTTCTGTATATATTTCTAAAGTAGCTACAGAGATCAAGATTTAAAAATCCTAACTACAGATAAAGTAATAATGAGAGTAGTAATTATAGTCAAATTACCTTTCTCTGGACTTGGTCACACTAAACACTTATTGGATGCTATAATTTTACATTTAAATATGATCCCAAAGAAGAATTTATGTATATTTAGAACTTTGAATCAATTATGCCCTAATTTTGAAAAATTATCTGGAACCTTTTGGTTGAGTCCCTCCTTTGACTGAGTTTTCCTTTTTTTTTTTTTTCACCAACTCTACTGTCTGAATGGACATCTTGGATCTTTACTGCTTCTCAAATTCAAAAGAGGGAGAAGTTAGAAGTGAAAATAACATTTACTGAGTGCTTCTGATACTTCAGGAAAGTGCTGGTCACTTTGCATACATTTTGTCATTTAATCCTTTCAACAAATATACAAAGTAAATATAATTTTCCCTGTTTTAAAAGAAGAAAAGGAAAATCCAAGAGGTTAAAGAGCTTGCCCAAGTTTCTCATAGCTGATAAGTAATAAAGCAGAGAGCCAAGATTGAAACTGTGTCCATGCCCTTCCCAATAAAATGTTTCTTTTTCCAAAACCGACTATTTTTGATTCTTCCAAAATGTATCTTTCCATCTTTCTTAGATTAGTTAATAATACTGACTAATACTAATACTGACTAATACTAGTATTATGTGGGGTGGCTCACACCTATAATCCCAGAACTTTGGGAGGCGAAGGCAGAAGGATTGCTTGAGGCCAGGAATTGGAGACCAGCCTGGGCAACATAGTAAAACCCCACCTTTAAAAATAATAATAATAAATTAAAATTACTATTATTTAATGTTAGTTTATATAATTTGATATATGTAATATATGTAATATAGTTATATATTATATAGTTTTATATTAGTATTAATACTGTTAGTTAATAATGCTATTCATTGTATTTCTCAAAATAAAAAATGAATTATTTGCCACTCTTCCTTTTTCATTATGGCTCCTCCTTTCTTGCTTCCGCATTGGTCACTATATTTTGTCAAGTCCACTGTCTTCAAACAGTTCTTGCATCCCACCTGTCTTGCCTGTCACCACAGTCAAGGCTCTTATACTGCCTATTGACTAGTAACTGATATTCCTGTCATTACTGTTTTCTGGAAAGAGTCAATTCCCTTTCATTGTTACCAAAGTGATCTTTCTAGTACATGCCCCTAGCCATTTCCTTTTCAGGTTAAGTGGTACGCCGGGCCCTTATCAATGTGGTCCAACCCTCATTCTGAATCTCATCTCCTGCCCCATGGGACTTCTTACCCTGCCTCACACTCACTATACGCATGATGTTGCCTTTAACTAGAACATTCTTCTTCCCCTTATCCTCCCAGAGTCTTTGACAACTGTCCTCTGTCCTCTGTAGTCTTTCTTAGATATCTCATCCCTCCTGACTAGAATTTAGTTCTTCATAATTTATGAGTCTCTGATATTTTGTGCATATTTCTTTTACAGTACCTAACCAATAATGCTATAATTCCTTGTCTACAGACTTATTTTTCCTTAAGACCATGTGTTACAGGTCCTAAGCACATTATTGGTGTATTGTAGGTATTCACATTTATTATATTTTTAGATGTACATTTTATTTGGCTAAAACAACAAAAATATCTGCATAACGAATTGGCAAAGAATTTATTAAAGACAATACTTAATACTGGAAAGTGTTTGAAACAGCAAAGATTTATGGTCATTGAAGTGTTATTTAAATAAGGGAGGCTAAATGATTGTGCATAAATATTTTCAAGTATATTTCGCAAATAACTGTCCAAAAATAACCCTAATCTATGAAGACTCAAATAATATAGAGTTCTGATATTTTATTGGAATAGAGCACTAGATATTTCAAGAAGTTCTATCCAGTAATGACAACAACTTTAAATATTTAAAACAAATTTCTTCCAAAATGACCCTTTGCATGGAGTGTGTTAATGAGTCTAAATTATAGACTCTTGTAATAAATCAAATCTTACAGTTGCTGGCAGTAGAAATTCTGTTTTATAGAAAGCATTAAATCCTTTCCTAAGAGAGTAAACATGTATTAGATAAAGTATATAAAAACACTCCATAAATGTTAGGCAAATAAGGGAATTAGTATCTCTGTATTTTTATGGATTTAATTCAAAAGCAAAAGAAAAAATAATCCTTAAAATGCCTTAAATTGTTGTTCAAAATTAAAACTAATAAGGCATTGAAGGCATACAGCTGCTTCAGAATTTGAAAGAAAATTGGCACAGAATTTCTTGGCTTTAAATAAGCATCTTAAAGATATTGCTTAATAGGAACACTTAGCCACTCTTATTCAAACAGTAATTGTTTTCTAAACATTAGTTTAAGAAAGAATGTCTATCTAGATTTTATTTTTAAATCTTAGAGTATTTTACAGTTTTCAGATTTCTCTCTTTTCCCTCCCTAGTACTCTTTTTGGCCAAATTATGTTTACGTCAGGACCCGAGAGAGAAACATCTTCTTTTAGTGACTTTCCCAACCTCCCCGCAACCTGCACACATGGAAACAGAATTAATTGCTCCATAGGCTGCAGTTCCATTGTGCTTTATGGACACCATTTACTATAGTTGCTGCTTAAAATTATTATTTTCTTATGCTAGACTAACAGCTCCATGCAGACAAGGACCAAACCTACTTGAAGGCAATGGGAACATGACTAAGGATAAACCTTAAAAGTTATCATGGTGGCATAGCAGCAAACTGGCAGAACACAAATAGATTTCGGTAATATTTCTTTATTTGGGAAAAAAATATGGCAGTGACTTTCCCTGGCACTGTAGCATACAACTACAAAAATCCAAGCATTAGCATAACAGAAGCACTCAATAAGTATTTGTTGGAGATCACTGAAAACCCTAACATAGAACTTTAGTATCCCCAAATATAGGTAGGGAGGGAGGAAGATATCTTAGAGGAAGTGGGAAAAATGTATGTTTTACTTACATGTGTGCTTAAGACAGACAAAGCATCACGTAACTTGAAAAAACAGTAAATGTGTGTATACCCCACTCTGAAAGGTTAGAGCCTACTGTTTCCTTGGGAAAATGTACCTATGCTTAACCTTAAGCTGTTTTTCTCAACCTGAGACTGCTGAGAAGGCTTGGTATGGCCTTTTGAGGAAGAAGTGTATATAACCTTCTGAGTTAGGGGGGAGGAAAATTTGGGCTCAACATAGCATGATTTGGACTGAGTTAATGTCACTTCCCAAGGCAGAATAAGAATCAGAAAGCTTTAAAGAACCAGGAAACCTGTCAAATCCCTAAAACAAAGGACCTTCTGGGGGGTTCTGGGACATTGCAGGTATTCAAATTATTATATTTTAGACACACATTTTGAAAATCTGGTGAAAAAAATATAATCTGTTTACTTGAAAAGAACATTTATTTTTCTTAAAGTATTATGAAATTATAATGTTTCCAGAAGTCCATCCATCTGTGCATATGAGGGTAAAGACCCCCAAGGAAGTCAGAAGCAACTGTAGCAGAAGCTGCTAGACTGGTGGGCTTTGAAAATAAGAGCAAACACACCTTTCGGAGGCTGGGTGTAATCTTCCAGAGGCTGAGTGAGTCCTCCAGCAGCAACATCATATCAGCAGTTGGGAACTGAGCAAGTGGCTGCCAGATGCTAAAAGCATTTTGGGACTCCAAGCCAGAGGCAAACAACATAGAGCTACGTGAAGTGAGCCAGAAGTAGGAGGTTCAGAGTAGTGCTTCTCTGCTCTGATGGTCTGTTTAAATGGGGTTGCCTTGGGACAGAGTTTTGAAGCACATGAATGGGAATGGCTCTTAGAGCTCTCTCCTTGAAGAGAATTTGCAGTAAGGGAGTATAAATCTTTGAAACTGTTTTTTTTTATAG
Source organism: Homo sapiens (assembly GCF_000001405.40). Lineage (NCBI taxonomy): Eukaryota > Metazoa > Chordata > Mammalia > Primates > Hominidae > Homo > Homo sapiens. The sequence goes on along the minus strand of NC_000012.12, from coordinate 88,629,110 downwards.
TCCAATATAGCTCCTGTTAACAGTCTCATGAGAAGGCTAAATAGGTGACTGTATTAGTCATGATTCTCCAGAGAAACAGAACTGAATGGATACATAACATGTGTGTGTATAACACAAATATACACAACACACATTACACACACACACACATATACACACACACACACAGATTTATTACAAGGAAGTGGCTCACACCAATAAAGAGGCTGAGAGAATTCCCAAGATCTGCAGTCAGCTACCTAGAGACCCAGGGGAGGTGATGGTGTAGTTCTAGTTCAAGTCTAAAGCCAGGAGAAGACCATAATTCCAGCTCAAGACCATCAGGCAGAGAGAGCAAATTTTCCTTTCCTCAGCCTTTTTGTTCTATTTAGGCCTTCAATGGATTGGATGAGACCACCCATATAGGGGAGGCCAATTTGCATGATTCATTTTGCAGATTCAGATGTTAATCTCATCCAGAATTATCTTACATATGCACACACAGAATAACATTTAACCAAATATCTGGGCACCCCGTAACCCAGTCAAGTTGACATATAACATTAACCATCACATTGATCTCAAGTACAAGAGCAACCAAACAAATTTTTAGGGAGACCCAACCACAGCCCAGATTACAACATGAAAAGACTTCAGATACTATTGCTATCTATTATAAATGTAGTTAACAAAAGCAGTCAAGAAGGCTTTTTTGATATCAACCAAGAACAATCAATTAAAAAACTATGAGCTGTTTCTTAGATTTTATTCCAAAATACAAATAAAAATGTATTCTTTTTATATTCCCTAAGCTATGTATTGAATGTCTATCAAGAATACGTTGTATATGTTATCTCACTGGGTGAAGTAAATATTTGTATTACCAAACTGGACTTCATGGAAGGTAATGATAACACACTCTCATAGAGTGCTTACTATAAGCCAGGTGCTATGCCAGCCCCTTTACATGTATTAATTTATTTGTCCTTTCCAAAACCTTATAAGATTACTATTTATATATATATATATTTTTATTATACTTTAAGTTCTAGGGTACATGTGCAGAACACATGTGAAAAAGCTGACTCCTTTACTTGGAATCACTTGGACTTTAGATTTAGACTCTATTTTGCTATGTTCATGCACTCTCTTACTCTCTCTGCCTGTCTCTCTCTCTCTCTCTCTCTCTCAGTCACACCACACACTTGGGCACTCCTGCAATAAAGTTAATTCTACTAAAAATACCAGAATTTGGTTTCAATACGAATATGCTTCTCTTTCAAAATAAAAAACTATATTAACTTGAAAAAAAAGAATACATTGCAATGTCTGCCTTGCAATGAATACACTGCAATTTCTGCCTTGCAACTCTTTGCAGAGTTGGTTTTTAAAAATTTGTTGTAAGTTTACTTCTGAAGGCATTATGATAGCTTAGGGCATTGCACAATCTTTATCTTGGCACAAGTTGTCTAATTTTTGCAAAAATGTGATTATAATACTATAACCCATCATATTATAAGTTGAAAAAACTGGAAGCTTTTGAAGGAATTGTTTTTTCTTTTACTACTGCTCTGATTTTAAAATGAGATTAAGAGTGATTCTAGAAGAGTATCTAATGTTTGGCCACTTAAGAATATACCTATCAGTGATTTTACAGTATTTGATAGTCTCCTCATTTATCTATGAGTCACAGACACCAGAATTTGGTGAACTGACAGTTGTCTACACATAAGAAGGAATAATTTTAGTGGCAGAAATAATGTCTAACTATCAAGAACTTAAATCATGCCCTATTTGATTTTAGATATTCTGTATGTTTGAGTTTTGTTTTTTCACGTCAAACTTTGCCATGTTCTGCTGATACTCATCACAACTGTCTTCATGATTACATATCAACTGCCTAATGGGAGGAAATTCAGACCTTAAAGCCCTACCTAATATTATTGGGATATTAAATTTCAAAGGACTTTTAGATAATCCATAAAGTAAATACATCTGTGCAGTTAATTGAAAATTGAATATACACAGTAAATCCAGCTTAAGAAAAATACTGATGGTAACCTTAGTGAATTAAGGCTTGTAGAACAGAGGGCAGCACAAATGTTCTCATCCTCTCTACTATAGGTTTCCTTGCTAACATCTGACCAGTGTAACTCTAATGCCCTCGGTCCTCCGTCATGTAAGACTTTAACGGCGAAAGAGAAAAGGACGAGATTTGATTTTTATTTTTTATTTTTATTCTTGCATATTCCAGTTTATTCTATTGGTTAGCCAAAAATAAAAAGATAAAACTTCAAAACAACCATGATAATTTGGTAAGCTACAATAATTATTTTGAAGATGAATTAAACACATATCAAATGGTTATTAACTTGAACTTCCCAGATTTGAATTATTATTTCAAAAATAGTTCATCTTTTTCTCTGAATCATCTTCAATTATCTTTTATACTTGATCTTCTCTAGGACTTTTAAATATTATTTAGCCAAGTAATTACTTGCTAGAAAAAGTGTAGGGCAGAAAAAATGTTAAGGATCAAAGGATTTTGTTTTGTTTTTTGTTTGTTTGTTTGTTTGTTTTGAGAGGGAGCCTCGCTCTGTCACCCAGGCTGGAGTGCAGTGGCGCGATGTTGGCTCACTGCAACCTCTGCCTCCCAGGTTCACGCCATTCTCCTGCCTCAGCCTCCCGAGTAGCTGGGACTACAGGCGCCCACCACCACACCCGGCTAATTTTTTATATTTTTCGTAGAGACAGGGTTTCACCGTGTTAGCCAGGATGGTCTCGATCTCCTGACCTCGTGATCCGCCCACCTCGGCCTCCCAAAATGCTGACATTACAGGCGTGAGCCACCTCGCCCAGCCGGATTTGTTTTTTTAATAATGATTTAAGAAAATTATCCGAGTCTCTTTTCCATGAGGCCCTGAAAACTGGATGAGTAGGAGGGAAAGGATTTTCATACCCAATAACAAAATTTATTCTGTGAATGTTCCTAATATGTCTTTATACATAATTTAATTATTATTGGAAATGCCTCTACTTTGAATGCTGGTTAAATTACAAAAAAAGTTCAGGTATGGGGAAAGCATTAGTATATACTCTGGGTTAGGGAGATCTTGAAATGGTTTCTAATGAAAGCTTCTTAAGCATACTCCTGCTTTCTTTCCCAACCTCTTGATTTCTCTATTACCTGTTCCCAACCAGTTCTTCCTCCTTTTCTTTCTCAGCCTGACTCCCATTGATTTTTCTGCTGTGATGTTTTCTTTCCCAGGTGACACCCATGCTGCCTCCCTTTGTCAGGATCATGATACTCTTTTGAGGAAATCCTTTATGTCCCAAGTTTTCTTTCTCAATATCTCCTTCTTCCTAATTATCTCTTTCTAATTTCCACATATTTTGAGGTCCATGCTCCTTCAAGCTTCCTGCCAGTGGGAACTTCTTTCATTCCATCTCAGTCATGGGCCCAAAAGACAAATTAATGGCAAGTTTATTCAATACTGGCTGTGCATCTCACGGCAGGGGAGCTGGTAATAGGTCACAACATCCAGAAATCACTTTAATAGTGGAACATCTGTCACGACCGAGGGCCAGGCCCTGTCTGTGCTTGGCGCCAGGCCTGCAGCATCGATTTATAACTCCCTTTAAGGCCCCTGGCTTCTGATATAATCACTGATATAGGGTGCGCAGTGTCAACCGCAATTAATACCCAAGTTCACTTTCCATTCCCAGGAAACAGACTATTGACTAACAGAATTTTTTCCCCAAAAGATTAAAAACAACTATGCTTAAGGAATATTATCTATAAAACCCTCACTGTTAGGGCTAGCAAAAGGCCAATATGAATTGGATTATTTTTAACCTGATGACAACAATTTGAGACAAAAGGTAATTTGAATCTTCCCAGAAGTGCCTCTATCTTTAAACTGAAAAGCTCAAGGAGTAGAAAAAAAAATTCAGAGCTGTAGAAAGACTATGGATTGTGAAATTTTTATTCATGAATCACTGTCACTGAGTGTGGTTTTGTATTTGTTAATCTGAAGAGAATTCTGAAGAATAAAGCAGCGACTAAGAAAAAACTGGGATTGCAAAGCAGGCATTGTATCAACGGCGGAATTCCAGGGTGATAGTGGAAAACAGCACACACTGCTTACAAAGTCAGATTGTTTTTCCATCAAAATTCCCTTTTAGGAGATCTGTCAATCAAGTAAACTCCATTCATTTTTTTTAAAGATAGTTAGATGCCGTCTAAAAGTGCAGTCTCTCCAACTTTACCCATCTTTTTTATTGCAATCCAATAGTTGTCTTACATATCTGGATAAAATTTAACCCCCCCCCCAAATATCAAAGGGTATAACATTATGTAAAATAACTTCAAACAAAATAATCCTAAATTTAAGGAAATTTTAAAAACATTAACTTACAGGATGTATAGGTGCCACATTCATTCATATTTATAGAATGGATCCTCATAAATGTAAGGCATTCCAAAGATAGAATATAATATGACTAACCTGAGGGTCCTCAAGTTTTCAGGACTTTTGAATTGGCCTTTTCTTTAATTTCCAAATAAAAATCATTCAGCTCTCCATCCTGCATGACTGCAGTCATGCATGCCTCCTTTCACATTCCGCTTCCTTAATTTTACTAAGAACCCTGGAGAATGCTTTTATATTCCACTCGCCCACCTTGGGTGTCACTACTCACTTCTTGCTCTTTCAAGCCACTTTCTTTGTTGCTGGCCAACTCATAGAATTCAAGTACTGGTGGCATCTCTTGAAAACATGCTGCTACTGCCTTCCTGTCAGCCTCAGAAGAGAAAACAGCTACACTCATCGTGAGCTGAGTACAATTGTGGTTAAAAAACCACCTAAAAATTTTTTTCTTCAGCAAAGTTTAAAGCAGGCTTCAATGATTAATAAGGCTTACTTATAAATTTAAGTACCAATAAAGGAATCACAACAAAGAAAAAACATTTAAGGTCAGATATTATTAGTACTAATAAAGGTCACATGCCATGCCTTTTTTTTTTTTCAGAAGTTCCCTGGTTGTCATCTCCCTCTTTCCCCTGGACCCTAAGGCTGAATCCCAGACCTCAGCAAATCAGGGTATTTTACTCTGTCTCTTATCATACCCCAGTGACCTTGTCTTTTGCCCCTGTCAGCCATCACCCAGGGGAAGCAAAGAGTTAGTTAGCTTAACAATCTCTCAGTACCACCTGCTTAGTCAATGGATGCTGTCCTTTTTACTACTGAGCAGAGCAATTTCTTTTTCTTTGTGTAAACCTCTTTCATCCAACATACTCTGAACTTTACCTTTTCATAAGCAATATCCATGTTAAGGCATTTTTCCCAAATAAAAAGTGTCTTCACTCTACTCAAAACTGAATTCTGCTTTACCCAACCTCCTCTCACCACAGAATTCATAAATAGTTAAAATGTTTTCCTACTGCACGTGCATGAAATCACTACAATCTATAGAAATGTGTTCTTGGGGCTCAGCAGTATTAGACATGTCTAATTTTTGAAGGAGATAAAATGAAAGGGAAGTATGGACAGAGGAAGAAAGAGAGGGCAAAAGTTCCAGAGCTTGAAAAGAAAAGAAAACATAGCTAAGAAGGGACACAATGTCTTGCAAAATACAACTGGGAGTTTGCTATCCTATATACCATTAGGAAATATCCAGGTAGTGTTCATATGTGTGTGTGTATGTGAGTATAATATACCAGGCTGTGCTGAATTCAGTAGAGTATTATACATAACAATAAAATGACACTTTTATGTCATTAACTGTAAGTTTAAATAAATGTAAACATTCTCATGGGGTTCTACTTATATCTGTCAAATTATTCACTTTTTGTAATGATAAGTTTACATGTTTGTCTCTGTCACTAGACTGGACTTTTTGGGATTATAATCATATCAACTGCAAAAAAAAAAAACAGAAAAAAGAAATTCTCATGAATTATTAGACAGTGAAATACCAAAAACACAGCAAATCCTCCTGTGTTAGTCCATTATCACATTGCTGTAAAGAAACACCCGAGACTGGGTATTTTATAAAGAAGCTTAATTTCTTTATAATTGGCTCACAGTTCAGCAGGCTATATAGGAAGCATGACACCAGCTTCTGAGGAGGCCTCAGGAAGCCTTTATTCATGGCAGAAAGCAAAGTGGGAGCAGGCACTTCAAACAGCCAAAGCAAGAGAAAGAGATGAAGAGAGGGGGAGCCTCACACTTTTTTTTTTGTTTTTGTTTTGTTTTTGTTTTTGTTTTTGTTTTTGTTTTAATTATACTTTAAGTTTTAGGGTACATGTGCACATTGTGCAGGTTAGTTACATATGTATACATGTGCCATGCTGGTGCGCTGCACCCACTAACGTGTCATCTAGCATTAGGTATATCTCCCAATGCTATCCCTCCCCCCTCCCCCGACCCCACCACAGTCCCCAGAGTGTGATATTCCCCTTCCTGTGTCCATGTGATCTCATTGTTCAATTCCCACCTATGAGTGAGAATATGCGGTGTTTGGTTTTTTGTTCTTGCGATAGTTTACTGAGAATGATGGTTTCCAATTTCATCCATGTCCCTACAAAGGACATGAACTCATCATTTTTTATGGCTGCATAGTATTCCATGGTGTACATGTGCCACATTTTCTTAATCCAGTCTATCATTGTTGGACATTTGGGTTGGTTCCAAGTCTTTGCTATTGTGAATAATGCCGCAATAAACATACGTGTGCATGTGTCTTTATAGCAGCATGATTTATAGTCATTTGGGTATATACCCAGTATTGGGATGGCTGGGTCAAATGGTATTTCTAGTTCTAGATCCCTGAGGAATCGCCACACTGACTTCCACAATGGTTGAACTAGTTTACAGTCCCACCAACAGTGTAAAAGTGTTCCTATTTCTCCACATCCTCTCCAGCACCTGTTGTTTCCTGACTTTTTAATGATTGCCATTCTAACTGGTGTGAGATGATATCTCATAGTGGTTTTGATTTGCATTTCTCTGATGGCCAGTGATGATGAGCATTTTTTCATGTGTTTTTTGGCTGCATAAATGTCTTCTTTTGAGAAGTGTCTGTTTATGTCCTTCGCCCACTTTTTGATGGGGTTGTTTGTTTTTTTCTTGTAAATTTGTTTGAGTTCATTGTAGATTCTGGATATTAGCCCTTTGTCAGATGAGTAGGTTGCGAAAATTTTCTCCCATGTTGTAGGTTGCCTGTTCACTCTGATGGTAGTTTCTTTTGCTGTGCAGAAGCTCTTTAGTTTAATTAGATCCCATTTGTCAATTTTGGCTTTTGTTGCCATTGCTTTTGGTGTTTTGGACATGAAGTCCTTGCCCACGCCTATGTCCTGAATGGTAATGCCTAGGTTTTCTTCTAGGGTTTTTATGGTTTTACACCTTATACAAAAATCAATTCAAGATGGATTAAAGATTTAAACGTTAGACCTAAAACCACACTTTTAAACAACCAGATCTCATGAGAACTCACTCACTACAGTGAGGACAGTACCAAGGGGATGGTACTAAACCATTCATGAGAAATGCCCACCCCCACCATGATCCAATCACTTCCTAACAGGTCCCACCCAACACTGGGATTACATTTCAACATGAGATTTTGACAGGGACACATATTCAAACTAAATCACCTCCTTCTTCCTTTTTTTCTTTTCTAGGTTAGAGGCGGAGCAAAAGCCAGAAGAGGAGAGAATCTCTGTCCTGAAATTTTCCAGCCACTTGCTCCAGCTTTCTCACATTAGGGCGTGACTCCAAGGTCATTTCACTAGGCTGACCCTTGATCACTGGGTTGCCAATGGATGGGGAATCCGGCCCAGAGTCCCAGAACAGGAGCAAAGCAAGCCTCCACAACAAAAACAAAAATATACAAATGGGACTTAACTAAACTAAGAAGCTTCTGCACAGCAAAAGAAATAGTTAACAGAGTAAACAGAAAACCTACAGAATAGAAGAAAATACTTGCAAATTATACCTCCAACAAAGGACTAATATCCAGAATCTACAAGGAACTCATGCAACTCAATGAGAAAGAACAAACAAATCCCATTAAAGACTGGGCAAAGGACATGAACAGACACTTCTTAAAAGAAAAAATACAAGCAACCAACTAACATATGAAAAAACAGAATTTATTTGTGTTTACAGGTCTCTCTCTCTTCCCCGTGTCTCCTCCACTAATACCATCTCCTGCCTCCGCCATTTTACAGACACTGAACATCCAAATATTTACACAATAGGAAGAAACAGGAGACATTTTTATAATTGCTGTGTTTTTGCCACCCTAGCAATGGTTCTCCCCATGACTCACACCCATGATATTAGCACAGGAACTCCCTCAGTAATAAGTACCTGAGGGTTTGATTGGCTCAGACAAAGAAAGTTTGAAACTTATATATACTTCAGTAAACACAACTTCATTGAAGGCTTCCTTTTATTTGGTAGGACCAGGCATAAATATAAATATGATAATGAGATTGATTTGGAGAAAAAGTTCTTCAGAGAATCCTCAAAGGGAATGACTCTGAAAGAATAAGCAATTTGTCCAAGGCCACATAAATGGTGAGCATCAGGACTAAAACTCAGGCCCCCAGATTCCCAAGTTTTAACGTGTGCCAGTGACCCTTAAATGCTGACGTGCGAAAGAATCATCAACAGTGATAGTGAGATCCCATCTCCATAAAAAAAGTTAAAATTTATTCAGGCACGGTGTTGTGCAACTGTAGTCCCAGCTGCTCAGGAGGCTGAGGCAGGAGGATTGCTTGAGCTCAGGAGTTCAAAGCTAAAGTGGGCTATGATTGTGCCACTGCACCCAACCTGGGTGATAAAGCAAGACCTTGTCTCAAAAAAAAAAAAAAATTACCAATGGGGCTCTCTAAAACCTGCAAGTTTCTTTGTCTCCTCCTCAGAGAATCCTGTTTGGGAGAGTGGGACCTGGGAATCTGTACTGCTACTGAGTTCCCAGTGATTCGAGCAACACTGGGGAAGTGGAAAGGGCATCTGGCTGCTGAAGAGGGCATCGATTTTGCTCCCGGTATTTATAGACATTTTTATTCTATCCTTGGTTATTCTCTCACATTTTCCCCTTCATCAACAGGCTCATAATTAAGATTAACATCAACAAGTAGAAATCATGTTTAAACCAGAGGCATGATAAACTCTATGTAGTATTTTGGGTGAGGGTAAGTATGGAAAACACAGTCTCCCTCCTAAGAAGATGCCATGTCTTTCAAAGAATTACACAAGCAATGCCTAAATATATGCCCATTTAAAAATTTAAACATTAAACAGTGCAGAAGAAGATACATTAAAAGTGAATTTCTCCCTTCACCCCTCCCCTAATCTCACCCTCTACCCAGAGTTACTCCTGCTAACTGTTGGTTATGGACCCTTCAGTCTTTTATATGCAATGACATACACAAGTGTTTGTGCCTTTTTTGCCCTTTTGCTTTTGAAAAGTTATGTTTATGAAAGGATCAAGGCATTTTTTTATTATATAGGTGACAGAAGATGACCTCACCACCACAGTATCAAACTTAAATTAAGGGCACTTCAAGATGCATGATTGTTACTGGTAATTGCAGCATTAACTTTTGACCTTTTTAGAAATGAAGACTTCCTGGACCTTACTCACCTCCTCAAATACATGTTGGTCAGTAAGTGATATTCATTAGTCATATAAAAAATACCTGTGAGGATGCTAAAGGAAGAGGAAAAGGCTGACAGTCACATCATGTAAACTCATGAATACCATTATAGTCTTCACTTGAGCACAAGGTGCTAAATTAATTCACCTCATTGCAAACTCTGCAGGACTGAGAATGTTTCCATGAGAAGGGTTGGAGAGGTGGGGCCGAGGGTACAATGGGGGATGCTTTTATGCATTCATATAAAGTGTACAGCATTCACCCTGCTTTCTCACCCTCAGCATTCCACTGAAATGGCTCTTGCAAAGATTACCAAGAAATTCTAGTTGCTTAACTTTATCCTCTTGACTTTGGCGGCATTTGCTGGTTGACCATTTCTTCCTTCTTCAAAGATTCCTCCTCCCTTCCTTCTCCTCTGGTTCTGATGAAAGTGAGTATTCAACCTCTGTTTTACAGATTTCTCTTTAATATTCACATCTCTCAGGGTTCCATTCTGGAAACCTAGGATGCTTTTATGCTTGTTTTGTATCCTCTATCTAACAGAGCTGATAAAATCCTATACTCTCAGCAATGACACCCAAATCTGCATCAACAGCCCCACTTTTGCACTGAGCTCAAGGACCCCCTTCTGCATAGCCACCAGTATCTCAAGCATGGCATGTCTAACAGGAAATGGAAGTCTTCCTCCTCACTTTCCCACCAACCCTGTTCCCGCCACCCCATGTATTACTCATATCAGTTAAGGATAAACCAGTATATCAGTTCTTCACGTTAGAAATGGCATTGCCGTTCCTCACTCCTCCTCTTAACTTACTCTTTACATCAGTCAATCATCAACTCCTAAGAAGTCCACCTCCCAAATATTTATTTACTCTTTCATCTCCTCTCTCCTCCCATTGCTATTATCCCAGTCCTTGTCATTGTCACTTGGAGCAAAGGATGCCCTAGAAGGCATCCCTATGTGGAATCTCTGTCCTCCTCCAATCCCAAACATTTTGCACCAAAATGCCAGAATATTCCTCAAATGCTGGAATCTTCCTAATCTATGCTTTTGACCATTCATTTCCTTCAGCTGGAGTGTCCTTCTTTGCCAAAAAAACTCCTTCAGAATGTAAAGTAAACAGTTTCTCTTCCATAAATCCATGCCTGGCATCATCTCTCCACACCTCCTCATAAGCAGTGAGACCTTCCTCTGTGCTCCCACTGTGCATCTACCTCTATCAGGATGCATTCTAACCTCATCTGGCCAACACGTTAGCAAGCGCTCATAACAATATATTGTGATAACACACATCATTTCAAAACCCTACTCACTCTAGAAAACCTACTAAACTGAGAACTCTGGTGCTACAAAGACACATTTTTGAACCCTAGTAACAGATCTAAACCCTATCTTCCAAAATCTGTCCATTTATTCTTTCATATATTTATGTATCCAGTAACTATCAAGTACCTACTGTGTGCCAGACATGGCTCTAGGTGTTAGGGATAGAGCAGTGAGCAAGATAGATAAAAACCCGACCTCCTACTGCTTACATTCTAGTGATAAAAACAAACAATAAACAAATATTTAAGTAGAATATATCATATCCCAGGCAACAATGGATGTTAGGGAGGAAAATCAAGCAGAAAAGGGAATCGTGTTGGGACATGGTTAAGGGTGGGGGTATTCTAAATAAAGCAGTCGAGGAAGAGCTTAAGATATCATAATTCTAGTCTGTACTCTAGGGACAGCTTCCTATAAAATCCAGGGAAAGTAAGACACTGAGCCTCTGTTTCAGTCCCTTAGGAAAAACAGTGGGAGGAATAAATGGTATATAATGGTTGGGAACCCAAAGTGCCCTTCATCTTGCCACCATTTCCTGTGGATTCATGAGAAGTATGAATAGACAGAAATGTTTTCAACAAGAGAATACAGTTATGGGTCATATGTCTCTTGGGAGAACTTTGGACTTTATAATGAAGGGAAACCTTGCAGCCCTAGGGCCTTATGGGGAACTTCAGAGACGTTATGTTAGTGAGAGAGTGTGGTGTCCAGAAAGAGACCAAGGCACCAAGCTAGTGTGAGCAGGATCATCAGAAGAACAAATCCTATATCCTGACCAATGTTAAGTGGTAGAATCTGACAAAAGCAGCAGTAGTACCCAGCACAGCTGTCAAAGCCCAGCAGACACCACAGTTTCTAGTAGAAAAAGCCTGGAACAAAAGAGGGAAGAAATGGTAAATGCCCACAGGAAGCAATGAATAAAGTTGGCACATAAGCACATGTGAGATACCTCTTGGGTTTCCAGAGAATTTTTAGAAGGATGCTTTAGAGAGATTTTGTGTCCTTTATCATTAGGAAGTGCAGGTGGGGTGGAACAAATCAAAGCATGTTATCAAGAACAAGCTTGGACCTGAATGCTCCAGTCAGGCTGAAGAAGGCTTGGTAGCCTTAAAAAGCAGAGGTAGCCCAGTTCTCGAACAAGAAAATAAATGGGTAGTAGTCTTGGGGAGGGTGTCTCTTAAATTAATATTTTTATTTTTTATTTATTTATCTCTTTTTTCTCTACACAGGAGACATGGAGCCCACTTACAAACTAGTTCCAATTCCATGAAATCCCCTGTTTTTACGTAATTAATTTTATGTATATTATTTTTTCAAATGTGCCAACAATTTTTATGCTATCAGGCTGATGCGTAGCTTTAGAAAACACTATTTCCAGAATTATACACATAACGTTGCATTACAACAAACAAAAGTCATTTTTAAATAGGAATATTGTAATGAAGAAGTGTTTTGTTTCATTCTCTAACAAAATTTAGATCCTTTAAATACCATATTCAACTATTTCATTGACATTCTGGTGGGCTTCCCTGGGCTTCTCTTACCTAATAATCAATTATCAGGGATTATTAAAACAAGTGTCATTACTCAAGCTGTATCCAAAGGCCAGACTTATAAAGAAATTGGCACCCTAGGGACAGTTATTGAAGAGATTTATTTAGTAAGTGATGAAAGCTACAGTCATCATGTAATTCGGAATTTTTTTACTATTATTTAGAACTTAAATTTCTTTCAGGAAATAAAATGATATAAAGCAAGGGTTGTATGACAAATTCACAAATGTAAACACTGACACTTCCCTTCCTATCATTCTAGACTGTGAACTAAAGAATATCCTTACAATAGTATATTATATTTGTAAATGATGTCATTTGGAATGATAGATTGCTCCAAAGAAGGCAGAACATTTATTGGGGGCAGGGAGGAGGGAGAGAGAGACAGAGAGAAGATTGGAAGACTATTTCTGTACAAATTATTTCATTCTTGAAGTTAGTTAGAAGCAGGCAACGTACTACCCTGCTGTACAAAGTGCTTTCCTTCAGCGACTGTCTTTACCTCTTCTATATCTGTCTAGGTGCAGGTTTGGGAATGAAGCTTCAGATCAAAGAGAAGAAGCAAGCCCCTGACAATGATCCAGAAACCCAGCATATCACTCAGTAGAAACAAAACAGGACTGCCATATAGTGCCTCTTAGGCCCCGTGTTTCCCACTCTGGCAAATACTCCAACTTGCCTCTACCTGTCTCTGATCCATCTCCACATAGACTGGTTCTAACCTTTAACAGATAGAACAGAGAGGCCATGACTCAGACAATTTTTAGTAACATAGCTTGCTTTTTCATGTGGAGGACACAAGAACATACCACTTGGATACTTTGCTTGAATTCATACAACTTCTCACCCAGTCTCTTTGACCAAGTCCCTGATCCCTGATCCATTATTCCTGCCTGAGTTATGCACCTCAGTGGTTGTACTTGTAGTGTGCTGGAGCTGATTCACACTGGCTCACAAGAATGGATTGTTAAAACTTCAAAAAATATGTGAGCCTGTTCATCTCGCTGTGGTAGCTTGAAACTGGTCATAGCAGGAGTATTTACACCAGAGAAATTGGCACAAGATTTAAATCAAGGTGTTCTTCCTCTTCCTACCCTTACCTAACATCCTCCTCAAACCATACTCCTGTTCTCCTGCCCAAGAGAGTTCATTGTTAAACATATACCAGAAAACCACTGCTGACCCAACATGGAAAACTCACTTGCTGATGCTTTATCTAATTTCCATGGATATATTATCTAACACACTTGACTCCTTGTCTGGCAGGATCTTAGTCCTACTCCTTTTAACTTACTCTTCCCTGCTGATGTCCATGTCTTAGCATGAGAGTATATTCTGCCAAAAGCTGCTTCAGCAATGGTGATAAATATCTATCTTGTCTCAAGTATCATCTGGTTTCAGAGTCTGAGTAAACCTGAACTTACAAGTGGATTGTACATTCACTAGCTCTTCAGCCACCCTATTCTATTTCTAACAAATAATTGCTCTTCCTCAGCATCCCTAATAAACACAACATGTTATCTTCTTAATAAACATTCTTTTGGCAATGTAGGTGACCATTTCAAGGAGGAAACACCATTTGGTGAAAAAAAATACGTATAATTTACTGATTTTTAAAAATTCCACAGTATTTATAGGGGTAGCAAGGGACCCAGATTAAGCTTGAGTTTTAACCCTGGTCAGATTTAGTTTTGTATGCACATGTTTAATGAATCAGTGGGGTGACCTACTAGAAGTCTCTGTATAAGAAATCCTAAGTAGCCTCCTAGGATGCAACTGGCTCTAAGGAAAAAGATAGTGAGGAACTATGGCTTTCCCAGTACCAAAACTCCCTTACTATAGAAGAAGGGTAATTGTGAGATGAATTCAATTCAGAGGTCACGTAGAGTCACCTTGCTTTATAGAAACTAGATAAGAATGCATTAGCCCAGTCCCTTCATAGATTTAAGCCCTACGTCATTCTCAAGATTTCTGAAAAAAATTACAGTGTTTATGTTTCCATGGTTCATAAATTAGTTCAATAATAACTTTATTGAATAATTATTGAATAAACAAATTTCATCAAATTAGTTTTTTCATCAAATTAGTTCAATGTTAGGGTCATTTTGCATCACAGCTGTATTGTTCCTATTCTATATCATGTTAATTCAATTACCAGATTCTTCTGTTTCCCTAATCCCACATTTCAGGTGGGGAGATGGGAGCAGCAACAAGAGCCAAGACAGTCTTGTGCAGAAGACTTTACTGGGGAGACCCTGGGATTTATAACATAGGAACATGCTATGGTTTGCACATTTGTTCCCTCCAAAATTCATATGTTGAAAACCTAGTCACTAACATGGTGGACTAGGAGATGGGGCCTTGGTGGGTGATTAGATCATAAGGTTGGAGGCCTCATGAATGGGATTAGTGTCCTTATAAAAGATACTCCAGAAAGTTGTTTTGCTCCTTTCAGTATGTGAGAACACAGCTAGAATGCATCATCTGTGAACCAGAAGGCAGGCCCTCACCAGACACTAAATATGCCAGCACCTTTATCTTGCACTTCCAAGCCTCCAGATCTGTGAAAAATTAATTTCTGTCTATAAGCAACCAGTCTATGGTATTTTGTTATAGCAGCCCAAACGGACTAACAGAGAACCCAAATCAAAATTTCTAAAAATACTTTTAGGTATTACCAAAATAGTGCTTTCCTTTTATATCTGTTCTCTCTTGCACCATCTCTCTTTCTCTCTCTCTCTCTGTCTGTCTTTCTCTCTGTCTCTGATACCAGCTCTAGAAATGCTTAATCCAAAAGAGAAGCAGGTTCCCTGCTTTGCAAAGGAATAACATTCAACTCCAGCACCCAGGTGATTGCAGGGCATGCTAGGTAGCAGAAGACAGCTGAATTTAGTGGGAGAGCGTGGTGGTGTCCAGAAAGAGACTAAGGCACCAAGCTAATGTGAGTGGGATCATCAGAAGAACAAATCCTATATCCTGACCAATGTTAAGTGGTAGAATCTGACAAAAGCAGCAGTAGTATCCAGCACAGCTGACAAAGCCCAGCAGGCACCACAGTTCCTAGTAGAAAAAGCCTGGAATAAAAGAGGGAAGAAATGGCAAATGCCCACAGGAAGCAATGAATAAAGTTGCCACATAAGCACATGTGAGATACCTCTTGGGTTTCCAGAGAATTTTTAGAAGGGTGCTTTAGAGAGATTTTGTGTCCTTTATCATTAGGAAGTGGAGGTAGGAGTGGAACCAACCAAATGTAAGTATAGGTGGAAAATAAACTTGATAAAATTTGATCACTATTTTCAACATTCTAGAGCTGAGTACTAAACCAGATTTAAATAAACAGGTAAAATTTAACATTATTTATTATTTTAATCATTCACCAAGCATTTATTAATTTTTTAAATCCCATCACCAGTTAGGGCTCAGAATTTATGAGTATGGTATTGGGTTTTGTTTTTGTAGATACTATTAATGTATGAATTTCTGCTTATCAAATTTTGCAAGCAAAATTTCTGGGTCTATAGAGTAAAAAGTCTTTAAGAATAATAAAGCATTTGCAAGTATCATTAAGACACAAAATTCATACTTACCTAATAGGCAAAAATAATGAAGTAAAATTAAAACTTTAGGTAAGGTACTAGGATGAAAGGAGAAAAGGGGCCATATATAAGATAACAGAGGATCTGTTATGGTCATGAGTGAAATATACACACTATCTTAAAAAATGATTGTTGTGGTTTTGTTTTTATATTGGTCACAATTTTCAGTGACAGTCAGTGGGGCATGTACCACAGAATCCATATGAAACCCAATGGATTCCTTTATGATCATATGTGATGTAGCAGTTAATTTTATGTGTCAGTTTGGCTGGGAGATGGGGTGCTTAAATTAAAAACTTTGGGGTATGTCTGTGAGGGGGTTCCCAGGTGAGATTAGCATTGAGTCAGCAGACTCAGTAAAATAGATTGCCCGCTCCAATGTTGGTGGGTATATTAGTCCGTTCTCACATTGCTATAAATAAATACCTGAGACTAGGTAATTTACGAAGAAAAGAGCTTTAATTGACTCATGGTTCTGTAGGCTGTACAGGAAGCATAGCAGATTCTGCTTTTGGAGAGGCCTAGGAAACTTACAATCACGGTGGAAGGCAAAGGGGATGCAGGCATGTCATATGGCCACAGAAAGAGCAAGAGCGAGAGGAGGGAGGTGCTACACACATTTAAATGACCAGATCTCATGAGAACTCTGTCACTATACAATACCAAGCGGGGATGGTGCTAAACCATCCATGAGAACTCTGCTCCCACGATCCAATCACCTCCCACCAGGCCCCACCTCCAACACTAGGGATTTCAATTCTACATGAGACTTGGTGAGGACACAGATCCAAACCATGTCATTGGTCATCATCCAATCCAATGAGAGCCTGAATAGAATAAAAAGCAGAGGGAAGAATAATTCATCCCCCTCCTTTCTGCCTGCTTGAGCTGGGACATCTGTCTTCTGGTTTGCTTAGACTGGAATGTATACCGTTGGCTCCCCTGGTTATCAGGCCTTTGGACTTGAACTGAAATTACATCACCAGCTTTTTTTTGGGTCTCCAGCTTGTAGATCATGTAACTTCTTAGCATCTACAATTGTGTGTGCCAATTCTTCATTATCTATCTATCTATCTTTCTATCTATCTATCTATCTATCTATCTATCTATCTATCTATCCTATTGGTTCTGTTTCTCTGGAGAAGACTGATTAATACATGAGTGTTCCCCAGCTGAGCCAAAAAAAAAGTTAAATGAATTCTCATAAATCAATAATTTAGGCATGGTAATTCTGTTTTTTGTTTTTGGAGAAAACTCCAAACTGCTTTGCACAGGGAATGAACTAATTTACATTCCCACCAAGAGTGTAGAAGCATTCCCTTTTCTCTGCAACCTCACCAACATCTATTATTTTTTGACTTTTTAATAATGGTCATTCTGACTGGTGTGAGATGGTATCTAATACAGTTTGGATGTTTGTCCTTTCCAAATCTCATACTGAAACATCATCCCAAGGCCGGGTGCAGTGGCTCATGCCTGTAATCCCAGCACTTTGGGAGGACAAGGTAGGCAGATCACAAGGTCAGGAGTTCGAGACCAGCCTGTCCAACATAGTGAAACCCCATCTCTCCTAAAAATGCAAAAATGAGCTGGGCGTGGTGGTGCGTGCTTATAGTCCCAGCTACTTGGGAGGCTGAGGCAGGAGAACCATTTGAACCTGGGAGGCAGAGGTTGTGGTGAGCCAAGATCACGCCACTGTGCTCTAGCCTGGGCAATAGAGCAAGACTCTGTCTCAAAACAAAAAAACAAACAAACAAAGAAATATCATCCCCAGTATTGGTGGTGGGCCTGGTGGGAGGCGTTTAGATCATAGGGGTGGATCCCTTATGAATGCTTTGGTGCCCTCCTTAGCACATGAATGAGTTTTCACTCTATTAGTTCACACCGGAACCAGTTGTTTAAAAAAGTCTGGAATCTTCTCCTTTCTCTCTTATTCCCTCTCTCACCATATAACATGCTTGTTCCCCCTTTGCTTTCTGCCATAAGTAAAATCTTTCTGAGGTCTCACCAAAAGCTGAGCAGGTGCTGTTACTAAGTATGTACAGCCTGCAGAACTGTGAGCCAAATAAACCTCTTTTCTCTATAAATTATCCAGCCTTGAATATTCCTTTACAGCCACTCAAAATGAACTAATACAATACATCACTGTGGTTTTAATTAGCATTTATCTAATAATTAGTGTTGTTGAGAATGTTTTTCTTTTATAAAGAAAAGAGGTTTAATTAGCCTCTGTGGGCTATAAAGAAAGCACGGCAGCATCTGTTTCTGGGGAGATCTCAAGAGCTTTTACTCATGCAGGAAGGCAAAGTGGGAACAAGCCTGTTCCCGCTTACATGGCATGAACAGGACAAAGAGAGACAGGGGGTGGGGATGCCACATACATTTTTTTTCTTTTTTAAAATTTTTTATCCTAGGAATTTTTTATTATTATTATACTTTAAGTTCTGGGATACATGTGCAGAACATGAAGGTTTGTTCCACAGGTATACACGTTCCATGGTGGTTTGCTGTAACCATCAACCCATCATCTACATTAGATGCTTCTCCTAATGCTATCCCTCCCCTAGCCCCCCAACACCTGAAAGACCCTGGGGTGTGATGTTCCCCTCCCCTGTGTCCATATGTTCTCATTGTTCAACTCCCACTTATGAGTGAGAACATGTGGTGTTTGGTTTTCTGTTCCTGTATTAGTTTGCTGAGAATGATGGTTTCCAGCTTCATCCATGTCCCAGCAAAGGTCATAAACTCATCATTTTTTATGACTGCATAGTATTCCATGGTATGTATGTGCCACATTTTCTTTATGCAGTCTATCATTATGGGCATTTGGGTTGGTTCCAAGTTTTTGTTATTGTGAACATTGCTGCAATAAACATACATGTGCATGTGTCTTTATAGTAGAATAATTTATAATCCTTTGGGTATATATCCAGTATGGGATTGCTGAGTCAAATGGTATTCTAGTTCTAGATCCTTGAGGAATTGCAACACTGTCTTCCACAGTGCTCGAACTAATTTACACTTCCACCAACAGTGTAAAACCATTCCTATTTCCCCACATCCTCTCCAGCATCTGTTGTTTCCTGACTTTCTACTGATCACCATTCTAACTGGTGTGAGGTGGTATCTCATTGTGGTTTTGAATTGCATTTCTCTAATGACCAGTAATAATGAGCTTTTTTTTCATATGTTTGTTGGCCACATGTCTCCTTTTGAGAAGTGTCTGTTTATATCCTTCACCAATTTTTTTTTTTTTTTTTTTTTCGAGATGGAGTCTTGCTCTTGCCCAGGCTGGAGGGCAGTGGCGTGATCTCGGCTCACTGCAAGCTCCGCCTCCTGGGTTCACACCATTCTCCTGCCTCAGCCTCCCAAGTAGCTGGGACTACAGGCACCCGCTACCATGCCTGGCTAATTTTTTTTTGTATTTTTAGTAGAGACGGGGTTTCACCATGTTAGCCAGGATGGTCTCGATCTCCTGACCTTGTGATCTGCCCGTCTCGGCCTCCCAAAGTGCTAGGATTACAGGCGTGAGCCACCATGCCTGGCCTCACCTATTTTTTTGATGAGGTTGTTTGTTTTTTTTTTCTTGTAAATTTGTTTAAGTTCCTTGTAGATTCTGGATATTAGCCCTTTGTCAGATGGATAGGTTGCAAAATTTTTCTCCCATTCCATAGGTTGCCTGTTGACTCTGATGATAGTTTCTTTTGCTGTGCAGAGGCTCTTTAATTTAATTAGATTCCATTTGTCAATTTTGGCTTTTGTTGCCAGTGCTTTTGGTGTTTTAGTCATGAAGTCTTTGCCCATGCCTTTGTCCTGAATGGTACTACCTAGGTTTTCTTCTTGGGTTTTTATGATTTTAGGTGTTACATTTAAGTCTTTAATCCATCTTGAGTTAATTTTTGTATAAAGTGTAAGGAAGGGGTCCAGTTTCAGTTTTCTGCATATGGCTAGCCAGTTTTCCCAACACTATTAATTAAATAGAAAATCCTTTCCCCATTGCTTGTTTTTGTCAGGTTTGTCAAAGATCAGATGGTTGTAGATGTGTGGCGTTATTTCTGAGCCCTCTCTTCTGTACCATTGGTCTACATATCTGTTTTGGTAGCAGTACCATGCTGTTTTGGTTACTGTAGCTTTGTAGTATAGTTTGAAGTCAAGTAGTGCGATGCCTCCAGCTTTGTTCTTTTTGCTTAGAATTGTCTTGTCTATACAGGCTCTTTTTTGGTTCCATATAAAATTTAAAGTAGTTTTTTTTCTAATTCTGTGAAGAAAGTCAACAGTTGCTTGATGGGAATAGCATTGAATCTATAAATTACTTTGGGCGCTATGGCCATTTTCAAGATACTGATTCTTCCTATCCATGAGCATAAAATGTTTTTCCATTTGTTTTTGTCCTCTCTTATTTCTTGAGCAGTGGTTTGTAGTTCTCCTGAAGAAGTCCTTCACATCCCTTGTAAGTTGTATTCCTAGGTACTTAATTCCCTTTTGTAGCAATGGTGAATGGGAATTCACTCATGATTTGGCTCTCTGTTTGTCTATTATTGTTGTATAGGAATGCCTGTGATTTTTGCACACTGATTTTGTATCCTGAGACTTTGCTGAAGTTGCTTATCAGCTTAAGGAGATTTGGGGCTGAGATGATGGGGTTTTCTAAATATACAATCATGTCATCTGCAAACCGAGACAATTTGACTTCCTCTCTTCCTATCTGAATACCCTTTATTTCTTTGCCTTGCCTGATTGTCCTGGCTAGAACTTCCAATACTATGTTGAATAGGAGTGGTAAGAGAGGGCATCCCTGTCTAGTGCTGGTTTTCAAAGGGAATGCTTTCAGCTTTTGCCCATTATGATATTGGCTGTGGGTTTGTCATAAATAACTATTATTGTTTTGAGATATGTTCCATCAATACCTAGTTTATTGAGAGTTTTTAGCATGAACAGGTGTTGAATTTTATTGAAGGCCTTTTCTGCATCTATTGAGATAATCACGTGGTTTTTGTCATAAAATGAGTTAGGGAGGAGTCCCTCTTTTTTATTGTTTGGAATAGTTTCAGAAGGAATGGTACCAGCTCCTCTTTATACCTCTGGTAGAATTTGGCTGTGAATCTGTCTGGTCCTGTGCTTATTTTGGTTGGTAGGCTATTAATTCCTTTCTCAATTTCAAAACCTGTTATTGGTCTATTCAAGGATTCGACTTCTTCCTGGTTTAGTCTTGCGAGGGTGTATGTGTCCAGGAATTTATTCATTTCTTCTAGATTTTCTAGTTTATTTGTGTGAGGTGTTTACAGTATTCTCTGATGGTAATTTGTATTTCTGTGGGATCAGTGGTGATATCCCCTTTGTCATTTTTCATTGTGTCTGTTTGATTCTTCTCTCTTTTCTTCTTTATTAGTCTGGCTAGTGGTTGATCTATTTTTTAATCTTTTCAAAAAAACCAGCTCTTAGATTCATTAATTTTTTGAAGGGATTTTCATGTCTCTATCTCCTTCAATTCTGCTCTGATCTTAATTATTTCTTGTCTTCTAGTTTTTGAATTTGTTTGCTCCTGCTCCTCTAGTTCTTTTAATTGTGATGTCAGGGTATCGATTTTAGATGTTTCCTGCTTTCCCCTGTGGGCATTTAGTGCTACAAATTTCCCTCTAAACATGGCTTCAGGTGTGTCCCAGAGATTCCAGCATGCTGTGTCCTTGTTCTCATTGTTTTCAATGAACTTATTTATTTCTGCCTTAATTTCGTTATTTACCCAGTCGTCATTCAGGAGCAGGTTGTTCAGTTTCCATGTAGTTGGGCAGTTTTGAGGGAGGTTCTTAATCCTGATTTCTAATTTGATTACACTTTGGTCTGAGAGACTGTTTGTTATGATTTCTGTTCTTTTACGTTTGCTGAGGAGTGTTTTACATCCAATTATGTGGTCAGTTTTAGAATAAGTGTTATGTGGTGCTGAGAAGAATGTATATTCTGTTGATTTGGGGTGGAGGGTTCTGTAGATGTTTATTAGGTCTGCTTAGTCCAGAGCTGAGTTCAAGCCTTGAATGTCCTTGTTAATTTTCTGTCTCCATGATCTGTCTAATATTGACAGTGGGGTGTTAAAATCTCCCACTATTATTGCGTGGGAGTCTAAGTCTCTTTGTAGGTCTCTAAGAACGTGCTTTATGAATCTGGATGCTCCTATATTGGGTGCATATATATTTAGGATATTTAGCTCTCCTTGTTGCATTGAAACCTTTACCATTATGTAATGTCCTTCTTTGTCTTTTTCTATTTTTGATGGTTTAAAGGCTGTTTTATCAGAGACTAGGATTGCAACCCCTGCTTTTTTTTTTTTTTTTTTTTTTTTTGCTTTCCATTTGCTTGGTAAATATTCCTCCCTACCTTTATTTTGAGCCTATGTGTGTCTTTGCACATGAGATGGGTCTCCTGAATACAGCACACTGATGGGTCTTGACTCTTTATCCAATTTTCCAGTCTGTGTCTTTTAATTGGGGCATTTAGCCCATTTACATTTAAGGTTAATATTGTGATATATGAAATTTATCCTGTCATTATGATGCTAGCTGGTTATTTTGCCCGTTAGTTGATGCAGTTTCTTCGTAGCATCGATAGTTGTTACAATTTGGTATGTTTTTGCAGGTGTTGGTACTGGTTGTTCATTTCCATGTTTAGTGCTTCCTTCAGGAGGTCTTGTAAGGCAGGCCTGGTGGTGACAAAATCTCTCAGCATTTGCTTGTCTGTAAAGGATTTTATTTCTCCTTCACTTATGAAGCTTAGTTTGGCTGGATATGAAATTCTGGGTTGAAAATTCTTTTTTTCAAGAATGTTGAATTTTGCACCAACTTTCTTCTGGCCTCTAGGGTTTCTGCAGATAAATCCGCTGTCAGTCTCTTGGGCTTCCCTTTGGGTGTAACTGGACCTTTCTCTCTGGCTGCCCTTAAAATTTTTTCCTTCACTTCAACCATGGTGAATCTGACAATTATGTGTCTTCAGGTTGCTCTTCTCAAAGAGTATCTTTGTGGTGTTTCTGTGTTTCCTTAATTTGAATGTCTTGCTAGGTTTGAGAAGTTCTCCTGGATAATATCCTGAAGAGTGTTTTCCAACTTGGTTCCACTCTCCCTGTCACTTTCAGGTACCCCAATCAAACATAGGTTTGGTCTTTTCACATAGTCTAATATTTCTTGGAGGCTTTGTTCTTTCCTTTTCATTCTTTTTTCTCTAATCTTGTTTTCACCCTTTATTTCATTAAGTTAATCTTCAATCTCTGATATCCTTTTTTCAGCTTGATCAATTCGGCTATTGATACTTGTGTATGCTTCACGAATTTCTTGTGCTATGTTTTTCAGCTCCATCAGGTCATTTATGTTCTTCTCTATAATGGTTATTCTAGTTAGCAATTCCTCTAACCCTTTTTTCAAGGTTCTTAGCTCCCTTGCATTGGGTTAGAACATGCTTCTTTAGCTCAGAGGAGTTTGTTATTATCCACCTTCTGAAGCCTACTTCTGTCAATTCATCTAACTCATTCTCCCTCCAGTTTTGTTCCCATGCTGGCGAGGAGTTCTGATACTTTGGAGGAGAACAAGCCTTCTGGTTTTTGGAATTTTCAGCCTTTTTGCGCTGGTTTTTCCTCATCATCGTGGATTTATGTACCTTTGTTCTTTGCCATTGGTGACGTTCAGATGGGGATTTTGTGTGGACGTCCTTGTTGTTGATGTTGATGCTATTCCTTTCTGTTTATTAGTTTTCCCTCTAACAGTCAGGCCCCTCTGCTGCTGGTCTGCTGGATTTTGCTGAAGGGCCACTCCAGACCCTGTTTGCCTGGGTATCACCAGCAGAGGCTGCAGATCAGTAATAATTGCTGCCTGTTTCTTCCTCTGGAAACTTCGTCCCACAGCAGCATCCACCAAGTACCAGCTGGAGCTCTCCTGTACGAGGTGTCTGTCAACCCCTGCTTAATTACAGCACCAAGGGTAATGGTGTAACTATATATAATTGATAAAGATTTTGCAATTAAATCTAATTATTATATCTGCATGAAAAAGGATTATTTGTTTTCTAATTTGGAACATATGACTATAGACAAAATAATGTAAAACCCATTTGGAATCCAAAAATGTAACATCTGGGATTTATTCATTTTTTTGAGTTAACATCCTGTTCTCATTATTGATGATGTTTCTGAATTAACTGTAATTCTTAGTCTTTAATCTTCCAGTTTTAAACAATTGCACAAGAAATTACTCCAAAACTTGCTTAACCATAGGAGTCCTATCAGGAAAAGTTTCACACCTGTAGTCCATCTACTTGGGGGGCTAAAAAGGACAGAGTGCTTGAGGCTTGGAGTTTGAGACCAGCCTATGCAATATAGTGAGACCCTGTCTCTAAAAAAATAAAACAATAAAAGAAAATAAAAGCAAAAATCAAATAAAGTTCCAGCAAAACATCAGAAATTAAATATGGATATTCAAGGAAAATTAAAATGTTATATGAATAAAATGTACAATAGAACACTAATAAACATGTAAATCCATTTCATATAGTTGATTTTGGTGAAATAAATTAATTACTAAAACTGAGTTAGGAAAAAGTAAAAACAAACAAACAAAAAAACAATTATTAAGAGAGAAATAGAAAAAAATTAATAAATTTTTTAGAAACCTTCACGCTTAGCTATTTTAATGGATTAGCTCTTTAACAGTATAGAAATATTTGAAAATACATATAATTAATTTGTAAAATTAGCATAAACCTGATAGAGTAAACTTGTATCAACTGAACAAGGGCAAACACTATAAACAATCTCATTTCTAGAGGGAAGCATTATAAGTGGTTAAGAAGCTTGAAATCTGGAACTACTTGGGCACAATTTTATGCTCTGCTGTGCTAACCATTTGATCTTGGACAAGCTATTAATATTTAACCTTCCTAAATCTTGCTCATCTACAAAAGAAAGATAATAATAATAAATATGACATAGGGCTATTGTGAGGATGAAATTCGTTAACAAGGATGTTTTATATTTATGTAAGGCATAACACACCATAAAGTTACAACAAATATGTATTTTAAAACATAGCATTAAAAAAAGCCAAAATTGACAAATGGGATCTAATTAAACGAAAGAGCTTCTGCACAGCAGAAGAAACTACCATCGAAGTGAACAGGCAACCTACAGAATGGGAGAAAACTCTTACAATCTACCCGTCTGACAATGGGCTAATATCCAGAATCTACAAAGAACTTAAACCTACAGAATGGGAGAAAATTTTTACAATCTACCCATCTGACAATGGGCTAATATCCAGAATCTACAAAGAACTTAAACAAATTTACAAGAAAAAATCAAACAACCCCATCAAAAAATAGGTGAAGGATATGAACAGACACTTCTCAAAAGAAGACATTTATGCAGCCAACAGACGCATGAAAAAATGCTCATCATCACTGGCCATCAGAGAAATGCAAATCAAAACCACAATGAGATACCATCTCACACCAGTTAGAATGGTGATCATTAAAAAGTCAGGAAACAACAGGTGCCAGAGAGGATGTGGAGAAATAGGAACGCTTTTACACGTTGGTGGGACGGTAAACTAGTTCAACCATTGTGGAAGACAGTGTGGCGATTCCTCAAGGATCTAGAACTAGAAATACCATTTGACCCAGGCATCCCATTACTGGGCATATACCCAAAGGATTATAAATCATGCTGCTATAAAGACACATGCACATGTATGTTTATTGCGGCACTATTCACAATAGCAAAGACTTGGAACCAACCCAAATGTCCATCAATGATAGACTGGATTAAGAAAATGTGGCACATATACACCATGGAATACTATGTAGCCATAAAAAAGGATGCATTCATGTCCTTTATAGGGACATGGATGAAGCTGGAAACCATCATTCTGAACAAACTATAGCAAGGACAGAAAAGCAAACACTGCATGTTCTCACTCATAGGTGGGAACTGAACAATAAGAACACATGGACACAGGGTGGGGAACATCACATACCGGGGCCTGCAGGGGGGTGGGGGGAGGGGGAAGGGATAGCATTAGGAGAGATATACCCAATGTAAATGACAATTTAATGGGTGCAGTACACCAACATGGCACATGTATGGATATGTAACAAACCTGCACGTTGTGCACATGTACCCTAGAACTTAAAGAAAAATAAAAAAAAAAAAATAATAATAATAAAGAAGAGTGCTTGTCCCATTCATGAGGGTTCCAGCCTCAAATTAATTACCTTCCAATATTCCCACCTCCTAATACCATCACATTGGGGGTTAGAATTTCAACATACAAATTTTGGAGTGCATGAACATTCAGTCCATTGTAACTACTCTGCAATAAAAAGGAATAAAATTGATTCATGGAAAGGAAACAATAAATAAAAGGAAATAAATTGATTCATGAAACAAATTAAATGAATCTTGAAAACATAAGTGAGAGAAACCAAACACTATATAGAATCATATCAGTCAATTTACATAACATTCTAGAAAAAAGTAAAGATATTGTGCTAGAAAACTATAGTTGACAGGTCCTGAGGGTTAGGGGAGGACACTGACTGCAAGGAGACATAATAAAACTTTCTGAGGTAACAAAAATGTTTTGGTCAGGTTCAGAGATTGCGGTTAAATTATACATTTTTTCAAACTGCACTGAAGCATGTACTTAAAATTGGTAAATTTTTATACATAAATTATGCTTCAATAAAGCTGATTGTATCTATATAAGCATGTGCAATAAAAACTGTTAAAATAGAAGTGGGAAGAAACAGAATGTTGATGGGAGTTTTAACATGCTACCTTTATTCTCAATAGATTCACAGATATATTTATTTTATCCAAAAATACTTGTATGCCTTGGGATTTTTTAAATAATAACATAAACTTGAATTTATTTGTGAAAAACTCCAAGGAAACAATGTAAGTCACTGACAGTGGCAGGCCTTGAATTCCCTGATTGTAGCTCTGTCCGGGCAGCCCCCACTCTCCATCCCAGCATCTTCGTCTAAGTATAGACAATATTGCACTTTTGTAAAGACAAAGACATTCTGCATTTACCATCACATGCCATTTGTTCTTGTCCTAGTCATCCTACATACTCTTAGTCCTTATCTCTTCCCAAACAATGTCCATTGTTATTGTTCATCTATAAAGCAATACATTTCATGCCACATCCACTATGTGCTCTGCACTCCTCTGGATGCTACAGGTAGGGCCATGGACAAGCAGAAGTTTCTAAATGGTATATGTCATCATCAGAAAAAGTAAATAAGTAAATAACTAATATAGTTAAATTAACAATAAAAAATATTTTGAAAAAATTAAGAAAGTAAGGAAATAAAGAGTAACTAGGAAAGAGGAGTTGGTATTTCTCTAGAATAAACACGAAGATGTGGCATGGCTGGGTCATATGGTAAGATTATTGTTTGATCAAGTAACTGGGTACTATAGCCTAGTGAAGCTGATACATAAAATTAGCCATCACATTAATCCCTTAGGAAATGTAACTAAAATCATATTGAGATGCCACTGGACAACTATTAGAATGGCTGAGAAAAAAATACAATACCAAGTGTTAATGCTTAGTATGGCTAACGCTGATGCAAAGCAACAGGAACTCTCAGATACTGCTGGTCATAATGCACATTTCTTAATATCCCCTATGTTGAAAAGGAAGTCAAAAGGGAAGTTAGTAAATATTTTGAAGTAAATAAATATAAAAACATAGCATATCAAAATATGTAGGAGGCAGTTAAAGCAGTGCTTAGAAGATAAACTGTAGCATTGAATGCTCACATTAGAAAGGAAGAAATATCTCAGATTGATTATCTGTTTCCACCTTAAGAAACAGTAAAAATAAAAAAACTAAACCCAAAGAAAGCCAAAAAAGGAAGTAATAAAGACAAGAACAGACATCAATGAAAAAGAAAACAAACAATAGTAGAAAAAAAGCATTAACATCAAAATCTGGATTCTTTGAAAAGATCAGTAAAATTAATAAACCACCAGCCAGAGCTACCAAGAGAAAAGAGAAGACACAAATTACTAGTATCAGGAATGAGAGTAATAACATCACTACAGATCTTGTAGATATCTAGAGACTAGTGAAGAAATATTGAGAAGAAACTTATGCCTATAAATTCGACAATTTGAATGAACCAGACACATTCCTTAACAAACACAAACTCCCAATGCATATTCTAAAAGAAGCAGATAACCTGAATTATCCGAATTATCTTGTTGATATACAGATATTTGTATATGTCTATAGATATACAGATATAAAATTCAATTAAGAATTGAATTTGGAGTTTGAAACTTTTCTAGAAAGAAAATTCTAGGCACAGATGATTTCACTGAGAAATGCGACCAAACATTTAAGGAAAACAGCAATCATTTATTATCATTCATGGTTTCTATGGGTCAGGAGTTCAGAAGCAGCTCCACTGCATAGTTCTGGTTGAAAGTCTCTCACGTGGTTGCAGTTAGACGTTGACTAAGGCTGGAGTCACCATCAAGTCTTCTTTGTTTATATATCTGGCCCTTGGCCTAGGAAGACTCAAATAGCTGAAAGACGGAACAGCTGAGGTTTCTAAAGCATTTCTCTATATATCTTCATGGTATGTCCATGTGGTCCCTCCAGCATGGTGGCATCATGGCAGCCAGACTTCTTACATAGTTGCTCAGGGTTCCAGAATGAGAGATGGAGAAAAAGAAAGTGAGAGAGAGACTATATATTTTTTTATGACATGTTCTCCGAAATCCCATAATATCGCTTCTGCTGCATTCTATTTGTTCAAGCATTCACAAAGGTCCATCAAGTTTTAAAAACTGTGTCTAGAGGAGAGATAAACTACTCTTGGCTGGAAAGTTACAAGGGTCTGTCGGACTAGGAATATTGTTGTAGCCATTTTTGGAAAATATGATCCACAACAATGGGAGGTCTTAACGTACTTGAGATTACTTTGAACTCACAGTACAACTGCAAATAATTTATTTTAGTCTATTCAAATGTTTCCAAAAATGAAGCTGAATGTAGAAATAAAATTGTAGGTTAATCTAAAAGAGAAACTTAGTCAAGTGCATTTTTAAAAGGAAAGATTTCAGCATGATGAAAATGTACTATTTTGGTTATTCATTTGGCCATATCTAATTGGTCAATAAATAAACCTATACTTTTGGTTGTAAATGTGTGGATGAATAACACGTAGCCATAACCATACTGCCTTGCTGTCTCTCCAATACTCTAACATATATGTTTAGTGTATGTATGCATGTATATATACTCAAATATGTACACATGTGTGTATATTGTCCTATAAAGCTAATTCAGGAATGTCATTTTAATAAATAAATGCATTTTATTAGCAAATTAGATCATGGTTAATTTATATAGAGTGAAAATTTTGAAGAAGTTGCACTAGATTCTAGATTTAAAGAAACTCTAAGCTCTTCGCAATTAAAGTCACTTCTATAGGCTGAATTGTGTCCCCTCATCCAGGTTCATGTGTTTAAACCCTAACACCCAGTAACTCAGAATGTGACTGTATTTGGAGATAGGGCATGAGGTAATAAGTTAAAATGAGGTCATAGAGGAAGACTTTATTCCATTCTGACTGGTTTTCTTATAAGAAGTGGAAATTTAGATACACGGAGAGCCCCCAGGTGTGCACAGACACAGTGTGATGAGGCAGCAAGAGGATGGCCATCTACAAACCAAGGAAGACAAAACCACTCTGCTGGCACTTTGATCTTGGACTTCCATCCTCCAGAATGTGAGAAAATAAATTTCTGTTACTCAAGCCACCCAGTCTGCGTTACTTTGTTATAGAAGCCCTAGCAAATTTAGAATACAATCACTCCATTTACTATTTAAATGCATGAATGAGGCCTAGCATGGTGGCTTTCACCTGTAATCTCAGCACTTTGGGAGGAAAAGTCATGCAGATCATTTGAGTCCAGGAGTTTGAGACCAGCCTGGCGAAACCCCATCTCTACAAAGAAATAAAAAGTTAGTCAGACATGGTGGCACATGCCTGTAGTCCCAGCTACTTGGGAGGTTGAGGCATGAGAATCATTTGAGACCAGGATGTAGAGGTTGCAGTGAGCCATGATCAGGCCATTGCACTCCAGCCTGGGCGACAGAGCAAGACTCTGTCTTAAAAATAAATGAATAAATAAATAAGGATGAAATTATGTATCTCTAATATGTTTCTAAATATTCTATCATAAGTTTTTGCTTACAAAAATTTAAATAAAAAGGGGGAAAGTCTATTATTTTTAAAGTACTATGTCTTCACTAATTTCTCTCCTACATTTGTGCCCTTCATACACTCTTGTCTAAGGTCTTCTGGCATTGTGTGTTTGTGATCCTTTTATAAGATACAGTTCTGAGTATATTCAAAGCATTTCT
The DNA here is from genome assembly GCF_000001405.40 of Homo sapiens. Classification (NCBI taxonomy): domain Eukaryota; kingdom Metazoa; phylum Chordata; class Mammalia; order Primates; family Hominidae; genus Homo; species Homo sapiens. The sequence continues at coordinate 88,598,562 of NC_000012.12, read as the reverse complement.
TATTACTTCAGTTTCCTAGAAAAAGCACAAGATAAGAGTTAAGATGAGAAGTTTTATTATCTTTAATATACTTTAGATTGACAAGGATCTTTAATGATCTTAAAACATTAAAAATAATTAAAGACCTTTAAGTCAACCTAAAGTTTAAATATAATTTTGGTTATAATCTTTTTTTAAGAAAAATTGAGGCTATAGGGTCAAGGTCAGAGCATTTGAGATTTGAGTTACTAGCCATGATGGACTTTTGTACCCCTCTATGATTATTAATGCATTGCCTTCTCTGCACAACGGCAATGCTACTATCACGTAATCAATGTTGAAGCATAACCTGTAGGTAGAAACAACAATTACAACACCTTTGTTCCCACTGAAGAAGGAAAAGTATACTTAGATCTACTTAAAGCTGCAAGCAATTTTGTTTGCATTTTGTGTATATATGTTGCTATGTGTCTCTATATTTGTGCGGGCATATCAATTAAGAATAGTATATTAGTCCGTTTTCATGATGCTGATAAAGACATACCTCAGACTGGGAAGAAAAAGAGGTTTAATTGGACTTACAGTTTCACAGGGCTGGGGAGGCCTCAGAATCATGGCAGGAGGCAAAATGCACTTCTTACATGGTGGCAGCACGAAAAAACAAGGAGGAAGAAAGAGCAGAAACCCCTGATAAGCTCATCAGATCTCGTGAGACTTATTCACTATCACAAGAATAGCATGAGAAAGACCAGCCCCCATGATTCAATTACCTCCCTCTGGGTCCCTCTCACAACACGTGGGAATTCTGACAGCTACAATTCAAGTTGAGATTTGGGTGGAGACACAGCCAAACCATATCAGATAGATTAAACCATTGATGAGGTGAGTATCTCAGGATAAGTTCCTTATTCTAAGCCACTGTTCCCTCATCTATAAACTAGGTTAATAAAACACTGTCTCCAGAACCTTGGACAATGGGATTAAATCAGAAAACATGTACAAAACTCTTGGCAGAGTGGCTCATACATTGCAAGAGGTTAATGAATGATAGCAACTATAAGCTTTTATTGCCATAAAGCTCAGACATTGGATTCCTCAAAGGCAGAGACTGTAGTTATCTGGGGAAAGCATCATGCCTGGTGGTGTAGACTCTTAATGATAGTGTAGGTTAAATTCAGCTGGACTGAAATAAAATAGATAAATATTACATTTACACAATGCTGTAAATTTCTGTTACTTTCTAAAAGTATTTTGATATTGCAAAGAAAAAAAATTTCTCAAATATTAAAGTACTTAACTGGGTAGGTAAAATAAACTATATTGAGGAATCAAAGTCAGTTCAGGCTTAATTCTATAAACCCAACACTTTTAAACAATAAAGACTCAGTAACCAATTACTCTATTCTAAATAGACATGTTTCACAGAATATTTAATAATTTTGTTGATATTCCAATTTGTTTTATTGATCAAAATATTTATCTTTCTGTAGTAACTTAGAGTGGATAAATTTGATTTGTTATTTTTTAAAATTTCAGTCTTTTTTTGAAAAAAGCAAAGCATTTTGTTAATTTTCAACTTTCATGCGTCTGAAATCAGTTCAAAGCTCACAACTGATAATGGCACGAGTCCACTCAATTTAGCACAAGTGTGTTTTCTCTGTTCCTCTTTGAATGTTACAGAGAATTTATCTTTTTTCACATTCAAAAAACTGAAACAATAAACTCAGGATAGCAATGCATCATAAACTCATAAGATGAAAGGCCATTTGATTGCATATTTCTTCTTCTTATAGTTTACTCTAACAAAGGATTTCTAGAAAAGTATGCCAGACCTATAGAACAGCAAAATAAATAAATAAATAAAAATAAAAATAAAAATAAATGGAGTAATGGGAAGATCACTAAGACAGGATTCAGGAATTCAGATTCCAGCCCTGACTTCCCTATTTAAAATTACATCATCTCTGGTTAATATCACTAAAGTTCTTTGGATCTCATCCTCCTTTTCTGGAAGGTGAGAATTGTGATGTATGCATGCCCTTCTCCATTAGAATGTGATTATGCTTTGAACAATCACGAGCACAATTCAGATATGAGATGATAGTCCTGTATGTTGTCTGCTGTGGCATATATTTTTCTCTATAAAAGTAAGTACTAAGTTAATGCCACCAATAGATCTTGTATGAATTTAATAATGTAGCTCTAATATTTACTGCATGCTTATTATGCAGCATTTATTGTCTGCTTAAGAATTAGGGACCTTTAATACACTAACGCTTAACCTTCAAAATGCCACTATTGGTAGTCATCATCATTATCCTCATTTGAGAGAACAAAAACCACTAGGAATATTAGTTCTGTATGTTTTGTCCCCATGCGCAGGAAAAAGTTCTAGAATGGAGTGATGAAGCATTATTATTCCCATTTAAGAGATGAAGCCTCTGAGGCATTGGGGTTAAGTTGGCCAAAGTCAAACAGAAGGTTACTGTCACACACAGGCCCCAATACTACTGTGAGGCAAGTATTGGGAGTTAAGAAGCTGCTATGAATTTCCCAGGCAGAAAGTGGTGGAGCCAGGCCTTAAACTGAGGTCTGTGTATCACAAAGCTGATGTTATTTCTACTATGGCACAGTGTAAAATGATCTATGTTAGATAAGAAAAGTGCTACCTCCTTTCATTTAATAAACCATTGTAAAATAATCATACTGTGTTTTACAACTTCCTTGTTCACTTTCTCCTCCCTCCTTGGCTAGAAAGCTCTTTCTCTATTCTTCTAACTGATTTAACTGGACTCCAAAAGTCAAACTGGCTTTAGTTATTCATTTTTTCCAGAGAGGAAGATTGATGTACCATTATCTTTTTTTTTTTTTTTTTTTTTTGCCAGGCCTGCTTAGAGTTCAAGGATTTCTTCCTTAACAATGCCAGATCTTTGATGCATTAGATTTAAGTGGACAGTTTCAGTGCAAGGATAAATTGACAAAAAACTTTTCATTGAAGTTCAAATAGAAAAACTTTGTACCATTGCAAATAATCCAGATTTTAGCCAACTCTCTTTGTTCGCAATGTCCTACAGTGTAGGCTATTTTTTAGTGAAACTTCTCTCCAGGAATCCTTCTTTCTTCAAATACCTTTTTTAGGTTCACTGTTAGTGCTTTAATACCTTGACTACATATTTCTGCTCAACGCAAACTTTTTAGTTTCTCTTTTTCTAGTTAACACCATTGGAAACCAGATGAAAGGCAGCTTCTCACTTTGCACTGACAGTTGATCAAGATAAACCAACACAAAGGTTACAGAGATGATATTGTACAAGCTATACTAAGGTTGGTAACCAGAAACCCAATAATGGGGATTAGGGGGAAAATCAGTACAGATAATCTTCAGCTTCTAATGTCTGCACCAAAAAGGTCTAGTGCTAGCCTAACTATTTCCTTTACTCTATATAAAGGAACCTTGTTCCGCTTTCGGAGCCCTTCATTGTCATGAAATCAGTCATTGAATCAAAATCCTTAAGGACATTTTCCAAGCTGTGAGTACTCCTTTGAAAGCTGTCTAATTATCCTGTAGTCCGGGTAGCTATCCAGCATGCCCTAGGACGAGACAAGTTACTTTTTTACCTTTTGACTACATAAGGAAACTCTGCAATGTAAATACTACACTGTATTATCAGAAATGTTTAACTCACTTCCTAGCCCATAAATGTTCCTATTTAACAACAAAGTATTATTAAGGGATACACTAAAATATCATGGTTAAAAGAGTGGATTTTTAGAGTTACTCAAACACCAGTTGAATCCAAAATTGGCCACTTTCTAGCTCTGTGACCTAGAGTAGCCACTTAACTACCCCTGTGACTTAGTTTCCTCATCTGCAAAACAGGGTAATTATACCCATCTCATAGATGGATTTGATCGTCTTTTTTCCCTTTCTCTAAATAATGACAATGATAAGCACCAGATTATTCACAGTGAGCTTACCAAAAACCAAAACCAAAACAAGCAACAATAGCATTCTTAGGAGTGTTGTGAGGACTATTGTAGAGAACATAGTAAAGATTAAACAATATATGGAAAGTACTTAGTGCTTGGTAAATGCTCCCTAAACAATTATGAACTGATCTTAAGTCTATTTAGTATGCATACTTCTTAGGTTATTTACATAGATTATTTGGCTACCAGACCACAGAGAAAGTAAATCACAGATCAAATTCTCTCACAAATGTAGATATGACTAACCAACACATTGACAAGTGGACACAAGTCAGGTCACACAAAATATTATTTAAAGCTTGAGTAAGTCCTAGTTCTTGGTACAGTTAAGTGCTCCCTTTAACATCTTAAGTGAAAAATTCACTGAATACAAACATATCATTAGAGTTTGTATTTCTCTCAGTCAATGGCTAGAACCAGTTTGTTTAGGGCTCACGTCCTTAGCATCATTTCTACTGCTACAAGCTTCAGGCCTCCTTGGATTCTTATACCCTGATCATGTTTATGTCTCTAAAAGAAGTTTAACCAATCCACATGTTCTTAAGAACTTTAATCTTACCAATTAGAGCTCTCTTTTTACATTAATGATGCTGATCAGTCAGCCACTATTTTCACCTCTAAAAAACCATTTTTCCATATAGTATGCTATTCATGAATAATATCTATTAATAACATTCTTATTTTGAACATATTTCCAACATCTATGGATAAGCTACATATGGGTAATACAAGTGCTTGTATCAGTACCTGCTAAAGTTTGGATCTCTAAATTCCATAACCCTTTCTTATGCTGCTAATAAAGACATACCCGAGACTGGCAATTTATAAAGGAAAGAGGTCTAATTGACTCACAGTTCAGCATGGCTGGGGAGGCTTCAGGAAACTTACAATCATGGTGGGAGGGGAAGCAAACATGTCATTCTTCACATGATGGCAGCAAGGAGAAGTGCCCAGCAAAAGGGAAAAAGCCCCTAATAAAACCATCTCGTGAGAAGTCACTCACTATCACGATAATAGCAGCATGGGGGTAACTGACCCCATGGCTCAATTACCTCCCACTGGGTCCCTCCCACAACATGTGAGGTTTATGGGAACTACAATTCAACATGAGTTTTGAGTGGGAACACAGCCGAACCATATCAAGCATGGAACTCCTCATTAGAAAGCCTGCTGGTCAGCTATCCCATTACTGGGTATATACCCAAAAGATTATAAATCATGCTGCTATAAAGACACATGCACACGTATGTTTATTGTGGCACTATTCACAATAGCAAAGACTTGGAACCAACCCAAATATCCAACAATGATAGACTGGATTAAGAAAATGTGGCACATATACACCATGGAATACTATGCAGCCATAAAAAATGATGAGTTCATGTCCTTTGTAGGGACATGGATGAAGCTGGAAACCATCATTCTCAGCAAACTATCACAAGGACAAAAAACCAAACACCGCATGTTCTCACTCACAGGTGGGAATTGAACAATGAGAACACATGGACACAGGGAGGGGAACATCACACACCGGGGCCTGTTGTGGGGTAGGGGGAGAGGGGAGGGATAGCATTAGGAGATATACCTAATGTTAAATGACGAGTTAATGGGTGCAGCACACCAACATGGCACGTATACATATGTAACAAACCTGCACGTTGTGCACATGTACCCTAAAACTTAAAGTATAATAAAAAAAAGAAAGAAAGCCTGCTGGTCAGCTGTGGACTCAAATTCTTGAATAGAATGCTCTTAGCATGTGGGATGTAGCCTCACTCAAATAGCAAACACACAATACCACACTGCATATTTTAAGGTAAATGAAAGCTATCATGGCATTAATCAATCCAATTTAAGAATGCATTTTTGCTTTTTTTTTTTTTTTTTTTTTTGAGATGGAGTCTTGCTCTGTCACCCAGGCTGGAGTGCAGTGGCACAGTCTCGGCTCTCTGCAACCTCCACCTCCCAGGTTCAAGTGATTTTCCTGCCTCAGCCTCCCGAGTAGCTGGGACTACAGGGGCATGCCACCACTCCCGGCTAATTTTTTTTTTTTTTTTGTATTTTTAGTAGAGACGGGGTTTCACCATGTTAGCCAGGATGGTCTCGATCTCCTGACCTCATGATCCACCTGCCTTGGCCTCCCAAAGTGCTGAGATTACAGGCATGAGACACCGTGCCTGGCCAAGAATGCATTTTTTAATAAACAATAAAGGAAACATATTTAAAAATTCAGAGGTTATGAAAATGAGCATCTTCTTTAATCTGTGTCTCACCTTGGGTATAGTTTTCAGAATAAGAAAATTAGTGTCTGGCATTTGCCAACAAAAATAAAGAAAAAAACAAATAGGTGAGGGCGGGTAGTGTATGCGGCCAATGATGACAATGCCTGGGGTTTACTAACCAGTCTAAGTTTGGAACTCTAAATTCCAAAAGCCATCTCTACCCTCAAGGCCTCTGGGAAATAGGTTGAAAACTGATTAAGATCCCCATAACCTGTGAAGATGGGGGTCACTGCAGTCAGTTTCTAGCTGAGAGAAAACTCAGACAATGAGGTACATTGTTAACAAATGTATTTTATGCAAACTTGATAAGTGGTCTGATGATGTTGAAAGGAGATATGAAAAATCTACAACTTGTCTAAGTTGCACATCCACAAAAAGAAAAAAGAAAAGAAATATTACAATGCCTGTTTCGGACTGTGGAACCCAAAATGGTAAAAGTTATCTGTTACCTAGTTGACTTCATGTCAAATTCATTCCCTATCCACCCCAACCCCTAAAAAGACAGAAAGAAGAAAGTCCCAAATGTTTGATAGCTTCTCAGTATTCCCTGTTTATAGTTTTCACAGGAAAATACACCATGGGAGTTGCATTGCATCTTGTGACAAAACTTTCCAAAACATTGCTTTTGTCTATATACCTACACCCTTTATTAACTTTGTCATTTCAAGAGTGATGCAAAACAAACTTGTCAGTTAAGAAATAAGCCATACCCTAGGAACTTCTCATTTAAATGATTCACTGGAGGACACATGTTTCAAAAGTAGAATATGAAAAACAACATTGCCACAGTTGAAGCCACAAATCTTTTTTAAGATCAAATAACCAAAAAGAATAACATTGCTGCCAAAACCACCAACCTAAACTAATTTATCTAGTACAAATAAAAGTTATGAGACATAGAAAAAGCCATAAACTGAAATGATGCCGAAATGTACGATTATATGATAGATTTTTAAGTGGTTATGAAGAAGAGGGACCTGTGGTAAAATTTATCAAAATTGTGGTATTACATTATATTTGAGCATCTAAAATGTATGTATTCAACAGTCTCCTATATTCTGGTAATATGGAATATAAAAAAGTATATTCATAGAAATACATATCATTTAGAAAATCAATTCCACCTTTTCTTCTTCTCTAGAAATTCCTTTCTGAATAATCTTAAAACCACTGTCTCCTTAACAATAAGTCACTCTTTACTATAAACAGCACTAGAATATTTACTCTTTGATCTTGATTCCTTGGAAGTACTGCTTCTGGACTAACCAGAAGGTTTTGCGTAAGTCAAGTCTGAAGATGTGGGTTCTACTCCTCATTCTATCATAAATTAGCCTCTCTGTAACCTCAATTTCATCATCTGCAGATTAATTGTGTAAACTACCTTTTAGCAAAATTTTCTTCTAGTCTTAAAACCTGTGTTCATGAAATAACTCACAAACTCATAGTTCCTAAAAATCTCTAAATTTTCTCTAGTTTCTAAATTTGAGTCGCAAATATTTATGTTAATAAAACTTTTAATTGCAAAAAAAGAATACACATATAGGACTTTTATCAAGTCCTATATGTGTATTCTCTCTCTAGAATGTTCCCATCACATTTCTACAACTCGTTTTACTCTTTTACTCAGCACGTTTTGAGCAACAGCTTCTCTTTCACTGAGTGGAGGCTCATGTACTACAAATTAATTTTCCCGTTAACAGTAAACCTAAGATTGTAAGGAATGAGCAACCACTCTGCTTCAAAGAGACAGTGATATTTGAACCAGGCTTTGAATGATGAAAAAGAGATTTCGGGCAGAAAATGGAGGAAAAGCTACTCCATGTTAAAGGAACAATGTAGCAGAGGAATAAAGGTGTCAAAGAGAAAATGTTGAGAAGTTCAATATGGTTATTTGGAAGGAGGTAGATAACAGATGAACATAGAGAATGATAAATATTGTGGCCAAATTGTAAGGAGCCCTGGATTTTATTCTCTAGGTACCAAGGGTAAAAATACTATGACAGACAGAAAAGTGGCATGACCAGATTTTTACATGTGCAGCTGTAACTTTGCAGCAATGTTGAAATGGACTGTAGTAATAGAAGACCAAGGATAGGAAGACCATTGGTGAATGGTTTAGGTGAGATTCAGGAGACTCTAAAGTAGGGCAGTGACAAAATAAATAAATAATATGTTTTGGATGAAATTATTAAACAATAAAAGAGAAAATCAGTTATTATTTAAATATTAATTATTAATCATGTGCTTTGAAGGAAATAGTATCATCTGGAAGTATTAACAAATATTTGCCGAACAAGGGGACTAATGAATAAATGATTGAAGTTCTCTCTGCAAAGCTGAATTTGTACTTTTGAAATATACCAGGAAATCCTATCTCTAAGATCCACTGGATTTATTTTCCCTCAAGTTGCTACTAGAATGTGTAAATAAGTTTATTCCTTTAGATGTTCTTGGCAATCTCGTTCTCTCATTGGATTGTGATAGCCAATACTGTAATGAGCACTTTAGCTTCAAAATACATTAAAGATTTTCTTTTCTTTTCTTTTTAAATTTCAATAGTTTTAGGGGAACAAGTGTTTTTTGGTTACATGGATAAGTTCTTTGGTGGTAATTTCTGAGATTTTGTTGCACCTGCCCCCGAGCAGTGTACACTATACCCAACGTGTGGTCTTTTCTCACCCCCTCCCACTCTTGTCTTCAAGTCCCCAAAGTTTATTATATCATTCTGTGCCTTTGCATTCTTACAGCTTAGATCACACTTGTAAGTGAGAACATACAATACTTGGTTTTCCATTCTTGAGTTACTTCACTTAGAATAATGGTCTCCAACTCTATCCAGGTTGCTGCAAATGCCATTATTTCATTTTTTTAGGGCTGAGCAGTATTCCATGATGTATATATAACACATTTTCTTTATCTACTCATTGGTTGATGGGCATTTAGGCTGGTTCCATATTTTTGCAATTGCTAATTGTGCTGCTATAAACATGCATATGCAAGTGCCCTGTGGGTAGATACCCAGTAGTGAGATTGCTGGATCAAATGGTAATTCTGCTCTTCCTTCTTTAAGGAAATTCCATACTGTTTTCCATAGCGGTTGTACTACTTTACATTTCCACCAGCAGTGTGGTGTTCCCTTTTACACATTCACACCAACGTCTATTATGTTTTGATTTTTTTAACTATGGTCATTCTTGCAGGAGTGAGGTGATATCTCATTGTGGCTTTAATTTTCATTTCCATGTTAATTAGTGATGTTGAGCATTTTTCATGTTTGTTGGCAGTTTGTATCTCTTCTTTTGAGAATTGTCTTTTTCTTCTTTCCTTTTTCTCCTTTCCCCCTACTCTCCACATGTAACCTTGAGGCAAACTGCAGAAACCTTCTTTTTTTCTCCCTAGTCTTAAATTATAGCCTTGAAGTGTTCTTTGGAATGCTATGTCCCTCTCTCATCACACACTTCCTTGATCCTATGAACATTTATCTAACTGTATACTTGTTAAACTTACACCATGCACACTTAGAAGTTGTGCTTACTTAGAAGTTCCAGAAGCTAATTTTGAGACAGACCAGGCATGAAGACCCAGACACAAAATTCCAGAGATTACCTCAAGGTAGTTAGTCAACAACCCCACCATTGTTGAGATGATGCCAGCCCGTACTCTAGGCGAACCGTAACTCAAGATAGCCACTAGTACAAAACACACAGACCTTGTACCCAGTGCCACTCCAGCATGCCTCCCATTCCAAGTTCCCTTTTTAAGCCCCTCTCCCCACCCTAAAGTTTGAAATGGTTTCTTTAAGGCACTAGCCTTGGTCATTTCCTCACTGCAAGCCCTGGAATAAAGTAATTTTCCTTCCACTGCACTTCATGCTTGTTACAAGCAGTGAGTAGCTGAGCTTGCTTCTTGATTATTTGATAGATATGAACTATAATTACTTATCCATATCATAATTATCTCCAGGGACACTCATGCTTTTTTTATTTTTTGTCAAACAAATTCCATTTAATATGTAATTAATGTTTATTGATAAGACTAAACAGAACATTCTGAGTTAATATGAATATTTCTAGAGGTTCACAAGAGGGATAAAAAAATAAAAATTTCTAAGATGAGTTATTATACAAGCTCAACTTTTTTCAGGAATGTAATTATTTACTGTTGATTTTTAAATTGATCATACAATTAATTTTTAGGCATAGAATAAAGGGGGAAAAAAGCCAACCACCAACAATGTAAGTATTTACTATCTGATGTGGTTTGGATGTTTTGTCCCTTGTAAATCTCATGTTGAACTATGATTCCCAGTGTTGGAGGTGGGGTCTGGTGGGAGGTGATTGGATCATCTGGGTGGATCCCAAATGATCTGGGTGGATCCCAGCTTAAAAATCATATTAAGATTTTTAGCACCAACTCCTTGGTGATGAGTGAGTTCTTGCTCAATTAATTCATGCAAGATCTGGTTGTTTAAAAGTCTGGAACCTCCTTCTACTTGCTTGGTTGCTCTCTCTTGCTATGTGATACATCTGTTTCCCTTAACCATTCACCATGATTGTAAGCTTCTTGGGTCCTCACCAGAAGCAGATTTCAGTACCACACTTCCTGTACATTCTGTAGAACTCTGAGCCAATTAAACCTCTTTTTATTTATATAAGCTAACCAGTATCAGGTATTCCTTCATAGTAACACAGACTAACACAGAAAATTTGTACTAGGGAGTGGGATTTTGCTATAAAGGTACTTGAAAATGTGGAAGTAGCTTTGGAACTGGTAACAGGCAGAGGCTGGATGAATTTGGAGCACTCAGAAGAAGACAAGAAGATAAGGGAAAATATGGAACTTCTTTGAGAATGGTTAAACAGTAGTGACCAAAACGCTGATAGAAATATGAATAGTGAAGGTCAGGCTAAGGAGGTCTCAGGTGGAAATGAGGAAATTATTGGGAACTGGAGTGAAGGTCACCCGTGTTATGCCCTATCAAAGAACTTGGCTGCTTTGTGTTCATGCCCTAGAGATTTGTAGAATTTTGAATTGAAGAGTCATGACTTAGGATATATGGTGGAAGAAATTTCTAAGCAGCAAGTGTTCAAGATGTGGCCTGGCTGCTTCTAACAATCTATACTCAGATGCAGGAGCAAAGAAAGAACTTAAAGTTAGAACTTACATTTAAAAGGGAAGCAGAGTCAAAAAAGTTTGGATATTTTGCAGCTTGTCCATTGATAGAACAGGAAAAGTCATTTTCAGGACACAATACAAGCAGGCTTTGGAGTGGCCACTTGCTAGAGAGATTAGCATAACTAAAAAGGAGCTAAGAGCTAATATCCAAGATAATGAGAAAAAAGCCTCAAAGTCATTTCAGAAGTCTGTGAGGAACTCCCTCCCATCATAAGCCCAGAAGCCTAAGAAAAACAAGTGGATTTGGAGGCCAAGCCAAGGGCCTCACTGCCCTGTGCAGCCTTAGGTCACTGCTCCCCACATTCTGGTTGCTCTGGCTCTGGAATCAGCTCAAAGGGCCCCAGATACTGCTTTGGAGACCATAAGGCACCGTAAGCCTTGGTTGCTTCCACATGGTGTTAAACCTGCAGGTGCATGGAATGCAAGAGTGAAGGAGGCTTGGCAGCTCCCTCCCAGATTTCAGAGAACATGCAAGAAAGCCTGGGTGACCAGGCAGAAGCCTCCTGCAAGGGTGGAGCCCTCATAGGAAGCCTTTACTAGGACAGTGTAGAGTAAAAATGTAGGGTTGAAGACCGTAAACAGATCCCCTACTAGGTCACTGCCTAGTGGAGCTGTGGGAAGGAGGCCACCATCCTTCAGACCCAAGAATGGTAGATCTAAAAGCAGCTTGCATCCTGAACCTGCAAAGCCTCAGGCACTCAACTCCAACCCATGAGAGCATGCACAGGGGCTGCATCCACAAAGCTACAAGGGCAGAACTGCCCAAGACCTTGGGAGCCCTTGCACCAGTGTGCCCTGGATGTGGGTCCTAAGGAGTCAAAGAAGATCATTTGGAGCCTTCAGATTGAATTACTGCCCTGCTGGGTTTCAAACTTGCATTGGGCCTGTAGCTCCTTTCTTTTGGCCAATTTCTCCCTGTTGGAATGGGAACATATACCCAATGCCTGTATTATTTATTGTTACATCTTGGGAGTAAATTACTTATTTTTTATCTTACAGGCTGATAGGTGGAAGGAACTCATCTCCAGATGAGACGTTGGACTTGGGACTTGGAACTTATGAGTTTACACCTTGGGGGACTATTGTGAAAGCATGATTGTGTTTTGAAATGAGAGAAGGACATGAGATTTGGGTGGCCGAAAGCAGAATTATATGGTTTCTCATAATCTCCCTCCAAATCTCATGTTGAAATGTAATTCCCATTGTTGGAGGTGGGGCCTGATAGGAGGTGATTGTATCATGGGGGTGGTCCCCTCATGAATGGTTTAGCACCATGCCTTTGGTAATGAGTGAGTTCTTGCTCAGGTAGTTCATGAAAGATCTGGTTGTTTAAGATCTGGGACTTCCTCCCCCACTCACTCTGTTGTGCTCTCTCCTGCCATCTGACACACCTGCTTCTGCTTTACCCTCCTCCAGGATTGGAAGCTTCCTAAGGCCTCACCAGAAGCAAATGTCAGCACCATCCTTCCTGTACATCCTGCAGAACTGTGAACCAAATAAACCTCTTTTCTTAAAAATTACCCAGTCTTAGGCATCCCTTTATAGTAATGGAAGTGGACTAATACACTATCCTTCACAATATTGCTAACCCCTATTACATAATCAAGAAAAACCCTGAACTAGACAAATCAGTTTGATGTTGTTTTCTGAATACTAGAAAAATTATATTATTCAAAGAATACTCTGTGAACTTATTATGTATTTCATCATTTTCAAGGCTGGTAAAATCACACGCCTTCACATAGGCAAAGAGAACTTCACATTCTTGTAGTTTGGAAACTCCATAGGAAGGAGATACTGTTCCCCATTAGCTCAAGCACAAAAGTCCCACAGTGGATTCTGATTGGCCCATCTCATGTGATGTACCCATTCCTCCACCAATCAGGACTGGACAGATCAGGGTACTAAGCCTATCTCCGATAGTGGAAGGAGGTGGGAAAACAGAACCATGTGAATGACAGTCTCTCTTGAAAGATAAGGAATAGTCTGAATTCTCTAAGTGAAAGTGAGTGCTAATAATGGAAGAAGAGTGACAGGAAAGTGTGCTAAGCAAATAAAAAAAAAAAAAATCTAAGCCGGGCATGGTGGCTCACGCATGTAATTCCAGCACTTTGGGAGGCCAAGGCGGGCAGATCACCTGAGGTCAGCAGTTCGAGACCAGCCTGAGCAACATGGAGAAACCCCGTCTCTACTGAAAATACAAAACTTAGTCAGGCATGGTGGTGCATGTCTGTAATCCCAGCTACTCAGGAGGCTGAGGCAGGAGAATCGCTTGAACCTGGGAGGCAGAGGTTGCGTGAGCCAAGATCATGCCATTGCACTCCAGATTGGGCAACAAGAGTGAAGCTCTGTCCCCCCCCGACAAAAAAAAATTCCTAACCACAGTCCATATGTCTAGGTTAGATCATGGTTTTCCCATTTATCAATTGAGGGATCTTGAGCAAATCACCATACTTCTTTGATCCTCAGTTTCCTTATTTATCAAGTAGAAAAGTTAAAAATTACCTCTCTTACATGATTGTCATAAGAAGTTATTGACAGAATATAAACTAAGGGCTTAGACCAATTCCTGGCTTATATGGGCAACAGCAACCTAATTGACCAATATTTAAGGGATTCGCTCTGTTCTTTCCCCTGTGACAGATATTGACAATAAAATAATGAGCAAGGGCAGTCATAATTACTTTAACCAAATAGTCAAACAAACAAATACAAAACTGCAGTTGTTTTATAAAAAATAGGTAATTCATGCTCGACTTTATAGTAAGAGGAGAATTGAACAAAGCAAAGAGATCAGGGAAAACCTCCCTGAGGAAGAAAATATAGGGAATACTGAGTTGAGATCTACATGATAAATGCATACTTACTGGGCACAATGATAGGGTGAAACAAAGTGGTCCAAACAGAGGCAGAAAGGAGGGTATTTGCAAATGGCCTGAGGTGAGAATTATGAGGACAGAAGGGCCTTGGCCCTGGAAAAAAGGGAGCACATAATGAATTGACCTTGGAGAAGGAGGGAGAGGCGAGATCCTGGAGGCCTTGAAGGCTTTGCTAAGGTGCTAATTTCTTTATTCCAAGAGCAATGGCAAGCCACCAAAGAGCTTTCAGCAGAGGAAATTTCATGATCAAAGAGGCATTCTTCTCCTTTTCCCCCTCCTCTAGTCACTCAAAGACAGATATAGACAGTCTGTCTCCGGTCTGGCTTGGTCAGGCAATAAGTTTCAGTTTGTGAGAGACATTTTTTAAAAGAAAAATATTGAAAACAATATGTGTGTCTAAAAGAAGATATCCACAAAATAGTGAATGAACAAGAGATATTTCACATGCACAAAGCAAGATAAGACTTATTTGGTAAATTACACCTGCCTCTTAACAACAAAAACGATAAAGCTCAGGAAAAAAGCTTTTCAAAATTGGATTAATCAATAATAGCATGAGTGACGAATAGTATTGAAAGTATTCAAGTAAAAATTAGATAATCATGAAATAACTTTCTACCCAGTGTGTTAAATGTTGAATTCCCTGAGTTGTATAATGGTAGCCTGCTATTTCCATAAGAAAACATCCCCCATCCCTCCTGTCCACCTGGGACATAGCCCTGCCTCTTGTTCAGTTTAAAGGAACTCCTTGGTTTTTCTTCTGCGAATCAACTGAATGCTGGCCTGCATCCCCTATCAAAAGCCAGTCTTAAGGAGAGATCTCAGTCATTCTGACCCATTTGTGACTTCCATATAAGCCTACCCAAAATCTTTCATTTGCATATTAGCTCTTTCTAATCCCTTGGATATTTGCTTCGACATTCTCTTGATTCAAGTAACATTATTACACAACAAAACTGTAATGCAGCAGTATGAGGGAAACAAAAGATACAGTTACGTATGAGAAAGTCAGTGATATTAAGAAAGCTAGAACCAGGGAATGGTGGAGGTGGGAGGAGGAGACAGAACTGAGAGGGAAAAAAAATGGAAAGAGGGAGAAAGAGAGAGGAGAATGAGAATGCATTGTAGGAGATGAACGTAGCATGTATTATTGAGTTGAATGAAAAGAAATTGAACTGAATTTCTGTTAGGAACACTGCCTTGTTTCTTTAAACCTGGTACAACAAATTAGGCCATTCCTTTCTATTGGTCTCATAAAATCCGTATGGTTAGATTTATGATTCCCAGGCTTCAGTAACTCTCATACCATTTTGATTATTTTTGTCGTATCTGTCCTCCTTTAGTACTACTTGTTATTTACTTAATGTTATACATGAAAGTGAGTTTATATTGACACTAAATATTTCTTTTCTTGGGGGGAAAATGGTGGTAAAGGGGTACAAAGTTTTAGTTAGACAGGATGAATAAGTTCTGGAGATTTATTGTACAGCATGATAACTACAGTTAATGTACTGTATACAGTTAACCCTTGAACAACACAGGTTTGAACTGTATGGGTCTACTTATATGCAATTTTTTTTTCAAACTCAGATGGAAAATACAGTGTTCTAGAGATGTAAAACCCATGTATAAGCAGGGCTGACTTTTGTGTCTGCACGTTCTGCAGGGTTGACTGTGGGACTTGAATATATGTAGATTTTGGTATACCTGAAAGGTCTAGGAATCAATCCCCTGAATATACTGAGGTACTCCAAAACTACAAAGAGTAGATGTTAAATACTCTCAGCTCCCAAAAATGATGAGTATGTGAGGTGATGGATATACTATTTAGCCTGATTTAATAATTTCACAATGTATACATAAGCAGAACATCACATTGTACGTGGTAAATAGATACTATTTTTGTCAAATATAACTTAATAAAGCTGGAGAAAAAAAATAAAATTCTCCACTTCAAAAAAGCCTTAAAGGGGCCGGGTGCAGTGGCTCACGCCTGTAATCCCAGCACTTTGGAAGGCTGAGGCAGGCGGATCACCTGAGGTCAGGAGTTCGAGACCAGCCTGGCCAAAATGGTGAAACCCCGTCTCTACTAAAACAACAACAACAACAACAAAAATACCTGGGCGTGGTGGTGGGCACCTGTAATCCCAGCTACTTGTGAGACTGAGGCGGGATAATCGCTTAAACCTGGGAGGCGGAGGCTGCATTGAGCCGAGATTGCGTCATTGCACTTCAGCCTGGGAGACAGAGCGAGATTCCATCTAAAAAATAAAAAATAAAAATAAATCTTGAAGAAAAAAAAAACAATCATTTGCTATGCCTCCAGTATCCAAATTAAGCTCATTTTGATATTTGATGTTCGATATATTTGTACTAAGAGTACCTAATGTATAAAAATCTTTCTAAGCAACTATCAACTTGGAATCATGATTGATGTGCTGTCTATACATATTTTTTCTAACATGAGAAAGTGAGAACGCAGTCCCCCACTAAATTATGCAGTCGAGTTTCCCACATTTGGGGAAATCACAGAAGTCAGCACATCTGGAGTGAAATAAACAAGCTTCGCCCTGATTACAGGTTTGGCATATTCATGTTTAACAAACGCACCGGAACTAATTAAAGCAAATTTGGACTCCTACTCTATTATTAAAATAACTAATTCCTAAACTCATACATTATTCTTTCTTTTAAAGATCACTGATGTTAATGTTCAGCTAATATTTTCTTTTAAAAAATTAATGAAATGCTTTGGAATGTTCTCCAGTTATACAAACAAAAACAGACACATTCTGGAGAATCAATAAAATATTTGAAGTATTTTTTAAGACTGTACAGCTGGAGCTCCAGGTTTAAATTAGAGCTCTGCCATTTACTAGATATGGTTGGTCAAGAAAATTAACCTTGTATTTCATCGTCCATAAAATGGGAATAAAATAATAAGATCTACACTAATAGATTTGATGAAAGAATTTAATGAGATAATCTATGCGAAGTTCTTAGTCTGGCACCTGGCACATGAATAAGTGCATCACATAATGATGTTAGCTATTATTATTGTGGTTGCATTATCTTTCCGTTCAAAAAAGTACAACTTTCAAAGCCTTGCTGTGTTGGCGACCTGTAGTTTAATAATCTATCGCTTCTCTTTCAATCTTAATTTCTAAAGACACAGTAACAAACCATTCCAAATGAAGCGTCTCCCCTTGCAATACTTAACCTTGAGTCAACAATTCTTGTAATTATTAAATATTCATTCACTAAAGTAATTGTTTTTTTTAAAAAATAGAGGTGATAGGACAATGGCCTAACTACAGATCGCAATTAAACTTTATTTCTCTAAGGCAGGCAGGGTGAATTCTTTGCTCCGAACCTCCCGGACTCCTCTCCCTCTCCGACTTTGTATAACAGAGGGAGCTCCGAGCCCTCTCTGGCGCGCGAGGTATTTCGTCTGTCCCCGGGGGTGCCAGGTGAGCCCCAGCGGATCCGGGAGGGTAAGCTGGGACTCCTCGCGAGCAGTAGCTGCAGGGTACCAAGCTTCGCCCTCTGCGTCCCCGCGCCTTCGCGGTCTCCCGCCAGTGCAGGTCCGGGGCCCCCAGGCGAGCGGACAAGGTTGGCCTAATCTGCCAAACTTCTGGGGCATTTACCGTGCTCTGGCCGCCCTCCCGATTCTTCCCTCCGCGCCCTTGCCTGCTTCTCGCCTACCCCGGGCTCCGGAAGGGAAGGAGGCGTGTCCGGAGCAGGCGGGCGGGAACTGTATAAAAGCGCCGGCGGCTCAGCAGCCGGGCTTCGCTCGCCGCCTCGCGCCGAGACTAGAAGCGCTGCGGGAAGCAGGGACAGTGGAGAGGGCGCTGCGCTCGGGCTACCCAATGCGTGGACTATCTGCCGCCGCTGTTCGTGCAATATGCTGGAGCTCCAGAACAGCTAAACGGAGTCGCCACACCACTGTTTGTGCTGGATCGCAGCGCTGCCTTTCCTTATGAAGAAGACACAAGTGAGTAGGGCGCGCCCGGGAGCTCCCAGGCTCTCCAGGAAAAATCGCGCCCGGTGCCCCGGGGAAGCCGGCGCTCCCTGGGACTTGCAGCTGGGGCGTGCAGGGCTGTGCCTGCCGGGTGAGACAAGAGGATGCGGGGGAGGCCGGCGTGGTGTGTGATCCCGAGCCGAGCCGGGTGAGCCAGGGAGAAAAGGAGTGGGAGTGCTGAGAGGGAGCCAGTGTCAAGTTTGGAGCCTCAGCAGTTAAGTTTTGAGCTGTCAGTCGGAAACCGTAATTCCCGTCTGGTGGAAAGATTGGCTTTTGGGCCATGGAATGTTAAGTTATCACGGGAAGGCATGTCTTTGCATAGGAGACGGTTTTCCCGTGGATTCCAGGAGATTATGAAACAGCACCCCACGCGCCACCCTCACTAGCTCTCTCACTCAGATTTATTTGTGTAGCCCCGAGGTGGGCGCCGGGCACCAGGAGCGGCGCGAACGCGGGTGCAGCCGCGGGAGCGAAGCCAACGCGGAACTCCTAAGCGGCAGCTCTCGGCGGGGCGGGAACCTGCCCGCCTGCCCGGGAAACTTGGCTCTCGGCGGTGTCTGCCTAGTTTGCAGCTCTGTGTGGGCTCTAAAGAGCTCTAGTACCTCCACAATGCACGCACCTTTTTCCATTTCAAAAGGGATAAAGGCTTTTTATAAAATAGGCACCTCTGAATGATAGTGATTGAGATAATTCCCAGTGCTGCTAAATTCTGCATTATACATAAAGCACTGTGGGTAAAGCGCTGCCTGGGGGGACAATTAGATTTTTTTTTCCCTTGAAGAAAATACCTGGTTCTTCGTTTAGAAAGGGCCGCCACGGTGCCCCTATCCACAGTTCTCTTCACCATTGTTGATTGTTACCTCCTCTCACTTTCCCCCTTAGAAATTGTTATGTGTTATCTGCCGCGGTTGGCTAAGGGTTGCCCTTTCACCCCCCAGAGGTTCTGTTGGAGATTGCAGTTCCTGAAATGTGTGGAAGGGGTGGAAGTGGTGGGGAAAAAGGAAACCGGGGTGTTTGTACACATCGTTGGTGTAGAATGAAGGCATCAATGTGCTCAAAATGCTTTATCAAATGACCTGCTTAGCATCATATTTTAAACAGATATCTAGGCCTGCAAAAAGTTGCAAGACTCTAGCCCCTTGTACCGGTGTGGTAAAAGGCAGGGGAAAGGGACATTGCCTGGCTAAAAGAGGCTTGCATAGTCTCTAGAGCACTCTCTAAGAGAAAAGACGCGATGTGCCTCTCCCCTCTCTTACAAGCAGGTTAGCTTTCAGGCAAGGCATTGAGCACCGCACCTGGAATCACCACAGCGTGCTGTCGAAATGCAAATGTTAAAGATTCTTGCAACAAAAGAAAAGTTTTATTGTAATCTCTTGATTTAGACAAGCTTTCTGCGAAATTATAAGAAGGGTAGAGACCTATTCCTTCTTATAGTAGCATCTGCTCCCATGGATGGTGGTGAGATCTGGGGGAAGAAGCTGCTACCTTCTAGTTCAGGAAAAGAGCCTAAACCTTCCTATTTAAACAAGAACACAGGAGACAGATAAGGTTAATGTCCAACACTCCAAAGCCAGGGGATGTACTATCAAGTCACTTTGAGAGGCAGTAGGATTGATTATCCTTGCACCCTTGCTTTGCAAAACAAATGTGAGCTCTGTAATCTCCTTTCTCGCTTTGATTAAATGGCTGTGTAAATCGGATTACATGGAATAATTCCATTGAAAACTAGAAAGAGGTCAATCTAGTCTGAAACATTGTGACTGTGGCATTAGTGACTCAGTGCTGCCGACCAGAGAAATTTGAGAAAGCTAAGTATTTTAGATATGTGACCTGTTCGGTCACACATCACACAAGTTAAAGTGCAGGCCCTTTGGGGGAACTTGCTGATGTTAAACGGCTTGTAGGCAAAGGAGGGCAGTACCCTTGTTGAATGAAGGCATTCATTGCCTAGGATCTAATGACCTTCAAGGTTTTTTTTAAGAATACTTCTAGCGATTCCACAGTCACTGAAAAAGGGGACACTGGAAATAGCCCAAAATCAATAAAATAATCTGCAGAAATGGAGGAGGGGATTAGATCTTTCATATTGTTAAATTTTCTAATCCAAAAATTACAAAGACATTTTCTGTGCAATGCTGCATGGATGGAAGGTAGCCTATGTAAATTGGACATTAAGAAATAGGATCGATTGTTCTGATTCTAATGTTATCCTCACCAGGGAAGAATATCTATTAATATTTAGTAGTTTAAATAGTCATTTATAAACATGGCATCAATACCATGGTTCTATTATAAAGCAACTTGTTCTGTACTCTCCTACTACCCCACATATAAAAAAAATTTATAGTAATATTTTAAAATGGGGTTTGATTTGAATTACACAGCTCTCCAAGAATCATGGGGACTCCAGGTATTCTGGCCTTTCCGTCAAGCTAAGTAAGTGTGAAAATTCCATCAACAACCACTTGGGGTTTGATGAATGATTCATTCATTTAGCATGTTGGTACACTTCAGTATTTCCAATATAATGACACAGGCAATAAATTTAAGCACAGTTCTACAGAAATGAATGTCTTTTGAATTTTTCAGATTTCTGTTTGATTTTATTTTATTCAGATTGTGTGGTTTTACAGTTTTCTAGAGGTGTTTGTGGCTTGGGCTTAGAAAAAACATCTCTTTCAATGTGTAACTATTTTTTAAACATAATATTCTGATACACCATATTGGATAACAATCAAGGCACCATATTTTGCAACACTGATTAAGATTTGGTTAAAAGTGCCATTAGCTTAATGTGCCTGGTGTTACATTTATCAATGTTGTGCTTACATTTTAGTTTGGGGATGGTTTGTGAGAAGTGTCATAACTCCTGTCAATTTCAGAAATACTGAGATAAGAAAGATTGATCTTGCAAACAATGTAAAAAAGGCCATTTTAGGCATACTAACTCTCAGAGAATAAGCAAATAGAATGCTAATTTTCACTACTCCAAAGAAAATATCTCTTTTATGTCTGTATGAAGTTTGTCATGTGGGTGATGATGCAAGTTTACTTTGTAGAAGAAAATTAACATACTTATGAAAAGAGCATTTTTTTAGTCTTGTCCTTAAGATCACTCAATTTGGAATGTATGCTTTGAATAATTCCAATTTATGTAGCTTTTAATTGATACATTCTGCCAAGACTTTAAAACCCAAGTGCTAAGTTGATTACATTTAACATAAAACAAGGAAAATAACCATATGGAAATCTGAAAGTCTGGGCCAAACCAATTAAAATTGCTAAATTTTATTTACGTCTAACTGCTGATTTGAAGATAGCAAATTCTGGGTCACATTTTTTTTTTAATAATAGGTGACTGAAATGTTTCCATCACCATAAATCACATAAAAATTTCTCACTCAAATAGCAAGTGTGGGTATTGGAGGTTTTTTACATGGATTGGCAAATTCCACTACATGTGGCCTTCGCTTTATATCTGAGAATAAACCATATCTGAGCATATATGAGAAACACCTAAAATATGGTTGGTAGAAGGATTCTAGGTTCTAGCTTCTGAAGACTTAGATTCTAATTCCTGTTTTACTACTCATGAGACAAATGACCTTAGGCAAATATTTGTTAAACTTTTTGGGATTTCTGTTTTTTGTAATCTGTATGATGATTATAAAAGTTATAAAGATTTTTCTCGCATGGTGGTTTTAAGGACTAAATGAAATTTTATATGTGTCTTTATACCAGCATAGTAGCTTACTATATGTACAGTTTGAATTTATTGTTCCTGAGAAGAGAGTGCCTGCTGGCCTACTTTTACAAGCCAGAGAAAAACTGACTTATTGCAGGTAAATTATGCCTAATGAACCAAGCACAGAGACCAAGTTTTCCTAAATCTACGTCTGTCGATTTGGTGACTCCCATGATAGGCTAATATCTGTTTATAGACTATAATTAAGACACATCAATCCAGGAATATGTGAAGACAAAGGTGATATGTGGGCTTAAGAGGTGCTACGTTTTTGAAGGTTTTTCTTTTAAAGTACAAATGAATGAGATAATTAGAATAGAAAATAGAAATGGAAAATGGAAATATTATCTTTATCGCTGACTCAGTTTCATATTTCTACACTCTTGCTAAGTTCTCCTTGTATGATTCTAAGGAATTATTTCATTTTATTTTATTTTATTTTGGACTAAAGAGACTTGGTTAGTTTCCCATCCCTAATGTTCTCGCACTTGCTTTTCTGAGTGAGGCCATGCATTCATTTCTGTGGGGTGTCTTTGTTGTCTTTACCAGGCAACGTGCAGTGACATTTTTTTTTCATTATGCTAGTTTGAGACTTTTATTTTTCTTTTCTGGATTATCTTAATGTTCCCTTTTGTAAATTATTTTTATTCCCTTTTGTAAATTTTATTCCCTTTTGTAAATTAGGGCAAGGCATTTGGATATAAATCTCTGAAGAGTGATCTTTTATCTTTCTTTCTAGCACATAAATCATGAGCAGCTGCAAGAAACTGTTCTTGGTCTTACACACTGTTCTTGGTCTTAGTCACGTGTGTAGACAGAACAATTTACAAAACAAGTTGAGGGAACACCAAGATATTTTTATAATATATGCTGCTTTCAGGGTTGTTTTGTATAGGCTCTGTTTCATAGAAACAATTGACTGCAGCCTTTCTGATTTATAGATGCAGCAAGATGTGTTTGCCTTTTCACTTAATTATGGGTATACTAAAAACTGTTTACAGGGGCTGGGAGTTTAAGAGAATTGTCATGATCTCATCTCTACCTATTTCTTTCTCTATAGAAAAAAGAGGTGGGGGAGTGATTTTCTCATAGTTGGGGCTCATGGTTCTTTCTTTAAAATCATAATGTGTGTCATCTAAAGGAAGACTGTTCTTTATGTACCTGTCTTTGTCCTTTGGCTACATTTTACTATTTTTGTAGGCTGCCACTTTGGCTTGGATATTAGGAGGCTGATTTCTTTTATTAACCTGGATAATAAGTAGTAGTAATTTGGGAAATTATTTGAACTCCAGATCTTAGTTTGCTCAACTGTAAAATGAGTAAGTGAGACTAGGTGATTTCTAAGTGCCTTCTGGTTCTAAAATTCTCTATTTCTAAAGTACTAGTAAAATAGATATTTGAACCAGATGGTATTTAAGCTTCCTTCAGTTCTCAGATTTATGCAGCCATTGCTTCAGTGTGAATGCACATTATAACCATTGTTTTATGATTATGAATAAGCCAATGGGGAGAAATGAAGGAGATTTAAATTTAGACTGTTCTACTTTTATGCATTTCACCTACTGCTTGATATTTCTTTGTAAAAAGAATGGTATTTACACTTTCCTGTTTTAGCAAAATCCATAGTTAAAGAGGATCTTTACTTTCTCTGTTCTAAATTTTTAAGTTCTATGAAAAAGAATTCTAAGATAAAGTCAGCTAACCAGAGGAGATAAGCTTACAAAAGGTAATGCTTCCCTGTATTTGCCTGTTTTTTTTCTGTCCCTTTAACTTCCAGTACGTGTGTGCATGGAGTTGAAATGGAGAAAGAAAACCAAGAAGGGATCTGATGATGTAGTAGAAAGAGCACTGAGGGGAGAATCAGAGGAACTGATCCTACCCTTTGCTCTGCCTCAAGATGTGTGACCTTGGACTAGTCTCCCAGTCTTAGTATCTCTGAATCATGCCCAAGATAGTTAATCCTGAGAAGATAGTGAAGATGAGAGGCTGCAGCTGGAGACACGGAGGTGGAAAGAGGAGGGAGCCTCAGGGAAAGGCAGTTCCTGCAGATGATACTATGCCAAATCTCTCCTTGGCTGGCTTTTGTCTGGGTCCAGTACCATCCTTGGAACAGTGCTTGCTTACCTCCTTTCCTTAGCTGAGAGCTGGAGCAAACCCAGCAGCTAGCCGTAGCCCTTTTCTTTTTTTCTTTTTTTTTTTTTCTTTTAGCAGTCAGAAGCTATGGCAGTCTTTTCTTGTTGACATGAGAATATTCCAAGATCAGCTGGACCCTCCTCAAGCTAGGAGAACACACATTTCTCAGAAAACAGGGCCACAACCATGAAGATAATGTTCTTCTCTAATCACTGGCATTGCCCACTGAGCTATCCACTAAAACAAAGTTTAGAATTGAGGCAATAGTCTAGAAAATTTAAAAAAAAAAAAAAGTAGCAATGGCTATTATTGGGATATTTGGATGCAGAAATTCAGCACTTGACTTTGTGCCTGTAGCTGTTGCCCTGGGGCTCTTGAATGCTGCTGATTAGAACATGGGTAAATTGGGAGGGAGCGGGGCAATAAGGTAGCCTTTTCTGTGTTCCAGGTACACAGACAGCAGCTCAAACTTTGTCTGTTGCTCACAAAGAATGCCTTTGCTCTTTAGGGTGACCATGTAAAAGGACATGAAAGGACCACCGCAAACTCATCGGTGCTCACTTGAAAAAGCAAGCCTTGTTCACCTTTGCAGAAAGGGCATCCCCACTGCATAATTGCATCCCTGTGCAAACCTGGGAAGAAAGAGCACAGGTTGGAGGGGGGCGTTGTGTTTGTCTTGTATGCCCATACTGTGTTGCCTTTTCAGGAGCAGAAGTTCATCTGCTGAACATAAGCCCTGTGAGTGCTTAGAACTTTTCCCTCTTTTTCACCTTGACATAAAATCCCTAAAGCTGAGGACCTTTCCCTTTCAATGTCTTCACTCTGCTCCAGGGCTGAATTGCATCTCATTATTGGCTTGTTTCACCTAAATGTGAGTATTTGAGTGGCAGTGAACCAGGTTGCCTCTAAGGAATACAACTGAATAATGGTGGTCTATTGTGAAGGAACCTCTTAGGGCCCTACAGTGCTGAGTTTTCTACTGTTTACTTGGAGTTCCTTTCTCAGTGCCTTCCCAAACAACTGCCTTGGGAAAACACACAGATTCTTTGGCTTCCAAGAAGAGTGTGACAGAGAAAGTGTGCTTTGTTATAAAGGCCTTGTCACCCTCCTGGATGTGTTATCCATATCGATGTACTGGCTGTTAAAATTCATGTTCACTGCAGAACTCTAGATGGAGGAGTGGTAAGAAGGGAGGGTAGAGATGTTTTCATATAAAATTGTTTCTAATGTGATCTAGAAAACCCAAGGATTGCAACACAGACCTCAGCAGTCATACATCATTATTTATGGTTCTGTGTAAATGTACAATTTAACGCTTCTGAAATAGTAAACACATTAGGGATTTCCTTTTTTGATGAACAACCAAAAGCTCTGTGATTGCTTTAGTTTGGATTTCTCGCAACTTTAGAAAACTGCTGTATTCCGTGGGCCCTACTCATAAATCTTTGATGTGCTCTGTTAGTCAGAGGACTGACCTTAGCACATTTGTCATTCTGCTGTTTGAAAGATACATTATCACAGTATAGGAGAATGGCTGGTGCTTTCTACTTCCAGGTGGTCCAAAGTGGGAACTAAACAAAATGAGGGGATAATAAAGGGATTAGGCAACATTCATGAAAAATTCAGAGGAAATTATTAGCATAATGTTTTTACTATTTGGATGACATTAATTGTATGTAGAAAAGCACTGAACTACAAAATAGGGCTTACATAATTCTTCCAATATCTTTGTAACAAATTATATATATATATATATATATATAATAATGTATATAATATATATATAATGTACATATTTATATTTATTCTTAGCCCCTGCCCAGAAAAGTGTTTTTAAAACTTTACTTCCTGTTTGTAATGTACTGAAGCCACAGTACTCTATGCTTTAATAATACTTTAAAAATAATGTACCTTTTTTTAAAATATGAAACTAGGGTCTTTAAGAAAAAAATGTATTTAGGCATTTATTAGGCTTGCTTGATTTATTTCATATATAGATACACATATGACTGTAGCTAATTTTAATTTAAAATTATAAGTAGCTTCTAATAATACTAGCAAATCCTTATATAATGCTCACAATGTCAGGACCTGTTCTAAGCCGTTTGCATTTATTTATTTATATTTTTCAATAATGAGACTTTTAAATCCAAGACTGATTTGACCATTTATTGTTTGCACTTCTGTACAAATGTCACACATAATGATTCAACTTGAAGAGATGAAATTTACTGTACTATGTGTCAAGTGTTTGGCATTTAAATGTGTAGCCATTTTAAATAGCTTCTATCATTATATTATAAAATCAAACCATCCTGATAATAGATCATGCCAAAATGGCACTTAGTAGAAAACAGTTCCAAGATTAATTAATTCACAGCACTTTTCCGCTGAGAGGTAGTTATTATTTTTTTAAACCCCATTTCACAGATAGGAAAACTAAGACAAGGTCTTTCTCCTGCCAATCCCAGGTGTTTATTGCAAAAGAGACTCAGCTGGCATTAACCACAGCGCATTAGTGTGGCTTATTTAATACCTCAAAGATATGCATTCTGTTTACATGAACATTGAATCAAAAACAAATGCAACTCAGATGTTCAAAAAAGCTGCCAGTAATAGAATTTGGACAACAAAAATTTCATGATTGCAGTTGCCTCAAAGAGTGGCTCCTGCCAACTGCTCAGTAAATACACTTGGAATGTTGTGAAATGAATGGAGACCTAATTCAGGTTGTTAGATACTGATACATTTTTTATAAGCCTTTTTTCTAATGGCAAAATTTTAACAATTGTGCTAGGTCTGTTATACACACAAATGTGTTTGGTGCATGACTGGCAAGGCTACTTTGTTTACTATTTTACAGCATTAATTTTCAGTGAATGCATAACATCATTTACTTAGTGAAACTGGAGACAATGTGAGAGAATAGCAAAGGTTTGAATGGATATAGATCAAATGTAGTATTGGTTCTGCCACTTACCAACCCCAGTAAGTTTTTCTCTTTGAACTTCACTTTCTCAATATTTAAAATGGGCACAGAAGTAACCACCTAGTAGTAGTATTGATGTGATAATTAAAAGAGATAGACTGTCTAACATCACAGCAACTGGCACTTACTTAATAGAGCATTGTTTCCTTCTCTAAAAGAATAGTAAATCACACAGAACATTATACAAATCTGTATGCTGTAAGAAATAACTTCAGTGTTAGTAATTCCTGGCTTTGGCTATAGGGCTTTCATAAATAAAAAAATTAAAACCAATCCTTAGAGACTAATAGCTTAACTCTCTTATTTATACGTTATCTATCTTATTTGACACTCATAAACACCCTTAGCAAATTTTTAGAAAATTTTCCCAATTTTATCTTCTTTACTTTTCTCCCCTTTCTGTTGAAAAGAAATAACAAAGTAGGCCAAAGACAAGCTGTTTAAGAAGTAAGAGCAGCTTACTGAATAAGGAAATATAAGACAAATTAATAAGTTAATAACTGTGAATTACTCCCCATGGGTGAAACACCATGCCACAAACTGCACAAGTGTATCTCATTCGATTGTAGCAAAATGTTGTAAAATACATATTATTATTTGGCATCATTTTTTTTAACAAAGAAAAATAAAAACCCTGAAGTTCAGAGAGATTAAGAAAACTTGCCCAAAATGAGAATTTAAAAAGTGCAAGTGGAAGAGTTTGTATTTGAAGCCAAGCCTATTTAAATCTAAAGGCCAGATTCCTTCTAATCACTACAATATAATGCACCAATATAGACACGCATGCATACACATACAAACTGAAAGGGTTGAACTTCTTTGTTTTTTTTTTGTTGTTGTTGTTGTTTTTTCTAATTTATTTGTGGAGAAGAAGATGCAATTTAACTTTACACCAGAAAGACTGAGAGCAGGCAAAGCTGAGTCCTCTGGTTGAGTGATGAGTTGCTTCTGACCCCACACTCCTCAGTACTTACCAGAAGTGTAAATGGCTGTATGTGAGCAACACTCCCACAGGTCAGGGAGCCTGGGTTTCCTCATCAGGCTTTCCCACCCATCTCCCCAGCAGTCAAATGGAAACCCCTTGCCTGACTCATCTGACTGTTGTGAGGGAATCTCATTGTAAACTCTAAAGATGTCGTCTTACTTTATGGAATCAGGAATTACTTCATTGCCAAAAAGCTTTCTGTCTTTCAAATAAAGTGGTACTTTGTTGGCAGAGGGCAGATTTTAAAATATTTTAAAGTTATGTTTCAAAATAACTTCTTGGAAATAGAAAGATACTTCAGAAAGTACTTTTATCAATTTGCTCTGATCCTCTTTACATGATGTTTTGGAAGATGGTTTTAAATGTCTGTGATCATATTAGGAAATTATTTGATAATAATGTCGTTTATGTCTGGCTTTTAAAGCTACCAGCCATTTATATTGTGGCCTTTGTTTTGTTCATTTCTTATCAATCCAACTGCATTAATATTAAAAAAAATATTTTCTGCATTAATATCGCAAGATTTTAAATGGGTGATTGTCAGCACAACCTTATCAGCAGCATCACCTTGTAACATACTCAATAGCAGTTTAGTACAAATGAAAATGTTGGCTAAAAAGTCCTGGCATCATCTCAACACAGGTAAAGGAGACAACAGAACAGAGATGTGCTTAACCAAACTCTGCAGTCAGATGGTCTGCTTTGGTTGCCTAAGAACGAAAACCTCTTAGCCTCAATTTCCCCATCTGCCAAACAGAATGAGCAATGGTACATTTATCATAGGTAGTTATAAGGATAAAATGAAATAATCCACAAAAAAGCACTTAGTCCAGTGCTGGACACCAAGAAAATACTAAATAAACATTTACTCTTGCTATTACCATTAAACAAATGGTAATGTAATGCTTATCAATAGTGATGGCTCCTTTCTTAAAGAAAGTGACTTTAACTGCAAAATCTCCACTACCAGAGTGAAAGGGAAAGTTGAAGCAATTTATCCAAGTAACTCCAGCCTCAAATTCACTTTTGTCCTGAGTAATGTAGTTGTTTTTATTCTTTTTTTAAAACAAAAACTGAAAAAGAAAAATGTGTATAATTAGAATCACAAAAGAGTTTACCTAGAGCAAAGTTACTTCTTTCTATCATGTGCCCAAGATCGCGGCACCAATATGTGGTGGCTGGCTTATGAAACAGATTCGGATTCAGAGCTCGCATTCCCAAGCTCTTTGCTTTACCTGGAATTAGGGGGACAGAACATGAGTCATTCCCATTTTGAATCAGTGAGTGATTGCCTACTTTTCCCTATATGAGTGAAGTCATTTTCAGCATCCATAGAAATATAGCCACTTGTCAAAAGAAAATGGAAAGAACATGGCTTTTGTGTCAAAAGCATATAGATTTTACCTCTGGCTCTTGACTCTAGCTTGACATGGGACCTTAGGCAATTTATTTATCTTTCCTTAACCTTCTCTTAAACTTCTGTAAAATGGAAGAATAATACTTTGCAGCTTCCTTCTCTTGTTTCCTCACTCTTTTTTCTCTCCCTTCTTTCCTTGTTCTTTCCCTTCTTTTTTTTAAAAACCTGGAAATAATGTTATATACCTAATTTGTAATCACGATTCACAATCACTCAAATAATTGTACTATTAGAAAACAATGTTTTTCAGAATTAACACGGTTTCCTGCTCTAATTTTAAGAAGTAAATTATATTTCTCAAAGTGTTTGGCTCATTGGCCTTGTGTAGACTGGAAGAAGCATGGGGTTTGGAGTTAGACAGAATGAGAGTTAAATCTTAGCTCCACTATTATGATTACAACATGATATTTATTTCCTTCCTCTAGGCCCCAATATCCTCATTGGTGTAATGGGGTTGTAGGGGTAATAGTACATAGTTGGAAGAACACAAGAATTAAATGAGATTATAGTCTGGGCATGGTGGTTTATGTCTGCAATCCAAACACTTTGGAAGACAGAGGCAGGAGGATTGCTTGAGCCCAGGAGTTTGAGAACAGCCTGGGCAACATAGTGAGACCTTGTCTCTACAAAAATATTATAAATAAAATAAATAAATAAATAAATAAATAAATAAATAAATAAATAAATGAGATAATATGTGGAAATTGTCTGACCCAGAAGTGATGCTCAATAAATTGTATCTGTAAGCTTTAGGGAATGGATTATGCCAGCAGACACATCAGTATGTATTAGACTGTCTGCTCTGTGTCTGTAAGGATGTTGACACATGTTGGCGACCTCACAAGTTGTGAAAGTCAAGAGAGTTAATTAACTGAGCAGTGCTCTACATACTATACTGTCCATTCAGAGGCCTAGTGTTGTTGTATTGTTCTCAGACTTGAGCAATAAAAAATATAAATTTTCCAAGTACATGAAAACTTTAGTTTATTAATGTCTTCTAAAATGAGCCTCAAATTAGTTTTTGTATAGTATGATCATGAATAGCTTTGGAGACTCATAAATCTGGAATCATCTCTTCAAACTGTATGACTTTGAGTCACTTGATTCTTCGGATAACATTCTGATTTTCTCACTTGTAAAATGAGGTTTATAATAGTGTCTAAGTCCTAAGGTGACTGTGAGGATTAAATGAGCTAATGCATAAGAAGGGCATTAGGACAGGTACCAGAAAACCTCGGTAAATGTTAGCTCCTTTCAAATAAAATGCAGTTTTGCATTCAAAGGTTGTTCGTTTGTTGTTTTTATTTTTTTTGCATGTGTTGAATTTAATAACTTTATAGAATCAACAGTTTGGAAATGTTTCCATTATGAATTCAGGTTTTATTTTCTTGTCAGTGACTCTGTTTAGTTTAAGGGCTTGGTTGTCCAGATTCATCTTTGAGTAAGTTTTGTATCAATCAAGACAGATGCAAGTTACTTTTATCAGTCCATTACTTCAGGTAAACAAGCATTCCATTCTTTGACAGAACATTAAACTGTTATGTTCTTTTTGATGGAGTGCTGATTTGTTCAAAACACTTGTGAAAGAGAGAAAACAGCTCCTGTTTTATAACTCTTTTGTAATACAAAGTTTGTTTCCAAAGGTTTTCTGGAAGTTTCTTGATTGAATCTTTGATTGTGGATACCACAGTGATTAATTTACCAAGCCGGAAAATGTGGGAAGTAATTTTGGGTTCAGTTCAGAGTGGGATCTAACACAACACTTTGAACCAATATTAAAATGCAGAAATCTCTTTTAGATATTGAAAAAGAAAAACAAATATATATATATTAAAGTCCCTGCTTTTAAGGCCTAAAGGAGAATGTAGTAGAAACACTGACATGTGTAATTTTTGTGAATTGCTTAGGAACAGAATTAGATTTAAAAAGGAATTCCTTTTGCACTTTTCCCTGAAGATTTGTGTCCTAGCATTTGAGGAGTAATACAGGAAAGTCAGAACAAGAACTTACTGACAGCGCAGGAGATCCATGTCCTAAATTCATGTATGTGGTACTGTATTGCTATGCAGCTTTCAGGATGTCCATTTTATTGTCCATCAAAATGTAGGGGTAGATCCTATAATTTTAAAGGTTCTTTCTAATGCACACAATCTAGAGTTATTAACAGAAGTCTGACTGTGTCATTACCCTGGCTAAAATCCTCTACCGACTTTACATTACCCTCAGGATAAAGTCCAAACCCTCAGCACACTATACAAGGTCCTCTGTGGTTTGGCTGTTGCTTATCTCCACCACTCCCGAGTGGTAAGTTTCATTCCAGCGTCACCTAACTATGTACAATGACATACCAATATTGCTGCACTTGGTTTCCAAGGCCCTGAGGGCCTCGCATTTGGGTAGCTTTGATGGTCTCTACTCCAGGAAGTCCTCCCTGACTTTTGTTTGCTCTTTTTCCTCAGCCCCTCTCCCTACTATGTTGTTTAGTGATCTTACCCTGAGCTCCTGTAGCATTTAAAAAAACAATCATATCACTTATCACATTATATTGAAGTTATTTTTTTACTTACCTAGCTAAGTTGTCTAACACTGGTATCCCTAGCTAGTGGCACAGTGCCAAAATATTGATAAAGGTTTTCTGAACTAAACTATGAATTTAATGCCAAATGTCTCTTTGAGGGACAACATCCACCTGTCAGCATTCTAAGAATGGATCCAGACATTTGACAATTTTGTGCCTGCTGACCTCAGCAGACACATGAAACTGCATGTAACACTGTCCTGTATAAACATACATACATTGTTCAAACAGAATTTTCCTCAGAGAGAGAAATGATAAATGAGCCACTTTGGGTGGTAGAAGAGAATGGAGACAGTAAATTAAAAATAAATAAATAAATAAAGGAGAAGGTGAGGCCATTGCTTGCCATTCTTAAGGAAATGACACAATAGGCTGAATGACAAGGGCCAGTTAAAACTCGCTAATGCCAGATATATGAAGACTTAAGAACCAGAAAGGATTTTAGGGCAGAATATTGTTGATGATGATGAAGAGGAAAAATGTTGATTTCCGATGCTTATTCTCTGTGCCAGGTCCTGAGCTAAATGTGTTACATACTTTATGTCTCCTGATTCTCCCCACCTGTGAGGGTGGTGGTAGTGTGATTATTCCATTTGATACAAGAGGAGGAATCTGAGCTCACAGAGGTTGAGCAAATTTCTCAGCATCTTACAACTCTCAGTCATCAAACCTGATCTGTTTGTTCCTAATTTCTTGCTTAGTATTAGTACTGTTGACATTTTATTTTCTCACCTAGAGATTTTGTTTGTTTGTTTCTTTGTTTGTTTAAATGGAGTCTCGCTCTGTCACCAGGCTGGAGTGCAGTGGTGCAATCTCAGCTCACTGCAACTTCCGCCTCCCAGGTTTAAGTGATTCTCCTGCCTCAGCCTCCTGAGTAGCTGGGATTACAGGCACGTGCCACCACTCCCGGCTAATTTTTGTATTTTTAGTAGAGATGTGGTTTCACCATGTTGGCCAGGATGGTCTCGATCTCTTGATCTCGTGATCTGCCTGCCTCAACCTCCCAGAGTGCTGGGATTACAGGCCTGAGCCACCGTGCCCAGCCGAGATTTTTTTTGATACATAATAATTCATGAGACTATTACAAATATGGTAAATGGATTCTTCCTTCCCAGCTCACCCACACTCAAGATGCTTCCTTTAAAATTCTGTTAACAATTTGTGCTAGTTAATAGGTAGCTAGTGCAATACTCAAGTAAAGGATGTTGTGTAGTTTTGGATACTGAGATGTATAGTCTTTGTCTAAAAGGAGTTGAAAGACAGAAATATGACAATATGAGAGGGTTTAGATGATTCTATTAGAATGATATTTATGTATTTAAAACAGATATGGTTAAGGAGTTCAGCAAAAATAATGTCTCAATACATAAGATCAGAGATTAAGCGTGGAGGAAGAAAGTTGGAGAAGGATTAACAAGAAGTGATGTTTTCAAATTTCATGTGTGGTTAGAAGCCATCATCTTAGTGACTCAAGGCAGTAATACTACTGCTTTACAATACAGTGCTCTAAAATAATGTTACAGATATTGCATGTACTTTTAAAAACATATATCATTTTGGGGATACTCTTTGATGCCAAGTTTAAAAAATTCTGAAGTGTTTAAAATGATACAAACTTAGAGCATGATCTGTGTTCCTTTTTTTTTTAATCAGGTAAGCTTCTTGGTTTTGGGTGTAGATCTGAAAAGTTAACATTTCTTGAACCAATAAAATGTTTCCAGTTTTATATAATTATATCACAAAGTCTACCTTCTGCCTTGATTTGCAAAGAAAAGCTCCAAAAAGGACCATAAAGAAGAGGAGATAACACACAAATGGTGAGCAATGAAGTAGATGTACAAAATGGTTTGTGCAGATTTGGCACTTAAAACATACAGCAGCCGAAGTACATCTTAAATTTCATTTAGTGAATATATTGCTCACGAGTCCCTCTCTTCATTTCCTGAGGAAGTAGATCCCTATTCTCTCCCATATGGTGAGAAAATCTCTTTGCTATCCAGTTTCCCTGTTTACATTTGTTCTTCCATCCCCTTCTGATTCCTCAGCAAAGCAGCTGCTTTGAAAAGAAGCTCAAAGGATTACCTTGAAATGGTTACCCACTCTCCCCCTTTTCTGCTCCAAGAAGAAAGTTTCTTTCTGTATTTTCCCAGCATTATTAAGAGTCAAGACTTGAGGCCTTAAGGTACATTTCCTATATTCTTCTTTTGTTTTAAACTTGAAAGCAAAATAATCTTCCCAAGTCTACCATGAGGATGAATTTCAGAATGCACAATAACTTACATTTACCGAGAAAACTGTTAAGTCAGAATCTTCTAAAATAGAGATAACAATAACAAGTGTGATGCCAGTACTCCTATCCTGATACATTGTAAAAAATCATCTCCTTCCTTACTGTGTCCTACATCCTTTTTTCTTTTCTTTTTTTTTGAGATGGAGTTTTGCTCTTGTTGCCCCTGCTGGAGTGCAATGGTGCAATCTTGGCTTACTGTAACCTCTGCCTCCCGGGTTCAAGCAATTCTCCTGCCTCAGCCTCCCTAGTAGCTGGGATTACAGGTGCCCACCACCATGCCCAGCTAATTTTTTGTATTTTTAGTAGAGGTGGGGTTTCCCCATGTTGGCCAGGCTGGTCTCGAACTCCTGACCTTAGGTGATCCGCCCACCTTGGTCTCCCAAATTGCTGGGATTACAGGTGTGAGCCACTGCGCCCGGCCACATCTTCCTTTCTTAATGAATTTAGAGTCTCCTCCTACATCAAAATGGTATTAGAGAGAATGCTAAGGATAATTCCATGGATCTCACGATAAACAATTGGAATAAAAGAGCTTGCCACTTAGTCATGATTATTAGCATGAAAATGTGATGATGCAGCCTATTTTGGGGGAGGGATGAAGTGTCATTGAATCAGCTCATGAGTAGTCTGGCATGCGACTTTCTGTTTCTTGCAAACAAGTTGCATGATAGGGGAACATCAACACTATGCCAGTGTGTCCCTGAAGAAAAGGTAGCTGGTTTTGTTTTGGTCAAAGTAGGAATGAGTCTGGAAAGGGATTCAGTTTTATGAACATTGTTTTGCCTGCTTTAGAAAAGATGACAGATAGATAAGAGTCAACCAATGCTTTGGGAAGAGATAAGATTAGCATTTAAAAGCTTAACCCATGTCATCACTTCTGGGTATGTCTTCCCTGAGTGAAATCTTATTCTTTGCATGCATTTTGAATGCTGAATCACCATGAATAATTTTTATGAATGGCTACTTTAGAAATGTTAATGGATTGCAACTCATTGGGGAAATAAAAAATTTATGGTTGCGTATTACAATAAATTCTAAATAAAGCAGTATATGGAATTGTTGACTTCTCAGAGACTTCCAGTGAACTTACTGCAGGACAGTGTCTACATTTCAGCTCTGTGTGATACTTTCAGTGTTTTCGCTTTTTTAATATGCCCCTTTTTGTCAATAAAGGAAAGAAACTCCACTTTATACTTACGTAGTTTCTTCAGAAAGGGAGCTCTGGGGATTTTATAGCCAGGTCAGCCCTTCAATTTTGGGCCACATCTACCAGGAGAAGCATTTTTCAATGATTGTTCATTCATTAAAATTGTCTATTTACGTTGTCCCTGCCCTTCTTGGAGCTTGTAGTCTACTCATGGTTTTATAGCCTAGTTTTCCACTTACATGGACCTAGGGAAGTATTAAAGGTACAAAGAAAATGGTTAAAAGTTCAAACTGAGAAGCATTTAGCTAATCGTCACTATTTGAATTTAGAAGTTATTGAGCCTAAGAGTGAGAAGGATGACAATGGTTTATACCCAACTGATGAACAAAACCCTCCTGTTTATCCTTCACTCATTCATTCTAAATATATTTACGAGGGGCTTCTTCACACCTGCCATTGCCTTAGTCAGTCTGACAAAACAGGGAGGGACTGAAAGTCCATATGGCACCTTATGGTGCTCACAGTCAAGTGTAAGAAACAGATAATAAGCAAAACTGGTTGGCGATGTTGCAATTCTATTGTGTAAATATGGAAACCAGCTGCTGAGGATTGAATTGTACATTGTCCAGCCTTCATCTCTGCCCCATTATATGTACCTGGGTTTATTCTCTAGTAACACAATTTAGATAGTGCCAGTACCTTGGTCTGTACCATATAAAAGAGAATTTTATTGAAGGAGAACTTTTATGAGCAATTCAGTAGCAGTTAGCAATACATACAATCCACAAATATGGAGGATTATGTACTATGAGAAAGGACCAAATCAAGGTGCTAGAGGTAAGAATGACGGATAAGAATAATATAATCCTCATTCTTATACCATGTATATTCTTGTTGGGAGGAACAGATGATAAGAGTAAACTAATTGGGTAATCAAAATAATTTCTGAGAATGAAAAGTGCTTAAGGGAAAGCAAAACTGTGATGTGATGTGATGTGATAAGAGGTGCTCCTTAAGACAGGTTACCTGGGAAGGCTTCTCTGAGAAGGTGATATTTGAACTGAGTCCTGAATGATGAGAACAACTTGCCATTGGCAAAGCCCAAAAAGGAGAAAACTGGCAGCAGCAAGTACAAAGGGCTTGAGGCAGGAATTACCTTCCAGGTATTTCAGGAACATAAAGGAGGCCAGTGTGGCTAGAGCATGGTGGGAAGATAAAGGTTACTAAGGCGTAAACATGGAGTTGGACAAGTCTGTCTTCCGAAGGTCTCTGTAGGCCTTGATTAGGAGTTGGAGTCTTACTGTAAATGTAATGGGAAGGCATTGGGAGATTTTAAGCAGGTAGTGATCATGTTTTATATATTCCCAGAAGAAGATACTATTGTGAGTAATAAGTCTGAAAGCAAAGAAGGCTATTTAGAGGATCCCTGTAATCTTCCAGTAAGAGTGTGCTAAGAGCTTAGCACAAGCTAAAGTTGTACAAGATGAAATGGAGAGAAATGAGTTTTGAGATTTATTTTGCTGGTAGAAAATATGATCAGATGTGGAAATAGGGGACTGGGAAGAATCAAGGATAGTGC
The DNA here is from genome assembly GCF_000001405.40 of Homo sapiens. Classification (NCBI taxonomy): domain Eukaryota; kingdom Metazoa; phylum Chordata; class Mammalia; order Primates; family Hominidae; genus Homo; species Homo sapiens. Next base: position 88,561,373 of record NC_000012.12, on the reverse strand, counting down.
CCAGATTTTTGGCTTAAACCACCATTCTTCAAGTTTGGGCATGATGTTACTAGGAATGCTTGTTCTAGACAGCAATGACAATAGCCATAGCAAACATTTATAAAGGTGTATTATTTGACAGGTACTATACTAAATGCCCACTTACATAACTATATTTAATCCTCAGCAAACCTATAAAGTCAGTTCTGTTATTACACCCATTTACAGATGAGGAAACTGAGGCCCAGAATGATAAAATAACTTTCCAACGGCCATAAGGATTGTGTCAAAGTAGAAATTAAGATATGGGCAGTCTGATTCTAAGGTTGATGTTTTCCAACCCCCTCCTCTATACCACTTCTCTGTGCATGAGTAAACACACTGTTTTCTTTCTTTCTTTCTTTTTTTTTTTTTTTTTTTTTTTTTTGAGACAGAGTCTCGCTTTGTTACCCAGGCTTGAGTGCAGTGGTGCGATCTCGGCTCACCGCAACCTCCGCCTCCCAGGTTCAAGCGATTCTCCTGCCTCAGCCCCCCAGGTAGCTGGGACTACAGGCGCATGCCACCATGCCCGGCTAATTTTTTTATTTTTAGTAGAGACGGGGTTTCACTGTGTTGGCCAGGCTGGTCTCGAACTCCTGACCTTGTGATCCGCCCGCCTCAGCCTCCCAAAGTGCTGGGATTACAGGCGTGAGCCACAGCGCCCAGCCAACACACTGTTTTCTAAAGCTGTTTTGGATATATTAGTGAAGCTGAAGTTGACTTTTGAAACTTTGCTATTTAGGTTAACATTCACCTGTTGCCCAAACAATTTTTGCCTCACTTTTATACTAGGTAGAAAAGAGCCTGCCTGCTTGGAAGAGCGGATCCAAATCCAAGCTCAGGGGGCAGTTTCACAACCTCTTTATTTCACTTTCCAGGGCTGATCTTTAATCTATGGGGAGGCAGAGGATAAATGAGATTGTTTACAATTATTATGTGCAATTAAAAAGAAAACACATTTTTTAAAAAATGGGTTGTATTGTGAATGATTGTATAGTCATTTACTGTTAGCAAAGCTTTTAGAATATTTAAGGGATCAATAAAGATAAAATTATAACTGTAGCATCAACTGTGGTTTAACTGTAGCTAACTGAACTAGCTATAGTTAACTATTAACTGTAATTAACAAAATAATAATTAGAGCATTAATAGTCATGTAATGTTCTCATAGATCTGCCAATTGGCTTGTGAGTGCTTTACATAACATTGTCTTATGTAATCTTTTCAAAACTGCAAAAACATGTTATCATCACAAGAAAACTGAGTCTCAGAGAGGTTACATAATTTGCTCTGGATTACAACACGTGACAGCACCAGGATTTGAATCCATATCTTACTTTGATAACGTTCTCTGTTTTAAATGTCATCATCTTCATAAACAGTGAGCCTGCAATTGACATATATTGTTATCAGAAGAACAAGTCCTGGGCATGTCATTGAACCTGCAGTTGTAGAGTATTGTTACCAGAGAAATGTGTCTCAGGCATGTCAATGAATCTGCAATTGAAGTTTATTGTTACCAGAGGAACTTGTCCCAGGCATGCCAACTGTAAATGCTTTGCTGTGTTTCAGCTGGTAGAATTGTATTAAACTCTCATGGATTGCCTATAAAAAATTGGTCTTTTTTAAAATTTAAAATAATCCTTATTTTTCAACTTGAATTGTGAAACACTAATGGGAAATTTCTAAGGAAAATTTTGACCACCCTTAGGAGAAATAAATGCTTAATTACTGGGCTTTTTCCCCTTGTTTTGCTTAGGATTTAATTTTGGACAATATAGTCTACTCTGCCTGATTGAAACCTGGGATATACTTCAAAGAGTATATTGAAGTGCATTTGATGGCCTGTGGAATTTTTGGAAGGGCCGTAGGAGCAGACTGCAAGCTGAGCTTCCAGAACACTCCCAGCACTCAGAACTTAAGTCCACTACAGTCTGTAAATATGTTGCGGCCAGTGCAGAAAGCTGTTACTGCTGCTGACTGGAGGGTCTTGCTGCCCGCAGTACCAACTAAGCCAATAAAATGCATGCCCACAGCCAGCCTGTCTTCTCGAGTATTTCCTTCCCATATCAGATCTTGCAGTCACGCCTAATTGGCAGAACCGAAGTCCCATCTACAACCCTGGATAACTTAAAGGGCGTCTGATAAATGGAGTTTTTAGCTTTCCAGCCATGATAGTTTAGAGGGATATGCTAGGAGAATATTGGAATGGCAATTGAAAGAGACAATCAACAGTATTCTGTGCACTCAATACACTTAACTTTTCTTATCTTTTTTGTTTTTAATTTCCATAGGTTATTGGGGAACAGGGGGTGTTTGGTTACATGAGTAAGTTCTTTAGTGGTGATTTGTGAGATTTTGGTGCACCCATCACCCAAGTAGTATACACTGTACCCAATTTGTCATCTTTTATCCCTCACCCCCCTCAAGTTACTCTAAATCAAGAGCACCTAGTATGTAGCCCTTCAATCAAATACAACGTTGTATATCTTTTAAGACATTTTTGTTTTGTTTGTTTTCTTTAACAATATAACACTCATGAACTATCTAAAATATTATATCTCAGACTTTATAGAGTACCTAATAATCACATAGAGGGCTTACTAAAAGATGTGCTTTCCTGAGATGCACCCTCAGAAATTTGGATTCCCTCTGACATGCAGGAATCTGTATTTTAATTAAACACCCCAGATGATTACACTTTCATCTAAACATAACACAGCTGACTCCCTTGGTTTCAGTTGGAACACCTTCAGTGAAAGAAGGAACATTTTAACAGTTTATTCCATCCCACTAAAAAGGCAGTTGGTATGTCTCACACACATTGCATAATTCGCAAAGCCAGTTTGTGACCTTTGCCAATCAAGCTTGTCATCTGATGTGACAGAGAAAACGATCAAGATTGTGAACGTTCTTTGAGCTCATGTCTCTAGCTCCACTCATTTTGATGATATTTGGAAGCAGTTAAAGTAGAGTATAAAGATTTAGTTTATTCTCATGTAGTAAAAGATCCAGGTTGGTGGGTGGCGGGTCGTGAGGGGTGGGGGGAACTTTGTTGAAAATTTTCTGAGCTGCTTCCTCAGATTTTTATTTATTTATTTATTTATTTAAAAGGTCTTGTGAGACTAAACTTGTCAGATTTTCAGTAGCAGATGTGAAAATACATATGAGCACATTAATTACATCCATAGTGGGAAAAAAACACAAAAAGGTTCTAGGAAATTCAGGCATTCAGTCTCAGATTGGGCACTTGGGATCAGATGGCAACTGAAGCCTATGCTCATTTCACATCACCAAATGGTTTGGAGTTCAAAATATTTTAGAGATTTTAAATAATTACATAATTTTTGATTTACATGAGATCTCACTTTCAGAAGCAAGTCACGTATTTGAAAGAGTATAAATTATGATTTATGTTTCTGTAGCTGTTTTTAGAGAGCTACAGCCCTCAGATTCTTGTACATCAGGGTGATGTACAACCCTCAGATTCTTGTACATCAGGGTAGTTCAATTTTAAGAGCAGCTAGTTGGCATAAGAGTAAACGGTGCCCGTGTCCATGGAGTGCTGAAGATGCAGATTTCAGAACTTTCATGAATTTTTAAAATTATGTTTCCATACTTTGGCCGGTGTTGGGGGAGGTCTGCTCGTCTTATTTCTTTGAAAATACACACTTATTGCAGAGAGTTGGCGGTAGATATATAAACCTAGCTAACTTAAAGGGCATCTGAGAAATGGCGTTTTTAGTTTTCCAGACGTGATAGTTGAGAATTAAACTAGTACCCATCAGTTTTCTAGACTAGCTCAGTCTGTTACACATCATTATCCTCACAGAAATTAGAATTAGTCATTAGCTCGCATCTCCTTAAAATTAAGTGGATTATACTGTGTAGGGGATTTTTTTCCCCTCTGCTTTGTATAACTGCTAAAGAGCTTTATGAATAGCTAATGATCTACTTTTTAAACCATTGTTACTAATTAGATAGTCTATACTGCTGTCACAAATGCTTACTCTATTATGTACATCTTTATTAAAATTAGTAACAGTAAAAACCTGAACACTCAGGCCCTATATTCTTGCCTGAGGTACCAGTCTTTTATCAGGGATTTTTACACAGGGTCAAAACTTCTGAGCTCACCTGGCTCTGTTAACCCCAGGTGAGTTGTTCCCTATTCCTAGGCCATTTAAAAAAGAGAAATGCTGAGTTTATTATTTTAGTCCCACTCTTTCAGGGCTGTGTGTTCCCTTCTACCAAGACCGAAGTGAACTTTTCTAGCCCTTTCCATGATCACTCACTCTCTTCTTTCTTTTTTGGCAAACTGTAGTAATATACCCTTGAAATTCCCTCATACTCATTCACTCCTGTAGTCCATCCACTGTGATTGACTTTTAGTTCCATCAACTCAATGGCAACTGCCCTCATTAAGGTCAGCTCCATTAAGTACTCTTTAGTAAACATCATATTGACATCTTTTAGTGCTTGTTTTATTCATTGCCCTCTCCCTTTGGTATTTTTTTTCCATTGGCTGCTGTACCCCACAATCAACTGATTTCCCTCTCATGTATTTGGCTTCACATTCTCTCATCTCCTACACAGATAGTTCATGATAGAATGGTATCTATCTATGGTATGGTAGTATTCACTAAGGTTTTTGGTGATAAACTCCCAGACTCCTGCTGCCTCTTCTCTTCCTACATATCTGGATCAGCAGATAGCACCACTTTTTACACAGTCACCCAAACTGGAACCTGGAAGTCATTTGTGCCTCTTCCCCTTTTGACCCTACCCTCTTTTCATTAGTCACCAAGATCTTCCGTTCTACTTCCATATCCTGTTGAACGTGTTCATTTCTCTCCATTCTCACTGCCACTGCCCTAGTTAAGGCCCTTATCATCTCAGCTTTGGATTACTTCAGTGACCTCCTAATGGGCCTCATGCCCCCAGGTTTGTTGCCCTCTCTCCCCCAGTCCATCCTTCATTCTGATGCCTGATAAACCTTTTAACAATAAATCAGATCTTGACACTCCCTTGCTTAAAATCATTCCAGGTCTCCCCAGTGCTTTTAAAATGAAATCTAAATCAATTAGCAAGGAGGGCCTCTGCATATCTCTCTAGCCTTGCCTTTTTTTTTTTTTTTGCTTATTCTTTGAAACTTATTTTCCAATGGAGTAAAAAAATCACAGAATTCTAAGAACATGCCTTGTTTCCACACTTCTGTGGGCACCTGCTACTTCCTCTCTCAGGGGTCTTCTCCCTCACTAACTTTGAGTTGGCTGCCCCCGATCACCTTTGGAGAAGCTTCTCCCCCCAGAAACTATCAGCCCCTCCCTCAAATGCCCCTGTCCCCCAAATGCCCCCCTCCCCAAGTCAGGTTTAGCTGTACTTGGGGCAGGGGGCAGTTGAGGGAGGGGCTGGGCCTTTTCTCTCTGACTCCCACCACTGTGCTGTGTTCTCTAGTAGCTTGAGCTTCCTGAGGCCAGTGATCATAGTCTTTCTGTCTTTATCTTATGTATTTATTAGATACTCCATACATGTCTGTTAAATGAAGAAGTGGCCCCTGGGATAATGTTACTAGAAGTCTGAAAGCACCCAATTTTGTTTTTATAAGAAGAAACAACTTATCGCTTTATTTTTTGGGTTTCTCCCCTCCCTCTAGCTATGTAAATTTTTGTTTAAGCTATAGCTAAGTGTAACTTGATTTACCTGCTCGACTCATTTATTCAACCTGGTAATAACTTGACATGTAATTTCAATTTGAAACTGATTGAGTTAAAGAGACCTATATGCCTTCTGTAACATGACCCTTTAAAATAAAATTTAGTAGTTCATTAAATATAAATGAAGTCAGTTTTATTATCTAACTGGCCTAGTATTTTTCTTTCCAGCATAGATAGTGTAGGTTTTGGTTTATATCCAATCCAGCAATTTCCTAGCAAAGTGGCCATAAGGAAGTTACCTAATCTCTCCCGAATTGTGTTTTGCTCACCTGCAGAGTAGGGTAATAATATCTACCTGGTTGATGGGAGGATTACAGGAAATAATATCTGCAAACTGCTTGTCCTATGCACAGCCCCTTAGAAGTCAATATATTTTGAGTTATTTCCACTTTAAGTAGTATTTACATGTAGAACGAGGACTGATTATTAAAGGGTGAATTTCCCCAAATTTTTCTCATGCATTGAATACCTTGAAATCTTTAAATTCCCGTTACATTAAATTCCCTTATTATATTACATTGTCTGCCTTTTCATATTAAGCAACTTCTTTCTAGTTTTTTTTTGTTATAAGAGCATATTCATTACATATTTTAATGATCACCCATATTTTAAAACATTTTTAGCTTACTTCTTCACAAAAGGGAAGTTAGAAGAGTATCTTTACAAGATTTTGGCACCCACCAATTTGGACTCCAAGTTGGTCTGAGTTTCAATTAGTTACTCTGGTAACATCTGTTTTATTGATAGTAGTTAAGTTTCAAAAACTAACAAATCTACTAAATGTTTCAGTTGTCCCTTTAAGATTACTTAACAGTGCTTAGAGAAGAATTTTAGTCTGTGTAAGATGATTAGGTATTTTCCTTATAATGTTTAATGGTAAATTTTTAAGCAATTAAAAAGATCTGAAAAAAGAAGTCATATAGAACTGAATGGTTATTCACCAAATGAGGATCCTGTTGTTGGTTTACATAGATTATTTTTGGAAGATATGGTTCATATGAGTTAAGAAGACCTGAACTCAGGACCAATTACCATACCTGTATCTTGGTAACTTGCTTTCCTGTCTTTGGGTAGTTGAGCCAGTTGGCTCTCTTCCAAAATACATTTGGGCTACAAGGGAACTGCCTGCTTCAATAGCTGGTATGCAGGATTAAAGAGAAGATGAATGTTGTTTTTGGCAGCAGCTGCTGTTTTGTTCAGGGCAGCTCTAATACCATTTCGTAGGTCTGTGCATAAAGAAAATGAGCTACACAAACACTTAACTCTCTTTTTGACTTTGTGACGTCTGTAATATGGACCCTGACAATGCATATTTTAAAATCACTTCTCATATTCATAGAGAAAAAAAGGCTTTTTTTCTGTATTTTATTTTTTTGTTTTTCCAAGTTTAGAGGATTGGTATCTTCTGGTTTCTTGAACAGCATATGTCCCCCTGATATTCTTAGGCTGCATGCATTTTAATTTCTACTGAAGGAAAGGAATCTGCAGTGTGACTTATGTGTTGCAACACACGTTCAGATTAAGTCCATGGTTTGTTTTGGGTGTTTGTAGCTCCTTTTCCTGGCATGTGGCCTTTTACTGTAAGGAAAGCTCTGTGTTCAGGAGGGATTGGTTATTGAGTGAATAGTCCACTGGAGTCTGCTGATGTTTGTTCTCAACAAAAATGAAAATTAAGCAAGACCTTTGCCTTTGAGGTCTTCAACCTCATCTTCTTGTAAATCCCTCCCACCCCAGACTTCTTTAAAGTACTTTTCTAGTACTGTCTGCTACTGTCTGCTCCCAGAAAAGGACCAGCCACATCTGTCACTGATGTTAACATAAATTTTAGTCAGTATTACTTCCCTCTACCAGAACTGTTTCTACTGCATGCCTTGGTTGTAACAGTGCACACAGATTTCTCATTATTTTTTTTCCTAATCATGTAAATGATTTGAAGGCAACATTTAGCAATGAAAGGATTATTGGAATTTTGTGTGTTGTGGGGGAATAAACGGGGGACACTTTTGATGCATGTTTCTGAAAACAAAAATCGAGAACTACCCAGGACGATATGTGTCTATACAATGAAAGACTATCCAGAAATGAGGGGTTATCACACAATGAGCTTGACCTAGAGAGAAAAGTTGTACAATGATAAAACAAAGTAGCCAAAGAAAAATGTCATATACAGCTGCAGAGAATGTTAACAGAAAAAAAAAATAGATGATTACCCAAACTGAAAAGATACATTTTAGAGCAGAAGTCACAAACACAGGGACATTTTGCTTCAGTGTATCTCCATTAGGGTGTGTGTGAGCGTGTGTGCACACCCACATATTTAGGCACCCTATTCCCTCAGAGTTTCCAGAAATTGGAAGAAGAGGAAGAGAAAACAAAGATAAATATTTTGTTGATATATTGGAACATGTCATTTAATTGGAAGTCAGTTGTCTGTTAACTGAAGCTACTCTAAACACAGTTCAGAACTAAGAAATAAATGAAAAAGGTGTGTGAACTCAAAGTCAGTGTCAAAATATTCATGTGCTAAAGGTCATACTCTTTGTATATGGGAGATCTACTCTATAAAGTCTTTTCTCAGAAAGTTTTACTCAAACATTTTTGAAGTACTTGTCTTCTGGTTTCCTAGCCGATGCAAAGCCCATAAACCACACAACAAATAATTGCATAACACCCATAGTTTGAATAGTTTCTCATTTGATTCTTACTACTAGTTCATGAGATGGGTAAGGCAAAAATTATTTTTACTATCATTTTATAGGCTGATAAATGGATACTCAGGGAGATTAGCTGACTTGTTTGAAGTCACATGGGAAGGGACTGAGAGGTTTTCTGGATCCATGTTCTGCCCATGGTTTCCAAAAGCGTTTTTTTTTTTTAATTTCTTCTTGCCCTTGGAAACCTTTGTTTAAACAGAATCTTACTCAGAGGCATGAACAAATAAAACAACAAAAAAAGCTGAGCTGCTCTGCTTAAAATAAAGGGTGCGGGCCAATAATTCTGGCAGAGGCAATTCACTTTCCTCATTTGGAATAGCTTGACCATCACTACACTACACCTTTCATTCATTCATTCATTCCAAAAGTATTTCAATTGAGCTGTGTTTTATTTTTCTATTGCTGCTGTAATAAATTACCAAAAATTTAGTGACTGGCCGGGTGCAGTGGCTCATACCTGTAATCTCAGCATTTTGGGAGGCTGAAGTGGGTGGATTACCTGAGCTCAGGAGTTCAAGACCAGCCTGGCCAACATGGTGAAACTCTGTCTCTACCAAAAATACAAAAAAAAAAAGAAAAGAAAAAGGCCAGCCATGGTGGCAGGCACCTATAATCCCAGCTACTTGGGAGGCTGAGGCAGGAGAATCACTTGAATCTGGGAGGCGGAGGTTGCAGTGAGCCGAGATTGCACCACTGCATCCCAGCCTGAGCAACAGAGAGAGACTCTGTCAAAAAAAAAAAAAAAAAATTATCATAATTTTGAAGATCAAATGTTCAAAATAAGGCTCACTTACATCAAAGTATCAGTTGGACTATGTTGCTTTCCAAAGGCTCTAGGGGAGAATCTATTTCTTTCTCTTTTGCAGCTTCTAGAAGCTGCCTACATTTCTTGACTCTTGGTCCCTTCTCTCTATTTTCAATGCCAGCAAGGACATGTTGAGTCCTTTTCAGGTCACATTTCCCCGACCCTTCTTCCATCATCGCACCTCTCTCTGAACAGAGCTGGAAAATAGTCTCCATTTTTAAGGACCATGGGGATTAGATTGGACCCAGGGAATCTAGGATAGTCTCTTCATCTCTAGTTCTTAACGTAATCATGTCTGGAAAGTCCATTTTGCCATGTGTGGTGATGTATTCACAAGTTCCAAGAATTAGGACATGGACATCTTTGGGGCCATTATACTTCCTGCTGTAAGCTCCCATATGGGACACATGTTGTGTTCATCATCAAGAGTGCAGGAGACTAGAAATAGGCATGTTAGCAGTAACAATATGTTGCAAGTAATGACCTGACAATCTGGGGGAAACAGGAAAACTAAGGAACAAACAAATGAAACCTAAAATAAATTTTTAAAAGTTATACAAACAAGTACAGTAATTTGGAACCACTTGGAGAAGGGAAGCTACAACTACATAACTGAGATACTTTGAAAGTCTTCCTTTTATTTGATGAACCTGAACCGTCACAGAAAAGCAAAGTTTAATATTTCAATTCACTGTTTAAGAAATCAAAGTGTGTGTACAATATTAGAAAGACTTCTGTGTAGAAAAGTTAATACTGAAAAGTTTCTTTTTTATATAAAGAAGTAAGCTCTGCATTTCAGCTCTCTCCTGAGTATACTGATGAAGGAGGTGTCATTACTGCTTGGCAAAAATCTCAATATTTCTAACTTGATTATCTCCCTGTCCTAATGTTTAGCTATGCCAGAATGAATTCTTTAATTTTATGAAAGGTGGATATTTTTAATGGTAGCAAAGTATATGCAAAATTAAATTACAATATGAATTTATTTATAATGGCTTTAAAATAAAGGGCTTTAAGAAATATAGGTTTTTCAGAGATATTTGAATGTTCATAAGCTAACATAGATTTAATTTTAGCATTGACCCAGTGGATTTTTACAAAATGAACAAAACTGTGTCTTTGTAAGATATTTGAATTTAACTGATGCAAAAAAAATTTATGTTGCCCTGATCAAATCATTCTTCAATTATTATAGCAGTCTGTGTTGATATATTTTAAGGAACTATCAAAGGACATATATTAAAAATTATGATGACTTGAATAATATAGACTATTCAGCTGTGGCATGGAATATGGAACAGACTTGTCTCCATATGCTTGATATTTGCAAAAGTATTAAAGTTTTAGAGATCTGCTATCGCATCACAGTTCTCACAAACCATCTAACAGATTTGCAGGAGTTCTGGGACAGTGTAGAGGGGCTAAAAGGACAGGAGTTAGAATTGGACAGACCTGGGCTTACTGATTTCACCACTCAGAAGTCACCAAACCTCCCTGTACCTCAACTCCTTCATCTTTAAAATTAGGATATATGAAAGTTATTTTTTTCCTTATTAGATATCCAAGATGCTTGGTGTATAGTAAATGTTCAGTAACTTTTAGCTCTATTCATGGAATTGTTCCCAAAACACAACCAGCATCTGCATTCACATTCCAGCGCTCTGCCTGATAGCATTGAACTACCTATACTCCTATTTAAAGCCACACTTCCTACTTGAGAACTGAATCTCACCCCTTCTTTCCTGCTCAAGGCTGTTGCCCAAGCAGTCCCCTCTCTTCTGACCTATATTGCCAATTGCTTCCTCCTACTGGATCATTCCCATAGGCATACACTCATTCTGGTATTTCAACCTTCTTACAAATAAAACTCTCTTCACCCCCAATTTCTTGCCAGCTACTTCCCCATCTTGGTTTTATTTATTTATGTGTTTGTTTATCCAGTTGCTCTCCTTTGAAGGAAAACTCTTCAAAACAGCTGTTCATACTCACTGTTTCTGGTTAATCTCATCTCCTGCTTTCTAAAACCCACTGTAGACTGGCTTTTTCCCATACCACTTCAATAAAACTGCTCTTGTTAATATTACCAGTGACCTTAATGTTGCCAAACCAGTGGTCAGTTATCAGTCCTTATCTTACTCGGCCTATAACTGGCATTTGACATAGTTTGACCCTATTTTCCTTAAAGTACTTTTTTAAAGTCTTGGCTTCCTTCCATGATCTTTTTGCTTTGCTCTCTTGGACTCTTTTGTGGGTTCTCACTCTTCTGTCAGATCCCTTAAGGTTAGAACACCATAGCATGCGCAGTTCTTTGTTCTTTTTTATACTTTTACTCACTCCCTTGGTGATCTCATCCACTCATTTGCTTATATATGGAAGGTTATCATATTTATATCTGCACCCCAAGTTTCCCTCCTAAGTCCAGATTTAAATATCTTGACCTGGCATTATCACTAGAATATCTCAAAGACATCTTAAACTTAACATACTCAAAATTTAACTCCTGATCTGCCTCCCAAACCTTCTCTACCCCCAGTCTTCCCCATATCAGTTGATGGCAACACCATCTTTCCATACCAAAGTTCTTATAGTCATCTTTGACTCTTTCTCTCAAATCGTACTCTGTCAGGAAATTCTCATGGTTCAGCCTTCAGAAGATGTCCAGAATCTAACCACTTTCAGTCAATGTATTACTATAACCCTTTCTTGATTGGATTACAGCAGCAACCTCCCAACTTGTCGGTTTCATTTTCTACCTGTTGTCACCCTAAAGTCTATTTTTATTATAGCAATCAGACTGATCTTATTTAATTAATTTATTTTTATTCTGAAGTATATATCCCTCCTCTGCTCAAAATCTTGCAATGAATCCTATTTTATTCAAGTAAGAGTCAATGTCTGGGCAATAGGCTTCAACGCCCTACATGAGCTGTCCTCTCCATTGTCTCTCTGACATCATCATCTTCTACTGCTCCCTAATTTACTCTTGCTATGTCTTAAATAACAGATGCCTTAAATAGACCTTAGGACCTTGGCACCAGCTTTTCTCTCTGTATGCAGTACTCTTCCCACAGATGTCTGCGTGGATCACTGCCTTAGCTTTGTCCAATCTTTGGTGAAATTTTGTCTTCTTAATGAGACACTTATCAATATTACCCTGTTAAAAATTTCAAGCTGTTTCCACCCATACTGCAATCTCTGGAAAGAAAAGAGTACAGTTAGTTCTATGGCTCTTCTCGAGACTCAGAGATGCCTGGTGATTTGACCCTCCCTATAAGTCTTCTTTCAACAAGGACTCAAGAAACTTTTAGGTGTACATCTATACTTCCTCCAAGGGAATTCAGCTGAAGTTACTAGGTAGCAGGCACTGATGTGTGCTTTATTACAAGCATATGTCATGCACTGATATGTATTAATATTTTATTGTTGAGACTGGTACTGGTGGGGGTAGCTGCTCTAGAAAATGAATAGAAGTTCATGCCATATCCCTAAAAAGCTGCTCAGCTAGCAAGGTATAAGCAGAAGGAATGATTCTACCTACCCAACATCACCTATCATTGCCACACGTATCTTGAGTGTTCAGTGACTTTCTGATATTAGAGATGGCCTGGGAGTCTGCTCTGCTTGTGCTGTATGTACTCTTTTGTTATCTAACTTTTTTTTTTTTTGGTGATGTAGTCTAGCTTTTGTCGCCAGGCTAGAGTGCAGTGGCGCAATCTTGGCTCACTGCAACCTCCGCCTCACGGGTTCAAACGATTCTCCTGCCTCAGCCTCCCGAGTACCTGGGATTACAGGCATGCACTGCCACACCCAGCTAATTTTTGTATTTTTAGTAGAGATGGGGATTCACCATGTTGGCCAGGCTGGTCTCGATCTCCTGACCTCGTGATCCGCCCACCTCGGCCTCCTAAAGTGCTGGGATTACAGGCATGAGCCACCACGCCCGGCCAACCTAACCTTTCTTAAAACTCAGCAGTACACTTGGTGCTGGGCAAAGCCTTGGTGCTGGGCAAAGCAGTACACATGGTGACTCATGACTGTGATTGTCACTCTGAACCCAAGATCACCAGTAAGGCAGAGTAGACATTATGATCCCAATCCCCTTTACCTTGCTCTAATCTTATTTTTCCCATAGCTTTTGACACCTTTTGACATACTGTATAACCTAGTTACTTATGTTTGTTGATTAAGCCTTATGAGGGCAGGAATTTTGTTCATTATATAGGCCTAGCACCTAGGACAATGCCTGGTATACACCAGATACTCAATAAATACTTGTTAGATGAATGAGAAAACAAACGTTTCTTTAGTATTTATTCAATGCCAGGCGTAAAGGATTGCGAAGACCAGTAACAGAATTTCTGCCATTACATTTCTTTGAGCAAAGGATATGATTATGGTCATTTCTGAGATTGGTCCATTACAGAGATCCTTAGAGAAAGTTCCCAAATCACATCAGAAAGAGGGGTTTAGAGAAATATATTTCCAGGGAGGTTACGTCTTAGCAATGACAATATAAAAGAAAGCTGACTTTAATAAATTATATTTACACATGTGAAGGAAGACTGTTATTAAGGGACAGTTTGTATGTAGGGGTTGTCTGTCCAAAAAGAAGAATCCTCAAACAGAAATAATTTATACAACTTAGTCTTCACTGTGGTCCAAGAAAGATGATACTATGAAGAGTGTGACCCCACAATGCTAGAAGTAGCCTTAAATAAAATTATGCAGGATTACTGCTAAAATAGACCATGGTGGTAAGGGAATAAAAGGATTTCAATCTTGAATACAAACCACTATATCCATGTAATTAGCATTGTAGTTTTAGAAATTTTAGCAAATAATAATCATTATTTGTTCTAGTATAATATCTAGTTAGCATGCAGATATTAATTGAAAATAATAATCCAGTTCCTTTTTAATATGGCTAGCTATGTAAATAGAGAAGATTTCTAGCCATGTGCATCTGGACTCTTGTGTAATTTTAAGATTTTACAGAAGAATGGTATCTCATAAAAGAATGTGCACATATTTTAAGATGTCTTCACATCTGCATGGTTTTGTCATGCTGTTTATTTTTCCTGGAACGTTCATCTTTTCTTTGTCAGCCCTTGCAAGTCCTCCTTGTCCTCCTAAATCCAGCCACAGTCACATTTTCTTTCTGGCTTTTCTTGGCACTGTCTTCCTGCAACTGGTTCTCCCCCTTAAGGTTAATTGATTAATTGCTTCCTCTTCTGTGTTCCGAAAGTGTTTATCACAAGATGTGAGTGTTATTTATTTACCTGCCTCTGAGTTTCAAGGGCATCTTCAACATCTTTGTTACCCTAGTGACTGGCGTTGTTCCTGTTGCATAATATATATTCAATAAATGGTTATTGAATTTGAGCATCAGGATATATTTTTACCTTGACCACTGATTGACCCAGCAAATATTTATTCAGGACTTTTTATATGCAAGACACTGTGTTATGTGTTGTGAAGATACTACAAAGATAAATCAGTTGCACAAGTTCTTGAAACTCTACAGTGTAATAAGGAAAAATAAGTCATGCATAAAAGCAACTATAATACATAATAGAAAATGTTATTTTCAAGCCGATGTGTAGGTTATGTGTGTTCGAGAGAGAGAGAGAGAAGACAGATTACTTTCTGCTAGGGTTCAAGAATGCCTTCCTGTTGGCTAAGGAAATATTTTCCTTAAGTGGCTAAAAAGCTGTGTTTCAAAATATTCTTTTGATGTCTCACAAATTCAGTGGAATTCTCTTAGGTCTAAAAATATACATCTCTCTCACTTTAACTTGGTGTGCTATTGTAGATTATTGGATTAAAGCACTGCTCAGGGATTATGCTGCTTCTTGCCAAGCAGTCTACATTTAAAGTAGAAATAAGATGTTTCTTTTGGTGCCATAAGGTATACATTTTATGCATTCTCTAGTTTTTAGAAGATACCCTAAGGGCTAAGTCTTTAACATGCTGCTACAAGTTTATTCCTAATTGCCATTGGGAAATTGGCTGAAGAAAGTTTTTAACAAAAGTTAACAATATTGTCATTGAGAGAATAATTCAAAATGGATTTTAACTAAAAGCTTTTAAAAACTTTGGTGAGCATAGCTTGAATGCGTAATATTTAATTGCATTTAAGCCAATAACATATATTAGACTGGTCTTTTTGTGCATCAAGGCATTAGATGTTAAAAGTTTGAATGATTACAGATCTTAACTGATGATCACCAAGCAATTTTTCTGTTTTCATTTAGACTTGGATTCTCACTTGCATTTATCTTCAGCTGCTCCTATTTAATCCTCTCGTCAAAACTGAAGGGATCTGCAGGAATCGTGTGACTAATAATGTAAAAGACGTCACTAAATTGGTAAGTAAGGAATGCTTTACCGTGCTGTGTAAAAAAGAGCTGTGGCTCTTTTTCCTGTGCTTGTTGATAAAAGATTTAGATTTTTCTTGCCCCAAAGTAATGTTTTCCTAAAGTGGGGAAAGTAATCACTGGGTTACAATAAAGGGTTTATAGAAAGCAGGTAGTGAGATATTTAGGGTCATGGATAATTTGTTGGTAAAACTGGCTAGTTGCACACCACTGCTGTGACTGCTTCTTTGCTGGTCTTCTCCCCATCCTTCATAGGCAGTGAAGGACCTTGGAGAGTTCGCTGTGTGCTGATGGGCTTGCCCCAGCTTGTTCCCCATAATCTCTCCAGTGGGTTTCCCAGCATGTTCTATTCCCCTTCACATGTCTTCCTACTCTTCTTTAAAAAGTCTAACGAAAGGAAATCTGAAATGGCTATTCTCCCAATTCAATCAGCAGGAAGACCCTGTCACATGTCAGTGGGTGTTTGCTCCTTCAGGGAACATAGAGAGGTGATTCATTGCCCACATGTTGAAGGGACTCATCTCCCTGGTTTGTCACATTGAACTCTTCCCTCAGCGAAAGCATTTGCATTGCTTCCCCAAGTCACTGCCAGCTCCATGCTATGCTTCTCCAGATGCTTTCTCTCAAGATCAAGCCACAGAGTGGGCATAACACATCTGGAATGCATCCTTCCCAACCGTCACGATCTAGGGGAGATCTTACATGCTTTTTTGAACCATGTATGATTTCGGGATGAACAAAGCTTGAGAAGCAATTTTTAAATTCCTAGTTATTTAAATACTGACTAGAGAACGGAGGTGATGCGAGAATAGGTAAGAAATGAGGGTTGTGATATGGAGAAAAGGATGAAAAGTTTATTTTTTGAGGTACTGGGATAAGGAGTAGAAGGGGCTCTATTTATCTTCCCTCCTCTTGATATATATTTTCTGGTGTATATGTCTTATTTTGGGTTTATAATAGAACTTCAAAACAGAAGTTTAAGGCCACTGTTGAAGTCTTGCTAGCTTAGCCTCAATATAGAATTAGAAACACACAGACACAATTTATACAAATTCCTTAGGACCCAGAGAGTTCAGGTTTAAAAGCATTCTTCCATGCAGCAGCAGCAGATGTATCAGTATGTCTTACTTGAGGGAACTGTGAGCAAAGCCATGCAAGAGTTGTCTGCTATATACCCAGTTAGCTATTGTGTATAGGGATGGGGGTGAGGGGGGAGTACTTTTTTTTTTTTAAAAACATACTGTTTAAAAATAGATCATGTTTTTTTTCCTTGAGTTGCTTGTTAGTTTGTGACCCAAGAAACAATACTAAAAGGACAGTATGTGTTTAAAATCTAACTTTTGTGAATGACCTGGATTCTAGTCTAGACTTAACATGTGATGGCTGTGTGACCTTAGTCAAGGCACTTGACCCCTTCTAGCCTCAGTTTCTTCATCTGTTAAATAGAGATAATATGTCAGCGGGATCTGAGGATAAATTGTAATAATGCAGCCTAAGCCCATAGTGAGCACAGTGCCTAGCACATAGTAAATATTTGACACACAGCACATAGTAAACAGTGTTAGACACTGTTACTATTTTATGATTATGTGAACTTAGGGAAGAGGAACCATACTAAGTGCCTCAGTTCAGAGCTGAAATGAGTGTCAGGTGGCATTACTGGAAGTAGGATGGTAGTAAGCACCATGAGATCAGTCACTATCTTAGCTCCCATCTGACTACTTACGCCCATGCCTAAATTCATTTATCAATAAATTGTTCTCAGATTCTAGAAGCTATTGACAAGACCAAGCAGGATCATACAGAAAATGTTATAGTAAACTTGTGCGAGATGACCTAGTCTAGCAAACATGCACATGATCTTAGCTTTCTATAAGGAAGATAAAGTTTTTAGAGACAAGATGAAGGAAAAAAATAAGTCTACAAAGCAAGATAGACCCTTGAAGATGTAATGGTGCAAAACTACTTTTTAATGTATGTTATCTTAATACCCAATGGTCTAAGTCAGTTGTTGGCTAAATTTTTCATCTGGGAATTTTAATGGTGATATGAGAAGGGCGGGGAAAGCAAAGTAGATGATGTTCATTAAATGTTTGCTGGGTGAGTGAAGAAGAGGAAATGATGTGCTTTACTTTAGTGAGCATCACAATCACCTGTCATGCTGATGAAAATTATGGGTACCTCTATTCACAATAGCAAAGACTTGGAACCAACCCAAATGTCCATCAATAATAGAAGACTGGATAAAGAAAATTTCACAAATATACACCATGGAATACTATGCAGCCATAAAAAAAGATGAGTTCATGTCCTTTGAAGGGACATGGATGAAGCTGGAAACAATTATTCTCAGCAAAATATCACAAGAACAGAAAACCAAACACCGCATGTTCTCACTCATAAGTGGGAGTTGAACAATGAGAACACAAGGACACAGGGAGGGGAACATTACACACTGGGGCCTGTTGGGGGGTGGGGGCCTGGAAGAGGGATAGCGTTTGGAGAAATACCTAATGTAAATGACGAGCTGATGGGTGCAGCAAAGCAACATGATACATGTATACCTATGTAACAAACCTGCACGTTGTGCACATGTACCCTAGAACTTAAAGTATAATAATAATAATAAAAATTACAGGTGCCTGGGACTACACCAAGAAACTACTTTGGTAAGTCTGAAAAAGGGATCCAAACATCTATATTTTTAACAAAATTCTGAAAGGAGGCTTAAGAGCAATTGCTCTAGATGGTCTCTTCTGTCATTGTTTAGAAACCAAAATGTCTTGACTCTTATTTAATCTCAATTCCTATTATGACTAGTTATCATCTGTGTTGTATAGACTTATAAGGATGCCAGATTAATACAAATCTCCAAAATATGTTTAAAGTAGGTCACTACTTTAGAACCAGCAGATCACAGTCTCTCAGGGACTTATTTAAGGTACAGCTCTAAGGGCATCACTATACCGAATCTCAACTTGTGGAGATGGGGTGTGAGAACCCTAATGTTTCCAACTAGCATCTACATAAAAGTTATTTATGTAGAAGTATCAGGACTGCTTAGGCCATAATGTTTATAGAGTGTGTGTGTGTGTGTGCATGTGTGTGTGTGTATTTTAATGTTTGAAAAGAAGTGGAGTGTTCCTATCCTAACTTACTAATTTCATTTATTCAAACAGCAACATGAGTGACTGTTGAGATTTATGGATGTAGATAATCACAGCCTTTCTCTATACATGGTGGGGCAGAGCATCTTGAAGGAAGTCGGGAATACTAGGTTTTTTTAATACCAGCTCCACTATTACCTGGCTGTGTGGCCTTGGACAAATCACTGAATCTTTCTGGCATTCAATTTCCTAATTTTTCAAATGAGGAACATGGACATGATCAATAGTTATTAATCTAGGGCTGACAAACTTCAAATGCTTACACATGAAGCTCAGAATTGTGCTGCCTTCATATGCCTTATGTTCATTTCTGAGGAGAGTGTGTAGCTTTTATCATTTCTCAGAGAAATCTAAGACCCCAAAGAAGATAAGAACTACTAAATTAGAGAAACTTGGAGGCCTTTTTCAGCTTTGAAATTATTTTATTCCATAATGATGTTTTTTTCAGGTTGCACCTCTTGGAATAATTCAATAATAACTCGACTGAAGGAGGTTATATAGGATGAGAGGAATTTGCTTTGCAGACATAACCTTGCTACATTTTATGTGAGGGAAAGAAAGTGGCCTGACAGTCCATTTTTGCCTGTGCTCACAGTTATTCCTTCAATGGAAATCATTCCTTTGCAGCCCCTACCAGTTTCATCTTTGCATTAGGTGGCAACCTGCACTGTGCCCACACACTTGAAGTTTTTTTGCTTGAAGTGATTCTCATGTCACAGAAGCCCATGATTTATGACTTTAATGTCAAATTTTTTTTTTAATTTCTTCTTGAACACTTTGTACTGCCCCCACGGTCCCCGTGGTTTTTATTCGAAATGCTTCTGGCCTGTTTACTAAGCATAATAGTTCATCTATTTACAGAACATTTTGCTTTGTTTCTAAAAAAATGTTGCAACATTTGTTTTAAATGGCAAACTCAGACTTACCTAAAGAAAGGGTCAAGTATCTGGGAAGAGGATGAATCAAGCTTTTATAACTTGTATCTATGGGATAGTTAGGTTGCAGATTTTAGTAGTTGTAATTGTTCATATAGGAAGGAAATCCAGATATTGAAAAAGTTCAAACTAGTTTTCTCTGTGTATTCTCCCTACTCTTCTCTTTGTTTGTGACGACTTTGTTTCTTCATTTGAGGCAATTTAACTCAATATGATTTTGTTGCTAAAAAGAAAAAATGTTTTGTCTTTAACTTTCTATTGGGTAATGACTTGTCTTCCTCAAAATGTTTCTTAAGGTCCCATCTCCATCTCGTAAAGGTGAAATTACTCTGTCTTTTCAAGGTCAGTCTACAAATTAGTAAGATAGCATTAGAACAAAGGAATCTATTGTCTTCCTGGTCTTGTGATAGGCACTTATTTCAAGTTGGCTATATTTATACATGATTCATGGAGATTATCGTAATGAGAGATTATAAAAATATCCTCAGATAACACATTTTCACACTTTGAATAGACAGTTTTGATTAATTCTGATTATTTTTCTTCTTCAAATATTATTGTTCTCAAGTAGAATTACCACTGCATTAAAGTGAAGAATTGGAGTCTCTGAATGTCCCCATTTCTGGATGAATTCTAAGCTTTTCTTCAGATGACCTAGGTATATCATTAATAGTGAAGATTTCACATAATTTTGTTTGACCTTCGAAAAATAATAGTTTGAAAGATAGTTTTCAAATTTTATTTTATTAGGTTGCAATATTTAGCATTTTAATTTCTGCTCCTGTGGTCAGCAGAAAATTCTTTCTCTATTTAAAGCTAAATTTAGGACATTTTGTATTTTAAAAAAAGGACTATTAGAAATAATATTTATTAAAACTCTAGATAGATTGCTATATTATCAAGCATATGAGTCTTATTGTTAGGAAAACATTGTTCTTCCTTTATAGAATAAACTACTTGGATAATATGTCTTCTGCTCATTGAATTTTTATTTTTATCTTTTGTAGAGATGTGGGTCCCATTATGTTGCCCAGGCTGGTCTCAAACTCCTGGCCCCAAGAGATCCTCCCACCTCTGCCTCTCAAAATTCTGGGATTACAGGTGTAAGCCACCATGTGCAGCCTGCTCCTTGGTTTTTTAGAACAATAGTTATGAGTACACAGACACCATGCAGAAACACTTTGCATGGATTGTCTCCTTTACTTTTCATAACCTTACAAGATAACTATTTTTAGCCCAGTATATTGGTTAGAAAGCTGAGATCTAGTGGTATTTAGTAATCTGATTATCATCACTTGGGAAATAGTTGAGTAGAGGTTTGACCCCTTAACTACCTATCATTGAGGCACAGTAATGCAGTTCATAATTTATAATGCCTTCCCAGTAGTTTAAGATGTAAGTTTCAACTACAATTAATGAATTATCATTGTAACCTACTGAATTTTATTTCCTGAATAGTAGTCACCTTATCTTACTGTGATTAGGAAGCTATCATATTGTAGAAGCTCAGTTAGTTACTTAATTGGAATCATCATCATAAGGTGTGTCATCATCATAAGGTATGTCATCATCATGAGGTATTATACACTCCCTAAATATTGTAGTTTATAATCTCTTCTATTTGAAAGAAAAAATTGTTATCTATCTTTATTTAGATATTCTTTACTGAGGAACGATGACCTTGAAAAGCCTCCTGAAGTTGTCATCTTAATTTTTTTTTGAGACAGGGTGTCTATCACCCAGTCTGGGGTACAGTGGTGCAATCATGGCTCACTGGAGCCTCAAACTCCTGGGCTCAAGTGATCCTCCTGCCTCAGCCTCTCTAGTAGCTGGGACTCCAGAGTAGTTGCCACCATACCTGACTAATTTTTTAAATTTTTTTCTTGAGATGGACTCTCACTTTGTTGCCAAGTCTGGTCTCAAACTCCTGGCTTTAAGCAATCCTCTCACCTTGGCTTCTTAAAGCAGTAGGATTACAGGTATGAACCACTGTGCCCTGCCAATTTATTTTTAATCACTAATTGAGTTACCATTTTAAAAAAGTCCAGTTACATTTGAAAACTATAGGTAATACACCTGGTTGGTTAGATTTTTAGTCAATATTAGTGGTAGATAATTTTTTAGGAGAAACAAAGAAGCAAAAAGCTTTTTTGGGGGGTGTTATTTCTGAAGGTTGAACAACTAACATAGTAAGCTACTGTACCTGAGTGAACGATGATAGAAGTGTAGAGCTTTTTTCCTCTACAGCCATGATTATTAAACTTTGCTAGGTCTGAAAATCATAGACTCTTTCCCCAGAAAAGTTGACATAGGCACAGCATTTTGTAAAAGTGTCAAGGGAGTCATAGATAACTAATGAATTTTGATTCCTGCCTTGGACTTGGGAGAGACAGCATAACAAGTAAGGGTCTTGCAAAGATGTCCAAGGTGGCCACTGATCTCATGAGATTTAGGGACCTCAGTGACCCTTGAACCATGAGATCCAAAGGTTTTTAGATCAGTGATCTAGAGAGGAAGTTAAGTGTTCTGACTTTGAGTTATTTTTCTTCTGAGTCCAAATACCTGCAGGGTGTGGTATGCAGCCAGTGCCAGTTTGGCTTGCAAAGACTTCTTGTTGGCCAAGTCTCCAGCATTTCCAAATGCTGTTCTCCCATGGATGTTTTTCCAGTGTCACTGGACATGGTCAATCATTAAGACATCCAAAGAAGACAGTAAATGGTTCCCACCTAGCACAGTTAGCTCATCATCCAGTAACTTGTTTTTGCAGTTTTTTATTTTACAATCTGGCATAGTATTGACATCCTTGCACTCCAAACCAGAGCTCATTAGAATGAGTTGGCCTTTGGTAAAATTTTCCGTCAATTAATTTTTTTTTGCCATGAATTTCTTTAGTAGAACAGATTTGTTTTTTAAAATACGTAGCCTTGGTTACTTATCCACTTAACCCTACCAATAGGGAATACTCCCTGGACTCTAGACCTGGTTCCTGCTTTTCTAGTTTCCAGTTTGCATGTAAACATTTAATGTATATTCAAATTCCTAGTGGTCTTCTAATCTTTTGTCTGTCTCTGTTTTCTCTTTGCTCCAAACTGTCTTCCCATACTAATCTTGGTATTTTACTACCAGGTTCCTTCTCTGCTGAAACACATTCAGTGTTGCATCACCACTTACGTAAGTAAGTCAAACCAGACTGAATTTATAGAAATTATCTAGTTTGCCCTCTTTATCTTACAGACAAGGAGTAGAACTTCCACAGAGATGATGCTATGTGTCTAAGCAGAAGCAACTTGCTGTGGAGTTCTGATGGTAGAACTGTTCCTACTGTACCTTACTACCTACCATTTGACCTCCCTAGCTCAACATTTGGAGGGTCTCTCTCAAAGGCAGTTTTCCTGGAATATTTCTTATCTCTTAACTGGTCTCCCTAACACATTATGAGCTTTCCCATTTCTTTGCCTTTGCATAAGACCCTTCCTCTATCTAGACTGTCCCACTCCCTCGCATTTAGTATTAATAGAAATTCATACTCATTCACATACCATGCCTAACTAAGCACTTAGTATTTTATATGAGTTATTTTATCCTTATAAATCCATCAGCTAGATTCTATATGATTCCCATGTGACACATGTAAAAATTTAGGCTGAAGTAGATGAAGTGACTTGCCCAAGACTTCTGAGTTAGTAGGTTTCAGGGCCAGGATCCAACCTGAGTGGTCTGTCTCCAGAACCTGTGCTATTAATCCATACATTAAATTCACTGCCTCTAAGGAGTATTTTCCAAGTTGCAGGCCATAGGCTCCCTCTACTCTGTGAAACTTTCCACAGTGATATATATCAGAGAAGCAGAATTTATTTCATGGTTATCTGTGCTTTCTGGAAGGTGAGTCAATATACTACGGGGTTGAATATTTCCTACCCAAAATGCTTGGGACCAAAAGTGTTTCAGATTTCATTTTTTTTTTTCAGATTTTAGAATATTTGTGGTTTTTTCTTTTTAATATACTTTCAACTATTATTTTTGATTCAGCAGCTACATTTGAAGGTTTATTACTTGGGTATATTGTATGATGCTGAGGTTTGGGGTATGATTGATCCCATCACCCAGGTAGTGAACATGGTACCCAATAGGTAGTTTTTTTAACCCTGTCTTCCTGCTTCCTATCTAGTTGTCCCTGGTATCTATTGTTGCCATCTTTATTTCCATGAGTATGCAGTGTTTAGTCCCCACTTGTAAGTGAGAACATGCAATATTTGGTTTTCTGTTCCTGTGTTAATTCACTGACAATGATGGCCTCCAGCTGCATCCATATTCCTGCGAAAGACATGATTTTATTGTTTTTTTTTGTGGCTGCATAGTATTCCATGGTGTATATGTATCACATTGTCTTTATTCAGTCCATTGTTGATAGGCACATAGGTCGATTCCATGTCTTTCTATTGCGAATAGTACTGTGATGAACGTACAAATGCATGGGTTTATTTGGTAGAAGGACTTATTTTGGATATACACCCAGCAATGGGATTGCTGGGTTGAATGGTAGTTCTGAATTCTTTGAGAAATCCCCAAATTTCTTTCCACAGTGGCTGAACAGTGTATATGCATTCCCTTTTCTCTGCAGCCACACCAGCATCTGTTGTTTTTTGACATTTTTTTAAATTATACTTTAAGTTCTGGGGTACAAGTGCAGAACGTGCAGTTTGTTACATAGGTATACACGTGCCATGGTGGTTTGCTGCAGCCATCAACCCCTCACCTACATTAGGTATTTCTCCTAGTGCTATCCTTCGCCTAGCCCCCCAATACCCAACAGGCCCTGGTGTGTGATGTTTCCCTCCCTGTGTCCATGTGTTCTCATTGTTCAACTCCCACTTATGAGTGAGAACATGTGGTGTTTGGTTTTCTGTTGTTGTGTTAGTTTACTGAGAATGATTGTTTCCAGCTTCATCCATGTCTCTGCAAAGGACATGAACTCATCCTTTTTATGGCTGCATATTATTCCATGCTGTATATGTGCCACATTTTCTTTATCCAGTCTATCACTGATGGACATTTGGGTTGGTTCCAAGTCTTTGCTATTGTGAATAGTGCCGCAATAAACATACGTGTGAATGTGTCTTTATAGTAGAATGATTTATAATCCTTTGTGTATATACCCAGTAATGGGATCGCTGGGTCAAATGGTATTTCTGGTTCTAGATCCTTGAGGAATCGCTACACTATCTTCCACAATGGTTGAACTAATTTACACTCCCACCAACATGACAGCCATTCTAACCCCTATGAGATGGTGTCTTATTGTGGTTTTGATTTGCATTTCTCTGTTGATTAGTGAGGTTAAGCAATTTTTCATATGTTTCTTGGCCCCTTGCATATCTTCTTTTGAGAAATGTCTGTGTCTTTTGCTTACTTGTTGTTTATGGGGTTATTTTTTGCTTGTTGAATTGTTTAAGTTCCTTATAGATTCTGGATATTAGATCTTTGTTGGATGCATAGTTTACAAATATTTTCCCCCATTCTGTAGGTTGTCTATTTACTCTGTTAGTAGTTTCTTTTGCTGTGTAGTAGCTCTTTAGTTTAATTAGCTCCCAATTGTCATTTTTTGTTTCTGTTGGAATTGCTTTTGAGGACTTAGTCATAAATTATTCCCCAAGGCCAATGTCCAGAATGGTGTTTACTAAGTTTTCTTCCAGCATTTTTACAGTGTGGGGCCTTACATTTTAATCTTTAATTCCTTTTGAGTTAATTTTTGTATGTGTTGAATAGTAGGGGTCTAGTTCCATTCTTCTGCATATAGCTAGCCAGTTATCCCAGCACCATTTATTGAATAGGGAGTCCTTTCCCTATTGTGTATGTTTGTTGACTCTGTCAAAGATGACATGGCTTGTATGCATGTAGCTTTATTTTAGATTTCAGATTAGAGATGTTCAATCTGTATAAATGCTTAGAAAGTAATATTAACACAATAATTTATTAAGCGACCACAAATATCTACAACTTGACTTTCTAAGTTCTCTTCCAAATGTAATTAGAAGGAAACCAATGAAAACCAAGGACGTAATAATGGGATACTGCGCTATAGGTAGATGTGCTGAGCCCCAGCACACAAAGCCAGGGTTTGCATCCTACCTGCACCAGTTACTCCTAATGCGTGTACCTTGGGGATACCGGTTAACCTCTCTGAGTTTCCATGACCTCATTTGTAAAATAAGCTTAATATAATCTCTCATGGGGTTGTGGTAGAGACTGTATATGAAAACTTGTTTTAAATTATAAAGCACGTTTCAAAAACAGTATTATTTTTCAGTCTCACCAGAAATTGAATATCAGTAAATCAGCTTAACGAATAAATTACTTTATTATTATACACTGCCCTACCACCAGTGGTAGAATGTAGATTTCAGTGTTTTTATCAGGGAACTTCCTATAAGCCTTCTTTGAACCAATATTTGTATATAAATTATTCATGAAATGGAATTGGTCACCATACTCTTTACATTTTCTTTGCTTTTTAGACATATACTCAGATCCCACACTTTCTAAATACTAATCTAGTTGATTGTATTTTTGTATTTTTAAAATAATATAAATTATGCTTAAGAAAGGGCTGGATTGTTAAGCAGCTTGTGTTCAGAATACCTGCCACTTCTTGCTGCGTTTTTCTATCTGGAATGCCTTTAATTTACCTGGTTTATTCAAAATGAGATAGAATATTGCTGCTTACTTATCGCTTTCACATCTGCAACAGGTCTGCTCTGTCTTTGTCACTAGGGTTTACATAAAATGACTAGACGCTTTTTCCTTTCAAAGATGAGGATGAAGATTAAGAAGAGAAAAGAAATTATGGAAGCTTGGTGGAAAGTTTGAGAGGAAGAAAGTTAAGTGTAAAGAATAAGGGAGTTAACGCCAAAAATAAATGAACAAAAATGCCGTCATGTCTGGCAGCTCAGGTGTGTTTTCAATAAGCAGCAATGGAATGGACACGGTGGCTCATGACTGTAATCCCAGCATTTTGGGAGGCCAAGGCAGGCAGATCACTTGAGGCCAGGAGTTTGAGACCAGACTGGCCAACATAGCAAAACCCCGTCTCTGCTAAAAATACAAAAATTAGCCAGGTGTAGTGGTGCGTGCCTGTAATCCCAGAGGCTGACACATGCGAGGATTCCTTAAGCCCAGGAGGTGGAGGTTGGAGTGAGCCAGGATTGTGCTACTGCACTCCAGCCTGGGTGACAGAGTGAGACTCTGTACCAAAAAAAGAAAAAAAAAGCAGCAATGATTCTAATATTTTATTTAGGGTGGTATGAAGAAGGTTGATGGTGAAGATTCACAAGTGGAAAATACCCAGAACAAGTGCCCAGAGGGTGTAGAGTGTGAAAATATGTAGTGGAGCTAAGAGACAAGGGAGGCTCTTCTCTCCAGGGACCTGAGTTCTAGTCTAGACTTAACATGTGATGGCTGTGTGACCTTAGTCAAGGCACTTGACCCCTTCTAGCCTCAGTTTCTTCATCTGTTAAATAGAGGTAATATGTCAGCGGGATCTGAGGATAAATTGTAATAATGCAGCCCAAGCCCATAGTGAGCACAGTGCCTAGCACATAGTAAATATTTGATACGTGTTAGACACTGTTACTATTTTATGATTATGTGAACTTAGGGAAGAGGAACCATACTAAGTGCCTCAGTTCAGAGCTGAAATGAGTGTCAGGTGGCATTACTGGAAGTAGGATGGTAGTAAGCACCATGAGATCAGTTACTATCTTAGCTCCCATGTGACTACTTATGCCCATGCCTAAATTCATTTATCAATAAATTGTTCTCAGATTCTAGAAGCTATTGACAAGACCAAGCAGAATCATACAGAAAATGTTATGGTAAACTTGTGCGAGATGACCTAGTCTAGCAAACATGCACATGATCTTAGCTTTCTATAAGGAAGATAAAGTTTTTAGAGACAAGGTGAAGGAAAAAATAAGTCTACAAAGCAAGATAGACCCTTGAAGATGTAATGGTGCAAAACTACTTTTTAATATATGTTATCTTAATACCCAATGGTCTAAGTCAGTTGTTGGCTAAATTATTCATCTGGGAATTTTAATGGTGACATAAGAGAAGGTTGCGGACAGCAAAGTTGGTACAGTGTGTAGGAAGGAAGAGAACCTAGAACTCTGTAACTTACTAGGGTTATATGCCTCCAAAGTCAGTTGCCGGTATAGCTCTCAGTAAAGAACATGGATTGAGTGTTTATAATGTGTTTGGCACATTCATCTGTCTTAATTCTAAATGACCATTTGACATAGGTATCTTGATCTTCATTGTATAAATGAGAGGAACCAACATACAGAGTTTAGATTTGTCCCAGATTCCTTTGTCCTAAACCTATTGCTTATTCACTTATGCCAGAATGACTGATGTAAGTAAGTCAGACGTTATTTAAAGCCTTCAAAAGAACCTAGGCAAATATTTGAGACTTCTCAAATGTTCAGCCGAAGGTAAGAGAATTAAGTTACATCACAAAATGAATCTTTCTAAATTATTTCTTATAAAGCATTTGCATCTCATAAGTAGCATTGTTTTTTTGAAGTTTCACTGATCATTTTTTAGGTTCAACATAAAATAGTTCTCAAATTTGGGTGCACATCGGAATCACCTGGAGGACTTGTTAAGTAAGATTCAGTAGCTCTGGTATGGCCTGAGAATATGCATTTCTGACAGATTCCCTATTGCTGGCACATCACTTTGAGGTCCACATTTTGAGAACCACTGACATAAAAAGCATGTATTTTATGATTAATCCTATGGAGGAACAAGTAGGAAAATAGTCCTTGAGGGGAATTCCAAGATCACAGGTGGAAGCTGAAATTCAGATCATGTTTCCAAAACTCAGTAGGTTATACCTAGCCAGGCATAACTGAATTTGGAGTCTAAAAGATCTGTATTATCACTTTTTTATTTTGAAGGATGCCTTTTGATTACAGAGGGAAATCAAGGATTAAAAATCAATATACATGTAAATATTGAAATTCATTGGTAACTTTAAAAAGCACAACAGTTTTGTGTGCTTTTCTCCAAAGCACTACAAATATGATTAATTGATGTATAAGAATTTTCTTATGGAATTTTTTTTTTTGTCTCTGTAGGTGGCAAATCTTCCAAAAGACTACATGATAACCCTCAAATATGTCCCCGGGATGGATGTTTTGGTATGTAAACTACATTTCTGAGTTTCATTTTAGTAGCTCATAGAAGAAATGGGATCATTCATATTGAGATAGTACACTAGCTGCTATTTAGGAGCTTGCTTATTGTCAGGATTTGAAGAATTTATCTTTGGAATTTGACTTGCAGGCTTTTTT
The DNA here is from genome assembly GCF_000001405.40 of Homo sapiens. Taxonomy (NCBI): domain Eukaryota; kingdom Metazoa; phylum Chordata; class Mammalia; order Primates; family Hominidae; genus Homo; species Homo sapiens. Next base: position 88,532,287 of record NC_000012.12, on the reverse strand, counting down.
TTCCCCCTCTTAAGCAACTGTTAAACTTTATCAGTGATCATTTCAGCACATATATCCTAGACCTGTATAGTTGTTCTTCACTATCCTTAGGAAATTGGTTCCAGGACACCTTCCGACCCTCCATCCTCCCCACTCACTCCACCATCAGGATACCCAAATCCTAGGATGCTCAAGTCATTTCTATGAATGGCATAGTATTTGCATATAACCTATGCACATTCTTCTGTATACTTTATTTTTAAATTTTTATTTTTCACCATGGAAGGCACACTGGAACTCCTGTGTGTTCCAGGAGTTTAGTTCCAGGAATTTGGAACTAAATTAAATTATTTCTAAATTAATTCTAAATTAATTCTAATACTGAATATAATGCCTATATTACATAAATCATTGTTATGCTCTGCTTTTAAAATTTGCTTTATGTTTTCTTATTGTTTGAATATTTTCCATCTTTGGTTGGTTGAATCCGTGGATACAGAGGGCCATCTGTACTTCCAAAGTAAATACGATTATCTTCTTTAGACCTAGCCACAGATTTTCTCATTTTCCTTAAGCATCCCCCTAAAAAAGGACTTCAGTGTAAGTTTATGTAAATTCTTTTTCATAGCTGACCTACCTCACTTGTTTAATTTGAAAGCACAATTTGATTTACTAGCAGTGCAATAGATTCTTAGAACCTTACAACAAGTGTATGTGTTTACTATTATAAGTACTACTCTGTTGCTGAAACCAAGAAATTTTAATTATTTTTCTCATTACACAGTATCAGAATTCATACATTAAGAAATATTTCAAGCATAGAGAATAATGTAATATCTGTATACCTATCACAGAGCTTATCAAACCTTACCATTGTGCAATATTTGCTTCAAATATATTTTTAATAATGAAACATTACAAATGTAACTAATGCCCTATGTATGCTCCTTCTCTGTCTTCATTAATCCCCAGTTTGTCTCTTAGTGGTAACACTTATTCTGAGCTGGACTTTTTCATTCCAATGTGTGCTTTCAGGGCTTGTAATGTGGACAGCATTCACTAGTGTTATGTAGAGCAGGAGGAGCATTCTCTTATATGTTTACTGCAGTGTATGCACCCATACATAAGACATGGAACTTTTTGAATATTTAATAATTTTATGTTAAGCTTCTATACTTTGAAGTTCGCTTATATCTTTCAACATGCTTTGACAAGTTGTTTTATGTTGACTCATTTCAACTACTGTACTGTGTTTCTTGAGTAAATTTAAAACCATTTGAGTTACTCTCTTCTCTACAACTCTCATCTTTCCATAATCTACCAAAACTTATTAAACATCTACTTTGTGTAGGTTTTGACCAATTTTTGTGGATCAGTCCATCAAAGTTGTTACCAATTTAAACACATCATTATGTGCTTGTGCTTAAAATGCATTTCAAAGACTACAAGGCTGTCATTTCAAGAGAATGTCAAAGCTACATTTCTTTTTATTAGTAAGCATTTTAGCATGAACTACCTAAAGTTTTTTTTAGAATTCCTTAGAACATGTATCTTCATGTTGAACCATTTATCCTCAAGCCTATGTCAATGTCTATCCTATTGAGTTAGGGGGAGTTCTCTGGAAATAGAAATGGAAAATTATTAGCAGCCTGAAAGTTAATTAATTTTATTATTTGGTTACTAAGCAAGTATTTAGTTAGGAAAAACTAACCAGGAGCCAGCACTTTGGCAGACACTTGAAGAAACAAACACACACCAATTAGGCAATGATCTTTAGTTCAAAAAGTTTAGTAATTGGGAAGGCAGGCAGGGGGGATTATGTGGCCTTTTTATAACACTTTTCCATTTGCAAAATGATTTCACATATTAATTTTCTTGGCTGATTAGAAAAACTCTGAGGAAGGTAAAATAGCTATTATGATTCCTATTTTACAAATGATATATTGAGCTTTACAGCGCAAAAGTATTTTGCCCAAGGCTATACAATTAGAACGTGACAGAGTCTTAAAAAGAAACCCGTAGGTCATCAGACTCTTAACCCTGGGTTACGGAAAGTGAGGATCTATATAATTACAACACTTAGGGAAAGTGTTTGAAGGGAAGCCTCTAGGTAATAAAGACCCACCCCAGATCCTTCCTGACTGCAGCAGCATTTAGGATTGTGATTGCCAAGCACCCAAAGATAACCTGCTGCTCTTTGAAAAACAAATGCTAAACTGAAAACAACTAAATAGAATTTTTTGTGCTGGTATAATCATAGAATATGCTAAATCATAGATTTCAATGTCGGCTTGTGATAGCAAGAGCCAAGCTTGTGAAAATAAAGCTGATTCACTGCCACATATTTTGTGCTTGTTTCTGTAATTGAGAAAAATCTACTATTGATTCTGGCATGCTATACTGGCACAACTGGAGAAACACTGTTCTTCTTGGCCACCACCATGGGCAAGAAAAACAAGGCCACGTTTAGAGCATTGGACAGAACCAGGGGTCTCACCCTTTGTTTTACCTTCATTTTGACATGTTCGTTTCTGCGAAGACCAGAGGAGTTTCCCAGTGGGGAGGCCTCTGATTATTTGCGAGTGGTCAGAGTCCCAGCTGCCTTATCTTTTGTCTTTAAACAATAGAGGGTGGAGTGGGAATGGGTGCCAAAAAGATTCTCTGGTGCCAAAGCAATAAAATTCTGCCCATGGGCACTGGGCAGAAGAAAGCTCTAGAATAGAATACACTTTTATTTTTATTTTTATTTTGCCTTCATTTTAAAAAACAGCTAAATTCTCCTAGAAAAGGGAGTTCACTTTTCCAAGGTCCTTCTTAGAAAATTACCTAGCAGATTCTGTCTCACAAATAGCAGGGTGTGATCAACCACTTAGTATTTAAATCTAACGATAATCACCAATGCTATTTTAAACTCTTTGAAACTATTATATTGCCGGACTGTTGAAATTTCCTTTAACTTCCTAACCTTAAAGAATACCTGGATATTTCTGGTCTTTTACATTTACTGGTAATGTTATTGTAGAAAGAATAAAAATGGCATTGCTGAATTGTTGCCACACACCTTCATTCACTTGAACTTCCATAGCATTTACATAAACTGTGGGTTGCTTGTAATATTTGAGTTTAAAAATCTTCATTTTTAAAAAAATTTTTTTATTTTTAGCTATTATGGATACATAAGAGTTGTGTATATTTATGGGGTACACGTGATATTTTGATGCAACCATACAGTGTGTAATGATCAAATCAGAGTAACTGGAATATTCATCAGCTCAACTTTACAATTTCTTTGTGTTAGGAACATTCCAATTCCACTCTTTTAGTTATTTTGAAACAGACATTTTTATTAACTGTGCCACCTATTTTGCTACTGAACACTGGATCTTATTCGTTTTTCAATTTTTACTTAAAGTATATATTCATCAGTTTTCTTTTAGTTTTTTATTTGCAAATAATTTTAAATTTACAAAAACGTTGCAAGAATATTTAAAGAACACCCATGTGCCGTTTAATCCAGATTCACCTATTTCAAGTATTTTTAACATTCTGCCTCATTTGCTTTATCAGTTGCTTTCTTTCTATGTATGCATGTGTGTTTTATTATGTTTCTGAACTTCTTGAATAAGTTGTATACTGATGCATACATGGCCATTTACTCTTAAATACTTCAGTGTGTATTTCCTATGTGAAGGATATTTTCTTACCTAAACACAGTACATTTGCAACTTCAACACATTTTACAATAATTATAGTACTTTAATCTAGGTCTGCATTTCAATTTAGCTTTTTTGTTTTTGTTTTTGTTTTTTGTTTTTTGCATTTCTTTTCCTTCAGTATAAGATCCTATCTAGGATTGGAATTTTCATTTTGATACCATGTAAATAATGACTCCCAAAGATGCCTTGTTTTGGGAATATATTACCTGACATGGCAAAAAGGACTTTGCAGATGTAATTAAATTAAGGATTTATAGATGGAAAAGTTATTTTGGATTATCCAGGTGGTCCCACTCTGATTTACATGAGTTCTTATAAAAGGGAGGCAGGAGTGTCAGAGCCAGAGAGGGAGATTTGAAAATATTACACTGCTGGCTTCAAAGATGGAAGAGGGATTCACAAGCCAAGGAACGCACATGGCCTCTGAAAGCTGGAAAAGGCAAAGAAAATGATTTTTCCTTTACAGCATCCAAAAGAAACACAGCCCTAATGAATACCTTGGTATTAGCCTATTCAGACCTATTTTAAACTTCTGACCTCCAGAACTGTAAAATAACAAATTTGTGCTGCTTTAAGCCACCAAGTTTGTAGTACTTTGTTATAGCAGCAATAATAAGCTACTACATCCTGTCTCTCTAGTCTCCTTTAAGATTTCCTCAGGCTTTCTTTGTCTTTATGGCACTGACATTTTTGAATGAGACAGTCCTCCCCTTTAAGAAAAGTGTTTCTCTTTGCAACATTTGATTGATGTTTCTTAATGCTTCTGTGGAGCTTATGCAATTCAAGTGACAATGCTACGAAAGTGATGATTTGTGCTCAGGTAACCACATCCAGAGGCACACAGAGTCCATCCTCTCCTCATGGTGCTGTTTGTTTTGATCATCTGGTTAAGATGTTCAACTGTTTATGTATATTTACTCATTCACAATTTGGGGAGAGACACTTTAAGGCCATATAAGCAATCCTTCTCCTTCTCAAAGTTTCTCCCACAGATTTAGCATCTATTGATGATACTTACCTGAACCAATCTTTGCTATCATTGTCAGTTTTTCGTTCAGACTTTTTAAAGGCACAGCTAAATATGGAAGTGATTGGCAGCATGTGATGCCACTCTAACAATAAGCCTTCCAAACTTCTTCCCTCTTCAGTACCCTTCCTCAGGTATGCACAATTTCACTTCTTGGCTATTCTCATCTTTTTTTGCCTGGCCCTGTTACTTACCTCTGGGCTCTTTCCATTTTCTTTGATACCTGAGGATTTATTATTTGATGTTTTGATTCTTCCTGAATAGACAGAGTGATTTAAAAAGAAATACATCCAATCATTTCATTCCTGTTTCTTTATATTCATTGAATGGCTTTTTGCTGCTCTTAGGAAACAGGAAAAGGAGCTGCTTCAACAAGGCCTCCAAGACTGTAGTGATCTAGCTGGGCACAGTGGCTCACGCCTGTAATCTCAGCATTTTGGGAGGCTGAGACAGGTGGATCATGAGGTCAGGAGATCGAGACCATCCTGGTTAACACAGTGAAACCCCGTCTATACTAAAAATACAGAAAATTAGCTGGGCGTGGTGGCGGGCGCCTGTAGTCCCAGCTACTCAGGAGGCTGAGACAGGAGAATGGCGTGAACCTGGGAGGTGGAGTTTTCAGTGAGCCAAGATTGCACCACTGCACTCCAGGCTGGGTGACAGAGCGAGACTCCGTCTCAAAAAAAAAAAAAAAAAAAAAAAGACTATACTGATCTGGCACCTTTCCACATCCTTTTTCAGTCCTTTATCGTTATCGTTACCAGTTCCTTGCTGCCACATAGCTTCTTGCCTGGCTTTCTCTATTCCTGGAATCCTGATTGGTTCTTTTGTCTAGCTAACACCTGATTCTTTTAGATTTTGGTTTTGATTTTTGATGAAACCAAATTGTTCTACTGGAAACTCTTCTCATCGCACTCCTCAGAGTAGCAGTTTTGGATGTATTTGTGGGATGATTTAATAGATAATCTTCCACCAACCTGTAAACTTCACAAAGGTAGGAACTATATTCTTTTTGCTCTGCATTAGATTCTCAGTGCCTCATGGATGCTCATATGCATTTAATGAATATTTGCTGAAAGAAAGTGAAGAAAGGAAGGAGGAAGAAAATTTCCCTACCATATAATCATTTGTAATTTCCTTGAGGCACAGATTTGAACTTAGTTCACAAGGTTATAATGATGAGGTGAGTGCCTATAACTCGTCACACAGTATCTGCACTGCAACGTTATTATCTTCTTTTAGATACGTGTGAATTTTTTGAAATATTTTAGGTGTAAGAATTGTATTATGCAATTTTGGGGAATCACAGCTTCTTTAAGCCTTTGGTTCTACTGCTTTAATTGAGTTATTTTTGCATTCAAGAACCTGCTTATTGTTCCCATTTACTAAAGGCTGAGAGCCAGATTCCTGAACCTAATGTTCATGACTCTCTGTAATCCTTCCCTACCCTAACCAACTCATCTGAATACCCATTATTCCCCAACACAAACTTGCCACCTCAGCCACATGCATCACTGCCTCCTAAAATAATGCGCCTGTTCTCAAAGGATGCCCTTTCTTCTCCCATCCACTTATCCAAATTCTACCCATAGAATCATGCAATATCTTGGGGCTTAACCCATCTTAGTGGTCATCTCCTCCAAGGTCAGTTTAAGATTTCTCTTTCACACAAGGACATTTTCTGCTCTTTCAGCCCACATTTTCTCTCCCATGTATCATTTGATCAGGTGCTACTCTGTGCTGAGTGTTTTGCTTGATGCTGGAGCTTGGTGGTCAGCAATACTATCATTGCACCTGCTATGTGGACCCTATCTTTTAGTTTATTATCTTGTGACTTCTATGGAATTTGTCCAGAAGCTATTCATCTTGGGTACATGATCATATATTGCTTACATAGAGCTTAATATTTTAAGTGTTATATATTTGTCTCAAAGTATTATCGTGAGAAATAATTAAAATACAAAAAATATGAGTTGTGGTGTGCATATAATAACATCAGATACCATCATTATTATTTTGTTGTTGTGTTCTCTTTTTACTATATTTTGACTATCTACAGAGCAAGGTTGAAATCTTTTACTCCTGTGTATCTCCTCACCATTCTTTAGACAATCCAATGCATATAGTCGCTCCTCAAAAAATAGTTATGAATAAACATTTAACTCTTGGCAAAAATGCTAGATTTCCAAATCTTGAAGGAGCCCATCTTATTAGTTTAGATTCCTGTGGTTTTCACTAATAGTAAAAGTCCCATTATTATAAGGACACTAAAGAATAGCATGTCACCTAAGGGCATGGGTGCAACAGGCCCCATGAAAAGACTGGAACCAGGATTGGAAACTATCAGTTTTTCCTTCTCCATCTCTGAATCTCTGTTTCTCCGCCTCATTCTATTTGTGCAGATATTTTCTCCTTTGTTCCAGTCACTTGGTAGAATGTAACTGCCCAAGAGCTGCCAGGTTTACATATTTCAATTTCAGCCCTATTCAGAGATTAATTATCAGTTTCTAATGATCAATACCAATTTTGGGGAGGAACGTTCTGGTTGGCCTATCCAAGTCAGGTGTCTACCATCATCCAACCAACTATGGCTACAGGGAAAGTTCACCGTTTGTAAGCATGGATTCTGAGGCTCCACTCCTATGATGCGGCATTCTCTCTATAAAAATAGACGTCAGCCAAATAGACACTTGTAGTCAACTATTTATCTGCCTCGATCTCCCATGTAATAAGAAAGTATTTATTTAAAAGGAATAAGCATAAAATGTTAGTTGAATGAATAAAATATGACATTAAATGCTATTTTAAGTAGTTCTTTTGTATACTGTACTACAGCACAGGGGCCCGTCTTCCTAATAAGTGATTATATTAAGATGCTGTTCAGATTATCTAGGCCATTATTCTCTGATAGAAATACAATGGAAGCCACGTTCATAATCTTAATTGTCTGGTAGCAACACTAAAAAAAAAATAAATAAAAACGAGCAGCTGAAATTAAGTATAATGAAATTTATTTAGCCCCATGTATCCAAAATATTGTCATTTCACCTTAAAATCAATATAAAAATTATTAATGGAATGTTTTATATGTTTCATATTATTCAAAATCCACAGTGTGTTTTACATCTGCAACATATTACAGTTCATACACTAAATTTTCATTAGAAATAGTTATTCCATATTTAGATTTTTTAATAAAATTTACCATTGAGAAGATAGTCACATTTCTGTGTTTTCCAAACATACTTAAAAGTTCCAGCCTCTAAATAGGGTGATATTATTGACTTTTCAATTTAAAGAAATTATAATTAAGTAAAATGAAAATTTTAGCTCTGCAGTCACATTCAATGCATTTTGAGTGAGAGGAGCTGCAGATGGATAGTGGGATTCCCATATTGGCCAGCATCGATTAGAATTTATTTTATAGATGGAGAAACTGAAGCCCTGAATAGATTAAATGACTTGCCTGAAATCACAAAGTGAATTGACAGAGTTGGGACTAAAAACTGGGCCTCTAGTTCATCGTTGCTGCCCTCACTCCCCAAACCCCTGTGCTGTTCCTTCACTGTTCTATTTTAGGGCGGGCCTAGGGGCCATTTATAGGTCTGCCCTGGGAAATAACACATATTTAGAGTGCTTTGGTTGATTACCATCTTAATCAGATTGAGATTTCTACGGCACTTTAATTCAAACAAGAAATGTAAAGTTAGATGCCTAAAGTGAACACTGAAGACCCAAATTAATTGTTTAGGGAGAGGACTAAAATAAATCATTACAAAACCCAGCTAATCCAAAGAGAAGTTAAGATTTCGGAGACTACACTGGCAACATGAACATGCAATATTTTGCAAAGTGCTTTTATAGGAAACTTTTAAATTTGCCTGCCCATGGAATGTTTGAGAGTAGAATGTCAGCTTTCTAGCCACAACGAAAAAAACCAAAAGAACAGTAAATAAAGTCCACAAATGGCAATTGTCACAATTCCTCAGAGAAATTTACCTTCATTGGTATGACTCTGGATTAACTGAAATGAAACAGAAAGAACCATTTCTATTCCAAAGAGATTTCTTAATTGAGCCGAAGAATCGTGTCTGGTCCAGACGTGAGACCACATGGGTCATAGTGAATTCAGCAGAAAAAAACACTTCAGTTTTATGTGCTTTCACTATTCTCATGGCTACTAGAACAAAATGAGTGATCGAGAGTCCTGGTTTCTCGCGTTTCTGTGTAAATTTGTTATGTAACCTGGAACGAGACACTTCACTACTCTAAGCCTTGATTTTCCCGCTTATACAATTGGTGAGACTGGTCCTCAGTATTCCTTCTAGGTCTGGAATTCTGGTGATTCTGATGACATGGCTCTAGATTTTGATTGCACATCCCAGAGGTAGATGCTGAAAGCACAAACAGAAAGGTACACTTCGTGCCCTAGGCATGCATACGTCTAATTCCAGCAAGACTGAAGTTTGACACGAATTAAAGAAAGTAAAACAAAAACAAACTGGGTGGTAATGCTGGTATTTAGATTAATCAGATTAGAAGGCTGGGTGAATACTCCTTATGAATATTCTTAGAAACCTCATAGTTTATGAGCCAGGCTTTTCACTCTGAGAATCTCTAATTGGTATTTCACCAACTCCTGTGAAAAGAACGTTCTCACTGGGTAGATACTAGCTTTAGGCCCTATAAGAAAGAACATAGATATCTCTCTGTGAATAGCTACCAAATTGAAAGTAATGTAAAGTGCTTCAGTGAAGAAGTGTTACAGTATTATTTTGTCTACTTTCAGCTTCTTAATCCGTAAATCTTACCGTGACTGCTCTTAAAGACTGTCTGTGGGGTGGGCGCGGTGGCTCACTCCTGTAATCCCAGCACTTTGGGAAACCGAGATGGGTGGATCACCTGGAGTCAGGACTTCAAGATTAGCCTAGCCAACATGGTGAAATCCCATCTCTACTAAAAAAACAAAAGTTAGCTGGGCGTGGTGGCAGATGCCCGTAATCCCAACTACTCAGGAGGCTGAAGCAGGAGAATCGCTTGAACCCAGGAGGCAGAGGTTGCAGTGAGCTGAGACCACGCCATTGCACTCCAGCGTGGGCGAGAAGAGCAAGACTGTCTCAAAAAAAAAAAAAAAAAAAAGACTGTGCATCTAATACCAATGTGGAATAATGTGTCAAATTATTTCACCTAATAAACCAGCACAGTTTCTTGAATGAGGCAGGAGATAGAGAGGAGAAAGCATGCCAGAATTAGCAAGTCTCCAGGATGATTTTAAAACACATGGTTTATTTCAGCCGGTTTCTCAAATTTACTGGTTCTGGAACTACAGAGATTCTGTGTCACATATTCTGTGGAATTAATATATTACCTTTTAAAAATTTATGCTTAGTCTTAGAATGTGCATATATTTCTGTTGTTGGTCTTTGGAAACAGTCATATTCCTAGTTATGTTTAGAATACTTTTAATTTTATTCATTTTAAATTATATATTTTATTTAATCATTTAGCGAGATCATGATTTGGTGTTCATGGTACTTTAAAATTCCTAAGGAAGTTCACAGTTTTTGACTGAATTGTCAGTGGTAGTGAGATGCTAGCAGTCCAATATCATTGAGTCAATATCATTGAGTCAGTTTGGATTCTAGAATAATAACATGTTATAAGTACATAGGGATAGAAAGCACATGTTTTTAGTAGTCCTAGCTAGAGCTGCTATAATTAACCAAGAAAACATAAGACAGAAGCTATCAAGAAAGAAGGTAAGAAATTGAGAGCATGGAGTCAAGAAAAAAGTTTTTACACTCAAAGCAGAATCTATATGTTTCTTCTTTTGGAAACAATACATACAGGCGAATAAAGCATCAAATTACATGCACATCAGGAATTTAAAAGCAATCATTTGTGTCACCTTTGACATCCTGTATGACTGTCAATTTTCTTAATCCTTTATATTTTCTAGTGAAAGAGAGAACATTATATCTTACTTTCTTCTAATGAATATCATTGAGTAAATATTTATATAAAACTATTTAAGTTTAAAATATCTCTGAAAAATAAGAAACAGTGATAATATCATTTATTAAGGCAAACAAAAAGTACGTTTGTAAATTTGACAATCTTTAATCATTTATTTCATAATCATAATCGTGGAGGAATTGAAAAACAGAAAGACCTGCTATCACCTCACAAATGAAATACTTAGTTCATTGTGTTTTATTCTCCTTGCAAATCATTGACGATATTTAATTAAAAATTACAAAACTGCTAGACATTCCAGTCAAAACTAGTTTCCTCTCTTACAAGCAGGCAGATCAAAACTGACTGACATTTAATATTATTTGTTTACCTTCATTTTATCTTTAATAAACTCAAGAATCTTAAAAAGCCAATATATACATGGTTAAACAAATTACTGAAAAATAGAACTTTGAATTTATGATTCAGCCTTTTCCAAAGAAACAATAGCACAAGCAAAAATAAAAAATGAGTGAAACATGATTACAAGTGTTTTAGAAATACACGATTTTTCAGCTGTGTAGGCACGTAGTTTATATCAACTATCAACAAATTGTTCATGACTTTAGAAGGGCAAACATTAGAGTAGGATTAGATTGTGGAATTTCCATGGTTTAACTCTAAGAAAGCACAGGATTGGGGTTGGAAATTTTACTGGAAAGAGTTGATTGTTTAGACTGTTGATTTAGTTATGTGAAAATGGGAGGAGGTAGGGTAATAGCTAAATAGGAACTAGAATATAAAATGTAAACATAGAGTTCGGTTGAAAATAGTGATCAACAGAAGTGGCAGTAAGTACCCCAGAATTCCTCAGCTTAAAAATAAGAAACAAATCAACAAAACATTTTCTACTTTAACCACAAAAAAAAAGCAAAATGAACAAAGTACCCATTCATATAAGACAACTACCACAGAAACTAAAGGAATGTCTTAATTCAAAACAAGGAATTTGATTTTGGTTCTTACTTGCCAGAGATCCTAGGCAAGCATACTCATAAAGTGAGGAAATAGAGTCCTAAGAGATTAATACCTGGAATTTCATTGTTAGAAAAATTTGCACAATTTCAACGGAATGAATTGGTGAAAGCTACTCTATCACATAAATACTATTCAAATAGCAATTTACAGTGTATGCTGTGTTCCATATCCTAGGAAATCTGTTCATTGTTGATAGGGCTGACGGTCTATAAGGAATTATCACTCCCTAAAAGGAAAGAAACTTGCAGAGCAATTCAGCATCCAAGGAAAGACTGACAGCTTTGAAAGAGACCTGATAATGATGCAAGTAGGAACTTGCATGTGCTTGAAGTAAGCACTGATTTAACAAAACAAAGACTCTGTTCTGCACATACTTTGGAAACACATATTCTTTGAGAACTTGGTTATGACGAGTTGAAATGGCCACTTGAACTAAATTCCCATGTTGAGATTTGTTTATCCTTCTTATCTGAAGCCAGAGCCAACAATCCTAAAAGTTTTGAGTGACATTTAATGGTTCCAGGAATTGGGGCTTACCTATCTGCAGATAAACCTGCTTCCTTTTTGGCTGTATTATATTAAGTAAAACAGTTCTGTTAAATGAATATAAAGTGGTCCCTTCTATACTTTAGAATAAATAAATGACTTGAGCCAGATGCAGTGACTCACGCCTCTAATCCCAGCATTTTAGAATGCTGAGGAGGGAGGATTGCTTGAGGCCAGGAGTTCAAGAGCAGCCTGAGCAGCAAAGCAAGATCCCATTTATATAAAAAAATTAAAAATTAGCCACACTTGGTAGCATGCGCCTTGTAGTGCCAGCTACTTGGGAGGCTGAAGTGGGAAGATCACTTGGGCCCAGGAATTCAACATTGCAGTGAACCATGATTGCACCCCTGCACTACAGCCCAGGACTCAGAGAGAGAGCCTGTCTCTGTAAAAAATTAAAGCATAAATAAATAAATAAATAAATAAAAGGCTTGACTTTTCCCACAGAGATATTCTGCTGGTAAATAGAGAAATAAAGCTTAGTAGTTTGATTTATTTTCCATGACATCAGTTACTCTGAGTACAATATTTTTGTTACAAGTTGTATTAAATTATTTGTGCTTTTAATGAGCCAATTCAATGTTATTCTTAATAACAATGTTATTTTTGTCACTGCAGCATTTCAGCAGTGTTCAAAATACATCAGAGTTTCCACTTAAAAGATCTTTATAAGAGAAAAGATAACACATTAAAATCATATAAAGCATGCAAACTTACAACCTCCTCCTCCTGTTACAAGAGTCCCTCCTCCTATTACAATAGTCCCTCCTCCTCCTGTCACACTAGTCCCTTCTCTTCCTGTTACAATAACCCCTGTCCTCCTATTACAACATTTTAAGTAATGTAATATTAATTTTAAAAATCTGGCCAGGCACGGTGGTTCATGCTTGTAATCCCAGCACATTGGGAAGCTGAGACGGGTGGATCATTTGAGGTCAGGAAGTTTGAGACAGCCTGGCCAACATGGTGAAACTTCCTCTCTACTAAAAATAAAAAAGTAGCCAGGCATGGTGGCAGGCACTTGTAATCTGAGCTACTCGAGAGGCTGAGGCAGGAGAATCACTTGAGTAACTAAAACGATAGCTTTGAAGAGTACTCCGAGTTTTATGGCACTTACTTATTAAAATAGCTGTTTTGTCTCTTTTTTCATATCTTGCAGCCAAGTCATTGTTGGATAAGCGAGATGGTAGTACAATTGTCAGACAGCTTGACTGATCTTCTGGACAAGTTTTCAAATATTTCTGAAGGCTTGAGTAATTATTCCATCATAGACAAACTTGTGAATATAGTGGATGACCTTGTGGAGTGCGTGAAAGAAAACTCATCTAAGGTAACTTTGTGTTCATTGGGATTATTTTTCATTACGCTTCTCTAAAAACCCATGCTTCTTGGTGCTGTTGGGGAAAATGAGGCACCTTTATTTATGATATTTTGATTGTATAAACTTCAAATTTAAAAATCTTGTTCAGATGAGCAAAGAAAACAAGTATTTGCAGTTATACTGCAATACTGAAGTGCACATTCAAACTTAAATGTTGTCATCTAATACAAAAATAAAACTTATTTACATTACAATGCAAAATCAGTCCTGCCTTTATCTTTATTCTTCATAAGTGAAGTCCTTGAAACCTTTCTATTAAGTTACAAGTGTTCATTTAAATGGAAAATTGTCTGTAATAAACACATATCCTTTTATGCATAATGTAATCACCCCATAGGTCACAGCAAAGGAATACATTTTGGCTCCTCAAAGTCATTGGATAACTGATCATCACCAACTTCAGGATATGGGCATGACATATGGAATAGGCAATGTACTCCAGAAAATAAGAGTGAGATATTGGAGTTTAAATTCTGGCTCTGTCGCTAATGAGTTCTGTGAGCGTAACTTCTTTGTACCTCACTTTCTTTATCTTTAAAATGGGGGCAATGCCAGAATTCATCTAACAGGGTCGACGTTAGGTTATTTGCCATGAGTACTTTAACACCCTACCTAGCAAAATAAATATTAATAAAATTTGATGTTTTTTCATCACACTGTGTCTATAGCAAAATCATGCTTAGGAGACCTGATTTGGTATACAGTTCAAATGGCCAAAGATTAGCTTAGGAGACTTATGTAAGTTTAAATTCAAAGTTTTAAGCAGGATTCTGTACCTTAATACCTAAATGCTTTTTCCTGTGTCCCATCTAAATTCCAGCTATTCTGTAAGACCCAACTTCAATCCCATTTGTACTATCCTATCTTATAATTCTTACCATACTAATAATCCAATCACTACCTTTAATCTTTGTATTATTTTCTAATTTCCAAAGTCAGAATGTGGTGTTAACCACTCTTTCATATTACTACTGCATATAGTGTGCCAATGGCATTCAAAAGAAGTAGAGATCACAAAAAGTAGAGTGCATCACACAAGGTGTCACAAAGGAAATAACATGTGCATTAGAGCCTTAAAGATGAGTTAGGTAAATGAGTTAGGTCAATGGTGATGTTGGGAAGAACACTGCAAACAACAAAGAATGTGCATTTACTAATCATGGCACTTTGGTGGGAACCCAGGAGATTACCAATTATATTTCTCAGTTGTTTTGGAGATTGAGTTACTGTATATAAAGCACTTAGAATAGTCCATAGTAAGTAACAGATAGTTGTTTATTTTGGTTACCTACTTTTCTTTATAATCCATTATGTATCCCTACAACATAGCTTTGATTTGCTTTGGGGAATTTTATATTAATTTTATATCAATTAATCATACCATTTTTATTATTTTGGGACTTGCCTCTTTCACTCAGCTTTAGGTTTAGAAGATGTATCCACTTTAAAGCATATAGCTGTAGTTAACCTTCTCTTGAATTGAACTCCACTAATTCAATATATCACTAGTTATTAAGCCACTCTGTCTGGATTGACATAAGTGATACAGATATTGCTGCAAAAAAACTTTTTTATATGTCTGATGGTATATATGTGCAATAGTTTCAGTAGGTTATTTACCTGAGAATGGAATTTCTGAGTCACAGGATGGTCACATGTCTAACTTTACTGGATAATATCAAATGTACCAACTTACATTATCTCAGCAGTATGTAAGAGTTCCCTTGCCAATATTTAGTATCATCTGACTTTCTAATTTTTGGATATTAGAGCATGCATTATGGTGTGGTTTTTTTTTTTTTTTTCTAAAGACTGGAAGTTCTTGTAATGGAGGGGTCTTTTAAAAATAAACCCTCATGTTTTTAATGAGCATCTCTAAAGAAAAATATCCCCAGCTTGTTTTTAAGGTTATTTATTTTATTTTATTTTTTGCCATGACATTGTGTTCACTGCCCCAGATTCAACTTGTGATCCCACTGGGATCACTACCCTGCATTACCAATCTGAATTACATACGTTAAAACAGCCATCTAAAAGTGCTAGTTGTAAGAGTCTAAATACTTGAATCTTTGAGAGACATATTTATAGTCCATTATCTTCACCTCAGTTAAGTCTGAAGACTATTTGAAAAATGTAATCCTATTTTTTCTTCTAGGATCTAAAAAAATCATTCAAGAGCCCAGAACCCAGGCTCTTTACTCCTGAAGAATTCTTTAGAATTTTTAATAGATCCATTGATGCCTTCAAGGACTTTGTAGTGGCATCTGAAACTAGTGATTGTGTGGTTTCTTCAACATTAAGTCCTGAGAAAGGTAAGACATGTAAGCATTTCCAGTTCAAATGTAAACAACAAACTTAAATCTTCCCTATGTAGTAAGAATCTACCTCTGTGTTAAGCTGTAGCAAGATACATGCATGTACGTCTAATAAAAAAGCAGATATCAATAGCACAGAAGAAACTAATGATTGTAGATTTGTGGGTTTCTAACCCAAAGCAATATTCATCAGTTTCAAATTAGTGAGCTGTTTGTGAGTAAACAATATATGAGATGGCCACTCATACCTTTTCTCATCTAATATTTGCCAGTAATTACAATTATATTATTCTGTACCTCCAGTCTACTTAATGGTCCTTCTCAAATTTTTTCTTAAGGATCTAACTCTAAGTCACAAATTCTGATCCTCCCCAGTTACTCTGTATTAAGACTCTTTTTTCCCTTCACTGGGTCCCTATAATACAAACCTGGATTCATTGCTTTCTTTTTTTAATGAGAAATTACCATCAATGTGTCATTATTTGTATTTATTAACATATTTATTCAATAAGTATTTGTTCTACAAGGTGATAATGGTGGATTTCTTAGTAAAATAGAATAGCAGGACCCAGTATGAAATAAATAGGATCTGAATACTCTAGATTTGGGAAGCAGACCTGGCAAGTAATCTGGTATTGCACTTCACCTTTCAGGGACTCTATAACTCATACAAATCACCATATAACACTGACACATTATTGCTTTCTATTTAGATTCCAGAGTCAGTGTCACAAAACCATTTATGTTACCCCCTGTTGCAGCCAGCTCCCTTAGGAATGACAGCAGTAGCAGTAATAGTAAGTACATATATCTGATTTAATGCATGCATGGCTCCAATTAGCACCTATAGGAGTATTGCATGGGCTTTCAAGGAAACTTCTACATTTATTATTATTGATACTGTTCTGTTACTGTTATTCCTTTTATGGTCTTCTTGAGACTTAAGTTTGTAGAATTAAATTTCCCTAGAGCTGGAGATAATGTTTAGAGAATTAGGCCAATAAATTTTCTGCTGAGGTTATTTTAAATAAGACATAAAATTAATTTTAGAAATATGATTTATGCCTTTTGTTGAATCATTAACATATATTCTGTGTGGAATGTGTCTGACAAAAACGGAAGTTTAAAATTAAGTGTATAAATGCTGGTTGTTAACATATATTCTGTGTGGAATGTGTCTGACAAAAACGGAAGTTTAATTGTATAAATGCTGGTTGTATAGAATTCCAAAGATATTTTCAGATTTGTGTATATCAGTATTTACTATTGCGCATTTGGAAATTTGATGATTTTGTTATTTTACCACAGAATTATATGCTTGATGAGAATAGGCTTATTTTTCTGAAATTTCTGTCCTCTTTTGCCAAGAACCCAATTTTCTTTGAAAATCCAGACAAAGGTCATTATAAAGTTTATTGTATTTACTAAATACTCTCTAGCCTCATGGAAGGTGCAGGAAGAATAAAAACCATCTTGTGATCTAGGCTAAAAAAGTCATCCCTTAGGACTTATAAATGGGGCACTGTCATTTGTTCAGGGACTTAGAAGACCTATCTGTGAAAAGAAGTAATCAATTTATTACTAATTCATAATAGCTTGTTACAATGCAGAACATTTAAAAAAACTCTAAAATACAATTTACTTATTTTGGAATTTTTTGCCACCAAAACCTGACCTGAAGTGATTTGAGGCTATTTATAGTCTATTTATCTTTCTAAAAGTGAATATATATTTTACTAATGAAATATTAATGTATTTGATTACAGAATGCTACCCAGGATTCACTGGGGATAGTATATGTTATACATTATGTGCAGGACAGAATCTTCTGAAACCTAAAATTCTAAATTACGTAGCATATCAGTTCTAAAATGTGTCAAAAAGGGACTAGAGCCCTGTTTGTGTGTTAGTCAATTAAGGGTTTTCTTACCAACTATGGATTTTATTAACATTTTCAAAGGAGCAACTTTTGTCTTCTTAAATTCTCTGCTTATATTTCATTGATTTCTAATCTTTATTATTTCCTTCCATTTGCTTTGTGTTTCATTTACTCCACTTTTTCTAGCTTTTCGAAGTGGAAAAATTAGATCATTGATTTTAAACTATTTTTGCTAATTACAAGCACTTAAAGGTATAAATTTTCTTAAATACACTGCTTTAGCTGCACCTCACACATTTTTGTGTTGTGATTTTATTATTTTTCTAAATATTTGTCAACTGTGATTTCTTCTTTGATTCATGGATAATATAAAAGTGCGTTGTTTGATGTCAAAAAGTTTGAGATTTTCCTATATATCTTATTGTTACTAGTCTATGAATTTTGTTGTCAGAAAACATACTCTATAATTTTTTTGAAATGTACTGAAACTATTTTATGTATGTTATTTAACTGTTGAATGCAGCATTCAAATTTGGCCAAAATGGTTGATAGTGTTGTTTATATCTTCCCTTCCTTATTAAGCTTTTTGTCTAATTTTTATTAATTATTGAGAAAAGGGAATTGAAAATATTAACTTTTGATTGTGGATTTGTCTGATTTTCCATTTGGTTTTGGGTTTTTTGCTTCATATATTTTAAAGCTTTATTATTATGGGCTTATACATTGATTATTGTTAGATCTTCCCTGTTTAATTGACCTTTTAATCTTACTGAAATATCCCTCATTATCTCTGATAGTGCTTTTTGTCTTGAAGTTTATTTTGTCTGATATTAGAGCAAATCTTTCTTATGCTTACTGTTTTCATGGTATATGTTTGGCTTTCCTTTATTTTCAGTCTGTTGTCTGTATTTTTAAAGTACATCTCTAGTAGACAACATACACTTGGGCTTCACTATTTTATTTAGTGTATCTCTGATTGTTAATTAGAGTGCTTCATCCATTTCTATGTAATAAATCATTGGTATAGTTGGATTTTAATCCACCATTTCCTTACTTGTTTTTTATCTGTCCCATTTGTGTATTGACCTTCTGTTCCTTATTTCTAGCCCTTTTTTTTTGGTTAATTATTTTTTTTCTAGTGTTTAATTAGTGTTGGATTTTCAACAGCACCCTTTTGCATTATTTTGTGGTTATTTTGGAAATTAAAGTATACACTTTAACTTGTAATATTCTACTTAGAGTTACTATTGTAGCACTTGAGAAAAAAATGCAAGAACCTTGAAACAGGGTAGTTTTATTTACCCATACCCATCTTTTGTGTCATCATTGACATATATTAACATATCTACATCAGTTATAAATTTCACAATACAGTCTACAATACACAATGCAGTTCAATTATTTCTTTGAACTGTCATACGTATTTTAAAGTAAGAGAAGAAGAAATATATTGTCTTTTATATTAACCTGCATATTTATTATTTCCTGTACCCTTCATTCCCTCTTGTCAGTCCAGGTTTCCATTTGGTATTAATTTCCTTCAGGCTGAAAAACATTCTATAGCATCTCTTATAATACAGATCTGCTGGCAACAAATTCTTTTTTCTTTTTAATTGGAAAATATCTTTGTTTTGTCTTCCATGTAGCAGGTACTTTTTACTAGATATTGAAGTCTGGGTACACAGGATTTTTTTTCTTTTAGTCTTTTAAAAATATCACTATAGTATTCCTGCAGTTATTGTTTCTGAAAAAAATAAAAAAGGTAGCCACCATTTGTCTTATTTTTACCCTGTATGTACAGGGTCATTTCTTCCTCTGCGTTCTTTCAAAGTGTTCTCCTTTTTAACATTTGAGCTAGAATATGCCTATGAGTGGTTTTCTTTGTATTTATCTTTCTTGAGATTTGTCAAGCTTTTGGATCTATATATTTGTTTTCCCTCAAATTTGGGGAAAAAATAGTCATAAATTTTTCAAATTTTTTAATCCATTTTATCTATCCTCTCATTCTGAGATACTACTTGCATATATGTTAGCAGATTGCTAGTGTGTCATAGGTCGCAGAAGTTTTGTTCATTTATTTATCCTCTTTTCTCTGTGTTCTTCTGAGTAATTTCTACTTGTCTGCTTTCAAGTTCATTGACCTTTTGTTCTGCCATCTCTGATCTGCTGAATTTTTCATCCAGTGAATTATTCTATTTATGAATTTATATTTTCTGTTCTAGAATGTCCAGTTAATTGTTTAATGTATTTCATATTTCTCTGCTGGAATTTTCCATCTGCATACTCATTATGAAAAAAAATTCTTTTTTGTCACTTAAATATAATAGCTGCTCTAAAGTTCTTGTCTCCAAATTTCAACACATAGGTCATCTCAGAGTTGATGTCTATTGACTTCTTCCTCTCTGATTAGGGGTCACATTTCCTTTTAAATGGTTAGTGATTGTTTAATATATGCTGGATATTATGAATTCTATGCTGTTGAATATCTTTCAGATTCTATAGCGTTTCTTTAGAGGCTATTGAATTGTGTTTTGGTAGGAGGTTCGAATAGTAGCAGATGAGGTTTATCTTTTCTCCCAGCCTTGTTTTTAAACTTTCTTGGGTACAAGGGAAAGTAGCCTTATTCCTAAGGCATGGAATATCTGAGATATCTGTAAAGTGCTCAGAAAATCTCTCCAATATTGCTTGTCTTAATAATTTTGTCCCCATTGTTCTGTGTCTGCTAGGGCCTCTACTAAGATTATAGCTTCCCATGAGTTTGGTGTTTGGTTATTTTTTTTTATTATAATTTTATTTTTTGGTCAGGTTTTGTGACTTCTCTACTGGTGCATATACAGCTTATTATTGGACCAGTAACTTAAGGAGATTCATCTAGGGATTTCTGATGCTCCTTCTTTGCACAGCTCCCTTCTTCCAAATAACCTAGATCTAGAAACTCCAGCTGCATCGGCAGCCCTGAACTTCAATCTCTGACTCCCTAGCTTAGTGAGGCCATTGGTCCTTGTTTGAACTCTGTCTTCCACACCTCAATCTGAAAGTGCACCCCAGACAGGAGAGCTGAAAGCCAGAAAACCAGGGCAAACATGAGCCTCACTTAGTGTGGATGCCCTGTCTCGTGAATTACACATTTGTACTGCTGTTCACTAATTTCTGAAAAGAGTTGCCTCATAATTTGTCTAGAATTATAATTACTTAGGTTGGAAAGGCTAGTCTGCTACCATCGTATTTGGAAACAAAAGTCTTTCCTACTAATTTTAAAAGACAAACTAAATATAAAATACCTATTCAATCCCGTGCCTCTGAATCTGAGATTACTTTTTAAATTGCAAGATGAATGGACAGCCTTCTTTTTTGTTCACTGTTTCTTTTTTCTTCCTTTTTAAAAAATTTTGAGTCTTGCATTGTCAGCAACTTTTAGCTAGGTGATGTCACTCATGAATATGCCACTTAGATACCTCTGCACAGGACAAGATTTTGTGGTGCTAACATTCAGAGAGAAACAGACGTAAATAAAATACTCATAGTACAGTATACAATATGTATCATAATAGAATTATGCAAATGTTTTTAGGTGTAGCACAAAGGGGGTAAGACTTTTTTGGGAGAAGGGTTAGGGAAATTTGAAGAAAGCATGCTAGTTTTCAGGGATAACTCAAAAGCTGGCCATGTCAGAGTACCAGGGCATATGAAAACTTATTACAGAGATGTGAGTGTGTAAGGAAAAGTCATGGGAGAATGGAATAACATACAAACCTATTAGTTATCCAAAGGGAATTATGTTTATAGCATAACAGTAATATCCTTTATGATAAGCAAAGAGAATGTTTAAAAGATGTTTTATGTTTGAGATTCTTGCAGACAGTACCTAAATGATAGAGAAAGAAATCCTAACTTTGACATTATCTTATACATTTTCTAGAAATAGTCTTGACCCAACCTTCCTGGACTCATATACCAGTCAAGTTAAACTCTTTTGACTCTTCGGTCAAATGGAAGATCATAATACCTCCTTCACAGAGTTTCTGTGAGTTTTAAGTGAGTTAGTACACATGTGCTTGGAGACATAACTGATGTCTTATAAGAGTTCATCATTAAGTACTAGAACAATGAGATGCAATAAGACTTTGGATCAGTAATTATGTTGAACCTTTAGTGAGCTCTGGATCTGAATCAAGGAAGAATACTCATTTGCTTGTTTCATAAGCACCAAGATAACCATGTCACAGGCATGGTGCTCCTAAAAATGCTCACTCTAAAAAGAAGTTCAGCAAAATTATAGCACAATTCTTTGTGTTCTGTATTTCTACAGATGTTGGTTATTATTAGTCAAATGAAACAAGTCAGTTCCCAAGATTTCTGGACAGTGAATAGTTTTGGTAATAAGGAGATATAATTAATATGGTAATAACCCAGGAATTTGGGATTACTCAAATCCGGCCCAGATGAGCTTCCTCTCCACATAAATTCTCTGCAGGCTATCTTTGCATAAAATCAAAACTTTGTTGTCAGCTTAAGTTTTGTCCCCAAATACCCTTCATTTGGGCCTTGAGGCATGCAATTCAAATCTCATTGATTCCTACTCGATAGCTGCAGTGGAAAGTATTGAAAGTCATTCCCTGGAGGTATAAGCAAATCTCTTCTGATAAAGTTCTTTTTGTCTGCCTGCAAGAGGGACAGTAGTATCCCTGATGGACCAAAGGCCTGGTTCTTAAGCCCCACGCATGAACAAGTGAAATAAAAAAAGTGAGGTAACATTGACCTCTATGGGAGGTGAAGCTCAGTAACCTATGGGCGCTTCCCCCAACCCTCCTCTCCACTGCCGCCCCGCCATCCAGTCTTTGCTGTTTCTCTCCCTCCCTGTCTCCTGCAGGAAGATTGCTGCTGTGTCTTAGTCAGACTCCAGGATTGTGTATTGGCTCACAGTCTTAGGGATGGAACTGTCAACATGGTAGTCACCGCACTCTCAGAGAGCAAGTCTGAGCTTTCTTTAGTAAGGCCTCCCACACAGCTTTGTTGGAAGCCCCTTCCTTAGATGCTATCCTTCTGCCTGAGAAAGGTTTTAGGTAGCAAATTCCAGAATATCTCACTCTTTAGTAAGCTGCTTTTTGCTTTTGAGTCTGGTCTTTCCTTTGGTCTGAGTGGTGAATTTCAAGACTTAGGTTTGGTCTTTGTATAGAACAAGAAGAACATGGTGTTTGGCTACCTTGATTACAGGGCATCTGGCTGACCCAACGTAGATAATGGAGTTCTCCATAGCATCTTCCTAGCTTGTTAGAGTTTTCCATTGGATTTTAAGGACAAAATCTTAATTAATTTATTTGTTCTCTCTGTGTACATTGATTATGGCCTCTTAAGGAGGTTACCTAGTAAATCTATTGTAATTACATACCAGCAATCCCAATAGATAATGGGGGCCACAGCAGATTGGCCTTCAAGGAGAACCAAAACAGCCAAATGATTTATTTACAAACAGTATTATTAAAATTCCTCAAATGGTGCGAATTGTTTGTAACCCTGAATCCATTTCATATAGAGAGCACTTTTATAGATAGTAGTTAAATCCCAAACGAGTCCACGTAATCTTACATAATCCTTAAAATAGCTCTGTTATTGTAATGATAGTACTTTAATTATACCAAATCCCATTTTATTACTCAGATTTATTTTGGTGAGAAAATTCACATTGGGCTCCAACTTGAGATGGTAAAACATATCTCCCATGGGGCTATAGGATGTGGGGTGGGCCAGGAGGAGGAATCCTAAGGAGGATATTCATGGTTATGTGAATGGAAGACCCTATTTCTGACAACTCCCTACGTGGGGATCACCAGCACCTTATTGTTCATCCCTCACTGTCTCCTCCCCCAACACACACACACACACACACACACACACGTGAGCACACATCCATACATCCCATCATTAGAGTCTCCTTGGAAACATACCATTTATAGGATGAGGGAATTTCCTGCTCTCAGTTCACATATGGTAGAGGAATGGGCTGTTCCTGTCCTCACCATAGTAGATAAAATCTATTTCTGACTTATCAAGTTAAATCTATGAATTAATTTTTCCCTGTAAGATGTTGATACACACATAGTAGATCTATTATTTTATATTATGTACTCTAGGTACTTTGTATGTTAAATAGGTATAGGTATATAGAAAAATCTGTCAAAATAAGTTTCATGTTGGAAGAGACCCTTGTGGGAGATGTGTTTTGTTTATTTAATTCGTGAATCATTCTGCTCCTTTTTTTTTTTTAAAGACAGAGTCTTGCTCTGTTGCCCAGGCTGGAGTGCAGTGACATGATCTCGGCTCATTACGACTTCCGCCTCCCGGGTTCATGCGATTCTCCTGCCTCAGCCTCCGTAGTAGCCGGGATTACAGGCATGCGCCACCACACCCAGCTAATTTTTGTATTTTTAGTAGAGACGGGGTTTTACCGTGTTGGCTGGGCTGGTCTTGAACTCTGGATCTCAGGTGATCTGCTTGACTCGGCCTCCCAAAGTGCTGGGATTACAGGGGTGAGCCACCACATCCAACCTAAATTCATGAATCATTTTGCTTCTCATGGAAGAGCCAGGCAGGATCAAGAAAGGTGTCCCAAACCAATTCCATATATGTTCTCTCTCATTGAGTTTCTTATTTAGACGTAGTATGGGACAACACTAGTGCCTTCAACCATTCCCCTTAGTGTTAGTCTTAAGCTTTCCAACATTAAAAGTCCAAACTCTTAGTCCGTTGCACAGTGGCATCCGACAAATGTGTGTTGAAGATATGAACGTGGAAACAGCCATGATTCTAAGCATGAGATACCTAAAAATACTATAACCACAGTGCACATACAATTATTTAATATTTTCAACAGTCCAAACATAGCTGAATGCATACAGATCTTGATCCAGGTTGTAAAATGTCATGTTTAAAATTTCTGAGCAAGCTGTCAAGAGTGAGAAAGCAAAAAGATTTTAGAAGATAAAGGCATGGGAGATAGATTTGCTTGATAGTATAAGTCATTTTCCCCCCAGAAATATATTAAGTCTGTGTTCCATATGTGTCAGAATTACCCAAGCCAGATCTCTTTCTGTCTCTGTGATTTCTTTCTTTTTTAATGCATTCATCTTTTGGAGACTACATGGATTTATATTGCCTTGCAAAAGCAATATTCAGCAGAAAAATCAATCTTTTGAATACTTTAAACAGATATAGGTCCAGAATGTGTTACAGAAACAGTTAAAAACAACCACAGCATAAGAGCAAAACTTCTAGAATGGATATGCTGTATTCATCAGTGTGTTCTTTAAATTATAGGGAAGGCCAAAAATCCCCCTGGAGACTCCAGCCTACACTGGGCAGCCATGGCATTGCCAGCATTGTTTTCTCTTATAATTGGCTTTGCTTTTGGAGCCTTATACTGGAAGGTAAGTGGTACCATTCCTTTTTTTAAAAATATGCTATGTTTACATAAATTATCATCTTTTTTTCCTCAAGAAATGATCCTTTAAGAAAACAGTGAATTCTACCTTAGCTTATAATCTAAACAAAATTTAAATTTTATAAAGTTTCCTGTTTCTCATTATGTCTGGAGACAATCCCTCTAGCTGATAATTCACGCTTAAGAATTAGGAACTGGTGTTAATAGCCTGAACTAAATATGAAAAGGAAGATCTGACGAAAATCATATGATATACTTAAAAGACAAATAGAAATGTCATTTGTATTATCTGCTATTTTGGATTTCTACTCTTTTGTTCTCTTCTTATTGAAGCCTGTCTAAAATTTTAAAATGTGCAAAAATCATTGTGACTCAGCTTCTTGAAATGTCTTTTGAATTTGATTAAGTGTCAGCTTCTTTATTACTCTTTAGCCCCCAACATCCTAAAAATGTTGAGTTGATAGTACCATGCAGCTTTCATAATTTTTTATTACAAAGATATTTTGCATGCTACATGCTGAAAAAACTGTTATTGGAGTTATTGCCATAAAAGATAAAAGTGGAGTCCACTTACCTCTTAAATATTAGACCATTCATTGATTATTTTACAGTATATGTCTTTCTTCTTTTTCCAGAAGAGACAGCCAAGTCTTACAAGGGCAGTTGAAAATATACAAATTAATGAAGAGGATAATGAGATAAGGTATTTTGTTTTGCTAAATGTGTGCCCAATCAAGCATGACATTGCCATTTCACACACTGTGTACCTGCCCATAATGTCTTTAAGAAGTCCTTCACTCATGACAGTAGCTCCTAACCAGTGAGTCCCAACTCTATCCATGTTTCTGATGTCTCACTCTCTCTTCAGTGCTGCATCTCCATTTACCTACAGAATACCTTCACATAATTGTCTTCATGACTCTTCTTAGGGTTTGTAAAGGGGTTACCTCTGCTTTCTTATTTAAGTAAGGCAGCAGAATCTTCTCAGACTCCTGGTTGTGGAACTCTGGAGGCACATTTGCTCATGTTCTGTCTTTTCCACACTTTTATCAAAACATACTGATTCAGCTCTTGGAGCGTCTTCCTAAGCTTAGTTCTTTCAGTAGGAAGCATTATCATCACTGACATCTTTATGATCTCATGAGTTGCTGCCACTGATCTTTTCTTTAGCCCTTCTAAACTCAACCTTTAGTCACACTCTTCTGTAAACCCTGGTTCATAGTGTGACTTCTTATTCAAAATACGTTCAGTGATTTTCTCTTGTATATTTTATATATCTTTTATTTTACTCTGGCTTTCAGAGCCCTTAACTATTCTCAACATACTCGTTGTTTTCTCTAAAGCTGAATACAAAATTTGCTGTAAGATGACTTTCCATTCACTGTAGCTGGCTCTTGTCATTCTTTCACCTTACCCTATACTGCCCAGCACTCATATGTTCCCTTACCTTTGATTATAATTTTCATTTGGTGTGTTGCCTTCTCTCATGTCATGCCTGTATGTATACACAGACACATATGAAATGCATATAGGCATGCTTGGTATGTGTATATGCATATACAGAGAAAGAAATGTTTTAACTACTTGGAAAGACTACCTTAAGACAAATGAAGTCTTCCCTCTTCCCTATAGTAATAAGAAGGTAGGCTCCCCATTCAATTTTGCAATCTTCTGCTACTATATTTACAGAAAAGCTGCCTTTTACAATGCCGAGATCATGGTGTACCTCAGAATCTCTGACCAAGAGCAAATAAGCATTTTTTCTTATTGTTTTTCAGTATGTTGCAAGAGAAAGAGAGAGAGTTTCAAGAAGTGTAATTGTGGCTTGTATCAACACTGTTACTTTCGTACATTGGTAAGTTTTTTTCTTCTTTCCTTTTTTTTTCTTTTTTTTATTATACTTTAAGTTCTAGGGTACATGTGCACAATGTGCAGGTTTGTTACGTATGTTTACATGTGCCATGTTGGTGTGCTGCACCCATTAACTCGTCATTTACATTAGGTATATCTCCTAATGCTATCCCTTCCCCCTCCCCCCACCCCATGACAGGCTCCATTGTGTGGTGTTCCCTACCCTGTGTCCAAGTGTTCTCATTGTTCAATTCCCACCTATGAGTGAGAACACGCAGTGTTTGGTTTTCTGTCCTTGCGATAGTTTGCTCAGAATGATGGTTTCCAGCCTCAGTCATACATGTGCATGTGTCTTTAGAGCAGCATGATTTATAATTTTATAATCCTTTGGGTATATACCCAGTAATGGGATGCCTGGGTCAAATGGTGTTTCTAGTTCTAGATCCCTGAGGAATCACCACACTGACTTCCACAATGGTTGAACTACTTTACAGTCCCACCAACAGTGTAAAAGTGTTCCTATTTCTCCACATCCTCTGCAGCACCTGTTGTTTCCTGACTTTTTAATGATCACCATTCTAACTGGTGTGAGATGGTTATCTCATTGTGGTTTTGATTTGCATTTCTCTGATGGCCAGTGATGATGAGCATTTTTTCACGTGTCTGTTGGCTGCATAAATATCTTCTTTTGAGAAGTGTCTGTTCATATCCTTCGCCCACTTTTTGATGGGGTTGTTTGATTTTTTCTTGTAAATTTGTTTAAGTTCTTTGCAGATTCTGGATATTAGTCCTTTGTCAGATGGGTAGATTGTAAAAATTTTAATTCAAACTGAAATATTTAGCAAGAACTATACAGCATATGAGATGCCAAAGTTTAGAAACAAACTTCATTAGTAAGTCTTCTATCAAGCAGATGTCAGTATGTTGGCTGAAGCTGTTACATAATTGAAATGTGCATATCTAATTCATTGTGTATTCTCCAGTTTTGAAAGGTAAGCAGTGTTTGTCCTGACTAGTGGATTCATCTAGTGTGGGATATGCACAAAAATTAACAGTTGTATGTTTACTTAGACTGTTTTTGAGACCAGAAAATTAATTAGACAAGGGAAATATAGCAAATTAGGACTAAAATTAAGTATTACTAATAGAATAAAAATATATGGAATCAATTTTATTTAGGTGTGACCACTATAACATGACTGTATCCCATGTGTTAGATGCTGAAACAAGAGAAAACCAGAATGTTTCCCTGCCATTTTCAGGAAAAAGAGAAAACATCCAAATATCTTAGAGTCAGGAGAGTAAGATTTTCCAGGTCAATTGCCACCTTCCACATGACTAGTAATAATTATGCATTATAATAGTTCAGAGCCCAGGATGCACGGAACATAAACGCATGGCAGACAGGTGCTGTGACTGTGTGGGTCTGCGGAGGGATTGTGGGAGAAAGGAGAGTAAGATGTGGCTAGAAGGTACTGGTATCATTATCTCCTGTCCCGTCTGCTTTCTCTGCTCCCTTGCTGCAGATACTGTTGCGGGAAGACCCACAGCTGCATTAACTTAATCAGTATTGATTCATGCTGTCCCTCACTTTTGCTTCTGCTAATTGGCTGTTATTTTTGTTACTGGCATGGAATCCTGAGAGCATTTACCACAGTTGCATGCGAATATTCTCTCCTCTTTCAAATTCCTCATTTCTTCTGTGCATTCCCTCATTGTCAAAGGATTATTTACTCTCCTCTTTATTACCTAGATAGTCTGTGGTGGATTCCTTCTTTACCCTGCAAGTCACTGCCCTTCCAGCTTTAACTCCTGTCCCAGGTTCAGAGATTTGTCTCTAGACTTAATCTTCTTCAGTGGAACTGAGTCATAAATTATCTTGCCTCCTGTATGAGCTTACTTTTATGGTTATACAGCAACATTTTTTAACAACTCAAGATAACATGATATAATTATGTTGCACATTTCTCTAACACTGTAATACTTTATTCTACACACTCTGTCACTTTTACCTTCAATCATACTCTTGATTAACATGTCCGTAGCATGAATAGCACCCTCTATTTTCTGCTGCCCATTGCCACTTCTTTCTAGGCTCATTCTTCCTGTCAAATAATGTAAATGGATAGACCGTTTGCTTGACACTTTTTATTTTCCGAAGCAATATTTCCCAAGCTGAAACCATGCTTTTTCCTAGAAATTCATTTTTTTGCCTTTGAACCATAAGATGAGATTCACTGTTTTCTTTTTTTTTTCCTTCCTTTTCTTCTTCTTGACAGCCATTTCAGTTCTCTCAAGTGGCATTCACAAACCACACATTAAATGGTTAATTGAGTCTTAAATGCTCAAATGCTCAAGTAATGTCCTCTGTTGTTTGGTTTGGGATTGCATTGCTGGGATCCTGTTTTGGCACACAGGTCTTTAATCATGTGGTTTTAATTACGACATTCGTCCCATGACATTTGGGAGTGGATTAGGATACGGAAACCCAGGCCATTTGTTTAGGAGGAAAAAAGATGGTATTTTAAAGCAACCATAGTCAAACAACTTATGAATGTGTTGAATAGTCAGTTAGCATTCCAAGAAAAGAGTTAGGTCTTTCTGTTTCTTGCTGTACCCTCAACACCTAACTTGCTGCCCGTGCATTGTTGGCTCTCTATAAATGTTTGTTGAATGAGAGACTGAGTGAGTGACTCAGCCCTAAATGAAAGTTTAAGCAAATGGCAAAGAAGATTGTTCTTCTGAAGTAGGGTTTGTTTTTATCTTTTGTGTGAATGTGTGTATTTAATGTATTGGGTTGGATTAATGAGACAGCAAGGTATGCATATCAAGGGGGAATATAATCACATGAGAAATTAACTAATAAATTATTTTTCTTAAGGTATGAATTATTACTCATGTATAAAATGAATCACATTAGCCAGGTTAAAGAAGCCAGAATTATCCAGAAAAAAACCCAGCTCACTTATTCAGTAGTCAATGGGAAATAGATGGCAGAATGAATGAAAACATGACTCATTCTCCTTCACAAAGTGCCTTACTCGTCATCTCTGCAAAGCTCCACCAAGGCTCAGGTCACATACTGCCACCTACAAAAACCTGACTTCCCAAATGAAAATAATCTCTATTTCTGGCCCTCTAAATAGATTTCATATGACACTTGGTAGGACATCACAGTCACCTAAATGAACATTTTGTGCCCTTTTCAAAACCATAAACTCTTAGGGGGCAGGATTTTTTTTTCTTAATTTAGTTTTGGAGCCCCACTAAACAATGTCACTTATACTGTGCACATATAAATGATGAATAACTATTTGTTGAATAAATTAATGGAAAGATGAATGAATATCTCAGAATTACAATAAGATGAGAATAAAATATATGAAAATAAAAACAGAAATAAACTTGTATGTGTCTATGAGTACATAAGAATTCAAATGCTGAGGGAAAAGTAGGAAAAGAGGTAGAAAAGGGCCAGTTCGTCCTCAGAATCTGAAAACCCCAAAGTAAAAATGTGTGTATATCATTTGTAATCATCTATTGACTACCCATTATATGAAGTAAACCCTTACATTTGGCCTTCTACCAGCAGAGATGGAAAACCCTCCAAGGAACTCTTAAGTCTAGTTCCTAGATAGGTGTGTAGTAGAGGGAAGGTCTGGGAGAACAAACTGTGATGTGGTTGGAGAGAAAATCTTCTAAAAAATAAGAATAACCGTAGTAAAAAATGCCAAGACAGAAATAAAATGTGGAGTTGCAATTATACATTTAAAAAATAGATATAATTTGGATTATAATCATTTTCTTGGTTAACAAGGAAGGGGAAAAATACAAGGAATGACTCAGGTTTATGGCAAGGATTTCTCCCTGAAATGGAAGTTTCACCAACTAAAACAAATTAAATCAAGACAAATATTGGAACACTAGAATAGAGAACATATGGGCTAGTTCTCTTAAGGAAATAACCTATAATTGGAAAATGAAAAGAAGGAGGGTTTAATATCTTAACTACAAGGAACAAACGTGGAAGGAATGTATTGAACTAGAAACAACAACAAAAAAAGTTGCACCTAGGAATAAATAGGCCAGGAGTGGTAGCTCATTCCTGTAATCCCAGTACCTTGGGGGGCTGAGGTGGGAGGATCACTTGAGCCCAGGAGTTCGAGACCAGCCTGGGAAACATAGGAAGACCCCATCTCTACAAATAATTTAAAAATTGGGTGGGCATAGTGGTATGCACCTATGGTCTCAGCTACTCAGGAGGCTGAGGCAGGAGGATTGCCTGAGCCCGAGAGGTTGAGGCTGTAATAAGCCATGATCAAATCACAGCATTCCAACCTGGGTGATAGAGCAAGGCCTGGTCTCAAAATATAAAAATAAAAAATTAACTGAAGTGTGTTTATTTGACACCATGCGTGAGAACAGCTATGTGAAAAGTTAAAAATTTACTTGGTCACATAGCTTATGCCAAATATCCATAGTAGCATCCTACAAAAACCTTTTTCATATTGGGTTGTGGATAGCAAAGATTAAGATAGATAAATAAAACAGATGGATTACATTAAAAACTTTATGTTAATACGTTACAGGAAACTTTTGCTCTTTACTCTTCCCACAAATGTGATTCCAACAAACTCTAGCAGGTGCATTGATGGATGCAAAGCTTAATATAACTTTGTTGTGTCCTCAAATTGTTTATAGCCTACAAAAGGAAATCAGACATATACATAATAACCAATTTTTAAAAGTGAACTAAAAGTTTACAGAGTTACTTTGATCAAAGTCCAGGCCTCTGCATATGTTCATACAAGTTGTGAATTCAACACAGTTCTAGATACTGGAATGAATGACATATTAGAATTGAGCACACCCAAATACAGTTACCTATTTTTGAAAGGAGAGAGAAATCACTAACAATAGGAGAAAAGCTTCACTTTGTAAGTGGTGGAGGTAGCATCTGTACTGAGCACATGGCGTAAACTAAGTCAGTATAGTCCCAAAGTAGAAACTGTGTTCAAGGGTCAGTTTGGACAGTTGGATTCCAGTGGAAGTCACATATAAAGAGTTAAATGCTGAGAAGAAAGGGTGAGCATCGGTTTGAGAAAGGGTTTGAATTCCAGGAATGGGGCTTAAATGCCTTGTGTCACATAAGGAGGTATTGGGAGAAAATGGTGTAGGAAAGATGTGGGTGACAATCAAAGCTGAGGTGTGAGAAAACTAATCGGGTGTTGGTATGGCAAGATGTACGGGAGTGGTTAACTAGAGAAATTGAGTCCACTTACCAGGCCAGTCTTTAAATAAGATGTGAGAGAGAATGACAACTGAATTAGCATCAGGGCCAGGAAATAAGAAAGCATAGACCATTTGAAGACATTGCAGTAAAAGAATCAACAAATCCTAGTTACTAATGGGATGTGAGACTTGGCATCACAGGCAGAACTCAAGAATGATTTGGAGACTATGGGACTTACCAGAGTGCGGTGGCATTAACAGGAAATGGAAAATCAGGAGAAGAAGCTGTTGGTAAATATTATTGAAACTAACCAGTGGCCAAATATGTTAGACTGGAACTTCAGATAACAGTCAGGCCTGGAAAGAATGATTTGCAATTTGAGAGTTATCTGCAAAGAATCTTATTTGAGACCTTGAAAGAGAAATTGCTTAGTCACAGAAATGGCCCCGTGTGGTTGATAGTAAATAGCATGGGTTTGATTGTGGAGAGGTTCACTAAAGAAATACAAACAAAATTTTGGTATATCTGAGCTAAGGGGGAAGAAAATAAATCTTAGAATTGGAATAAAGGACAAGCTGAAGACAAGCTTGGAAATTTAGGCCTCAAGGCTTGGCAATGGTTGGTTACCAAATAGCAAGACCTGTGATTCTTTGCTAGATGTTTCCTAAGACTTTCAAAGCTTTGGGAGTTTGGTTTCTGTAGATACATTGTAAAGCAGATGATTAGAAAGGATTAGGCTTGGATTCAAGCCTTGACTCTTTGGTGTAGAATACTAGATGAATTTATATCAGTTATCAGTTCATGTCTTTTAAACCCTGGTTTTTCATGTGTAATGAGGGTTAGTGATAAATGTACTCTTCTTATTTCACAAGGGTTCTTGCAAGAACCCAGGTTATCATTATAAAAATTGTAGTTTTGTTCTATGGGAAAACAGGTGCCAGTCTTTACGTTTATTTTCTTTGCTAAGTGACCCGGGGACAAAAATCAAAAATAGATTTCCAATCTTCTCTACATTTAATTCTCTCTCTCTCTCTTTCTTTCTTGAGAGTCTTTCTTTCTTAAGAGTCTTGCTCTGTAGCCCAGGCTGGAGTGCAGTGGCGTGATCTCAGCTCACTGCAACCTCCGCCTCCTGGGTTGAAGGGGGTTTTGTGCCTCACCCCCAGAGTAGCTGGGACTACAGATGTGCACTAACACACCCAGCTAATTTTTGTATTTTTAGTAGAGACAGGGTTTCACCATGTTGGCCAGGCTGGTCTCAAACTCCTGACTTCAGATGATCCGCCTACCTCAGCCTCTCAAAGTGCTGGGATTACAGGTGTGAGCCACCATGCCTGTCCTATATTTAATTCTCTATATTAAGCTTTGTGTTTCCAATTATTTATACATTTAAAAAATACATCCTTTTGCTTTTTGTGATTCCCTTTTGCTTTCTAACCATGCTTTTAAAATATCTTCTATATATTTTGGATTTCTGAAGTTTTATCTTAGTATCTCTTAATTTTTGTTCTAGATTTAATTCTGATTTCCTAAATACAGGTTGTCTAGCTTCTAGAGTTCTCTGCTTGGTAAATTGTTGTATAAGACAGTTTTTAATATATTACATTTAGAGAGACTGGAAAAATATTGCAATTCTTATTACACTATGGAATTTTATGGCTAATCTGTGTAATGATCTCAATACTTTAAAAACAGTGATCTGTGATGCTGGGTTGATAAACAAGGACAAAAGTAGTGAAAGAGATTGAGCAGAGAAGACGAGAAATGCAAAACACATTTATTTAGAGACTGGGATTGAAGATGGGATGATACCATCTATATGTATTTTTTTTAAGTAGAGAAGGAAATACAAATACTTTACTGGAAAGTTGAAACATCTGAAAGCTAGTAGATTAACACAAGTACTGAATAACTAAAACAAAATATGGCTTTCATGCTTCAACAAGTACAATAAGCTATGCTGAGGCCAAACGAACTTTCCCCAGAACTTTGTTGGGATGCGGTGCCAAGATTACAGTCTTTCTTTTTTTGGTTGGAAGTATTGAACGAAATCTTTCTGCTGCTATTTCCTCAGCTGGAAGAAATGATTGCTAGAACCTAACTAGATAGTCAAGATACTAGAGCGGCTCAGTGGCCATGTGAGGCTATTACTTGTTGGTGGCCATTGACCAGCTTCTCCACCTGTCTTAGGGATCTCTTTCATGCTACTCCATCTATCTCCATTTCTCTAATCTCCACTCTCCAGACACTTTGTTCGTCAATCCTTCTCCCTTCACCCCTGTTTACTACCTTTTATAATCTTGCTAGAGAAATTCAAAGCTAACTAAGTTGATAATTATATTATCACAAACTGAGATCATTGGTAGAATGTCAGGAGGTATGAAAGTCACAGGGTGAAATATTTATTGAGTGTCTATTAAGTGCCAGACATTATTATAAGAGTGGAGGTACAGCAGTAAAAGAGATAGAGAAGCTCCCTGCCCTCATGGAGCTTACATTTTAATGGGAGGACATAGATAATAAACAAAAAGTAAGATTGTTTCAGATAATGTGTTACCAAGGAGATCATAGAAAATGACTGATCACTGCATCTAAGAAAATATTTATGAAGTTCTTTTCTGCTATATAAGTGAAGCATACATTGCAAATTTGTTACTCATTCTGTGGTCATATATGATTTCGGCTATTGAGATTTTTAAAAAGGCAGAAGGCAGATACACCATAATCTCTCTTTTCTTCCTTCCTTTCTAGGCTGGTAACAGTTCATGTTTGCTTCATAAATGAAGCAGCTTTAAACAAATTCATATTCTGTCTGGAGTGACAGACCACATCTTTATCTGTTCTTGCTACCCATGACTTTATATGGATGATTCAGAAATTGGAACAGAATGTTTTACTGTGAAACTGGCACTGAATTAATCATCTATAAAGAAGAACTTGCATGGAGCAGGACTCTATTTTAAGGACTGCGGGACTTGGGTCTCATTTAGAACTTGCAGCTGATGTTGGAAGAGAAAGCACGTGTCTCAGACTGCATGTACCATTTGCATGGCTCCAGAAATGTCTAAATGCTGAAAAAACACCTAGCTTTATTCTTCAGATACAAACTGCAGCCTGTAGTTATCCTGGTCTCTGCAAGTAGATTTCAGCTTGGATAGTGAGGGTAACAATTTTTCTCAAAGGGATCTGGAAAAAATGTTTAAAACTCAGTAGTGTCAGCCACTGTACAGTGTAGAAAGCAGTGGGAACTGTGATTGGATTTGGCAACATGTCAGCTTTATAGTTGCCGATTAGTGATATGGGTCTGATTTCGATCTCTTCCTGATGTAAACCATGCTCACCCATATCCCACTATACAAATGCAAATGGTTGCCTGGTTCCATTTATGCAAGGGAGCCAGTACTGAATTATGCCTTGGCAGAGGGGAGACTCCAAAAGAGTCATCGCAGGAAGAAGTTAAGAACACTGAACATCAGAACAGTCTGCCAAGAAGGACATTGGCATCCTGGGAAAGTCCGCCTTTTCCCTTGACCACTATAGGGTGTATAAATCGTGTTTGCAAAATGTGTTATGATGTGTTTATATTCTAAAACTATTACAGAGCTATGTAAAGGGACTTAGGAGAAAATGCTGAATGTAAGATGGTCCCATTTCAATTTCCACCATGGGAGAGCCTAAAAATAAATTATGACATTTAGTATCTAAGGTTAGAAAACCACGCCCACATGCTAATATGGGTGTTGAAAACTAGGTTACTTATAATGCAAGGAATCAGGAAACTTTAGTTATTTATAGTATAATCACCATTATCTGTTTAAAGGATCCATTTAGTTAAAATCGGGCACTCTATATTCATTAAGGTTTATGAATTAAAAAGAAAGCTTTATGTAGTTATGCATGTCAGTTTGCTATTTAAAATGTGTGACAGTGTTTGTCATATTAAGAGTGAATTTGGCAGGAATTCCCAAGATGGACATTGTGCTTTTAAACTAGAACTTGTAAGACATTATGTGAATATCCCTTGCCAATTTTTTTTATAATAAGAAAACATCTGACTAAAGTCAAAGAATGATTTCTTATGGTTTATTTTGATGAAAGTTCTTTTAACATGTCTTGAATGTACACATAAAGGAATCCAAAGCTTTCCATTCTAACTTAATCTTTGTGATAACATTATTGCCATGTTCTACAACCGTAAGATGACAGTTTTCAATGTAGTGACACAAAAGGGCATGAAAAACTAACTGCTAGCTTTCCTTTCATTTCAAAAGTCCAAGAATTTCTAGTATATTTGGATTTTAGCTTCTGTTCAAAGCAAATCCAGATGCAACTCCAGTAAGTGGCCTTTGCTCTTTTTTGTACCAAAGAGCCCAGATGATTCCTACAGTCCCTTTCTTCTCTAACATGCTGTGGTTCCTTAAATATGAGTAATTTCTCTAAGATATAACCCAGGTGCTTTGAGAAGCTGCATTAAGGTGTTCAGGCCCTCAGATATCACATGGTACACTTGATTAGTAATAAAACCAGAGATCAATTTAAATTGCTGATAGGTCCTGTCTCAGTGTGTGGCATTGACTGTTTTCAGGAAAATAGATACAGATTAATATGAGTTATGCGTGTAGGTTGTGTATAGATTGAGAAGATAGATACTTCTCAATCTAGTAGTTTGATTTATTTAACCAATGGTTTCAGTTTGCTTGAGCATATGAAAATCCTGCTTAATGTGCTTAAGAGTATAATAAATGTGTACTTTTGTCCTCAAACCTAGTAGCTGGGTTTTAACACTCATGGACATGGTCTTAATCAATGGAGTTAAATAAACAAATTCAGCAAGTTATTAAATCTGACATGGTAGGAGAGGGGAGATGTGTCCTGCTTATTAAATGTGTTGGTCCATTGAAAGTTACATGGATTGCCAATTTTTAAAACACTAAAGTTGAATAAAATGCATGAACAATAGAAAAATGCTGAACATTATTTTGGATGCTAGCTGCTTGGACATTAACTGTGTTATTTCTGCTTTGAGATGAAAATATATATTTATCTTTGCTTATTTTATCCCAGATGTGTTCTGAATATCCTTCTTCATAAATCATGGAAAACTCACTGCTGAGATAGTAAACCATGAAATCGCCTTTTCAGTTGGTGCCATGTATCTGACAGTTCCATCTTGGAAGGTTTCAAAATTACCTTTTAAAATGATCTCAGAAGTCTGTAGATTCTCAATGATACTGAAAGCTTTGCACCTCTTTGGTAGAAACCAGGTCTATTTAGAAAATGGCTTTATGATAAATGTTGCCTCCTGAGTGATAATGAAGTGTTCCTGGATATTGTATTGTAATTTAATGTGCTTACCACACTGCCACATTTTAATGAGTCAGAGAAAAATTAATTTTTCTTCAATACAATAATAGAACAAGTAGCCTATTCTCTTAAAAAGTATGTGAAAAGAAAATTATGAAAAAATATGCATACCTAATGAAGTATTGGTTTTAGTAAGAATTAAATACATTTCATTGAGCTTTAAAGTACTTTGGAGAAACTTTGGGGCACGTTTTCCTACTCTAATTCAACTAAAGTTATAAATAAAGAGAAAAACTCATTCAGAAATCATGGATTTTAAAAATATTTTACTGCAGCCAAGTTTTCATTTCAAAATGTAATTTCAGTTTGGAGCTTTTAGGCATTATGTATATTTAAAAAATATATTCTTCAAAAATGCATTTTGGCATGGTGGGATGGATGTTGCAAAAGATATCCGGAGCCTCCAGTCTGTCATTAACTGATATGGTAAATCACCTCTCTTCTTTGGGTCTCAATTTTTTATTTATCTATATGGTAAACTCAGAGATCACTCCTTAGGGGTGAGTCCTATTGCAATATGACCGACAAAGAAGACAAAATAGCATTGAAACTAACCCATACAAAATATCCAACTCTGGATTCTGTGAATAAGTATCTTGACCATAAAAAGTCATTGCTGTTCTTGTTTCTAATGTAAATAGTGTCCATTAGTAAAAGTGAAATTCAGTCTTAAGTAGGGTGAATTGGATCACCATTTACACAAGAGATGGCTTTTTCCTTTGCTTGAATAAACATTTTGGATCACCTCCAAAGAATGAAAACCAGTAGTACGTTTTAGTCATATTAGTCAGGATGAGAAA
The DNA here is from genome assembly GCF_000001405.40 of Homo sapiens. Classification (NCBI taxonomy): domain Eukaryota; kingdom Metazoa; phylum Chordata; class Mammalia; order Primates; family Hominidae; genus Homo; species Homo sapiens. Next base: position 88,493,768 of record NC_000012.12, on the reverse strand, counting down.
CTATAAGATGTGTGTAACATTTGGAAATGCACCAAAGTGAGCGTTTAAATCTTCTCATTTTATTGAAAACTAAGAGCAGAAAATGTAAAATGCTCATGAAGGTTTTGAATGCCAAAAGATATTTTAGAATCAATTTATAAAGGGGTAATTCATTAATTACACTTTAAAATTGGAAAGTGGGATAAGAAATCTAAAGTAAACCAGCTTATCTTTGAAACAATATTATTTTGAAATTGGCTTTAAAATAAAACCATTCAGATTGAAATTCTAATTAGCTCATTTGTGGAGTTTGATCACACAATTCATAATGTTGCTGCTTTCCATTAACTAGTCTTGAAATGCCTTTGTTTGTAAAAATAAAATAATGGTACTTTCATTTTATAACAAGGTGTTTTTTTCAAGAAATAATCCATGCTAAAATGGATATTTGTGATCCTGAAATGTTTACTAAGCATTGTAAATTTATTTATAACTGCCATCTCCAACTACATCCTTATGATGTTTTTAACAATAAAATTAAAACAACTGTTAAACTAAAAACCACACCGTTTTCCAGTACTTGATCTCTGAGCTACAATACTCACTAAATATAATTTTCCAATCAAAATATTCTATTCTATATTCTAAGGGTTAATATGTGATTATAGTGTCCACTTGCCACCATTTTTTTAAATCAATGGACTTGAAAAGTATTAATTTAGATGGATGCGCAGATATACCCTCAGTTCAGTCATAGATTGGAGTTTGCATATAATAATGTAAATGTATGTCGACACTATTCTAAATAGTTCTATTATGACTGAAATTTAATTAAATAAAAAAGGTTGTAAAATGTGATGTGTATGTGTATATACTGTATGTGTACTTTTTAAAATAGGTGTATGTCCCAACCCTTTTTTATACAGGTTTGAATTTAAAATTACATGATATATACATATACTTTATTGTTCTAAATAAAGAATTTTATGCACTCTCATAAATTTACCCTGTCATTTTATATCTTAAGGTTATCACATATGTCTACAACATGGTTGAACATTTATTAAGCTACAGTCAAAATTTTCTGTGGAAACTTTTGTCATTAATCTAGATTTTATTAAGCTACAGTCAAAATTTTCTATGGAAACTTTTGTCATTAATCTAGATTTTGTTGAAATATGGACACAAGGGGATAAGAAATTATTTAAATTCAATAAATATTTATTGATTACTAAAATAAGTAATCAAGGAAAATAAAAAATGAATTAACACGACGTTTGCTTTCAAGAGATTTATAACTTGTCTGGAGAAAAGAAATGCAATAGATATATAGAAAAGCACTATAATAGATATAGATACAGAAAATAGATACAGATATAGAAAAGCAGTATAATATGTATAGTCCCTGAAGTAAATACCTACATGCAAAACAGAGGTCCAGTTAATGTGCTTAGGGCATGCAGGAAGGAGAAATGGATACAGAATAAGGGAGACTGTGGAGGAATTGATGTTTGGGCTAATACTTAGAAGGATGAGACAAATTTTTATAGTGAGAATTATGCCCAGTCAGGGCAGCATTTTCCATAGAAAGAAGTTATAAAATTTCTAAGCTTATTTTACCAACTCAAACAGGTATGTCCTTAGCATACACCAAATAAAAAGACACACGGAGAGATAAGACCAGACCCTTCAATGTAACAGTGAGTGCAGACACTATTCTTAGGGTCCCTGAGAAGCCTAGACTCCTTTGCTTGTTTCTGAGAAGAGGAATGACGAGATCAAAACGCACTACGGATCCTGTGATTTAGGCAGTAGATAATCATCCTGCTTAACCACTGGTTGCTATTTGACTCTCAAGCACATACCCTTGCTATATGACACCACACTTATTCACCCACCATTTCTTTTCAGAATTTGCTGATTCTCTCTCCTCTGTTTACCTTTTATATTGCCAACTTCGACCAATATATGACTAGATAACTAGAATAGCCTCCTAACTGATCACATGATTCTACTTTCACCCTTTTTCAATCAGTTCATCACATTATAGTCAATAATAGGGAGACATCTGGTGTGTGTGTGTGTGTGTATGTGTGTGTGTGTGTGTGTGTGTGTGTGTGTGTTTCTGGCTAAAACACTTGGATGGCTTCTCATTATTTTTTAGCTAAAGCCCAAACTCTTCAACACAGCCTACAAGGCTCTACTTGAGCCATCTCATCTTTTTTGTTTTGTTTTGTTTTGGATTGCTGATTGTTTTTGCCTTTAATCCATAAACAACATGAAGGTTGGGCCCATAAATACTAATATAACTGCAGTCCTAAAATTTAGTGCAAATTATTAGTGGAATTGAAACAAAATGTGATCTAAATAGCTATCACCTGTTGTACTGAGAAGTTATTTTTTAAGATTTTTATTATGGACAATTTGAAATATATGCAAAAGTCGATAAGATAGTGTAATAAATTCATATAACCATAACCCTACTTCAACCTTACTCAACTCCTGAATAATCTTGTTTTATCTAAACTCCCTATCCACTCCCCATTTTGTATCATTTTCAGGAAAGTACTTAAAAGTATTTGATCTGGAAACATTTCTATGTATATCTCTGTTAACTTTCAGAAAGCGTAACCCTGATACCCTTGTTATACCTAAGAAAAGTTATTAACAATTTCTTAATACCAAGGAGCCAACAAGTATTTACATTTTAACTCTTTTACACTGTACACTGCAGTATTGCACTAGAGTAGGGTATAAAATACAGTTAAAAGTCCCCCTTGAACATTAAAGTTAGTTTCCCTGGAGGTAAACACTGCTAATTATTCCTCATTAACTTCTAGAATTTTTTGGCATGTACAAACTATATATACATGTATATACAATACTAGTCTCTAACTTTATCTCTTTCATTTATTAGGAGAACGCAGAACACTACATCAGCCTAGATAAATCTTTACCCACTGCACCATAATAACCAGGAAATTATAGATAGGCATTACGATTATAATATAATGTGTGCCCTTTGGAATTTCAGTACTCAGCAAAATCTAACATACTATCAGAACTTTTTGTTAATTACCTAACTCAAAATTAAATGAAGCTCTCTTCCAAGGACATAGCAGCCTCAGCAGCACTCTCAATTGGTGGCTCTATTCCCCCTACAGGTGTTACTGGGTCTGGAGGTGGGTTCCCTGCTCCTCATTGCAGCTTCTGGGTCATTCTTTTCTCATCCTTAGACCCTTGTAGATTAGAATCTCCTGCTATCAGATTATATACCCACTGCCACTCATTTCTGCTTTCATGTACTAACTCCCAGGTTTTTACACCTCGTTTCTTGATGGGTTTAGCACCTAGGTGGATAACTGTCACTGGATTCATTTGTATAATACTATTGCTTTAATTCTTGAGGGTGTTACTATAACCATAAATGGGCCTTTAAACATTCTTCACTTTCAGGTTATTGAATTTCTGTCCTCCTAGGAAACTTGCCTTCAACACTATTCTAACCGATCGGTCTCATGGTCTTCCTACACACCTTGCTGTTGCCATTAACTGCAACCCATTCGTGTGTCAATTGCATTCATTCCATCTCTGAGCACGACTTTGTATCTTTCCAGTTTGCTCCCTCATATACCCCAATCCTAACAATCCTTTAACTCACTGGGCCTGTCAACCTATTGATTCTACCATTTTTTACTACTGTCAATCTCTGATGCCCTCTCTTCCCTTCCTAGGCAGTTATTAAAATCTGTGGTCTGGCATTATCATTGTCCTCCTGCATACACCTTCTTCACCCTTGGTCCCTCTCACTTTCTAGTATTTGTCTGGTAAACCATAGCCCGGCTCAAATCCCATTCTCTACTCACTCTTTGTCTATACTTGTATGGCTAATATGGCTAGAGCACAATGCACCTTCAGGTCTACTGGTCTCTCTGTAAATTCCTTCCCATGAACTTCAAGTAGGTACTATATTTCCCTAGTCCATTTGCTGTTCTATTCTCAAAACAGACTATTTCATACATTATTTTCTCTTCCAAAACACGCACCTTGTTCCCATTCTCACTCTTAGCTTATTATCTTGACTACTATGGCACCTTGAATATTGAAGAAAAAAAAAAAGATAACTTTCAAAGACTCCTAAAAGCTAAAGGATGATTTTCTGAAGCTTACATTTCAAAAACTCTTACTTATCCAGGTTATTTATAAGTTCCAGGAGGGGACCTAGGAATGTGTTCACATCGTAATACGTTTTTGTAAAATTTGCAGCGACTTCTATTTATCAGTGGCTGTTCTCGTGTGGGAATGGCTTTCAGCAACACTCCTACTGATCATGGCAACAGCTCACCAGGGCATCATGACCCAAAGGTGTGTGGCCAGAGGCTGTATCATGATGTGAACATGTCCTATAGACCTGGCATCAAAAGTATGTGTGTAATGGAGGAGAAACAAGGTTTGAAATGAATGGACCCGGCAGCCCATTGTGGAAAATTCTCACAATCATAACAGTCCCCTGATGGGTGAAATTCTAAGTAGAAATTCAGCTTTTATTAGTGCTTCACAAAAACAGAAATTTTCTCCTGTCAGGAAAATAGTAATGTAGACTATACAGTTATAAACAAACCATAAAAAACCTTTTTTTGGTTGTTAATAATGAAGAAACACAATAGAATTTAACAAAACTGTTTTAGTTACAAAGCTAAAAAATATGTACATCAGGTCACATGTTTTATGCTCCTGAAAGTACACTGGAAGCATAAAACAAGTGACCTCACATACATATTTTGACAAATGCATAATGTCATGTATCCACCATTATATTATCATACATAATTATTTAAATACCCTTTAAAAAAATCCCTCATTCTTCATGTATTCAGTGATTCTTCCCTCTCCCTGAACTTCCATGAACCACTGGTGTTTTAACGTCTTTTACCTTTTACAGAATGTCATATAATTAAAATCCTACAGTATGAACATTTTCAGGCTGGCTTCTGTCATTTAACAACATGCATTTAAGATTCATATATGTAGTTTGTGCCTTTATAGCTCATTTCTTTTTGTCAATGAATAATGTTTCATTGTAAGGATGTATCACAGTTTGTTTATCGATTCACCTAAAAGAAAAGACATCTTGGTTGCTTTCACTTTTTGATGATTATTAATAAAGCTACTGTAAACATTAGTGTGCAACCTTTTGTGTGAACATGTTTTCAATTCATTTTGATAACTAACTAGGAGCACCATTGCCAGATTATATGGTAAGACTATGTTTAGATTTATAAGAAATTGCAAACCTGTTTTCCCAAGTGACTTTACTATTTTGCATTTCCAGCAGCTATAAGTGAGAGTTCCTGCTGTCCTTCATCTTGGCTAGCAATTGCTATTGTCAGTTTTTTGGATTTTAGCCATTCTAATAGGAGGGTAATGTTATATCATTATTGTTTCAATTTGCAAGTCCCTAATGACAAATGATGTTGAGCATCTTTTCATATGCTTATTTGCCATCTGTGTATCTTGTTTGATGAGATTTCTGTCCAAATCTTTTGTCCATTTTTAAATTGGGTTGTTCTTTTACTTATTGTTGGGTTTTAAGAGTTCTTTGTATATTTTTATACAAGTTAGGTATGTGTTTTGCACATATTTTATTCCAGTCTATGGTTTGTCTTTTCATTCTCCTGTTTGTCACAGACCAGCTGCAAGCATTTTTTTAAAATGTAAGAACAGAGTATGTATCTTGATTGATTTATTCCCTAATATCACAGAGAAAAAGCAGTCTCCACAGTACCTGAAGTTGATTACTTTGATATTTTGCACATATCATATTTTCTTTTCAAGTTTCTCTTTTTGACGGAGTATTTTAAATACATGCAAACTTGGATTTTTAAGAGTTTTTGTGTAGTGAAATGCTCTCTTATTATAAGACCTTGCAACATAATTAACAATATTTTAATTACTTCTAAAATATATTTTTATCTTTATTTCTTATGTTTTTAGAGACCGGGTTTCATTGTCACCTAGGCTAGAACTATATTTTTAAAGACTTAAAAAGCTCCAACACATGAGAAGGAAAAAGTTAGTGGAATTCATGTACATTTAACTCCGATTTTAAAAGATGCTTTAAAAGTTTTATAAAAACAAATATGAAATTATGGGCTCCTGATTCAAACATATAAAATGAATATAAAGGATCTCTTTCTGACATCTTTGTATTTATTTTGTTAAAGAACTGAGAGAATGTTTAAATACAAAATAAACTGATATGAAACAAAAATCAATATAAATAATTTAGAAAATAAATTTAAATTATTCTAATTTTGAGATGCAAACTGTAACAAAACAGTATCACATCAAAAGCAGTAATGTGTTAACAGGAAAATATAACTTTCCAATAGGAGTTATAAATAGGCCCTTAGACTGCTTTACAATCAAATTAATAAAGAAAGTGGGTCACTAGAACACAATGGCAAATGATTTTAATTTTTTGCTGATTTAATACAAAATACTATATTGATGAAAATAACTTAAAACATAATACATCTTCACAACAAGGGTATCAGATATAAACTGGTTAATGAATGTCATCAATTTCTAAAACATTAAAAATTAATCACACCAAAAGAAAAATGTAAAATGTCCTCAAATCTTACAGAGCTCATGTATAAGAAAAAAACTTTACAGAGTTTTTACCAAATTTGACAATTCTAAAAATTTACATGATATTGCCAAAATGAGCTGTAAAGATGAAAGAAAACTTCTACATTACCAATAGTAAAAAAATAAGTAAATAAAATTGATCAATCATATCAATCATGGTAGTGTGATAGTGGTAGGAATACTAAATTATTTCTATAAAACATATTCCCATATTTCCATATGAAGAAGTGATAAAAACGTATGTAACCACAAAAGGGAAAATAATTGTTATAGGTATATGTATGGCAGTTAACTAATCAAGATACTATTTTTAAAATTATCATAATGTTTGTATTTGTCAACTTCTTATAACACAGTTTTTGTTATATCCTTTCATTCTTAAAATATTTATTTTCCTACCTACTTCTATATTCATAATATCTATATTATTTTTCTTAAAGAATCCACCAAATGTATCAGTTTTGAGTCCCCCAAAAAACTGGATCCACTAAAATGGATTATTAAATCTTGGCTATTGCAAATAGTGCTGCAATAAACATGGGAGTACAGATATCTCTTCAATATACTGACTTGCTTTCTTTTGGGTACATACCTAGCAGTGTGATTTCTAGATCATATATTTTATTAATTTACATTCCCACCAACAGTGTACGAGGGTTCCCTTTTCCCTGCAACCTCACCAGCATTTGTTATTGCCTGTCTTTTAGATACAAGCCATTTTAACTGGGAGGAGATGATAGATATCTCACTGTAGTTTTGATTTGCATTTCTCTGATGATCAATGATATTGAGCACCTTTTCATATGCCTGTTTGCCATTTCTATGTCCTCATTCGAGAAATGTCCATTCATATCTTTTGCCCAGTTTTAAATCAAATTATTAAATATTTTCCTATTGAGTTGTTGAGTACCTTATATATTCTGTTTTTTAATCCCTTGTCAGAAAAGTAGTTTGCAAATATTTTCTCCCATTCTGTGGATTGTCTCTTCACTTCGTTGATTGTCTGTTTCTTTTCCTGTGCAGAAGTTTTTTAACTTGACGTGATCCCACTTGTTCATTTTTGCTTTGGTTTCCTGTGCTTAAGGGGTATTACTCAAGAAATCTTTACGCACTCCAATATCCTGGAAGGTTTCTCCAATATTTTCTTCAAGCAGTTTCATAGTTTGAGGTATTAGATTTGTCTTTAATCCATTTTGATTTGATTTTTGTATATTATGAGAGATAGGGATCTAGTTTCATTGTTCTGCATATAGATATCATTTTCCCAGCAGCTTTAGAGACACTGTCCTTCCCTCAATGTATGTTCTTGCTTTGTTGAAAATGAGTTTACTATAGATGTATGGATTTGCTTCTTGGTCCTGTATTCTGTTCCATTGGTCTATGTGTCTGTTTCTATGCCATTATCATGTTGTTTTGGCTACTATAGCTCTGTAGTTTAATTTGAAGTCAGGTAATGTGATTACTCCAGTTTTGTTCTTTGTGTTCATGACAGGTTTGGCAATTCTGGGTCTTTTGTGGATCCCTATAAGTTTTAGGATTCTTTTTTCTACTTCTGTGGAGAATGTCATTGGTATTTTCATAGGGATTGCATTGACTCTGTAGCTTGCTTCAGGTAGCATGAACATTTTAACAATAACAATTCTTCCAATACATAATATGAAATATCTTTCCATTATTTTTGTGTGTCTTCTTCAATTTCTTTCATCAATGTTTTTATAGTTTTTATTGTAGAGATCTTTCACTTCTTTAGTTAATTCCTAAGATTTGTATTTTATTTTTATCTATTGTAAATAGGATTACTTTCTTAATTTCTTTTTTAGATTGTTCACTGTTGGCCTATAGAAATGCCACTGATTTTTGGATGTTGATTTTGTATCCTGAAACTTTATTGACTTTGTTTATTAGTTCTAATGGTTATCTTGTGGAGTCCTTAGGATTTTCCAAATATGAGATCATATCATCAGCAAACAAGGATAATTTTACTTATTCCTTTCCAATTTTGATGCCCTTTATATCCATCTCTTCTCTGATTGCTCAAGCTAGGACTTCCAGTACTGTTGAGTAACAGTGGTGACAGTAGGCATCCTTGTCGTGTTCTATATGTTAGAAGAAATGCTTTCAGTTTTTCATCATTTAGTATAATACTAACTGTGGGTCTGTCATGTATGGCTTCTCTTATGTTGAAGCATGTTCCTTTTAAAGCCAGTTTTTTGAGGATTTTATTATGAAAAGAAGTTGACTTTTAGCAAATGCATCTTCCAGCATCAGTTGAAATGATCATATGGTTTTTATCCTTCATTCTGATATGATATGATGTATCACACTGATTGATTTGTGTATGTTGATATGATGTATCACACTGATTGATTTGTGTATGTTGAACCTTGAACCATCCTTGCATCCCTGGGGTAAATCCTACTTGGTCATGATGAATGATCTTTTTAATGTGTTGATAAATTCAGTTTGCAAGATTTTGTTGAGGATTTTTGCGTTATCATTCATTAGGGATATTGGTCTGTAGTTTTCTTTTTGCGTGTGTGCCTTTGTCTGGTTTTGGTATAAGGGTGATACCAGCCTTGTAGAATGAGTTTTGAATTATTTCCTCCTCTTCTATTTTTCAAAATAGTTTGAGTAGGATTGGTATTAGCTTTTCTTTAAATGTTTGGTAGAATTCAGCAGTGAAGCCATCAGGTCCCAGGTTTCTCTTGCTGGGAGGTTTTTTTTTTACAGCTTAAATCTTGTTACATTTTATTGGTCTGTTCAGGTTTTGGATTTCTTTATGGTTCAATCTTAGTAGGTTGTGTCTAGAAATTTACCCATTTATTCTAGATTTGTCAATTTGGGGCATATAGTTGCTCACAGTCGTCATTAATGATCCTTTGAATTTCTGTGGTATCAGTAATGTCTCCTTTTTCATCTATGATTTTATTTATTTAGGTCTTCTCTTTTTTTTAATCTGGCTAAAGGTTTGTCAATTTTGTTTATCTTTTCAAAAAAAACCCCACTTTTCATTTCGATGATCTTTTGTATTGTTTTTGTCATTTCAATTTCATTTATTTCTGCTCCGACTTTTATTATTTCTTTTCTTCTACTTATTTTGGGTTTGGTTTGCTCTTCTTTTCCAATTCTTTAAAAATGCATTTTTAGATTATTTATTTGAAGTTTTTCTTCCTTTTTGATGTAAGCACTTATAGCTATAAACTTCCCCCTTACTACTGCTTTTGCTGTATCCCATAGGTTTTGGTATGTTGTGTTCCTGTTATCATTTGTTTCAAGAAATTTTTTTTATTTCCTTCTTAATTTCTTCATTGACCCACTGGTCATTCAGGAGCACATTGTTTAATTTCCATGTGCTTGTATAGTGTCCAAAATTCCTCTTGTTATTGATTTGTAGTTTTATTCCAGCATGGTCATAGAAGATGCTTGATATTATTTCAATTTTTTAAATCTTTTAAGACTTGTTTTGTGACCTAACATATGGTGTATTTTTGAGAATGATCTGTGTGCTAAGAAAAATGTGTATTCTGCAGCCATTGGATAAAATTTTCTGTAAGTATCTATTAGGTTTACTTGTTCTATAGTGCAGATTAAGTCCAACATTGTGTTCTTGATTTTCTGTCTCAGAGATCTATCCAATGCTGAAAGAGGGGTGTTGAAATCTCCAGCTATTATTGCATTGGGGCCTATCTCTCTCTTTAGCTCTTATAATATTTGCTTTATATATCTGGGTGCTCCAGTGTTGGGTGCATATGTATTTACAACTGTCATATCCTCTTGCTGAGTTGACCCCCTTATTATTCTATAATGACCTTCTTTGTCTTTTCTTACCATTGTTGTCTTGAAATCCATTTTGTCTGATATAAGTATAGCTACTTCTGCCCTTTATCCATTTCCATTGGCATGGAATATCTACTTACATCCCTTTAATTTCAGTCAATATGTATCTTTATAGGTAGAGTGTGTTTATTGTAGGAAACAGATCATTTGGTCTGTTTTCTTTTTTATCCATTCAGCCACTCTATTTTTTTAAAATCTATTCAGTCACTCTATTTTTTATTATTGGAGAATTTAGTTCATTTACACTCTATGTTATTATTGATAAGTAAGAACTTACTCCTGTCATTTTGTTGTTTTCTGATCTTCTCTTACTTCTTTACTTCCTTTCTGTCTTCCTTTTGTTGAAGGTGATTTTCTCTGTTGGTATAATTTAATTTCTTCCCTTTTATTTTTTGGGTATCCATTGTATGTTTTTAGATTTGATGTTATCATGATGCTTGCGAATAATATCTTACAACCCATTATTTTAAATTGATGACAATTTAATACTGATCTCATAAACAAACAAGCAAGAAAAAAACTAATGAAAATCTACACTTTAACTTGGTCTCCGAGCTTTTTAATTTTTGTTGTCTCTATTTATATCTTATTGTGCTGTTTATTTCTTGAAAAGTTGTAGTTATTATTTTTGATTGGTTCATCTTTGTGTCTTTCTACTTAGGATATGAGTATTTTATACACCACAATTACAGTGTTGTAATATTCTGTGTTTGTCTGTGTAATTACTATTACCAGTGAGTTTTATACCTTCAGATGATTTCTTTCTGCTTATTAACTTCCTTTTCTTTCAGACTGAAGAATTCTCTTCAGCATTTCTTATAAGGCAGATCTGGTGTTGATGAAATTCCTCAGTTTTTGTTTGTCTGGGAAAGTCTTTATTTCTTTTTCATATTTGAAGGATATTTTTCCTGAACGACTATTCTAGGGTAAAAGTTTTTTTTTTCTTTCAGCACTTTAAATATGTCTTGCCACTCTCTCCTGGCCTGTAAGGTTTCCACTAAAATGTCTGCTGCCAGACAGATTGGAGCTCCGTTGTTTGTTATTTGTTTCTTTTCTCTTGCTGCTTTTAGGATCCTTTCTTTATCCTTGACCTTTGAGAGTTTGATTGTTAAATGCCTTGAGGAAGTCTTCTTTGGGTTAAATCTTCTTGATATTCAATACCCTTCTCATACTTGGATATTAATATCTTTCTCTATGTTTGGGAAGTTCTTTGTTATTGTCTCTTTCAAGAAACTTTCTACCTCTCTCTCTCTTTCTCTCTCATTGTTTTTTATTTTGTCTCCTCTGACTGTGTATTTTCAAATAGCCTGTCTTCCAGCTCACTAATTCTTCCTTCTGATTGATCAATTCTGCTATTAGGAAACTTTGATGCATTCTTAAACACGTCAATTGCATTTTTCAGCTCCAGAATTTCTACTTGATTCTTTCTGATTATTTAAATCTCTGTTAAATTTATCTGACAGATTACTAAATTCCTTCTCTGTGTTATCTTGAATTTCTTTAGGTTTCCTCAAAACAGCTATTTTGCATTCTTGTCTAAAAGGTCACGTATCTGTGTTTCTCCAGGATTGATCCCTGGTGCCCTGCTTAGTTCATTTGGTGAGGACATGTTTTCCTGGATAGTCTTGATACTTGTGGATATATGTTGGTGTCTCTGGATTGAAGAGTCAGGTATTTCTTGTAGTCTTCACAGTCTGGGCTTCTTTGTACCTGTCTCTCTTGGGAAGGCTTTCCAGGTATTTGAAGGAACTTGGGTGTTGTGATCGAAGATATATCTGCATTAGGGAGCACTCCTAATTACCCCAAGCCCAGTAATGCTGTTGTGCTTACAGCATTGTAAAGGTATTGCCTTTGTGGTCTTGGATAAAATCTGGAAGAATTATCTGAACTACCAGGCAGAAACTCTCACTCTCTTCACTTTCTCCAAAACAAATGTAGTCTCTCTCTCTCTCTGTCTCCCTCTCTCTCTGTGCTGAGCCACCTGGAGCTGTGGGTGGGATGACACAGGCAATTCAGTGGTCACCACCACTGAGACTGTACTGGGTCATACCTGAATCCAGCAAAACACTAGGTCTTGTTCAAGGTCCACTATAACCACTATCTGGCTACTGCCTATGTTTGTTCAAGGTGCTAGGAATCTACAATCTGCAGGTAGTGAAACCAGCCAGGCTTGTGTCTTTTCCTTCAGGGCAGTGAGTTTTCTGAGGCCCCAGGTCGATCCAGAGATGTTGTTCAGGAGCCAGGGACTAGAATCAAAAACCTTAGAAATCTACTTGCTGCTCTGTACTACTGAAGCTAAGTTGGCGCTTAAATCACAAGGCAGAGTCCTTCCCACTTTTTCCTCCCTTTTCCACAGACAGAGGAGCCTCTTCCCATGACCACCACCACCAAAGGCCCAAGGGAAGTACTGCCAGGCTACTGTCAGTGTTCATTTAAGTCCCAAGGGCTCCTCAGTCAGCTTGTGGTGAATGCTGCCAGGCCTGAGACTCACCTTTCAGGGTCATGGGGTCCCCTATGGCCCAGAGTGGGTCTAGAAATGCCATCCAAAAGCCAAGGCTTGAAAGTGGATCCCCAAGAGCCTACTTGGTGCTCTACCCCACTGTGACCAAGCTCGTACCTAAGGTGCAAGACAAAGTCCCTTTTTCTTTTCCCTCTGCTATTCTCAAGCATAAGGAGTCTCTCACCACAGCCACCACCCCAGCAAACATGCTGGATCTCACCTGAAGCCAGCATATCTCAGAGTCGTACCCAAGGCCCACAGCATGCTACCTGGGTATCACCACTGGTTATTCAGGGCTCGAGGCCTCTTTAGTCAGCAGGTAATGAAACCTGCCAGGAATAGGTTCTTTCCTTCAAGACAGTGGGTTCCCATATGGCCTAAGGTGTGTCTGGAAACCTCGTCCAAGAGCTACAGTCTGGAATGGGGGCCTGATGATGTAGCCCTGTCTTACTGTGGGTACAAGATGCAAGACAAAATCCTCTTTACTCTTCTTTCTCCTCTCCTCAAGCAGAAGAAAGGAATTACTTTTGTTGCTGTGAGTTGTACTGCCTGGGGTTGAGGGAGGGGTGGCACAAACATTCCCTTAGCCACCCCAGCAGATGTCTCACTAGGTCATGTGTCCCCTATGTCCACTGGCTTGGAGCCCAGCACAGCACAAGGACTTGCCTAAGAATTGCAGTCCCTGGCCGGGCGCAGTGGCTCACACCTGTAATCCCAGCACTTTCGGGGACCGAGGCGGGCGGATCACGAGGTCAGGAGATCGAGACCATCCTTGCTAACATGGTGAAACCCCGTCTCTACTAAAAATACAAAAAATTAGCCGGGTGTGGTGGCAGGTGCCTGTAGTCCCAGCTACTCAGGAGGCTGAGGCAGGAGAATGGCGTGAACCCAGGAAGTGGAGCTTGCAGTGAGCCAAGACCACACCACTGCACTGCAGCCTGGGCAACAGAGCGAGACTCCGTCAAAAAAAAAAAAAAAAAAAAAAAAAAAGAATTGCAGTCCCTGTGGCTCAGATAGCTTTTCAATTTTATTTCGGACCCCAGATCACTTTAGCCCGTGGTTGCGAGGCTTGCTGGAACTCAAGTTCTGACCACGGGGATGGGTTATTCCCCTCTAGCTAGAGCTAGTCTAAATGGTCCTTCTGTGGGCAGGTATCTGCTGAGTTCAGCCAGGTTAGTTTTGCTTTCTGCTCTGACAAGGCAACTCTGAATTCAATGCACAGTCCCATAGGCACTGAATTTTCCTTTCCCCAAGCGCTTAGATTCTCTCTCTATGCCATGTGGGTGCTACCAGCAAATGGGGGAAGGATGGTGTCAACAACTGAAGACTGTCTTTCCTACCCTCTTTAGTATGTCTTTCAAAGATATGAAGTTAAAACCAGGTACTGTGATTGCTCACTTGATTTTTGTTTCTTATGAAGGTGCTTTTTGTGTAGATACTTGTCAAATTTGGTGTTCCTACAGGGCAGGTGATTGGTGAAGGTTTTTATTTGGCCATCTTGCTCCACTCAGCTCCTCTACTTCTATTAATTGAAAAATGTTCAGTTACCAGTATTGTTTACTACATTAAAAATTATTCAACAAAATAATATTTACACAAATAATACTTGTGCTGTGACTTAAGTGTATCTGATGGTATATTGCTCTTTTCAGGATATAAACAGTAACTTTAATACTAATTTGTCTATAATTAATACTAATTTGTCTCTATACTAATTTGCCTAGTTCTCATTCTGAAATGAACTCAAGTTATAGTATTTATGTGGGGTCACAAAGACTATCAAATTTTAATCTCAGGAAAAAGGAGATCATGTATGTAATTGAGAATATTTATATAATATAGAATATTTGACATTTAAAATATTTTAAAATGTGTTAGCATAACATTCCTCCAAAAGTTTTCAGAAAATGTAACCTTAAAGATTACTGTTTAAAAATAATTTGCTCACTATTTATAATTCTTTAGATGTTTGATGGTGAAAAACTATTGTAAAATAATATTATCTCCCTCTATTCTATACACACAATTGTTTTTAAATTTAAGATGGAGCACTACTTTGCTAAATTACCTGAAGGGTTTTTTCTGTAGGTGAAAATGGAATGGCAAGCAAATCGTTTGTTTGTAGCCTGTTATATTCTGTATGACCACTTTATATCTTAAGCAATGATGTCATTAAATGATCCACTTCTAAGGTAGAAAGCTGTTTTCTGAGATAATAGCTACATTTATTTATTTTAAAATATATATGAATTTGGAAACATACATAATAGTAGTTGGAATTTTATGTATTTCAACTCTACATGGTGTAGAGTTTATTGAAATATGAGAAAATTCAAATATAAGTGTGTTTTTAGACTAAACTAAAATATTTATTTTGGAATTTATGTATATTAAAAAGCTTATTTTTTTAAGTTATCTTTTTTTAATATACTTTAAGTTCTGGGATACATGTGCAGAACGTACAGGTTTGTTACATAGGTATACACGTGCCATGGTGGGTTTGCTGCACCCATCAACTCATCATCTACATTAGGTATTTCTCCTAATGCCTTCCCTCCCCTGGCCCCCCATCCCCAGACAGGCCCCAGTGTGTGATGTTCCCCTCCCTGTATCCATGTGTTCTCATTGTTCAACTCCCACTTATGACTAAGAACATGCATTGTTTGGTCTCCCGTTCCTGTGTTAGTTTGCTAAGAAGGATGGTTTCCAGCTTCATCCATGTCCCTGCAAAGAACATGAACTGATCCTTTTTATGGCTGCATAGTATTCCATGGTGTATATGTGACACATTTTCTTTATCCAGTCTATTGTTGATGGGCATTTGGGTTGGTTCCAAGTCTTTGCTATTGTGAACAGTGCTGCAATAAACATACATGTGCATGTGTCTTTATAGTAGAATGATTTATAATCCTTTGGGTATGTACCCAGTAATGGGATCACTGGGTCAAATGGTATTTCTGGTTCTAGATCCTTGAGGAATCACCACACTATCTCCCACAATGACTGAACTAATTCACACTCCCATCAACAGTGTAAAAGCATTCCTATTTCTCCACATCCTCTCCATCATCTGTTGTTTCCTGACTTTTTAATGATTGCTATTCTAACTGGCAGGAGATGGTATCTCATTGTGGTTTTGATTTGCATTTCTCTAATGACCAGTGATGATGGGCATTTTTTCTTATGTCTGTTGGCTGCATAAATGTCTTCTTTTGAGAAGTGTCTGCTCATATCCTTCGCCCACTTTTTGATGGGGTTGTTTGGTTTTTTTTTTTCTTGTAAATTTGTTTAAGTTCTTTGTAGATTCTGAATATTAGCTCTTTGTCAGATGGATAGATTGCAAAAATTTTCTCCCATTCTGTAGGTTGCCTGTTCACTCTGATGACAGTTTCTTTTGCTGTGCAGGAGCTCTTTAGTTTAATTAAATCCCATTTGTCAATTTTGGCTTTTGTTGCAATTGCTTTGGCATTTTAGTCATGAAGTCTTTGTCCATGCCTATGTCCTGAATGGTATTGCCTAGGTTTTCTTCTAGGGTTTTTATGGTTTTAGGTCTTGCGTTTAATCCATCTTGAGTTAATTTTTGTATAACGTATAGGGAAGCAGTCCTGTTTCAGTTTTTTGCCTATGGCTAGCCAGTTTTCCCAACACCATTTATTAAATAGGGAATCCTTTCCCCATTGCTTGTTTTTGTCAGGTTTTTCAAATATCAGATGGTTGTAGATGTGTGGCATTATTTCTGGGGCCTCTGTTCTGTTCCATTGGTCTGCATATCTGTTTTGGTACCAGTACCATGCTGTTTTGGTTACTGTAGCCTTGTAGTATAGTTTGAAGTCAGGTAGCATGATACTTCCAGCTTTGTTCTTTTTGCTTAAAATTGTCTTGGCTATATGGGCTCTTTTTTGGTTTTATATGAAATTTAAAGTAGTTTTTTCTAATTCTGTGAAGAAAGTCAATGGTAGCTTAATGGGGATAACATTGAATCTATAAATTACTTTCAGCAGTATGGCCATTTTTATGATATTGATTCTTCCTATCCATGAGCATGGAATGTTTTTCCATTTGTTTGTGTCCTCTCCTATTTCCTTGAGCAGTGGTTTGTGGTTCTCCTTGAAGAGATCCTTCACATTTCTTGTAAGTTGTATTCCTAGGTATTTTATTATCTTTGTAGCAATTGTGAATGGGAGTTCACTCATGATTTGGCTCTCTGTTATTGGTGTGTAGGAATGCTTGTGATTTTTGCACATTGATTTTGTATCCTGAGACTTTGCAGAAGTGGCTATCAGCTTAAGATTATGGGCTGAGACGATGGGGTTTTCTAAATATACAATCATGTCATCTGCAAACAGAGACAATTTGACTTCCTCTCTTCCTGTTTGAATACCCTTTATTTCTTACTCTTGCCTGATTGCTCTGGCCAGAACTTCCAATGCTATGTTGAATAGTAGTGGTGAGAGAGGACATCCTTGTCTTGTGCCAGTTTTCAAAGGGAATGCTTCCAGCTTTTGCCCATTCAGTATGATATTGGCTGTGGGTTTGTCATAAATAGCTCTTACTATTTTGAGATACGTTCCATCAATACCTAGTTTATTGAGCGTTTTTAGCAAGAAGGGATGTTAAATTTTATTGAAGGTCTTTTCTACATCTATTGACATAATCATGTGATTTTTGTCATTGGTTCTGTTTATGTGATGGATTATGTTTATTGATTATTGTATGTTAAACCAGCCTTCCATCCCAGGGATGAAGCCAACTTGATCATGGTGGATAAGCTTTTTGATGTGCTGTTGGATTCAGTTTGCCAGTATTTTATTGAGGGTTTTTGCATCAATATTCATCAGGGATATCAGCCTGAAAGTTTCTTTTTTTGTTGTGTCTCTGCCAGGTTTTGGTATTGGGGTGATGCTAGCCTCATAAAAGCTTATTTTTAAATGCCATGATTCTGTATGTCTCCCAGAGCAAAAACCAAAGTTATTTACTCGCCTATGTGTGACTTGCCCCCCTGGCCCCTGCTTGACTTTACTTCCTCTCACTTTCCTTTTGAATCACTATTGTATTATTCCGTTCTCACAGTGCTATAAAGAAATACTTGAGACTGGGTAATTTATAAAGGAAAGAGATTTAATGGACTCACAGTTCCTTATTGCTTAGAGGGCCTCAGGAAAACTTGCAATCATGGCAAAGGCAAAGGAGAAGCAGGTACCTTCTGCATAGGGCAGCAGGATGGAGTGAGTGCAAGCAGGGGAAATGCCAGATGCTCATAAAACCATCAGATCTAGTGAGAACTCACTCACTATCATGAGAACAACATGGGGGAACTGCCCCCGTGATCCAATTATTGCCACCTGGTCTCACCCTTGACATGTGGGGATTATGGGAATTACAATTTGAGGTGAGAATTGGGTGGGGACACAGAGCCAAACCATATCAACTATGTTCCAGTGACACTGGCCTCCTTGGATGTTTGAAGCCCACTGTCATCTTTGGGCTCTTACACTGGCTGTGCCCTCTGCTTGGAACATTCTCGCTTTCTTCCAGGCTTTGCTTAAATGTCTCTTTCTCAGTGAAACACAACCTATACACCCTATTTAAAATAGCCACCCACCCTATTCTTACCCTCAGCATTTGCAGACCAATTTAATGTGTTCCACTCTTTTTTTGGTGGCATTTATCACCCTCTAACACAGAGGTCCCCAGTTTATCAATTCATGATGCCCTTTATCAATTCATGATGCCTTCAATAATTTTTCACAGCACCTTTGGCCAAAAGAAACATCTAATAATTTCATTTATTAAATAGGTTCAAACAATAAGTATTTATGTACTAACAAATTAATAGTCATTTGAAAAAAATAATATACATAAATTGAAAGAAAATGATATGTATATGCTGTTTGAAAATAACAACAATTACTCATTAATGGGATGTGTATGCCTATTGAACCCTAAATGGCTTGTCAATGCTTGGAGTCATAATGGACAACACTGCCCTCTTCTCCCAATGCACATTGCTTTTTATGCAGTTACTTGCTTGTTGTCACAACCACCAAAAAGCTGGCTTTGAAAAGATATGATGTCACTAAAAGAAATTTAGTATACTCTAATGTTGAAAATGTAAGATTTCTCAGCTAGTAATTTGTGTATTGTCTGACAGATACTGCTGTGTGACTTAGTATGTCCCTGCTGCTATAACAAAATACCTTAGACTGAGTAGCTTGTAAACAAAATAAATCTATTGCTTATTGTTCTAGTGGGTGGGAAGTCCAAGATCAACATGCCAGCAGATTTGGTGTCTGTTAAAGGCCCATTGCTGTAGACAATGTCTTCTTGCTCTGTCCTCACATGGCAGAAAGAAATGGGGAAGAGGACAAACACACTCCCTTCACCTGCTTTTATAAGGGTACTAATCCCATTCTTAAGGGCAGGACACTTATGACTTTATCACTTCCCAAAAGGCTGCACCTGTTAATACTATCACATTGCAGATTAAATTCCAAAATACGTTTTGGGATGACACCAACATTTAGACCATAGCACTATGTTTCCCTTAAAAATGTAAATAAACTGCAGTGAACCTATAATTTTGTTGTAACATCCCAGGGTGCTTTGGCACACAGTTTGGGAACCACGGTTCTAACATATTGTATAATTAGTTACTTATTAGGTACATTATTTATTGTCTTCTCCACCATCACCCCTATAATAGAATGTATTGAAGCACAGAAATTTCTATCTGTTTTTTTCTCTGATATATGCTAAGCACCTTCAATAATCCTGGGATATGTAGGTTTTCAGGGTATATTTGTAAAATCAGTGGTTATTAACTATTTATGTTTCTTTTTCTGTGAACTCTTTGTTTTACATTTTTGCCAATTTTTCTTTCAGCTGGTATGTTTTTACAGGTCTATGAAAGTTTTTGTATGTCTAGAAAATTATTGCTTTTGCTTATTATATGTTCACCAAATATTTTCTGATTTTTCTTTTGACATTTTTCTGGTAATTTTTGCTATATGGACATTTTTCTGCTGTATTTTGTATAATTTTTCTGTATGGAATTTTAAAATAGTTTTGTAGTCAACTGTGCCATTTCTTTTTTCTATATCCTATAGGTAATGTATTTTTTAAAAAGACCTTGCTCATTTTATAATAATATTTTTTCTAATTTTATGGTTCCTTTTAGCATTATTATTATTACTGTTATTATTATTTTAAATCATTGCTTTACCAGGAATTTATTTGGGTTCTAAAATACAGATCCAGCTTCCTCTTCATCCAAGTGACTAGCCAGCTGTCTCAACAATGCCTGTCAACTAATTGATCTTTCCCCACTGACTTGAAATAATGGATCTGCCACACACTAAATTCCCATGTGTATTTTGGGTTTATTTCTAGAACTGTCAATTCTATTTTATCTGGCACTTTTTTCCTACTCAAGCACCCATCCATTTGACTCACTGTGTTATTGAAAATTGTTTTTAATTTTGCTTCACAAATTAATGGTTCTTTAATTTGGGGGAAGTTGGGGAGAGAATAAACTATTACCCTTTGAAACTGTTCTTTAAAAGTTAATTTCAACAAACAACTTGGCAAGAATTAGGAATCACAATTCAAACAGGATCTAAACAAAAGTTCTCTGGGAGACTTCTTTTTTGTCCATTCAAGTATTTATACCACAGTTCCGGGCATATTGTGAGCACATAGAATTTCATGGAATCAAATAACTTCTAGCACTGAAAACAGGACAGCATAAATGAACTTCTTTTACATGGAGTACAGAAATGAATACCAATGACTGGATTTTTCCGTATATAACCATCTACCTGGTTAGTCATTGTGTTGGCATGATCTTTTAAACACAAGGACAATGATGTCATGAATTACAATCTTGTCAGTGAATAGCCCAAAACCTAACAATATGCAATTAGAAATACAAGGCAAAATATTAATAATCTCCTGATATTTCTGAATGCA
Organism: Homo sapiens; assembly: GCF_000001405.40. NCBI lineage: Eukaryota > Metazoa > Chordata > Mammalia > Primates > Hominidae > Homo > Homo sapiens. Next base: position 88,472,830 of record NC_000012.12, on the reverse strand, counting down.
GTATGTATCAATATATCTGACGAGCATAAAATATCACAGCTAAAGAGCATCATTATCCTCTGTCTTCTGAAGACTCAACAAAACCTTTATACATCTCCATAAATTCAAACAAGTTGCATACATACAAACATATGCAAATAATTTAAGGTAGTTCTTGGAAGTGGACATAAGTAAACATTCAAATGGCTAATCATGGCTTAAAAGGTTTTCAATAATTTTGTCACCTGATCCAAGTGCTCTTACAAGTAATTATAGCTCTTTTTTCCCTCTACACAAGTCCGTGAGAAGGAGGCAGGACCGAAAAATATGAATTAAAGGGTCTCCCCACAGCACCCTCACCAAGACATATATGAGACTTGGGCACCTGGCCAATGACAAATACAAGGAGAATTTTCTTTACTCCTGGCATTGCAACATGCTTTCTTGAGCTGATGGAAAAATAATTATTGGCAACCAATCACAACAGCCCTGCTTATTTATTACTAGTGACAAACAGATTAAATGTATAATAGTGAAAATGAACCAATTAAGGTAAAAATCACAGAAACAGAAAGGCACTATGTGCAGCCTTTGTCAAATGTAAATGATTATATCCCAAACGCTCATGTCTTAGCCCCTAATTTTGGAGGATTTTTGCTTCTGGTCACTTATACTGAGGCATGAGGCTGTTTAAGACCAACCAACTCTATTATATGTATTATTTTGTTCCCAAAGTTGTCATTGAAATGTCTGGAGTATTCATACCATTGAAAATATAATTCTGTCAGCACAGTCAGGTAGAAGCATTTTCAACTTCTATAGAAAATGGACAAAGCTAGGATATTTTCTGTGCCAATTAGCAGTTTTGCTGAGCAAGAAGGAAGTGTGTCTAAAGAGGCCTGAATAAGAACCCAGCAAGCGCAGTATTTGAATGAGAACAACTCAGCAAGCTTTCTTGGGCTTTTGGCACCCACAGAGGCCACAGTAAAGAGTTCCCAGGAAGGTCATCCAATTCCAGTGAATCATAGGGATTATGTGGGAGGGAAAGGAGTTGTGTGGCTTGTTCCCTTCAGTACATGTCCAGGGGAGGACATTTGCCAGTGCCTGGCACCATAGGGCTTATAAATATTTTCTAGCTAAACTTATGAATACAGCCTTTCAAATGCCAGAAAATTGGTGCAAAAGAATAAGTTCAGTGAAACCTGTGAATTGTCTGAAAAATCAATGAAGTCGCAGGTTGTATTTGGAAGTAACATACAAGACCCAAGCACATAATTTGAGTTAGATTCGGGATACACATTTATTTAACTGTGGAATACTTATTTGGTGATTTGTCTATGCTGCTGTTTGACACAGCCATATGAAAAATGGCCAATTTTTCAGAGTTACAGCATATTTAATTTTAGTAGGGACATACTGCATTACGATATAGTTGGCATCATTTTATTTGTTTAGTTTATACTGTTATTATGCTAGAATTCTGTACTCTATTAGGTCTTAATTCATTTTTGAACCCTAGGAACAATATTGTATTTCATTTTTTATTTTAAAACTATATTCTTTACCTAACTATATTTGAGTTTATTTAACTTTCTTCTCTTTTTCCCCTTCTACAGTCTACCGTCTTTATCAATTTAGTTTTGCTTGTCTGTGGAATTAAACTTAATGTAATCTTTTCTGATTTCATTTAATACATATATTTCTCTTATGCCTGATGAAGAAATGGAATTAATTCAACAAACGCAGATTACTTAGTAAGTCTCCCAAACACCTGCAAGTAACAAACACTTTAAGATAAACAAAATGCAGGATTTGTGCTCGAAGAGGGAGAGATGCTAGAGATAAATCAACAACTAATAACTATAGTGTAATAAGAGTTCCCCCAAAGTCTATGCTCAGCCCAGCAACCAGAGTGAACCTTTAGAAAAATAAGTCAGATCTTGTCAGTTCTCTGCCCAAATTCTTTATTCAGAGTCAATGGCTTACAAAGTCCTGTATAATCTGGCTCCTGTTTTTATTTTTTGATTTATATATAAATAAATATATATATATTTGTATGTTCACTTATACAGGGGCCTGGCATGGCCCCTGTTTTTAATTTGCTCCCCTCTCCTATCATTCTTTCCCTCTCTTCTCCCTGTTCCTTCACACTAGTTTACTTGTTCTTCAATGACATACTGATATTGAACATGATAACTACACTCTTGCCTCACTTTCCACCCAGATTGCCACCAGCTTTCCTGCCTCTTTTAAGTCTTTGCTCAAAATTCTGTCTTCTTAGTGAGACCTTCCCTGAACACCAATTTTACATTGCAACCTCTCGCCAGCATTCCTTATCCCCTTTTCCAAGATTTATTTATCTCCATAACGCTTTATATCTCCCACATCATACTTTTTTGTTCATGTTCAATTTCTGTGTTGCCTTCTAGAATATAAATTCTATGAGGGCTTGGATTTTTGTCTATTTGCTTATTTCTGGTTTTTCCAGTGCCTGTAAGAGAACCTAGTACATACAAAGTGTTCAATAAATATTTGCCAAATGAATGAAGTATGCATTAGCCAGAGTTCTCTAGTGAAAAAGAATAGTATATAGACACATACGTGTGTGTGTGTGTATTTGTGTGTGTGTGTGTGTTTGTGTGTTAGTATATAGTGCACATATGCAATAGTCCCTCAGGATCTGTGGGGGATTGGTTCTAGGACCCAGCCCTGCATATACCAAAATCCATAGATGCTAAAATCCCTTATATAAAATGATGTAGTATTTGTATATAACCTATGCACAACTTCCCATATACAGTCTTTTCAAGCAAGTAAATAACATGATAAGATTATTGTTTGCTTTTTGGTATTTTGACAACTGGAAAAATAATTCTAGATTGGGAAAGTTTGAGGGAAAGAAAATCATCTAGGATGTTATTGCAATTGTCCAGGACAGCCTGAACTGAGGCAAAGATAAAGGAGCTTAATTGAAGAGACGTTTTTTGCATAATATCGACAAAACTTTAAAATCAGTGAAATAGCTATGGAAAATAGATTAGAGAGTCGACGATGACTCTGAAGCTTCTAATTTGGAGACCTGAAAAGATATTATGGTTTTCAACCTGATAAAAAGAAAATCCACTATTAGGAGTATACTGCAGAGGAAGGTTATACAAAAAAAGTCTTACGAGGAATAAACCAAGAAACCGGTGTGAAAATTGAGAAAGAGTAGTACCAATTCTTTCTCAGAGACAGGAAGTATGGTGGAATTCTGTTGTGTTTTGATTTCATAATATTAATTTGCCCTTCTTCATTACCTTTTGGGGAAGTACTGCCTCTCCATCAGTTACAGCTTGATGGATAATTGGAGGCCCTGCTTCCACTTAGCTGAGAAGCAACTTCTGTAACATAATGTAAGTCACTTAGATGCTCTCTTTCCAGAAAGCAGAATGACAAGAGACTAGAAATAGCTGTATTCATCCAAGAAATCAGGCCTGCAATACCAAGCTGTTTTTGTCATCAAAGAGACTATTTTCTAATCCTCTCTGGGGCTTCCTCACTTCCCACACATTTTCAAGTCCACGTCTCTAGGCTTCTTGTTGATACCATGACCTTCTGATAAATTCCCTTCTGATAAATTCAATTTTTCAAAGGGGGAAGAGTTTATTTTTGTCATCCCTGCCAAAGAAGCTTAATACAGAAGAGAGAAAGATGATGAAGGAATAACATGTTGGAAATAATAGATATTGAGGGTTTTCTTACAAGATATACAAATTGTAGGTTATATATAAAGTAGGTTATCATTTCTTTTTTGAGCATCACGGGCTTGAGAAGAACCATTAAGTCTTTTGTCTGCTTTATTTTTTTAACTGTCACTGAAAGGAATGTGTTAGAAACTGAGTAAGAATGATTAAAAGAGTTGCTTATCTCATTGAGCCTGGAAAATATAAAATTTTAATGGCTTCCAACCAACATAATTATGCAATTTTCTTTCACAGTATTTTGAAATTTTGGAATGGGATTAGAGAATGCAAATCAGTAGGGATTTAATAATGCAAATCAGATTTATGGATTCATGGAGTATACTTTCCACTAAGCAGTCAAAAACTGAAAGAAGGAAATAGGTTGGTATGTACTTGACGTCATGAGCCCTGGGATTCTGCCTGGGTAGATATCTATCTAGATGTTATATATGGGGGTGGGTAGAATTAGTACTATCTTAACTTATAAATGCTGTAGCAAGGATAAGATACAGGATTGAACAATTCCAGGAAAGATATTTATCCAGATGTCTATAGATAGCACAGACTAAGTCTATTACCCAGAAAGAAAAAATAAGGTAATAACCATAAATTCAGTGTTGTGAGTCAAGCCCTGAGACTAGTGAAATGCAAAAAAAAAAAAAAAAAAAAGTGAAAAATTAATGACAAACTCAGAAATTTGGAGAAGTTGGAGCAGATTGATTTATGCTGTCAATCAAGTGACCTGGAGCATACTTATAGCATCAATGCATAAGGTCATACCTGCTTGTTGAAAGGGGGTGTGATAAGCAGAAAATGATGCTGAGACTCTAGTATACTTGAAACTAAGAATACATAAATTGGACAATAGGTAAGGTCACAACAAAAGCAAAAAGCAAACTTATTAAAATTGAGGGAGTAGAAGAGCTGGGAAGAGAGGAGGGTTCAAGAGAGAAATCTCAGGGTTGAAGGCATTAGAGGTGTGGACGGCTATGTGAGTGGGTTAGAAGTGAAGTTTGTTACTGTAAAGTAGATCAAGAAAATGGACCTGGAGCATTGAATGTGTCATAAATATAGAAATTAATTAGAGTTATTGAAAAATTATGAAAAGGAAGGGTGGGGAGGAAAAGTATCAACATCCTTGGTGAAAAAAGGGTCCGAGAGATGAGTCAATGATGAAGGACTGGACTGACAGGTAATAGCCAGGAGGGAAATGATTGAGACCGGCTAGAGTAAGTGTAGACTACAACTGAGAAAAGATTGTTCTAAAAAGAACCTTGGTTTTGTAACTGGGTCTGCCCTCCCCTCCCCTCCCCTCCCCTCCCCTCCCATTCCCTTGATCTTCAGATCAGCCTGTCTGCCTGAAATGAAATAATTTCCTGCTGATTTTAGAATCACATTACCATCTACAGACAAGCTTCTTCTGCGGCATTATTTTCCTCATCACAAGTTTTCCCCAAAGAGCGTAGGAGATGGTGAGAAGATATTGAGCTCTCTGTCTTAAGAGATGACCACAAAAGGAGGCAGTAAAGTCCTATGACAGGTGCAGCAAAAGTGTTGGGCACTGTAGCTGCATGAGGGAGACAAGAACCTTGGGTATGATATGTGGGACAAGGATAAATGGCATCTTCAGGGCATTACACACATGCTTCATGGGGAAAAGATGCTTCAGATAGATAAGTTATTAAGATGACTCATAGTAAACCTGAACATGGACTTTGAAATCAGACAAATCTTGATTAAAATATTGGCTCGAGCCAAGATGGCTGAATAGGAACAGCTCCGGTCTACAGCTCCCAGCATGAGCAACACAGAAGACGGGTGATTTCTGCATTTCCATCTGAGGTACCAGGTTCATCTCACTTGGGAGTGCCAGACAGTGGGCGCAGGACAGTGGGTGCAGCACACCGTGCGCGAGCCAAAGCAGGGCGAGGCATTGCCTTACTCGGCAAGTGCAAGGGGTCAGGAAGTTCCCTTTCCGAGTCAAAGGGGTGACAGATGGCACCTGGAAAATTGGGTCACTCCCACCCTAATACTGCGCTTTTCTGACAGGCTTAAAAAACGGTGCACCAGGAGATTATATCCCGCACATGGCTTGGAGGGTCCTATGCCCACAGAGTCTCGCTGATCGCTAGCACAGCAGTCTGAGATCAAACTGCAAGGCGGCAGCGAGGCTGGGGGAGGGGCGTCCGCCATTGCCCAGGCTTGCTTAGGTAAACAAAGCAGGCGGGAAGCTCAAACTGGGTGGAGCTGACCATAGCTCAAGGAGGCCTGCCTGCCTCTGTAGGCTCCACCTCTGGGGGCAGGGCACAGACAAACAAAAAGACAGCAGTAACCTCTGCAGCCTTAAATGTCCCTGTCTGACAGCTTTGAAGAGAGCAGTGGTTCTCCCAGCACATAGATAGAGATCTGAGAATGGGCAGACTGCCTCCTCAAGTGGGTACCTGACCCCTGACTCCCGAGCAGCCTAACTGGGAGGCACCCCCAAGTAGGGGCAGACTGACATCTCACATGACCGGGTACTCCTCTGAGACAAAACTTCCAGAGGAACGATCAGACAGCAGCATTTGCGGTTCACAAAAATCCGCTGTTCTGCAGCCACCGCTGCTGATACCCAGGCAAACAGGGTCTGGCGTGGACCTCTAGCAAACTCCATTAGACCTACAGCTGAGGGTCCTGTCTGTTAGAAGGAAAACTAACAAACAGAAAAGACATCCACACCAAAAATCCATCTGTACATCACCATCATCAAAGACCAAAAGTAGATAAAACCACAAAGATGGGGAAAAAAACAGAGCAGAAAAACTGGAAACTCTAAAAAGCAGAGCGCCTCTCATCCTCCAAAGGAACGCAGTTCCTCACCAGCAACGGAACAAAGCTGGACGAAGAATGACTTTGACGGGTTGAGAGAAGAAGGCTTCAGACAATCAAATTACTCTGAGCTACAGGAGGAAATTCAAACCAAAGGCAACGAAGTTAAAAACTTTGAAAAAAATTTAGACGAATATGTAACTAGAATAACCAACACAGAGAAGTGCTTAAGGGAGCTGATGGAGCTGAAAGCCAAGGCTCGAGAACTGCATGAAGAATGTAGAAGCCTCAGGAGCCGATGCGATCAACTGGAAGAAAGGGTATCAGTGATGGAAGATGAAACGAATGAAATGAAGTGAGAAAGGAAGTTTATAGAAAAAAGAATAAAAAGAAATGAACAAAGCCTCCAAGAAATATGGGACTATGTGAAAAGACCAAATCTACGTCTGATTGGTGTACCTGAAAGTGACAGGGAGAATGGAACCAAGTTGGAAAACACTCTGCAGGATATTATCCAGGAGAACTTCCCCAATCTAGCAAGGCAGGCCAACATTCAGATTCAGGAAATACAGAGAACGCCACAAAGATACTCCTTGAGAAGAGCAACTCCAAGACACATAATTGTCAGATTCACCAAAGTTGAAATGAAGGAAAAAATGTTAAGGGCAGCCAGAGAGAAAGGTCGGGTTACCCACAAAGGGAAGCCCGTCAGACTAACAGCGGATATCTCGGCAGAAACTCTACAAGCCAGAAGAGAGTGGGGCCAATATTCAACATTCTTAAAGAAAACAATTTTCAACCCAGAATTTCATGTCCAGCCAAACTAAGCTTCATAAGCGAAGGAGAAATAAAATCCTTTACAGATAAGCAAATGCTGAGAGATTTTGTCACCACCAGGCCTGCCTTACAAGAGCTCCTGAAGGAAGCACTAAATACGGAAAGGAAAAACTGGTACCAGTCACTGCAAAAACATACAAAATTGTGAAGACCATTGACGCTATGAAGAAATTACATAAACTAATGGGCAAAATAACTAGCTAGCATCATAATGATGGGATCGAATTCACCCCCAACAATATTAGCTTTAAATGTAAATGGTTTAAATGCTCCAATGAAAAGACATGGACTGGCAGATTGGATAAAGAGCCAAGACCCATCGGTGTGCTGTATTCAGGAGACCCATCTCACATGGAAAGACTAACATAGGCTCAAGATAAAGGGATGGAGGAAGATTTACCAAGCAAATGGAAAGCAAAACAAACAAACAAACAAACAAACAAAAAACAGGTGTTGCACTTCTAGTCTCTGATAAAACAGACTTTATACGAACAAAGATCAAAAGAGACAAAAAAGGCCATTACCTAATGGTAAAGGGATCAATGCAATGAGAAGAGCCAACTATATGCACCCAATACAGGAGCACCCAGATTCATAAAGCAAGTTCTTAGAGACCTACAAAGAGACTTAAACTTTAACACCCCATTTTCAATATTAGACAGATCAATGAAACAGAAAAATAACAAGGATATTCAGGATTTGAACTCAGTTCTGGACCAAGTGGACCTAATAACCCCTTTAACACCCCAGTGTCAATATTAGACAGATCAACCAGTCAGATAATTAACAAGGGTATTCAGGACTTGAACTCAGCTCTGGACCAAGTGGACCAAATAGACATCTACAGAACACTCCACCCCAAATCAACAGAATATACATTCTTCTCAGCACTACATCACACTTATTTTAAAATTGACCACATAATTGGAAGTAAAACACTCTTCAGCAAATGCAAAAGAACAGAAATCATAACAAACAGTCTCTCAGGCCACAGTGCAATCAAATTAGAATTCAGGATTAAGAAACTCACTCAAAACTGCACAACTACACGGAAACTGAACAACCAGCTCCTGAATGACTTCTGGGTAAATAACAAAGTTAAGGCAGAAATAAAGAAGTTCTTTGAACCCAATGAGAACAAAGACACAACATGCTAGAATCTCTGGGACACAGCTAAAGCAGTGTTTAGAGGGAAATTTATAACACTAAATGCCCATAGAAGAAAGCGGGAAAGATCAAAAATCAATACCCTAATATCACAATAATAAGAACTAGAGAAGCAAGAGCAAACAAATTCAAAAGCTAGCAGAAGACAAGAAATAACTAAGATCAGAGCAGAACTGAAGGAGATAGATACACAAAACACCCTTCAAAAATCAATGAATCCAGGAGCTTGTTTCTTGAAAATATTAACGAAATAGATTGACCACTAGCCAGACTACTGAAGAAGAAAAGAGAAAAGGATCAAATAGACACAATAAAAAATGACAAAGGGGAGATCACCAGTGATGCCACGGAAATACAAACTACCATCAGAGAATACTGTAAACACCTCTATGCAAATAAACTAGAAAATCTAGAAGAAATGAATAAATTCCTGGACACATGCACCCTCCCAAGACTAAACTAGAAAGAAGTTGAATCCCTGAACAGACTAATAACAAGTTCTGAAATTGAGGCAGTAATTAGTAGACTACCAACCAAAAAAAGCCTGGGAGCAGGTGAATTCACAGCCAAATTCTACCAGAGGTACAAAGAGCAGCTGGTACCATTCCTTCTGAAACTATTTCAAACAATAGAAAAAGAGGTACTTCTCCCTAACTCATTAAAAAAAAAATCAGGCCAATATCCCTGATGAACATCGATGTGAATATCCTCAATAAAATACTGGCAAACTGAATCCAGTAGCATGTCAAAAAGCTTATCCACTACAATCAAGTCAGCTTCATCCCTGGGATGCAAGGATGTTTCAAGATATGCAAATCAATAAATGTAATCCATCACATAAACAGAACCAGTGACAAAAACTACATGGTTATCCCAATAAATGCAGAAAAGGCCTTTGACAAAATTCAACACCCCTTCATGCTGAAAACTCTCAATCAACTAGGTACTGATGGAATGTATCTCAAAATATTAAGAGCTATTTATGACAAACCCACAGCCAATATCATACTGAATGGGCAAAAGCTGGAAGCATTCCCTTTGAAAATTGGGACAAGACAAGGATGCCCTCACTCACCACTGCTATTCAACATAGTATTGAAAGTTCTGGCCAGGGCAGTCAGGCAAGAGAAAGAAATGAAGGGTATTCAAATAGGAAGAGAGGAAGTCAAATTGTCTCTGTTTGCAGATGACATGATTGTATATTTAGAAAACCTCATCTTCTCAGCCCCAAATCTTATTAAGCTGATATGCAACTTCTGATTACTAAGCTGAAAGCAAAGTATCAGGATAAAAAATCAATGTGCAAAAATCGCAAGCATTCCTATACACCAATAATAGACAAATGGAGAGCTAAATCATGAGTGAACTCCCATTCACAATTGCTACAATGAGAATAAAATACCTAGGAATACAACTTACAAGGGATGTGAAGGACCTCTTTAAGGAGAACTACAAACCACTGCTCAAAGAAATAAGAGAGGGCACAAATAAATGGAAAAAATATTCTATGCTCATAGATGGGAAGACTCAATATCATGAAAATGGCCATACTACCCAAAGTAATTTATAGATTCAATGCTATCTGCATCAAGCTACCATTGACTTTCTTCACAGAATTTGAAAAAACTACCTTAAATTTCATATAGAACCAAAAAAGAGCCTGTGTAGCCTAAGCAAAAAGAGCAAAGCTGGAGACATCACACTGTCTGACTTCAAACTATACTACAAGGTTACAGTAGCCAAAACATCCTGGTACTGGTACCAAAACAGATATATAGACCAATGGAACAGAACAGAGGCCTCAGGAATAATGCCACACATCTAAAACCATCTAATTTTTGACAAACCTGACAAAAATAAGCAATGAGGAAAGGATTCTCTATTAATAAATGGTGTTAGGAAAACTGGCTAGCCATATGCAGAAAACTGAAACTGGACCCTTCCTTACACCTTATACAATAGATGCATAATCTATCCTGAGTGTATTAAAGACTTAAATGTAAGATGGATTAAAGACTTAAACATAAGACCTAAAACCTTACAAACCCTAAAAGAAAACCTAGGCAATACCATTCAGGACATAGGCATGGGCAAAGACTTCATGGCTAAAACACTAAAAGCAATGGCAACAGAAGCCAAAATTGACAAATGAGAGCTAATTAAACTAAAGAGCTTCTGCACAGCAAAAGAAACTGTCATCAGAGTGAACAGGCAACCTACAAAATGGGAGAAAACTTTTGCAATCTATCCATATGACAAAGGGCTAATATCCAGAATCTACAAGGAACTTGAACAAATTTACAAGAAAAAAACAAACAACCCCATCAAAAAGTGGGCAAAGGATATAAACAGACACTTCTCAAAAGAAGACATTTATGTGGCCAACGAAATTATGAAAAAAAAAAAAAGCTCTTCATCACTGGTCATTACAGAAATGCAAACCAAAACCACAATGAGATCCCATCTCACACCAGTTAGAATGGTGATCATTAAAAAGTCAGGAAACAATAGATGCTGGAGAGGATGTGGAGAAATGGGAATGCTTTTACGCTGAAAAGGATGTGGAGAAATGGGAATGCTTTTACGCTGAAAGGGATGTGGAGAAATGGGAATGCTTTCACATTTTTGGTGGGAGTGTAAATTAGTTCAACCATTGTGGAAGACAGTGTGACAATTCCTCAAGGATCTAGAACCAGAAATACCATTTGACCCAGCAAACCCATTACTGGATATGTACCCAAAGGATTACAAATTTTTCTGCTATAAAGGCACATGCCCACGTATGTCTATTGCAGCACTATTCACAATAGCAAAGACTTGGAACCACCCAAATGCCCATCAATGACAGACTGGATAAAGAAGATGTGGCACAAATACACCATGGAATGCTATGCAGCCATAAAATAGGATGAGTTCATGTCCTTTGCAGGGACATGGATGAAGCTGGAAACCATCATTCTCAACAAACTAACACATAACAGAGAACCAAACAGCACGTGTTCTCACTCATAAGTGGGAGTTGAACAATGAGAACAGGACACAGTGAGGGGAACATCACACACAGGGGCCTGTCGGGGGATTGGGGGCTAGTGGGGGATAGCATTAGGAAAAATACCTAATGAGATGATGGGTTGATGGGTGCAGCAAACCACCATGGCACATGTATACCTATGTAACAAACCTGCATGTTCTGCACATGTACACCAGAACTTAAAGTGTAATAAAAAATACGATTGCTGGTATCATTATAAGAGAAAAGAAAGATGTGAGATAAACAGACACAGGGGAGAGCCAAGTGAAGATGGAGGCAGGGGTTTGAGTGATATGTCTGTAAGCCAAAGAATGCGAGGAATTGCCAGAACCACCAGAAGCTAGGAGAGGTGCAGGGAATAGATTCTCCCTTGGACCTTTCAGAGGGAACCAACTCCACTGATGTCTTGATTTCAGACGTTTGACCTCCCAAACTGTGAGAATAAATTTTTGTTATTTTACTTCATGCAGTTTTAGGTAATTTGTTACAGCAGCTCTAGGAAACTAATACAGTGGGTGGTTTCTTTTTTTTTAAGGGGATATCACTACCAGATAACAGTTTGTAATTTCTACAAACAAGGAAATTATTCTACAAAACCATAAGATAACCATCAAAATCAGGAAATTAACATTGATACACACCATTATTATCTAATCCATTCAAATTTCACCAGTCATCCCAAAAATATCCTCAAGGGTAAAGAATCCAGTTCAGAATCACACTCTGCATTTCAGTGATGTGTCTCCTGAGGCTTCTAAATCTAGAACAGTTCCTCAGCCTTTCTTTGACTTTAATGACCTTGACACTTTTGAAGATTGCAGGCTAGGTGTTTTGTAGAATAACCCTAAATTTGGGGTTTCCAGTGTTTCCTTATTACATTCAGCTTATGCATCTTTGGCAAGAATGTTACAGAAAGGTTGTGCTCTTCTCATTACATCCTATTGGATAACGCACAATTCAATTTGTCCTATGTACAATCTTGTTCTCTAATCACTTGGTTAAGAGGGTTTCTGCCACAGTTCTCCAAAATTAGTAAAATTACTGATTTCCCTTTGTCATTAATAAGTATTCTATAGAGAATTACTTTAAGTCTATAGATATCCTGTCCCCCATTAAAGAATATATACTCATGGTTTCCTATTTTATTCAAGATTCATAATCCATGACTTTTATTTTATGTTCAAATTGTCTTCCATTTGGCCAGTGTGAGGCCCTTAATACTGGCTTCTCTTTCCTTTTAATGTGTCCACATGGTTCTATCAGCACTTTCTTTCTGGCACAAAAAGATGTTCCAGAATCATTTTGCTGATTCCCTACCCTAGCCTTGGAATCAGCCAAATGATGGAGAATGGTATAGGGATCTGAGTTCTAGGAATCCTTGAGGTTATTGATGTAGAGCTACTCCTGGGCCCTCCCAACACACACGTGCACACACACTCACATTAACATTTATATTTATACTATATACTACAGATGTATCTTCATCTATTTATATAGATTGAAAACCATGAGTTTGCACTGATATCTCTAATTCCAATCTAACAAAGCAAAGCTCCTTTTACCTTCTAGTTGTTTTTATTTTTCTTTTCCATACTTGGAATTTCCTTTTCCAAAGTTGAGAGATATAGTTTCTATTATCTTCATACATTTACTTATTTGCTCAATCTTTTAGTAACTAATCTCCCACAACTGCTGTCACTCTCTTCCCCCATGTATATACTCTTCACTGCTTTCCTGTACCAGACCCCCTCCCACCCTGTGTGTACACTCTGCTCATCTGCCTGGGCTCTGACATTCCTTATTGGGGAACTTTCTCACCTTGATCTCCTCACCTTGTTTGGGCTGGGCTGCTCTCTTGCAAGGACACTCCCTTACCCTGCCTGGGTCCTGACACTTCAGGTCAGCCTGCCCTGATCTCTTGCATAGATACCCTCCATAGTCTCCCCAGACTTCAATACCCCATATCAGCTCACCTCTATGTATGGACCTCGTCTTTACACTACCAGAGTTTTGACATACCTGTATTGAGTTGCCTCACCATGAGAATGCCTTCCTTACCCCACCTGGGGACTGACCATTCCCATCAAGCATAACACTTCTGTGCAAACTCTGGCACTGTGTGTCCAGGCACTCCCCCTATAGACACCACCTTAAATTGCTCACACTCTGATACCCTGTTCTGGGCTGCCTTCCTGGGTGATGCCCTCCTCAGCCTGCTAGGGCTCTACACCTTGCACAGGTTGTCCCTCCACAGGGAAGCCCTCCTCACCCACTTGCCCTCTGCAATGTTGGGCCATTGCAGTTACCCCAACTCTGGCATAGATGTCTGCCTTGAGCAACCCCACTAATGGCTTTGGGACTGAACTTACCATGAAGGAAGGATAAGGGAAGGAGAAGATGAAGAAGAAGGAGAGTCTGCTCTGTTAAAGATTAAAAACCTAGAAATTCAATTTGAAATGTTGAGATAAGTGTAATAGAATGAAAGGTGATCATTTTAATCTTCTCTTCCATTATTTATCTGGGAAGTAAAGGGAGTTTAGAAGAGCACTTGGGAATCTGCATTTTGTTCCTCTACCATGATTGCAATGTCTTTGTGTGGGGTGCAAAGAGGCTAGGGATTCCTCAGCATATTTACACTTTGGAGTCTATATATTTACAGTACTTAAAAAAAATTTTTTTTTTTAGACACAGAGTCTTGCTCTGTCACCCAGGCATAGCTCACTGCGGCCTTGAACTCCTGGGCTCAAACAATCCTCCAGCCACAGCCTCCTGAATGCCACAGCTGGGACTACAGGCATGTGCCACCATGCCCAGCCAGTTTCTATTTAATCAAGAATAATAAGAGAGAACTGTTTGGTAAAGCCATTATTTCTCTATACTCCATGATATTGCTATTTTAGATAGTTCTACTTTTTACTTTTCTTTGCCACAGACATGCACTTGATGCTCAGGGTCCTGTTCAGTTCTCAATGGTGTACCATATTGAACACTGACTTCATAGCTCTTTTTAGTTTATGTTTCTATAGTCAGCCATTGTAGGCCAAACCATAACTATTGGTCTGGAGTGGCTGAGATCAAAGAAACTTCCAACATTAGCTATATACTATGCCAACTTGAATTGAGGGAGATCTGTTAGGGTAGGCAAAAGCAATCATTAATTGTACCCAACCATGATCCAGTGGCAGAACAAAGACTATGGTTCCCGAAAATTAAAAAAAAAGCAATAAGCGATGAGCAAAAACAAACACATACATACATATGCGTATGCACACACACACAGACACACACACACACACACACAAAAAAAACTTTAAGAAAGGATCATCCTAGCCTTATGACACAGACTTCACACAGAGAGGCCTATATATTCCAAGCCAAACAAATAAAACTTAAAGAAATCTAGAGGTTCTTCTCTAAATCAGTGTTTTCAGTCTTTTTAAAAACTTTTTAAAAAATGTATCTCAACTAATACTCAGTCTATATTTCAAAATGTATAAGCATTTTTTCTTTTCTAAAACGTAATATTAAACTATGTATTAAATATATTTTTTTCTAATCTCATAAGCCTCTTGGTTATGAGACTTCTATCCCACCTTACACGCTCCATAACCCCTGGTAGTTTCTCCATCTGCTGAAAATCAGTGCTCTGGTTATCAAGTGGAAAACAGTATCAAATTACTTATATTCTTCAGCAATGATATTTGCATATTAATTGAAAGTTAATGATTAGGATTATTTAAGAAAGAAGTGAAAAATTTCAAATGCAAATTATTTAACCACATGTGAACTTCCAAGGGAGCTATAAATATATATTTATAAATATATATTTAAGAGCTATATGTACATACACGTATATATATAATTATATATCTAAGAGCTATATGTATAATAGTATACATATATACTATTATACATATATATATACAATCTTGAATTACCAGTGCCTTCTCAGATCAGCAAGTGTAATAATTACATGACTCTTATTTATACTTGGTTTGCCAGAGGGTGCCTAAGTCTCTCACAATCTCTTATTTCCAACACAGGAACTTTTGTTTTTGTTTTTGCTTTTAACTCTTAATTTATTTCTATTCTCACTAATCCCTATAGCTATTCTGGATCTTATTCCTTCTTTCAATCCTTCAATTACACCACTCCCTACCTCACTATCACCTAAAGACTTAATTTCTTACTTCATCTTGAAAATAGAGGCTGTCAGGCATTAACACCACGGTAGGCAGAAAAATGTCTCCCCAGAGATGTCCATAGCTTAATCCCTAGAACTGGTGCATATGTTGTCTCAAATGGCAGCAAAAGGAGTTTTGCAGATGTGATTAAGGGTGTAAACCCTGATATGGAGAGATTATCCTGGATTATCTAGGTGGGCTCAATCAAACCACTTGAGTCTTTAAAAGGAGACCTTTCCTGGAGGCAGCCAGAGAAATGCCACAATAGAAGATGTAGAAGAGATCTGAAGCATAATAAGTACTTGCCCTGCCATTTCTGACTTTGAAGCTGAAAGAAGGGGGCCACAAGGCAAGAAATACAACATTCTTCAGAAGCTGGAGTTGATTCTCAGCTGACAGCCAGGAAGAAAACCATTACTTCAGTCATAGAACTGCAAGACTGAATTCTGCTAACACTCCGAATAAGTAAGAGAGGATTCTGTCCTAGGGTCTCAAGAGAGAAACACAGCCCTGCCAACACCTTGATTTTGGACCTGTGAAATTGGAGCAGGGGAACCAGATGAGCCCATTGGATTTCTGACCCACAGAACTGTGAGATAACATGTTTGTATTGCCTAAGCCACTAAATTTGTTATGGTAGTAATAGGAAATAAACACTTAATTCTATCGCCTATGTTTTTGGTTTCATGCTTGACTATTTCAAGACAACATTCAGGGTAAGAAATATTATTTGATATCTACTCCTTTCTAGTTAATATCCAATAAAAATTATCTCTTCCTTTTCAGCTCTAATATTCTGGTTGAATACTTTACTTCAGCTTCTAAAACTCAATGGGGCTTTCTTAAAATTAATTTTCTTTATCTTATCTTAAGGACCTTTGTGAAAAGAAACATTGCAATGTTTCTGAGACTCATTTTTGGATAATCACAGAGTTCCAACTCTCTTCCCTTAAAATCTGTATGATTTCAACTAGTTCATCGAGCTGCACTCACTAGGGCTCAAACAGAAGGCAACTTTATTGTTTCTTACCATCCCCATTAAAGTCGCTCTGTTGGTTTATTCTTTTGCACTCATGGGTAAACTCTCCAGAAGCTGCCATAGCTTTTAAAAACACCGTCATATGTGAAAGCATAATTTCCTTTTTTTCCCCTAATGTAATCAGATATTGGTACCTTCTGGGTGAGCTAGATGACCAAATGCTTCTTTTATGGGGTGCCTCCGTGGGTCCCTTAGAGATCTTCTCTCTCAGATGTTCAGTTGCTATACTATACCACTCGTATTTCCTTTAGCTATCCAGATATGATTGCTCTCAAACCTCCGGACTCTGGCAATGTATCCTATTCCACTAGGGTTCAGCCCTCTAGGTGGTCTTCTTGGGTAAAACCTGTCAAGAGGGCTTATGGCAGTCTACCTACCATGGGTCATCTCTGGGCCATAAAAAAGATATACCTGTGCTCCACCATGCAGGGAGGCTCACCTTGCTCCTACTCAAATTTTTCCCCTTCCATTAATTTTTGGCAAAACTTGCCAATTGTTCAACTTTTCCAGATGGAAGTCAAGCTCTAGTCTCTGTGTTTTTTCTGAACTTCAGAGCTCATGGGCTAAGACTTTGAGTGGCCCTCTTGAAGTCTGCCTACTTTGACCTTCTTAATGGATGAAATTCAAATATCCAAGAACATGGGCAACTCTTTCTTGAAATAACCGTTACTCTCTGTTATGGACTGAATGTGTGGGTCACTGCAAACTTTATATGTTGAAGCCCTAATTCCCAATATAATGGTATTTGGAGGTGTGGGTCTTTTGAGGGTGTAGATGAGGTCACATAGGTGAGACCTCCATGATGAGGTGAATGCCATTATAAAAAGAAGAAAGAGGCCGGACACAGTGGCTCATGCCTGTAATCCCAGCACTTTGGGAGGCCGAGGCGGTCAGATCACGAGGTCATGAGATCGAGATCAGCCTGACCAACATGGTGAAACCCCGTCTCTACTAAAAATACAAAAGTTGGCTGGGCGTGGTGGCACACACCTGTAAACCCAGCTACTCAGGAGGCTGAAGCAGGAGAATTGCTTGAACCTGGGTAACAGAGGTTGCAGTGAGCCGAGATTGTGCCACTGCACCCCAGCCTGGTGATGGAGCAAGACTCCATCTCAAAAAAAAAAAAAAAAAAAAAAAAAGAAGAAGAAGAAAGAGAGAGCTCTTCCTGCATGCACACACCAGGGAAAGGCCATGCAAAAACATAACTAGGAAGAAGACCCTCATCAAGAACCTAACTGTGGTGGCACCCTGATCTCCGGCTTCCAGCCTTCAGAACCATGAGAAATAAATGTTTGTTACTTTAGTCACGCAGTCTATTGTAATGTGTTGTAACAGCCAGATCTAAGACACCCTCCCATCCCTTACCTCCTACTGAATTATTCTTTGATACAATCTGAACCAACACTGGCAGAACATTTTTTTTTTTTTTGCCACTTCCTTTATAAATGGCCCATCTTGCCTTAACCGTGGGAGTACTTGGCACTTACTGTTCTCAGCTTTGGGATCTTGGCCTAACTTCCCTGTGACAGTTAATTTTAGATGTCAACTCGACTGGATTAAGGAATACCTAGAGAACTGTTGAAGCATTATTTCTGGATATGTCTGTGAGGGTGTTTCCAGAGGAGATAGGTGTGTGTGATTGTGAACTGAGTAGGGAAGATTCACCCTTAATGTGGGGAGGCACCATCCAATCAGCTAGGGGCCTGATAGAACAAAAAAGGCAGAGGAAATATGATTTTTCTCTCTTTTTGTCTCCTGGAGCTGAGACATCCTTCTCCTCCTACTCTTGGACATCACCAGAACCTGAGGCTCTCTGACCTTTGGACTTCAGTGCTTCTCCATACTCGGGTTCTTGGGTCTTTGGCCTCAAACTGAGTTACAGCATTGCTTGTTCCAGGGCATTCAGACTTGGACTGAGCCACGCTACCAGCATCGTGGATCTCCAGCTTGCAGAGGGCCTATTGTAGAACATTTCTGGCTCCATAATTGCATGAACGAATTCCCCCAATAAATCCCCTCTCACTGATCTATCTATCTATTCACCCATCCTATTGGTTCTTTCTTTCTTGAGAACTCTGGCTAATAACACTTCCAAATGGGAAGATCCATAATTTGATATCCTGTTAACATTTCACCAAATGCTCTGTTTCTATAATAATGTCTTGAAAAATGAAAGTTGAAGTTCCTCTGAAATTAACGTGAGTTCTAGCATTCTAAAAGTGAACAATTAGAAAGTATCCATCCATTGCCTAATCTTGCCATTTAGTTTTATTCAAGGAAGAGAACACACAAGACTATTTCCTGAGGGAGGCTTCCAGAGAAAGTTCTGCTGTCTGAGGGTTACTATTTAAGTAAACTCTTAAGTAACTATGAATTGTTTTAAAATCCAATGGATTAGAGAAAAGCTTGATGAAATCACTCTTCCAAATACATGGAATTTGCTACTGTTAGCTTAACAATTTTTCATTTTCAATACATATCTCATCCAAATAAAGGAGGTTTAAATCTTCAGTAGTTCTTTACCCAGATGCATGCTTTATGAGATCAGTGAATTGCTAAAGAAAACAGATGATTCATGTATAATATACATGTAGAACTTTATCCTGCTGAGAAATCAAAAGGGATTTACTACTTGAAAGACTCATAAGATGAAATTTTATTATAAAAGATGATGTATGTCATTACAAAACATGTTACATGAGGTCCCATACATGAGGGATGACTACAAAATTGCTTAAACCAAGTGTTCTTTATTAGAAGCTTAAAAAGCACAAAGTTGGCGCAGGCAATAAATAAAAATTAGAGGTTGGCTGTCACCCAGGAATACCTAGCTCAATGGCTGTGTCTTGAAACAAGATGTAAATAAAAGTAATTGCTAAAGCAAAATTCTATATTAGACACAGCTTTCCCACTAGACTTATACTATAAAATTGGAGATTATTTCTTCAGGTGAGAGAAATATGTCTAAATTATGCTTATTAATAATACTTCTTAAGATATGCAGCTTGAGCTAAAGAAAGAAATCATTGGTCCCAATGATATGATGCAAAGTGAAATATATAATCTAAAATAAAATGAATATATTCAAAATTAGGCATAATCAGGCAAGACAGAAGTAATCACACAGTATAGAGTACTTTGATGGTAGCAGATTCAAAGGCTTTTTAATTTGTCCAAATTTCAAAACTTGACTTACTGTCTGTCTCATGTCCAATTTCCTTAAGAGTCAAGGACCAATAATGTTTATCTGATAAATAATTTTATGCTAAAATGTCAATGATTGATTACAGCTTTATATCATTTTTATTTTGCATGATACCTTTGTAGGGTTTATTTTTCAGTTCTTTAAGTCCCTTCTGTAAAGATTATCACTGAATAATAAAAAAATTTAGTCACTTACCATGGAAGCTGGAAAGGAAGATGTTTTAGGGAAATGGTCCTTGGAGTAGGATACAGAGTATGCTTTCTTTGGAACACCCACTCTACTTGTGAGACCTTGGGTGATAAGAGTGATTAGAGTATAGACTCTAGAGTCAGAATGCATAAGTTCAAGTCCTCACTCTCCTACTCACTAGCTGTGTAAATGCAAAAGCTATTTCTCTCTGTGTCTCTGTTAAGGTAAAAAAGTGCCTACCACATAGAGTTCTTGTGAATACACAGTAATGTGATCTAAATGGTACCTAACCCATTCTGAGCACTATCTGCAGTCACCATTAAAATAATAATAACTATTATTATTATCAAATGAGACAATAACATGTAAGGGGCTTTGAACAGATGAATGCATAGTGAGCACATAAAAAGCTTCTGAGCTCCTCCTTTGTATGTATGTTTATGTTTATATTTGTACACATAGCCTGGTTCCTATTTAAGCATGTTTAATGAAGAGTCAGGTTTCCTAAGGGTTATCATAATTTTTCTACTATTTTAATCATTTATTTATTTAAAAAATTTACAGAACACTCAGCATATGCCAGGCACTATGCTAGCTATTAAGAATACAAGGATATTTCTTATCAACAACAGGAAAAGGGGTAAAGAGAAAAAGAGTGTCACAGAATGACAAAAAAAATCCCATAAAAAAGTGAAAAGTAAAAACAGGAAATCAAATACTACGTGTTCTCACTTATAAGTGGGAACCAAAGATTGAGTATACAAGGACATAAAGATAGAAACCATAGAAACTGGAGACAGTCAGAGCAGGGAGAGTGGGAGAGGGATGTAGGCTGACAAACTAACTATTGGGTACTATGTTCACTACCTGGGTGACGGGGTCCATACCCCAAACCTCAGCATAACATAATATACCCATGTAGCAAACCTGTACATATACCCCTGAATCTAAAATTTTAAATAAAGAAAAAGAAAAGCAGTGAGTAATAAATGATCTGCAATAACCATTTCTGAGCAAAGCTGCCCCGAGAATGAAAAAGAATTTGAAAGCTCAGACAGTACAATAAATTTTATTTAAAACATTAAAATATGTCCACTATATAAAAATAGGAAAGACCTAGGTATATGTGTAAGCAGGAGAGAAGAAACTGGCTGAGAGAGAGTACAGATGCCCCAAAAGAAGGAGAATGATTAAAGAAGGAATTTGCTTCAGGAATTCAGGAGAAAACATTAAGAAGGGCCACACACACACACACACACACACACACACACAAAATGCCAGAGAGATATTGAGATAAGACTGGAAGAAACGCACAAGTTGGACCCAGCTTGAAAGATCTCACTCAGCTAAATGCTGAGTGAGTATATGCTACGAGTTAAGATTAAATTTCAAGTAGAGGAAAGGAATCTGAAATGGCCTTCTAGGGAAGCCTAGCTGAGAGAAAAGAGCGATGAACTGAGAGTCCGGGGCTCTCAGTTCTAACTTGAATTTAGCGGATGGCTCTTGATTAGCCATTTACATTCCTCAAATGTAAAATTCAAGTATTGAACTCTGAGTCCTCGATACCCTGCCAACTTCAGAATACTACACAAATGATGATTAGAAGATTGCCACAAAACAGCAACATTTTAGTTGAAGTTGATCAGTGTGAAGTGGCAATAAATAAACGAGGACCAAAAATAAAAGTGCTTATCAGCTAATTTGAAGTTCCTATATAAATTGCTTACGGATCTTTGATGAGTTCGTAAAACTCATTTGTCCAGCTGTTTCTGAGTGAGGCCAGAAATCCTTTATAAACTCCATTTATCCTGGTAGGGTGCTGACCGATGCTGCACTGATAGTAGATGAGCAGGCAGAGTGATCCAGAAAATGCAGAATATCATTTTAGAAGACTGGCTTACATGTATGAGAGTCACATCTCACTTCCGGAAGGCATGTAATGTATGATGCCTGTATCATCTCAGTTATCTCATCTTCATTGGAGCCGTAGTACCCACAACTACCTTTTTGTTGGCAAGTGAAGAAAAATGCCCAGATTTATGAAGGATGTCACCATCAATTGATACAATTAGTTAGTGAAAAAGTCCTGGTTTGTAAATAATTATGGTCAGATATAGTGCTGTGGATATATGGGATAGTAGAAAATAAAAATCTGAAAAATAGTGGTTTATTTCTCATTCATGTAAAACAAATCCAGTGGTAGGCTTTTCAGGGAAGGATAGAAGCTTCACATTGTGAGGGACCCAGGCTCCTATCTTCCTGCTCTATTAGATCCAGTGGGGATCAGCTGGGGGTTCTCCTCCCTCCAAGCTTCACACAAGAATGCAGGCTGGCAAAGTCTCCACTGTCTGGAATGTAGATGGTTCCTGGGGCTAGAGAACAGAGCACAAGTTACTTCTATGCATTTCCACTGGCCCCTGGTAGTCACATGGCCACATCTAATTTTAAGGGGACAGGGAAATGCAATCTCATCATGTGCTTCGATGGAGAAGAACCAGAATATCTGTGAACAAGCCTATTGACTACCAGAGAGACCTTCCTTAGAGAACCAGTTAACTAAAATTATGAATCCAGATTTTAAAGGAACATATAAATGACTACCCAGGAAATAATCACGGTAAAGGCAAGGGGAAATCATCCAAAGGCAAAATAGGCTCTTCAGAATCACTATCTAATTATTAGTTTAAAATGCATATTTCTTGACATTAGCTCAAGTGAGTCTGATTCTGTTGGTTTGGAATGTGGCCTAGAACTCTTCCTTTAACAAACATGCCTACAGATCCTCAGGTGCTTAACCCACTTTGAGTAAAACTGCCTAATAGGAATTAGAACAGCTAAAATTAATTAACTAAAAAATGCAGACCAAACCAAATACTAATTCAAGGCATTTTTAATATGATGAAGATTTAGTTGCTTTCAACATTGTGAGATGAAAAATTAGTTTTTTCAATTATCCAAACCGATCATACATTCAGATAGGGAAATAATTCTGACTTATTCAATATTTAAAGAGATAGTTAGAAACATTTATCCTTTCTTGCTGGCCAAATTACTAACTACAGAAGATAGAAAGTGGTTATAAACACTAGCTTTGGTATTAGCAGACCCATATTTGAATCACAGATTTGTTTGAATTTGGGCATATTTATCCCTTATCTGAGGCTTAGTTTCCTCAAAACAAGGCTAACATTGCTTTCCTTACAGTTTTGCTTTGAGAATTAAATGAAATAATACCTGTGAAATACTTAGTACAAGCACTTGGTTAGTGCAACTAAAGAAGAAGAATAATTAATTTAATTATAAATTTAAAAGCTTCTTTCAATGGTTATTGTCAACCTATTGGATAATCTAAAGATTCTCTGAGTGCTAGTATAAAATAAATTCATGTTATTTAATCCAATATTGCCAGTTTAAATAAATTTCTGTGCTGCATACAAAAGCTTTAGAATAATTTAATTAACTTAGAATAATGAACTACTTTTTTAGGTGAAAGAGAAGATGCTCAACACAGAATAACATTAGACTGCAAAAATTCCTTTGTTAGGTAAACATTTTCCTTATAGAAGTATTCTTCTGATCTAAGTGCTTGCAAAATCCATGGTAAGCACAAATGTATATCATATTGCTGAGCAAATCTACATTACGGGTGAAAGGAAATAAAAGCTCTGAGTACTTTTTCAAGGTGTAAAACAGAGTCAGGTGTCAGCACAAGTAAGTAAATGCAGTTCCTGTCTGGGCAAGTGATGAATTGAATCAAGAACCGTGTAATCAAAGTGAACACTGATAATACTGCTGTTGTATGTGTATCCATAGAGGCTCCACCCTATGTGCTGGTATCAAATCTACATCAGATGGCAAGAGAAAAACATTAAGAACTTGAAGCACAGCCAGTGCTGCTGCAACAAAGCTTAATGGCCGCCTTCCCACTGTGCTCAGCTGGTCATCTCCTAACAATGGTCGATAACAAAACCCAGATACCTCACCAGCTACTGTCCACTAAGCTAAAAAGGGCTGTCTATGAAGCAGTCAGATGAAATTCTATAAAAAGTCACTGAAGGAGAAACTTCAATAGTGCCACACAGATTGTTGTTGACTGTGGGGAGACAATCACAGCTGACATAAGAGCCAACCATAGGTGCGTGTAGTGTTTTGACAGTAATTAGAGATGAAGAGCTCACTTCCAGGAGAAGCTGTATGCAACCAGTGAGGCAAGAAAAACAGCAGAGGTGAATTTATAGAGAAGCAAATGAAGCTTGCGCTGGCATCTTTCAAGGCACCAGCAAGGGAGCTAGCACTGGGTTCATATGGTCATTTGTTTTTGTAACATTTTCAAAATTATAATATTTTAACAGCAATTGGTTGGGATCACAGTCTCTTTCCAATCCACTTTAGCCTTCCTCACATTTCGCCTTGTGTGGAGAGTGTGAGAGTAGTCATGGGCATTTCTGAGATCCAAGTACGGGGAAGCTGAGTTACAGATACATTTAGTTTGGCTTTAGCGAGATATATTTGTCACTTCTGTCTATAATTAAGTTCTCCCTATCTGTCCTGGTTCAGGAAAACCAGGAATACTCCTACTTGCTGTTGGGTAGACTTACCCAGAGTCTTAACATAAAGGTGTTTCCATTATAAACATGTTCCTTCCACAGAGATTGGAAGAATGTAGGTAGTGGAGGGAAAGGAGACTAGTTCTCTTGAAAATTCTTCCTGTTTGTTAGATATGCATAATTTTAAATGGAAGATTCGCTTCTTTAAAATTTCCAATCAAAATGGAAGTTCTGTGGTTTGGGGATTATATTTAAAAATGTAAGGAATAAAATTATAAAAGCATCATACACTTTTACGAGAATTGCAAGAAGTAGACTTTATCAGAATTCCTGTGATTTTAAAGCCCAAGCATGTACTAACAATATCAAACAATATGTCTGTTTATAAAATCTCAGGTTTTTTTAATTAAAAAATTGCATCGACCATACTATACAGGGAAACAAATCTTTCTAATATCTCTCTACCAAATATTATAAAGCATATCATGTGAAGAAACAAAGAATTTATAATTATAACATGTAGAGAAATAAGTTTTATAGCTGTTACAGGTAATTAATAAAAATATTTGTTATATTTTGTAATTTCTTTCTTGTTCTAAATATTCATTGTGTGCCTAATTTTGTATTTTTAGTTTTGTATTATTTTATTTTGAAAGGGCTCCCTTCAAGAATTCATTGACTATTGCTATCAGTGTTTCCAATCTTTTAAAATTTCTGTTCCCGCTATTGGTCTATTAATAGCCTGGTCTCCATATGGTGAGTAATGCCAGTTTTCCTAAGAGGAATATTTACATATGTATAAATACTCTGTATTATGTATCATTATATATCTTGGAAATTTTACCAAAGTACAAGGTATATATTGAAAAATGCATAGATCATAATGATACACCATGTAAATTTTCACAAGTTCCACAAACTGAACATATTCATTTAACCAGCTCCCAGTAGAAAATTAGCAGAATCTCAGATTATCCTGTGGTGCTCCCTTAAGTCCCTCCACTCCCAACCAGCGGATAGCCACTATCATGACTTCTAATGCCATAGATGAATTTTGTCTCTTTCTGAACTTTGCATAAATAAATCACACAATGCATACTCACTTGTGTCTGGCTTCCTACTCTTAACACTGTGTTTGTGAGATTCGTCTATATTGTTGTGTGTAGTTGTAGTTTGTTTAGTCTTGTAGCTGTATAGCATTCCATTGTATAACTTATAATTTATTTATGGGTTGTACTATTGATGAACATTTGAGTAGTCTTCAGTTTGGAACTACCACATATGGTGCTGTTATGAATACTTTTGCACAGGTATGTGAACACATGTACACATTGCAGTTGGTATATATACAGTACTGAATTACTGGCTTATAAATATCATTAAATTTTAAAAACAAAATTAATTGCCACAAGCATATTATTGTATCTTTGAATTTTAAACCAAATTAAAAATTCTATGAGTTGTTGAATATTATAATTGTACTATTAAGTTTAAATTGTACTGTGACTATAGCTATAAGACGATGCCCATGGTACTTTGAATGGCAACACTAGCAAAATAATATTCTAAGGAAGAGGGACAGGTTTTGGGGGACAACTAGCAGTGTCTGTAGCATAATATAGACTACAAATTGATTACTATATCACCCATGAATTTAGCTCAGACTCAAACACAAATTTAGTTCTTTAAAAATAGAAAGTCCATTTATCTGTAAATGGGGCCTGATTTTAAAAATTTTAAAATAAAAATAAAAACTGTGAGTCCATTAAACCTCTTTTTCTTTATAAATTAACCAGTCTCAGGTATGTCTTTATCAGCAGCAGGAAAAAGGACTAATACACTACACAAGAATTTTTTTTCCTGGCACAAAAAAGCCTGAATTGTGAGCCAAAAGATGAAAACTGTTAAGGAGACATAGAGGGGAATCAAAGAAATGTGGGGATGATTATGGAAGGAATTTACCCTTATTACTTCAAAATAAACAAATTATCTTTTCATACCCAATTTGTCTGCTGCTCTGTAAGTCAAATTAAAAGCATCAGAAAGGTGAGGACATTTAGTCTATTTTACATATAGGAAGTGCTCAATATATGTTTGTAGAATAAATAAATGGTATCTAATTTATTTCTAATGTTTCTGTAACTTCAAGATTAAAACAATCTGTAGATTAGAATCTCAAGATCTCTGCTTGCATATTTCTCATTCCTTTGTCTGCAACAGTCTTTGTTTCTTGATCTTTCTGTTTCCCTGCCTTCATCTTAATTTAACCACTATAAAGTTTGTCTTTATTCCAAGTTCATTTTGTATCTTTTGGCATCTCTTGATTGTCTTTTTCTATTTCAGGTCATCTATACTCACAAGTTAGACTAGTATGCTTCCTTGTTATAGTTTCCAAACCTATAAACACAGACTGATCCCTCTTTCTAAACCTCAGTCCCACATATGAAACTGTTTGCAATGGATATTTACATGTTGGAGTCCTGTGATCACTTCAACCTGACCCTTTAATATCTCCCTAAAATTTGTTGATCTGCTAAATTCCCTTTTATAGTCTTGAGTACTACCACAATCCTAGTAACCTAAGCTCTAAACCTTGGAAACCTCCTTACCTTGGCCTTTGTTAGCATTTGATTTAGGAATATTTTGCGTGTAGCCCTATGTGTTTAGAATTAGAGATTTGTAATTATAGTATATCTTTTTTCTACTTCTTAAAATTTACAGTAAAGAAATGTCACCCTCTCAAAATGTCTGCAAAAATGTGGGAGCATATTTAACCATACCCCCTGAATCATGTATTGACCTATCCTTGTGGCATATGTCCCCAGTACCAAAGGCCACTGATAATTCCTTTGGAAAGCGAACTCCATTTCGGTCATTGGAAAATAATATTTTGACAAAGACCGAGGAATTGTCCTCACATATCAAACCCTGCCTAGGAATGTCAGTATTGAAAAACACTTTATATTAGAGCTTTGTTAGAAAATCTGTAGCCAGTTCATTAAATCACTCCTCAAATTCTTGGCCATAGCCCCCCAAAGCAATTGCTTATTTTCCTCCTCTCACTTCTACCCTTTTTCCACTGCATCTTCTAATCCCCTCACTCGCGTACTTGCATTCCTTACATAAACTCTACTTGACTCTGGTGTATGAAATTGTGCTGCATTTGGTTTGTTATTAACTTGAGAGTTTTTATTATTTCTGACTGATTGGACAATTTAACACAAGAATTATCTGTTTTTTGAAGGTTTCAGTGAATCTACTCATAAGACTCTGAGCTTGCTCCCTTTTTATGTATTCTGATGCTATATTGTTTCAGTTAATTAAATTTTTTGTAGTTGAATATAATTTATTGCCAATTTTGTCCAGTGTTTCTTGTCTTCCTATGAAGACAAGCTATCTTGGAAGCTATCAGTTTTCCTCTGAGTGTCACTATCAGACACATAATCTACAGCCCCTTAGATCCTGCCTCCCAGACCTCTGGCTTTCAACACAGAGTCCATAATCAAATGTCTCAAGAAGAAAGAAGTTCCACTGAGTGGAAAATAATTATATTCTGAATGGGTCTCCTGTATACAGCATATAATTGAATTTTTTACTTTTTAAATTTTGTTTAATTTACTTTGAGAGTCGTTTTTTACTTGGGAATTTCATTTATTCACATTTATTGTAGTCCCTAATACTATACTTTTTATCCTACCATCTTACACTTCACATTTTACACAATTTCTTTTTTTCTCCCCATCCTCATCCTTTTTTTTTTTTTGTATTTTTTTGGGCCTTCTTTTTTTATTCCTAACTTCTGCTGACTGAAACGCATTTTACATGCTCCTTTTTCACTTTTAGTGGTTTGGAAGTTCTAAATGCTTAAATAATTCAAATTATTTTCATTGTGTGTCTTAATTTCTTAAGATATAAACGCAAACTTTGTTTTTCAGTGAAATAGACACATAATAACTATTTTCCCTCTTCTGAAAAAGAAACATCATTAACATGCCTTTATTTTGCCTCTTCTCCCATCTCTCACTTTTTTTTTAATTACTAGACTTTATGTTTAAGAGCAGTTTTATCTTTACAAAAAATTTTGTTCCCATATATCAACTAAACCACCCCCCACAGTTTCCATGTATCATTTTGTAATTATGCTTATTCATTATTTATTTTATGAAATGCCCTTTTTCTAGGAATTCATTTTGTAATAAACTACACTGAAATTGATGTCCAAATTGTCAATAATTGCTTAGGGTTAATAATAAAATCCACTGATTTTTTGAAATTCATATGCAGGAATGTATACAATATATACCATGTCTTCTTTTTGGATTAATTTTGAAACTGATTTTGAGTTCATCAAATACATCTTGTCTAATTTTTTTCTTGAAAATGCACGTGAAAAATCTGTGGCTTTTCATGCCCAATAAAATTCTTATGTTACCCAAATATCTGCAGAAAAATTGGCTGGGTATAGTGTCATAGTTATAAATCTTTTTTTCCTTCAGGACATTGACGCCGTTATTGCATTTCTTCTAGAAATTATTGTGAAGAATGAAAAGTACTGATTCTTAGCTATTTGCTTTATTTTTTTTGCTATGGAATCTTTAAAAATGTAATGCTTATTCTTGAAATTCAAAGGTTTCGCCAGGATGTGTCTGAATATACATGTATTTCAGTATTCCTGTTGAGTACATCAAAGAATTTCCATTTCAATACTTGGATCTTTCTTCAGCTCAGGAAATTTTTTTTCATTAGTTATTTCTACCTCCATGTTTTATTCTTTCCTCATTTTTTCCATTCTTTTAGATGCTTATTAAATTTCCTGGCACTGTTCTCCATGGCTCTTAATTTATTTATTTTTAATATTTTCTATCTCTTTGCCTTCTATAGGTTCTGGACTTTATCATCCACATTATTAATATGACCTTCAGCTCTATCAGTTTTGTTTTTGGTTTTTGTTTGTTTGTTTGTTTGTTTTTGCCTTTGATATAAGGTTTTCTTTTTTTAAATTATACTTTAAGTTCTGGGATACATGTGAAGAACAGACAGGATTGTTACATAGGTATACATGTGCCATGGTGGTTTGCTGCACCCATCAACCGGTCATCTACATTAGATATTTCTCCTAATGCTATCCCTCCCCTTGTCTTCCACCCCCCGACAGGCCCCAGTGTGTGATGTTTCCCTCCATGTGCCCATGTGTTCTCATTGTTCAACTCCCACTTATGAGTGTGAATATGCGGTGTTTGGTTTTCTGTTCCTGTGTTAGTTTGCTGAGAATAATAGTTTACAGCTTCATCCATGCCCCTGCAAAGGACAGGAACTCATCCTTTCTTATGGCTGCATAGCATTCCATGGTGTATATGTGTCACATTTTCTTTATCCAGTCTAAGATTGATGGGCATTTGGATTGGTTCCAAGTCTTTGCTATTGTGAATAGTGCCGCAATAAACACATGTGTGCATGTGTCTTTATAGCACAATAATTTATAATCATTTGGATATATACCAAGTAATGGGATTGCCAGGTCAAATGGTATTTCAGGCCTAGATACTTAAGGAATTGCTACACTGTCTTCTACAATGATTGAACTAATTTACACTCCCACCAACAGTGTAAAAGCATTCCTATTTCTCCACATCTTCTCCAGCATCTGTTGTTTTCTGACTTTTTAATGATCACCATTCTAACTGGTGTGAGATGGTATCCCATTGCGGTTTTGATTTGCATTTCTCAAATGACCAGTGATGATGAGCTTTTTAAAATATGTTTGTTGGTTGCATAAATGTCTTCTTTTGAAAAGTGTCTGTTAATATACTTTGTCCACTTTCTGATGGGGTTTTTTTTTTCTTGTAAATTTGTTTAATTTCCTTGTAGATTCTGGATATTAGTCCTTTGTCAGATGCACAGATTGCAAAAATATTCTCCCATTCTGCAGGTTGCCTGTTCACTCTGATGATAGTTTCTTTCGCTGTGCAGAAGTTCTTTAGTTTAATTAGATCCCATTTGCTGATTTTGACTTTTGTTGCCATTGCTTTTGGTGTTTTAGTCATGAAGTCTTTGCCTATGCCTATGTCCTGAATGGTATTGCCTAGGTTTTCTTCTAGGGTTGTTATGGTTTTAGGTCTTATGTTTAAGTCTTTAATCCATCTTGAATTAATTTTGTATAAAGTATTTTGTATAAGTGTAAGGAAGGGGTCCAGTTTCAGTTTTCTGCATACGGCTAGCCAGTTTTCCCAACACCATTTATTAAATAGAGAATGTTTCCCCATTAATTATTTCTGTCAGGTTTGTCAAAGAACAGATGGTTGTAGATGTGTGGTGTTATTCCTGAGGCCTCTGTTCTGTTTTATTGGTCTATACATATATTTTTTGGTACCAGTACCATGCTGTTTTGGTTACTGTAGCCTTGTAGTATAGTTTGAAGTCAGGTAGCGTGATGCCTCCAGCTTGGTTGTTTTTGCTTAGGATTGTCTTGGCTATACAGGCTCTTTTTTGGTTCCATATGAAATTTAAAGTAGTTTTTTTCAAATTCTGTGAAGAAAGTCAATGGTAGCTTGATGGAAATAGCATTGAATCTATAAATTACTTTGTGCAGTATGGCCATTTTCATGATGTTGATTCTTCCTATCCACGAGCATGGAATGTTTTTCCACTCGTTTGTGTCCTCTCTTATTTCCTTGAGCAGTGGTTTGTAGTTCTCCTCGAAGAGGTACTTCACATCCCTTCTAAGTTGTATTCCCAGGTATTCTGTTCTCATTGTAGCAATTGTGAACGAGAGTTCACTCATGATTTGGCTCTCTGTCTATTATTGGTGTATAGGAATATGTGTGAATTTTGCACATTGATTTTGTGTCCTGATACTTTGCTGAAGTTGCTTATCAGCTTAAGGAGTTTTTGGGTTGAGACAATGGGGTTTTCTAAATATACAATCATCTTATCTGCAAACAGACAATTTGACTTCTTCTCTTCCTATTTGAACACTCTTTATTTTTTTTGCTTGCCTGATTGCCCTGGCCAGAACTTCCAATACTATGTTGAATAGGAGTAGTGAGAGAGGGCATCCTTATCTTGTGCCAATTTTCAAAGGGAATGCTTCCAGCTTTTGCCCATTCAGTATGATATCGGCTGTGGGTTTGTCATAAATAACTCTGATTAATTTGAGATGTGTTACATCAATGGTTAGCTTATTGAGTGTTTTTTGCATGAAGGGGTGTTGAATTCTATCAAAGGCCTT
This sequence comes from Homo sapiens, assembly GCF_000001405.40. Lineage (NCBI taxonomy): Eukaryota > Metazoa > Chordata > Mammalia > Primates > Hominidae > Homo > Homo sapiens. Next base: position 88,440,891 of record NC_000012.12, on the reverse strand, counting down.
TTCTGCATCTATTGAGATAATCATGTGGTTTTTATCATTGGTTCTGTTTATGTGATGATGGATTATGATTATTGATTTGCTTATGTTGAACCAGCCTTGCATCCCAGGGATGAAGCCAACTTGATCATCATGGATAAGCTTTTTGATGTGCTGCTGGATTTGGTTTGCCAGTATTTTATTGAGAGGGTTTTTGCATCAGTATTCATCAGGTATATTGGCCTGAAATTTTGTTGTTGTTGTCGTTGTGTCCATGCTAGGCTTTGTTATCAGGATAATGCTGACCTCATAAAATGAGTTAGGTAGGAGACATTCTTTTTCTATTGTTTGGAATAGATTTAGAAGGAATAGTACAAGCTCTTCTTTGTACCTCTGGTAGGATTCGGCTGTCAATCTGTCTGGTCTGGGGCTTTTCTTGGTTGGTAGGCTATTAATTACTGCTTCAATTTCAGAACTTGTTATTGGTCTATTCAGGGATTTGACTTCTTCCTAGTTTAGTCTTGGGAAGGTGTATGTGTCCAGGAATTTATTCATTTCTTCTAGATTTTCTAGTTTATTTGCATAGAGGTGTTTATAGCACCTGATGATAGTTTTTATTTCTGTGGGATCAGTGGTGATCTCCCCTTTTATTGTGTCTATTTGATTCTTTTTTCATTTCTTCTTTAGTAGTCTGGATAGTGGTCTATCTATTTTGTTAAGCTGTTCAAAAAACCACCTCCTGGATTTATTGACTTTTTAAAGGTTTTTTTGTGTCTCTATCTCCTTCAGTTCTGCTCTGATCTTAATTATTTCTTGTCTTCTGCTAGCTTTTGAATTTGTTTGCTGTTGCTTCTCTAGATCTTTTAATTGTGATGTTAGGTTGTCGATTTTAGGTCTTTTCCACTTTCTCCTATGGGCATTTAGTGCTATAAATTTCTCTCTAAGCACTGCTTTAGATGTGTCCCAGAGATTTTGGTACGTTGTGTCTTTGTTCTCACTGGGTTCAAATAACTTATTTATTTCTGCCTTAATTTTTTTATTTACCCAGTAGTCATTCAGGAGCAGGTTGTTCAGTTTCCATGTAGTTGTGTGGTTTTGAGTGAGTTTCTTAATCCTGAACTCTAATTTGATTGCACTGTGGCCTGAAAGACTGTTATGATTTCTGTTCTTTTGCATTTGCTGAAGAGTGTTTTACTTCCAATTATGTGGTCAATTTCAGAATAAGTGCAATGTTTACTGAGAAGAATGTATAGTCTGTTGATTTGGGGTGGAGAGTTCTGCATATGTCTATTAGGTTTGCATGGTCCAGAGCTGAGATCAGGTCCTGAATATCCTTGTTAATTTTCCATTTCGTTGTTCTGTCTAATATTGACAGTGGGGTGTTAAAGTCTCCCACTATTATTGTGTGGGAGTCTAAGTCTTTTTGTAGGTCTCTAAGAACTTGCTTTATGAATCTGGGTGCTCCTGTATTGGGTGCATATATATTTCGAATAGTTAGTTCTTCTTATTGCATTGATCCCTTTACCATTATGTAATGCCCTTCTTTGTCTTTTTTGATCTTTGTTGGTTTAAGTCTGTTTTATCAGAGACAAGGATTGCAACCCCTTTTTTTGTTGTTCTTTTCCATTTGCTTGGTAAATCTTCCTCCATCCCTTTATTTTGAGCCTATGTTTGTCTTTGCACGTGAGATGGGTCTCTTGAATACAGCACACCAATGGGTCTTGACTCTTTAGCCAATTTACAAGTGTGTGTCTTTTAATTGGGGCATTCAGCCTGTTTACATTTAAGGTTAATATTGTTATGTGTGAATTTGATCCTGTCATTATGATGTTAGCAGGTTATTTTGCCCATTAGTTGATGCAGTTTCTTCATAGCGTGGATTGTCTTTACAATTTGGTATGTTTTTGCAGTGGCTGGTAACGGTTGTTCCTTTCCATGTTTAGTGCTTCCTTCAGGAGCTCTTGTAGGGCAGGCCTGGTGGTGACAAAATCTCTCAGCATTTGCTTTTCTGTAAAGGATTTCATTTCTCCTTCGCTTATGAAGCTTAGTTTGTCTGGATATGAAATTTTGGGCTGAAAATTATTTTCTTTAAGAATGTTGAATATTGGCCCCACTCTCTTCTGGCTTGTAGGGTTTCTGCAGAGAGATCTGCTGCTAGTCTGATGGGCTTCCCTTTGTGGGTAATTCAACCTTTCTCTTTGGCTGCCCTTAACATTTTTTCCTTCATTTCAACCTTGGTGAATCTGAGAATTATGTGTCTTGGGGTTGCTCTTCTTGAGGAGTATCTTTCTGGTGTTCCCTGTATTTCCTGAATTTGAATGTTGGCCTGTCTTGCTAGGTTGGGGAAGTTCTCCTGGATAATATCCTGAAGAGTGTTTTCCAACTTGGTTCCATTCTCCCTGTCACTTTCAGGTACACCAACCAAACGTAGATTTGGTCTTTTCACATAATGTCATATTTCTTGGAGGCTTTGTTCATTCCTTTTCATTCTTTTTTCTCTAATCTTGTCTTCCTGCTTTATTTCATTAAGTTGATCTTCAATCTTTGATATCCTTTCTTCTGTTTGATTGATTCAGCTATTGATACTTGTGTATGTTTCACCAAGTTCTTGTGCTGTGTTTTTCAGCTCCATCAGGTCATTTATGTTCTTCTCTAAACTGGTTATTCTAGTTAGGAATTCCTCTAACCTTTTATCAAGGTTCTTAGCTTCCTTGCCTTTGGTTAGAACAGGCTCCTTTAACTCTGAGTTTGTTATTACCCACCTTCTGAAGCCTACTTCTGTCAATTCGTCAAACTCATTCTCCATTCAGTTTTGTTCCCTTGCTGGCAAGGAGTTGTGATCCTTTGGAGGAAAATAGGCATACTCTGGTTTTTGGAATTTTCAGCCTTTTTGTGCTGGTTTTTCCTCATCTTCCTGGATTTATCTACCTATGGTCTTTGCTGTTGGTGATGTTCAGATGGAGTTTTTGCGTGGTCATCCTTTTCGTTGATGTTGATTCTATTGCTTTCTGTTTGTTAGTTTTCTTTCTAACAGGACCCTCTTTTGCAGGTCTGCTGGAGTTTGCAGAAGGTCCACTCCAGACCCTGTTTGCCTGGGTATCACCAGCAGAGGCTGCAGAACAGCAAAGATTGCTGCCTGCTCCTTCCTTTGGAAGCTTTGTCCCAGAGGGACACCTGCCAGATGCCAGCCGGAGCTCTCCTGTATGAGGTGTCTGTTGACCCCTCCCGGGAGGTGTCTCCCAGTCAGGAGGCCTGGGGGTCAAGACTGCCTTGAGAAGGCAGTCTGTCTCTTAGCAGAGCTCAAGCACTGTGCTGGGAGATCCGCTGCCCTCTTCAGAGCTGGCAGGCAGGAACGTTTAGCCTGCTGAAGCTGTGCCCACAGCCGCCCCTTTCCCTAGGTGCTCTGTCCCAGGGAGATGGGAGTTTTATCTATAAGCCTCTGACTGGGGCTACTCCCTTTCTTTCAGAGATGCCCTGCCCAGAGAGGAGCAATCTAGAGAGGCAGTCTGGCTACAGTGGCTTTGAGGTACTAGAGTGTGCTCCACCCAGTTTGAACTTCCTGGTGGCTTTGTCTACACTTTGAGGTGAAAACCACATACTCAAGCCTCAATAATGGTGGATGCCCCTACCCCCACCAAGCTCATGCATCCCAGGTTGACTTCAGACTGCTGTGCTGTCAGTGAGAATTTCAAGCCAGTGGATCTTAGCTTCCTGGGGTCCATGGGGGTGGGATCCACTGAGCAAGACCACTTGGCTCCCTGGCTTTAGCCCCATTTCCAGGGGGAGTGAACGGTTCTGTTTCACTGGCATTTCAGGAACCACTGGGATATAAAAAAAACCTCCTGCAGCTAGCTCGGTGTCTGCCCAAACAGCCATCAGTTTTGTGCTTGAAACCCAAGGCCATGGTGGTGTAGGCACCTGAGGGAATCTCCTGGTGTGTGAGTTGCAAAGACCATGGAAAAAGCACAGTGTCTGGGCCAGATAGCACAGTTCCTCATGGCACAATCCCTCATGATTTCCCTTGGCTAGGGGAGGGGGTTCACCAACCTCTTGTGCTTCCCAGGTGAGTCAATGCCCCACCTGGCTTCTGCTCGCCCTCTGTGGGCTGCACCCACTGTCTAACCAGTCCCAGTGAGATGAACCAGGTACCTCAGTTGGAAATGCAGAAATCACCTGCCTTCTGCGTTGGTTTTCACTGGGAGCTGCAGACCAAAGCTGTTCCTATTCGGCCATCTTGCCTGAGAATTCTCTATCAGTTGTTTTTTCACCTATATGTATATGTATGTGTTGTGTACTTATTTTTTTTTGGCAATCATATTTTATTTTCTAAGAACTCTACTTTAAATTCTCTTATTGTATCTTTTTTTCCTGGCAGCTTGTACTTGACTCATGGCTTTTAAAGCCTCTTCAGTCTGTCTAAGAATGAATTAAAATGTTTAAATTTTCTATAGCTGAGCTGTTCTATTGGATTTTCTTTAATGCTGTTGCCTTTTCCTAAGTTATTTTGTTCTTATAGATTTGCAAATGGAAGACTGGGTTGATTAGTTACCTACATGGGTTTTCTTAGAAGTTTTATATGTCTGATTCTTTACCAGCCCATCCCCCAAAATAATGAGAAATCTGGTTAGACTCTGAAGTTGAAAGGGCAATATTATGCTGGCTGATGGGCTCATGGGCAGAAAGCTGGCAAGGAAGGCAGGACTTCTCTCATATGCTGAGATATGAAAGGAAATAGAACATTACAGTGTATTTCACTGCAGTGTTGAGCCATTTATTCTCTCCCGCCCTTATTCCATATCTGTGTGGGTTTAAAGTCACCCAGGATCTGCATCATTTTGTTTTTAGCACCAAGGTCATGTTGAGATTTTACCAACTGTCTTAGCCCAGCAGATTTTCTGCTTTGTTTTGAAAGCTATCATTAGGTTTATACTCAGAGGCAAACATTTCAGCCAGCTGCCCTACATAGAACTGATCTAGTTTTCCACAATCCTTTAAACGAATTATTACACTCCTCGTCCTATGACGAGTTTCTATTCTTAGGCTCCTTTAGTCTGACATGAATTCTGCAACTCTCCCTGTGCTTATTTCAGGTTTCTCAGCTTTGATTTTTTCTTTGTCAGTCAGAGTCCTGAACTTTCTCTAGTCTGCTGCTTCAGCCTTTTACTTTTAAGCAGTATGGTAGATTTTGAAAAATATATCTCTTCTGTTGTTTCAAGAAATGTTGGTGCTTCCAGAAGTCTATTTCAGTTTCTTGTGTTCACCACACAAAATAATTTGGAAGCAAGACCACAGTGAAAGTATAGAAACTCTATTGCAGAGTGAAAGCAAGTACACACTCAAGAGAGGAGTGCATGCATGCTCAAAAGAATGAGCCGCATGCCATGTGGTCAGGGCTCATGTATTATATGGATAAGCATGATGAAGGCACAGAATATTCTATAATTAGGGGAGGGGCTTTCCAGGAAATGGGTGAGCAACACCTGGAATGGGGGTACCACCCTTTTCTTAACTAAATATGGTTAATTAGAAAGTGTCATGGCATCAGGTGCATGATAGGAGTGGGAGGCTTCCCCACAGAAATGTTATGGTAATGGGGCATAGTGAAGCCAAGGATCAACAGTGAGTAATTTTCGGTCACCTTGGATTTAACCAGTTGCCACCCAGTTTATTTTTTGTTATATTCTTTTTTTTTTTTTTTTTTGAGACGGAGTCTCTCTCTGTCGCCCAGGCTGGAGTGCAGTGGCGGGATCTCGGCTCACTGCAAGCTCCGCCTCCCGGGTTCACGCCATTCTCCTGCCTCAGCCTCCCAAGTAGCTGGGACTACAGGCGCCCGCCACTATGCCCGGCTAATTTTTTGTATTTTTAGTAGAGACGGGGTTTCACCGTTTTAGCCGGGATGGTCTCGATCTCCTGACCTCGTGATCCGCCCGCCTCGGCCTCTCAAAGTGCTGGGATTGCAGGCGTGAGCCACCGCGCCCGGCCTGTTATATTCTTATCTGTGCCTAAAGCAGGATGTCTGCAATCTCTTCATTGTTATAGTCTGTTGTAACAGTTTCTTCCTACTGGGGAGATGGGTCCTTATGCTAACCTGTCTAGGCCCACTTGTATTGCTTTTAGCCGCCTGCAAATAATCATGCCCATTTGCTAACTGCCTGCCTCATTGAAATGCAAAGAAAGTAAATGCATATAGTTGCCCACTATCTTGAATCAAATTTACATTTTGTGTCCCCAGATGTAACTCATAATCTCACATTCCACCAAACGCCCATACATACAGAGGCAGTTAACTTTTCTACGCTTTTTATTTGCAGTGCTTTTGGCTTTCATTTTACACTGTCATGGTCACAAACTTAGTCAAAGCCTGCATGCATAAGGATTTTAGTAGTTCCCTGTTTTACTTATGCCTAGTCATTTCCTCCCCCAGATGTCTCAGCATATCACCCAGGGCTGCAGCATGATTTCTGTGGGCCACAAACACTTTTCCCCTGTCCAGGAAAAAAATTAAAAATTAGATTTTATGATTCTATTGCTATAAAGATAAACATAATCTAGTCTGTATTCATTATTAAGTATTAATTATTACGATTATATTCATTTGTCCTTCTCACTTAAAATATTATAAAACATTTGAAATGTGCTAAATGTACTTTGGGCTCTAGAGACTGTGCCTACTGTGCTTAATGGATAACTTAGCTCTGATAATATCCCTAGCTTAATCTTCACAAAAACGTCCTTTCCTTTATGTCAGCGCATGTGCCTGCACACAGGTGCGTGTGTGTGTATAAATACCATCGGCTCTCTACTACGTGTAAGATAAGCAGATTTTGAAAATATCCTTCCCAGTCAATATTGAAATCCATCATAATTCATTCTCAATTATTTTTCTAGGCAGACCTCTCATAGCTTTTCATCCTGTTCTCTACCCTAGTTAACTTTCTGACCTCCTGAACAGGATTAGAACGTTATGACTTCTATTCATATGCCCCTGGTGCTCCTTGGGTGTAAACCCCAACCCCAGCCCCCAGCTTCTGCCTTACTTACCAACCTTATTGACTCTGGAGTCAGTATCTATGTTCACACTTACTAGCTTATACAAGTCATATAACCTTAATTTGCCTCCATTTTGTCAACTATAGTATGTGGGAAATAATAGCTCCTACTAAAAGGGTATGGAAGGATTAATGCAATGATTAAAAACAAAAAGTAATACTTATTGAGCATTTACCACGTGCCATGTACTCATCTAAGTATTCCGCATACTATTTGTGTAAACAGCTTAACACAGTGCCTGGCATGAAGAAAGTATTCAGTTTAAAAATTATGTTATTTTCCTATAATATTACTCTATATGGCAAATGCTGCTAAAAAACAAAACTTTCTCTAGAACTTCAGCCACAGGAGTAGCTTTCTCCTCTGACTCCTGTAATATATATCATGTACACTCTTCATTTGGTAGTTGTCACATACTACTTAAAAACAGGAATATTGCTTATAAGTCATCTTTGCATACCTTGTACAATTTGCCACAGAGCCTTGCAAATTGCAGAAGTCCACTATATATTTGTTGATTGATTGCTTAATTGATTATATGATTTCTTCATGTCCGGCAGCCAAAAGTCCACTCAGCTGACATATATTGGGAGAAACGGTGAAGTCAGCAGCAAGGTCAGCAGTGAGGTCAGCAGCAAGGTCAGCAGCGAGGTCAACAGCAGCCCATCCTAAACGAAAAACCAGCTTGCAATTTTCCATTCATCGAGCTCTACTATTAGCAACTCTTCCACCTCTATATTAGTGTGGAATCAAATCTGGAATTGTGCATAGTCTCTTATGTGGCTACTGGAAAACTGTTTTTCTACCATCTTTGTAGTGCTAAGCAAAGCCACCTGAGAGGAGAGGGCAAGTGGCAGATTTAGTAATACAATTTGCCCCTTACAGAGTATAATTTGGCACCAAAATAATTCCCTTAATCAGAAGACACAGAAGTTGAAATACCACTATTAGTCATCGGTATCACCAAAGATTATTTTGAGTTTCTGCCTTTGGGGTAGTTATAAAGTCTCAGAGACGTCTAACAGACAAATTTTTCTGAAAACACTAATGATTTGTTTTCTCCTGGATGTGTGGAGCGGAGCACTGAGAACTGGGGCAGGCAGGGAGGTCAGAGGGCTTCATAAGAGAGAAGTGAGTTCAGCAGAAGATAGGCCTTGCATACTTCACCATCTGGTTTTGCTCACTGGTCACATGCCTCTTTGGAGTACAATGCAATCTAGCAGTTCTAAAACACAGGCCGTAGGCCAGAAGTTCCAGACCAAAGTTAGTAACTATGATCCCAAACTTCTTACTTTCTATGAAAACAATAAATATGGCTTTGGCTGCTGTAGATTGAAAGCATTAGGAATACTCAGACAACTTCCTCTGAATTCTTTTCACCTCTAGCTATAAAATTTTGAACAACATTTTATCATATTTTCACTAGATGTATGTAAAAACTAATTATTATTGACTGTTCTTTGCAAAATTTCTAAAGCAATGGACTGTATATTTGGTAATACTACTTGCCTCTATTATCTTGATAGCCACAAATCTTGTTTCTACTCTCTTGTGTTCAAATTCCCTCCAAAGACAGTCTAACCACCAGGTTTGTGTATGGATACAGTGCAAGCAGACAAGCTCAGAAACAGCCACCACTGAGAGGTGTTATGTGAAGGAGATATTTTATTGCAGTGACAGAAAATAAGGTGTGAGAGTAACACAGGTTTGGGTAGAATGTTGGCCCCATGCTTTGTGCCCTTGCACAAACCTTACAACTACTTAGAACTTCAATCATTCTATCCATCAATAGGAAAGCAATATATAACTTAGAGTGGCCTATGAGGATTAAATAGAATTATGATTGTGGAGCCCCTGGAGCAGTGTCTGGGATAGTTTCTTCATATATAGTGGTGGTGGTGTCTGTAGCAGCTTCCTTTAAGATTCTGCGAGGGTCTATAGGGAATGTCAAGGTGTAAGTAAGTCCCACTGCTCAAAAGGCTCCTGGACTAGCAGAGGAGATAATCACCATAAAAGGAAGATGCAGGAAGATGTTTACGTCTCTAATACTCAGAAATTGTTCCATGGAGTTGTTCATAACAGAGCCGAAACTCAACTGATAACCTGTTGTCTCATGGACTTCGGTTTTTCTAGACTGAATCAAGAGACAGCTGCAGCTTCCAGAGATAACCAGGGCCACCTCAATAGCTATGGTACCTCAGGGACCTTCCAGATGTTTCCATATCTCTGCCTGTGTTTGGTAACAAGCAGCTCCAGTGTCACAGGCAGCAGCTCACTGTGGCAACAAGGCACTATGGTGGATACCAATTACTTTCCAATACATCGTAATTAATCTGTTGCTAGTAACAGTTAAAGTTAAGTAAATGATTAACTTTTCTGCTGCCACTAGGGAGCAGACAGTCCTTGACCATATTACTAGGTTTCTTCCTGCCACCCTTCTTACCACTATTATAGCCCTCAGCATGTATGCAGAGTGTCACTGGCCACATACAGTGACTGCCATGTACAGGATAGCTACAGTAACAGAAGTCGCTAGTTAGAATTGAATTTCCAAACAGAAGTTTTAAAAAGCTCTAATCAAGCAGGGCGCAGTGGCTCACGCCTGTAATCCCAGCACTTTGGGAGGCCGAGGCAGGTGGATCACGAGGTCAGGAGATCGAGACTAGCCTCGCTAACACAGAGAAACTCCATCTCTACAACAAAATACAAAAAAAAAAAAAAAAAAAAAAAAAAAAAAAAGTTAACCGGGCGTGGTGGTGGGTGCCTGTAGTCCCAGGAGGCAGAGATTGCAGTGAGATGAGATTGTGCCACTGCACTCCAGGCTGGGTGACAGAGCAAGACTCCGTCTCAAAAAAAATAAATAAAATAAATAAAAAATAAAAATAAAAAGCTCCAATCGAAAATATTAGTTTGAAAGTTAGAAAGTCAGGTCCTGGTGGCCCAGAAAAACATGGTTAGAATTTCCATCCTGCTTTGTAGAGTTTGGCCTGGGAAGAGTGGATGTTTCTGACAGAGCGATAGAGAAGCAGTGGTGGAGTGAAGTGTCCAGGAAGCTGGACTGGAAGTCTGTGCCACTGAATCCTGGAACATCCCAGCCTGTAAATACTGCAAAAATATTTCTGAAACCTACAAAGGAAGTGTGCAGTTACTGACTGAGCTGGTGGCATCTCATGAAGACGAAAGGCAAAATCAACAGTTATGTGGCTGCAGCAGAGCAGAGAATACTATATACAGATAAGAATAAAAATGTCACTCATTTAGGGCTTGACAAGCAAAGAGCATTGTACTAAGTGCTTTCACATGTTATTTTTTTAAGTTAAGACATCAAGTGCAGTAGTGAAAATGGGGAAAGAGTAGGACAAGGAGTTTGATCTGTAATTGACTGAATAATCAATTGAGATAACTCACTACCTTCGGACCATCTACATATGTTATCTATTGACTCTTCACAGTAATCCTTCAAAGTAGCTGCTATTACCCCCTTTTTTACAGGTGAAAAAGCACCAAAAAATAAAAAGGTTAAGCAACCAGCCTGTGGCAGATAAGTAATAACAGAGTTAACATAGAGTTAACATCAGACACAAGGGTCTGGTTCAGGAACTTGCTCTCAATAACATCAGAACAATATCCCCAGGAACAAGGATTAATTCAGGGACACATCAGGGAAGAAGGAATGAAAAAGACTTGGATGGACTGAATTTGCTTAAAAGAGTATGCATTTTAAGTTACATGTGGCTAAGGTTCCTTGAAAAGGTAAGATGGGCCCATGAGCTAAGTAGCAGACAAGAGTACCATATTTTTGGAAAACCTAATTCTTGACTGTGAAAGTTCACACTTGCTATACCTATAATGTTATTTTTTTCTCATTTTATCTCATTTGCTGTCTTATTATGTATGACTCCCTACTTCATTATATTTTTTAGTTGTGACTTTAGGGTTTATAGTATATATCTTTAAGTTATTATGGTCTACCTTCAAGTGATACTATTCTTTTTTTTTTTTTTTGAGAGAGTCTCACTCTGTCTCCAGGCTGGAGTGCAGTGGCGTGATCTTGGCTTACTGCAACCTCCACCTCCCAGGTTCAAGCGATTCTCCTGCCTCAGCCTCCCAAGTAGCTGGGACTATTAGCGTGCACCACCACGCTCAGCTAATTTTTATATTTTTAGTAGAGACGGGGTTTCACCATGTTGGCCAGGACGGTCTCAATCTCTTGACCTCATGATCCACCTGCCTCGGCCTCCGAAAGTGCTGGGATTACAGGTGTGAGCTACCGTGCCCGGTGTAAGTATCATATAACAGCATACTTACATGTTACTTCTGCATGTGTTTTAACCCTTACGATACATTGTTACTACTTTTGCTTTAAACAATTAGCTTTTAAAGAGATTTTTAAAACAAAAGGAAAAAATGTCATTTATGTTTACTCATATATTTACCATTTCCTGTGCTCATCAATTGAATGCAGCTTTCCATCTCATATCATTTTTCTTCTCCTGGAGGAACCACTGTTGACATTTCTGCTGATGATCAATCATTTTATTGTTTTCTATATCGAAGGATGTCTTTTGCTTTCCTTTTTCAAATGTATTTGTGCTGTCTATAGAATTTTATGTTCATGGGATTTCTTTTTTCTTTCAATAGTTTAAAGATGTTTCACTATCTTCTGGCTCACATTGTTTCCAAGAAGAAATCTGTTGTCTTTCATCTTTCTTCCCACTCTGTACATAATGTATTTTCCCCTTCTGGCTGCTTTTATTTATTTGTTTATTTTATTTTATTTTATTTATTTATTTATTTTGAGACAGAGTCTCACTCTGTCAACCTGTTTGAAGTGCAGTGGTGTGATCTCGGCTCACTGCAACCTCCACCTCCTGGGTTCAAGTGATTCTCCTGCCTTAGCCTCCTGAGTAGCTGGGACTACAGGCATGTGCCACCAGGCCCAACTAACTTTTGTATTTTTAGCAGAGATGGGGTTTCACCATGTTGGCCAGGCTGGTCTCGAACTCCTGGCCTGAACTCATGTGCTCGCCTCAACCTCCCAAAGTGCTGAGATTATAGGTGAGCCACTGTGTCCAGCCCCTCTGGCTGCTTTTAAGATTTTCTTTTTATCACCACTTTTAAACTATTTGATTACGGTGTACCTTAGCAAAGTTTTCTTCTTATTTCTTGTACTCAGCATGCATTGACCTTCTTGGATCTATCAGTTTATAGTGTTTATCAAAATTGGAGAATTTTAGACCATAATTTTTCAAATATTTTTCTGTTCCTCTTCTTTCCCTTCTCATTGAGGGACTCCAATTTCACATATGTTAGGCCACTGGAAGTTGTCTCACACCTCTCTGATGCTCTGTCCATTTGTTTTCTAGTCTTTTATCCTCTCTTTAATTTTGGACATGTTTAATTGTTATGTCTTCAGGTTACTCATCTTTTCTTGTGGAGTGTCTAATTTGCTGTTAATCTCATTAAATGTTATTTTCACCTCAGATATTTTTAGGACTTCAATCTGGGTCTTGTTTACATGTTCAATCTTTCCTCTAGCTTCTTAAACACATAAAATGTCTATAATTATATAAAATAGTTACAATAACAGTTGTAATGCCCTTGCTTAATAATCATATCATTTGTGCAACTTCTGGATATGTTTCTATTGGTAGGTTTTCATCCACATTGTGAATCATTTCCATTTATTTGCATTGCTGGTAATTTTTTATTGAATGCTAGACATGGTAGTAAATTTTACCTTTGGGGGTACTGGATATTTTTATATTCCTATACATATTATCTGAGTCTTCATCTGAGATTCAGTTATTTATAAATAAATTCTAGTGTTTTATCGCACTGTAGGGTGACTATAGTTAATGATAATACATTGTATATTTTTAAATAGCTAGAGGAAAGGATTTTGAGTGTCTCCAAACAAATGACAAATGGATAAGCTAATTACTCTAACTGGTTATTATATTTTATATACATGTATTGAAATACCACTCTGTACCCCATAAATATGTATAATTAAGTTAAAGCCAAAATTAAAAATTAAAAACCAGAAAAAATTAGTTTGAATCTTCTGAGCCTTGCTTTAAAGCTTTGTTAGGCAGGAACAGAATAGCCTATAGTCTAGGGCTGATCCTGTCCCACCATTAAGGCAATACACTTCTGATTTCCTGATGTGCTGTGAATTGCGACATTTTCCACACTGGCTGTTGGGAAGACAAGCTTTTCCTGGGCCTTTGCAAGTTCCAAGAGTTGTTCCCCTGCTCCTTTTTGTTGGGTGGTGCCTCCACAAATTTGAAGAATTTCCTTCTTACATGTGCTGATTAGTAATGAGCTGAAGACTGGAGGGTGACCCTCTGCAGATCACTGGAGCTTTCTTACTCTCTACAATTTTCTCCTTTCTGGGACTTTGTCCTCAAAACCCTAACCAACTTGCCTTCCCCATACTCCTGCCTCTGTCTCCTCAACTCTGGGAGAGCTCTAAGCTCCACTTGGGTTTTCTCTCTCTTCATGGCATCATGAAAACTCTCTCTAGGCTGTAAGTTGGGGATCATTGTTCTGCATTACTTGGTGTCCAATGCCTGAACATAAATGTTTTATTTTTTGCTGGGTTGTTAGTAGTTTCCAGTAAGAGAGTAAATTCAATATCTTTTATTCCACCTTAGCTGAAAGCAAAAATCCTCCCCAATAATGCCACTTCTAATCCATTTTAGTCCTTCCCAATGGGAAAGGAAAGATGTTACATGCAGATGAAATACTCCCAATTTTAACTATGCATGTGCTATATATTGCACAAATGAACTTGTTGCAGCATATGCAGAGAGGCGAAAAAATAAAAGTTAGCCGCTGGAGTCAATGGTTGTTTTGTTATCTCTTTGAGCATCGTGCATCTAACTATAGAGTCTAACACTATCAGGGCCTTACTTCCAACCATAAGTTGTAATATTTATCCTGACATTTTGCCCTAACCGGCATTCATATTTGGTTATACAAATTCTTTCGTGTAGATGTCACATAATATCTTTCTACAAAATAATTTTGTAGAAAGTCTTTATTACTGACTGTATATATTATTAACCTAATTCAATAGCATGTACATTCTCTAAGGATTTACTAATGGGGTTTGACATACATCCTCCTTCATTACACCTTGTGTCAATTCATGGGCAACAGTGTCTTTAGACAATATTTTGATGCACTTGTAACTTCGATTTTTAGCTAAGTGAAAGGGAACTCCTTTTTAAAAACTAGTGGTTTCTGCAAAGAGTACAGAGAAGCTTAGCAGCCAAAGCACTTGTCAGTTATTCTTTTATACACTACAAGGGATTCATTTGATTCAATGGACTTAACTGAAGCAGAATATCTTTCATTTCAATGAATCCGATTTTATTAAGCCATAATTGTTAATTTTCCTGTAATTCTTCAAGCTACTGTATCATATTTGTGACATAGGTTTAACTATGTCATGAGAAAACTATTTTCTCCTTAAACTTTATTATGTAAAAATTTATTCCATTATTGAATATACTTTTATTACATATTAAAGTTAACTTTTAAATTAAAGCCAAGGAAGACTGTTTCAGCTCTGTAGAAAGAGGATTTAATAACAATCAATGGTAATATTTATTGAGCATTCACTATACACTCTGCATGTTATTAAAGGCTGTACATTCTTGTTCTGAATACTTATTTTGCAAAAACTCACTACAATTACATTTATAAACCTGTTATATATAAAAATCCAATGCCCGAAGACTTCTGTACATGCATCCATTTTTAACTCATTTCCCAATGTTTGAGTTCCGGCTGTTGCTATGTGTTAGGAAAGAGTGTAGTTATATGTAATCCTGGCTCCACTGCTTATTAATTTATGTGTTTTATGTCAGATACTGTTGCTGATGACATATAGATATTCATTTATATATAATTCTGTGAGTAATCATGTGAGGTGGCTACTATTAATTAAAGTAACTAAGCGATGTCCTAGTCAATGTTAGTGCTTAGATTTGAACTAGGCCATTGACATCTGTGCCTTGGACCAGAATAATAATGGCTAGTCCTGTTGAATATGTACTTTGTGTTAGGCGCTGTTCCAAGTGCTTTACGTACATTAACTCATTTAATCTTTACAACAGCTCTATAAGGTAAATACAAACATTAACCCCATTTTACGAATGAGGACACTGAAGCCCCAAGAGGTAAAGTAACTGTCCCAAATCATATGATTGAGAAGGGCAGAACCCCAGTCCAGACAGTCCCACTCCCTAGGCCGTGCTCTCCACCACAGTGCTTGCCTGCCTCCCTGAGCACGTTCCCTCCTTCCTCTAATGACTGCTGTACCTTGCATCAAATGGAATGGGCAGCCTCACTGTGTCTATCCTATTGGTGAGGTAAAGGCAAAGATTAAAAGCAAAGGATAATATGATATCACTATGTCCAAGCCAATCCCATAATCATAGAATTTTAAAATCTTAGATATTGTTTAATGCAATCTCTTCATTTTACTTATGAAGAAATTGAGCCCCAGCTAGGTTAAAAGTTTTGCCTAAGGTTAAATATAGATTTCAGATTTTTGTCAAGGCAGGACATTTGGCAGAGTGCTGGGTTCACTTGTACAACAAATATTGAATGCTCTTGCTCAACAAATATTTGCAGAATTGAATTGAAACCTGGAGTCTTTCTTGAGACTAAATTAGTGCAAAGCACCGTAGTTAGAAATGCTTTATAGATCTTGGTAGTGTTCACCGGCTTCTGCACCTAAGTAGTGGTTTTTCTAGAAACATGTTTAATAAATAATGGAGTCACAATGCTTACTGTTGCACTGATGTTCCCACACAATTTTCCATTGAGTTAACCTGGAGTTGTTTTATTTTTGTGTGATAGCCTTAAATCTCCACCATAGCAGAGAGGCTGCATTTTCAGAACAGCTGCTCCCAAGTTTAACAGATTCAAATCTATTGATTTTTTTTTTTGACAAGGTAAAGGGTATTACTGTACATTCAAGATAGACATGTGCTGAACTTTACTCCAGTAAAGTAGGGGAAATGTTTCAGAAAAGTTGGACCAGAAAAGCCATTCAAAAAGCCCAGCAAATTGAAACAATCTAAAAAAATAATTTAATAGAAAAGTTTTATTCTTCAGCAAGCATTGATATAATTTTCTCATGTAGGTAGCATATATTGATCTGAATGCTAATTTTTTTCTTTTTCTTTTTTGCTTATTGACGGAATTAGAAAATGCCTTTACTTTAATTTCTATGAAACTCAAGTGGTTTTAAAGATGTTTTAGATTATTATAATCAGATTACTTTCCCCTATCTTAATTAATATATTTTTTCAAATATTTACCTAATGAATAGTATCTTAGCATGGATGCACTCATATACAGTCTAAGTAAATAGAATATGGTTACATTAGTTTATTTTTGTTTCCTTGCAGACTATAGAATGGATATGATGTTATTTCAGCACAGCTTTAAAAACTGGAATTAGAGAACAGAATCTTAGTAACTCAAACATTTTAAAGTCTTGTCTCTTCTTATAGTCCATCATACCTTTAAGAAACATAGTTCATTTTAATCATAAATTTCAGAAGGATTTTAAAGTTACTGTTCCATCACTTAAAACATGTCCAGATTTTACTGGTCACCAATATTTTCATAGGTTTTGTTATCCAAAAATAGCAAAAAATACTACTAATAATACTCATATATACTAATCATACTAATGCATAAAGTACTATGCTATTTAAAGTAGTTTTTTTTTATAGGTAATGGTTTAAATTGTGGGAATGTAATGCTTCTGTCCTAGGGCTTTTTGGACAAAAAAAAAATGCTTGACTTCCATAAATAATATTTTTAACTTTTTCCCCGAAGATTTACTTTGAGTTTACTTGCTTTTTTTAAAAGATAGGTAAGTTATTTTGCACTATGTTGTAAGGAACTATAGTTTTTTATATAAAACGTTTTAATTTTAATTTTAATATAATTTGTCTAAATTCATTATATATAGTTTTTAATAATTCTTACTTTTTTTTCAAAACACATGACAAAAACATACCAGTGATGTGGCAAAATTTGATTAGGCAACTTACCAGTAAAGAAAATCTTCAAAGACAGTCTTGTATGCTTTTAATTTAGAATGGCAGGCTGTAAACCTCTGTGGCTATGAGCTCACAAGAGTTGTTAATTCATCAACCTGTTATTTGGTCAAATTGTTTTCTGAAAATTTCTGTGATAAATTGCAATAGAAACATACTATTGTTAAATTTAGAGACAAGATTTAAAAAATTATTACCCACCTCCCCCTCCCCATTCTTCAAATTGCTTGATTATCATGGAAGGTAGATTATTTGTCCTCTGAAAGCAAATGATGTTGAGTAAAAAATAAATGCAACCGTTTTATCAAATGGTTATTAACAGTGACCCTTTGTTCAGTTTAACATATTTGTAACAAAACAGGCACTGGGAGGAAATGCTTATTCCTTTAATAGAACCAGGATTAATAACATGAAAAACCCCAGCAAGTATAGAAAAACAACTTCTTAATGATATATAATTAATAAAGTATGCAAACTTATAACTCCTCCTTTAAGATGAGTTTGCCACTCATTAACTTCTACCAATAAGCTATTAGGCATGTAAAACTGTTTTGATAGGTCAATTTTTAAGACTTTCATTTGACTGATGACTGATGGCTTCACCAAGTTCATCTAATATACTAACATAGGACAAAACAAAAACTAGTATTTTGGAGAACTAAGAGTGAAATACATAACATATCATTTTATGTTCTCAAAAAATGAAGTTTAAATGTAATAGGTGCTTTAATCAAGAGAAATAAAAACCTGTTAGTTAAATAAACAAGTAACTATGTTACTGATTGAACTATCAGTACAATTATTGATCTTGATATATTTAGAAGTTAATTCATGACATCCAGATTTAATGACAATGTAAATTAAATGAACAAAAGTTCCAATCCCTTCAGTTTTTAAGGTTTTTGAATAACATTTTATTTTAAAGGTAGAAAACAAAATTATTTTTAAAATAAGCATATTTATATTTACATGATTTAAAAATGTTAATTATTGTAATAATAAGGATCACAAGTCATGCCAACAAATTTTCCCATTTTAGTATGTAATTCTTTGTTTTTTTCTAAAAGTGATATATAAAATTGAATTTCTGCACCGAAGAATATAATTAGAAACATGCCTTTTCACAGATGTGGACAGTGAGATGTAGAATACTGAGCCAAAACAACATGACCAAGGAGACATACACTTCTCAGTGGCAGGAGAGTATCTGACAGCAATAAAGGTTTACATGAATGAATATTTATTATGTCCCTAAGCACTTTACATGGATTATCTATGGTA
The DNA here is from genome assembly GCF_000001405.40 of Homo sapiens. NCBI lineage: Eukaryota > Metazoa > Chordata > Mammalia > Primates > Hominidae > Homo > Homo sapiens. The sequence continues at coordinate 88,422,493 of NC_000012.12, read as the reverse complement.
TAAGTAATAGTATTACCTCATTTTACAGAGGAGGAAACTGAGGCACTGAGTAGTACTTGCCTAAAGTGGTAGAGTGGAGCCTGAACCCAGGCACTTTCTTATTCTTAACAGTCATCATATCTTGTTTAAGGCTTTTCTACTTTGAATGGAATGTTAACTCTTTTATGGGAGGAACCACATCTAATATTTCTAACATATTTTTCAAATTGCCTTTCCTAGAACTGGTGCCTTGTAGATGTGCAATAACAATTTGTTTCTTAATTGATATTAGCGTCATCTAGGTACATAAGCAAAAACTCACTATGAAGATCATAGTTCAATTTCTAAAAAATGGCCTCACTGAAATGTATAATGTTACTTAAGTTTATCTCTTTAACATAACTATTGGGTGCTTTAAAAAATATCTGAAAGTGTAGCTGCACCAGAAACTTTCTGGAAACAATGGATATAAAACTTGCTTTAAGAAATATAGTGAAGAAGATAGATCTCATGTTAAGTGTTTTGATCACAATAAAAACAAACAAAAAGAAATATAGCAAAACATCAGAGACTAAATATTTTAAGTAATTCAAAATAAATTAAAAAAAATAAAAATTAATAACTAAGCATTATTATTTTATTATAATATTGACTGAATCTAAATTAAATGTCTGATATCCAAACTTCATTGAAATGGCTACCTGGAATAGTTCTGAAATTTGGGGCTGTTGTGAAATTTGCTATAAAGTATAATGTTTAAAAAAAAAGTACTTCCAACATGGTAGAATCATTTGTGCCCAAATCTCTTCTCCACCATCCTACTGTTGCCATGCATATGCCATCAAATTAGACTAAAATTCTCACTGTATACATAACTAAAAGATTCCATTGTAGAGTTAAGGAGTGGAAGGAGAGGGAAGAATGCAGGCTGAGAAAAAAGGAATCAGTATCTCTTAAAAGCAGTCAAAACATCTACATCATCAGAGAGCAGTCCTGTCTGCCTTTTTTGTTAGAGCATTGATTCATCATAGAAGCTAAAAGACACCTTCAGACATTAGAGAAGGATCTACTGGTCAGATAAGTTACTGTGGACCTTGGGGGAAGTAGATGATATCACTCCTGCCCAGGATGTTGGAACTAGGATAGAAATGGCTTGGGATGTGTTGATAAGTATAGCTCAACTGGAGCCAGTTTTTACCTACTGCATTCTTCCTTAGCCCAAAGGAAAGTAGTTATTTCCTAATGGTTTTTCAAAAAAAGTTTAATGTCATTAAATTCACAAAAGTTTTATATTCTAAATATTTGAGCTATTTATTGTATAACCAACCATTCCAAAACATATTGGCTTGAGACTACAATTTATTATTTGTTATGATTTTGCACATGGGCTGGGTCAGAGAGTTGGTTCCTCTACTCCCCAAGGTATCAACTGAGCTGATCATGTGACTAAATTCCACTGGTGGCTCAAATGAGGATGGAACACCAAGATGGCCCCACTCACATTGTATGGCAGTTGATGCTGACTGCTGTGTGTGGTGCCTCTCATCCTCCAGGGCCTTTCTTCCCATGTTACTTCCCCAGGTGCATAACCCAGGCTTCCTTACATGGTAGCTGGCTTCTGAGAGAGGTCAAGATGAGGAACTGCACAGCATCTTAAGGACTAGGCCTGAGAGTTACATATGTCCCCTCTACAACATTCTATGAGTTAAGGCAAGTCACCAGGGCCAACTCAGATTCAGTGAGTCTGATGAGATCAATAGAGAAGTCATATTGAAAAAGGACTTGTAGGATGGGAGGGCTTGTTGCTTTCATCTTTGGAACACTCCCATACCAAATAAAAGTAGTTGTGCAATAAATCTGAACTCTAGTTCAATACTATGCATGACTGTTTCCCTGTGGGGAATAGGATGAGTAATGATTTAGTCAGATGAGCATCTGCTTTCCATTGATGCAGTTCATTTTATTATGCAAATTCAGTGAATACAAAAGATATCTTCTTAGCCTTTGCATAAAAGTTTACTCTGAAGAGATCAGATAGGTCATTGAAGGCCCTCAATTCACTCATTTCTTCTTCTAATGAGTAAATACTGATAGACCACAAATTATAGGCTGTGTCAAGGGAAAAATCGAGGTCTGGCTAAAATTTTTATTACCTTGGTATGGCTTAGTGTTAATTTTCTCTAGCCAAAGTCATTAAATGAGCTAATATACCTATTTTGTATCACTAGGAAAATTTAAAATCAATAACTAGAAAAACAAAATAAAGCAAATAAAAGGCACTTTTTATGTATAATTATAGATTAAAATTAGGTGCATTTTTGTATGTGTTTTGTTTTTTGGCTGTTCATGATCTAAATCTGTTCATATGTCAAAGAATCCCTCATTATTCACATTTTGGTGGGGAGCGAAACTCAGCCTTCCCCTTGGCAGTTGACAAGGGTTACATATTATCTCTCCTGGCCATTAATGGCTGGATTGTTGGCACATGACCTAGGCCTGGCACAGACACACCAGCTCTAGAGGAAGTATGCAAAGATGCATACTTTCACTTAGAAATTGCTCATGGTGATGAGGATAAAGTGCAGAAACCCTGGGCATGTCCTTAGCTGAAGATGAATGAGGATGATCCAGGGTGAGGATGCCCCCAGACCATGCCTAGGTGTCCTGCTGCCCAGCTCCTTTAATTCCTGAGAAGTTTTTTAGCCTCAGGGGTTTTCTGAGTCTGGTTGTTTGGCCTTCCAATCTCATTTCAATAAATTATTTCTCTGCTTAAGTTATTTAGAACCAAGTAATATTGTAGTTTTACAACTATAAATTGTTCCACCTGACTAGGCAGGTGGAAAGTTTATTCATTTTACAAATAGTTATTGAAGAATTAATATGTAACAGGCACTGTACATACAGCATTAAAATAAATAAATAAATAGACAAAATCTTCTCCCCTCACAGAGCTGCGTTCTAGTCAGGGATCTGGGACAACACAACAGGAAGAAAACAAATAACAAATAAACAAGTCAAATGTACAGTATGTGATATTTACTATGGAATGCTCTGGAGAAAATGAAGCAGGGAAGGGGGACAGAGTGTTGGGGAGGGGCATTCGGTCAATGGGGGTTTTGACATTTTAAATAGCATGATTACAGGGCCTTCACCGAGAAGATAGCAGTTGAGCAAGGGAAGTAACTAACGGCTGAGTCAGAAGTGTGCCTGATGTTTCTGTGAAGAGAAGGAAGCCAGTGTGATTGGAGTAGCAGAAGAGACTAGAAGATGGGGATGAAGAAGGAATCGGGTGAGAGCAAAGGAAGGCCGTGAAGCCATTGTCAGAAATTTGTCCTTTATCCTGACTGAGCAGAAGAAACACTGAAGGATTTTGAGCAGAGGCATGTCTTGATTTCATTTCATTTTTAGAGGTATAGATAATTCAGGCTGCTATTTTGAGACTCGACTGAGAAGAGGTGTGTACTGGTAAGTGTAAAAGTGGAGAGACCACTAAATTACCTCAATACTTCCGGTTAACAGATATTAGGGACTTGGTCTAGAAACAGTGAGAATCGGATTTGTTTATTTGTTTTTTCCACTCTGGTTGCTTTTAATGTTAATTTAGTGAGTTTAGGAAATTAACAGTGGCTAGCTTAGTTTATAAAGCCTTTCTTAAGCCAATGTTTTCCCAAGAATCGATTTCTTATTAAAGAATACACTATAGTAATATATTTTCCTGTTCACTTTCTGGTTTTTGTCTTAAGGCTCCTGGACACACCGCCAAACTGTAGGGCTGGCTGGTATAGAAAGCAAATGCCCATGTGGCATCATTTTGGCTCCCTTAGAGAAACTCTCTGACTTGGGCTGAAATTCCCAAAACAAGGAAGTTATTACTCTGGAGTAAGGTCTTGAGAATGTATAACTTTGTACATGTACATGATCTAATAATTTATATTTGAATCACTAGAAACACATTAGTTCAAATTATGTAATGCCCAGAGGGCATTACAGATGAGGTTTAGGAAGAAAGGGGGAGAAAAGAAAAATTTCCAAAGGAGGACTTCTATGCAGTAAGAATATGGCTGGTGCAAATAAAAGAGGCCCAACAGGCATTTTGAAATTTTCAATATTCAGGCTAATGAGAAAGCGGTCCCCTCATTTGGGAGAGCAAAGAGAAAGAGAAACCACCAGGAAAATCTTACATCTTCCAAAATATCATCTAGAAAAGGGCTATCACACACAAATAAACCAATGTTACTTGCCAGGATCTCAGAATTTGCTGAAACAAATCCCTTCAAAAATTCAACCAGTATTGAAAAAGAAATATTATATCCTCTGCCCTTCTTTAGTACTCTCCCTCCCATTTTACAGGGATCCTGTAGAATTTCAAATCGGGAGGACTTGAAAACATTCAGCATTTACTAGAGGCAGATTTCAAAATCATTCCAGCCAAAGTGGAACTTGTGAGAAACTAGAGGATTGAGGACCAGGCAAGAGAGCCCTAATGAAGATGGAATGTGTGGTGGAAAGTCTTGCAGTCATGTAGTCTCCAAATAATATTTGCAAAGCTAAGTTTCTATTTGTGAACCCACATTTAATTATAGCTGAGAATACGTATGCCTCGGCCTTCTTACCCTAAAAGAAACATATCTAAAATTATTCTTAGTTTTTTGAATGTCTCGCAACAAAAATTGTCTTTGTGATCAATCCTTACTTCTTATGGTGCTTTCCACGGTCTCAGAACAGACATACCTGCCTACACTCTCCCTGCCAGATTGAAATACTAACTCAGTCAGTCAATATTTGCTGTACAGAGAGGCAGTGTAATGTGATAGAATGGCAGAAAATGAGTAAGTGGAGATACACAGGTGCTTCAGGCACAGGCGCAGGGATTCAAACTCTGACTTCTGTACATAAGAACTTTGGGACACTGGACAAGTCCCTCCATCTTTTTAAGCCTCAGTCTCCTCATCTCTAAAATAAAAGAATAATGCTTAGCTAACAGGATGATTATAAGCATCAAAAGGGATCATATCACAAGTACCTGGCACAATGTTGTTCAGTTAGGATGCATGTGACCGCCAGAAACAAAATTTTCAACAGCAAATGACTTCAACTCGAGGAATTTATTTTTATCCAAGAACAATAAATGCAGAGGCAGGGATTCTCTGGGTTGGTGCAAGAGCTGGATGGCATCAGAGGTGTAGGTCAATTTCTCTGTGATTCTCTTGACTGCAGTAGCTCCAGCTGTAACAGCCTTATATGACAATGTCCAAAGCAGAAGTGTGGGCATTTATCTTTGAATGTCTCTTATCAGGGAGAATCCTTCCCAGATGGCCAGTAGTATCCCTTCTGACACCAATAGCCTTCACTTGGTTACAAAACTATGTCTGGGTTGGAGGCAAAACTGGGTAAATGAATATTAAGTATTTTTCTTCTTTGTGTGGGGAGGGCAAAAGAAAAACTGGGCAGGACGTGGCAGTTGGGTTGAAAGGTAATGATGACCACTTCATGGTGCTTCACTTAGTAAGCACTTAAAAATGTTAATTCCTTTCCCATTTCTGTTGGCAGTGCAATATATCAGGTGCTGGCAGACACTTCCAGACCGCTCTACCTTCTGTCAATATAGCAGTGTGCTAGATTGCATCCTTTAATACCAAGCTTTCTTCCTGACTTATTACCTAGATTTCTATTTCTGAAATATAACTAAGCTGCCTAATATTAAAAGCAACAATAGCAATAAAAAAAAAACAACAAAGAAAACTGCTTCCTTTTCTTCCCAGGCTTACCTCTGTAGGCACAAGCTATAGTTAAACAAATGTACAGACATGAAAGAAGAGCTGGGGTTCCATGTTATTTTTTTGTCTTGAAATGTCAATAAAAGTGCATGGCTATTTTGATATATTTCCCAGATGGACTTTTCTTTGATATGTGATGTGTTATTTACTGCTCATGCCGGCCATATTCTTTTGCTGCATCTATTTCACATGAGAAGTGATATTTCTGTTGTTTAAAAAAAGGATATTAAGTATTTTTAAATAGATGCCCTTTCCCAGTTGCCATGTGGAAGGGCAAGATAATGGAGAATAGTGATCTGGGAGGAAGAACAGAGCTATTAAAGAGAAAGCATCAAGGAACAGTTAGACTTCAGAAATAGTAAGCTAGAGCCAGTCACTGTATTTAGAAAATGAAACTACTAGTATTTTGCGAAGATCCTAAAAAGAAAGCAAGGTACTCATTAAAATCAATTGATGGAAATGCATGTCTTAGAATCTGTACTTATAAAAGTACATGGACACTTTTAAAAGTAAAACCAAAAAGTAAGATGTGGACATACCAACACAAACAGCATGTGTAAGTGTATTCGGAGAGAGTGAGAAAATAATACAGACCAGACTGGGGACAAAGACTATTACTTTGACTTCAGGTCAAGGTAATAGTGCTTCAATACTTCAGGATTCTCACCAATTCTTTTTTTATTTATGGGAGAGTCTATATTTTATTGTTGATTTATTGATACATAATATTTTACGTATTTATGGGGTACATGTATTTGGTGACATGCATAGCATGTGTAATGATGAAGTCAGGGCATTTGGGGTATTCATCACCTTTAATATTTATCATTTCTGTGTGTTGGTAACATTTCAAGTCCTCTCTTCTACCTAGTTTGAAATATACAATATGTTTTTGCTAACTATAGTCACCCTAGTCTGCTATCATACATTAGAACTTATTTCTTCTATCTAACTACTAATTCTTTAGTGAGAAAAAACTGGAGATTACTCAACAGGACCTGCTGTAACACTATTATAGTTAGTTGCACATGAATCAAAACACTAAAATACATAAATGTAAATGTATGTGTGTGTATATACATAATGAATCTCTTAGCCATTGTTATATTTGCATTGAAGGACATTGCTTAACTATAGGAGTCAAATTTCTGAAAACTAATATGAGAAGAAAAGAAGTACCTTAAGAATTTTGTTTTAATCAGGCTAAATTCTGTTTTAGTGTGCTCCTTTTTCTAATAACACGAGGAATTTATGGTGTCAAAGAAGATATAGTTTTTATTTTTAGGATTGGGAAACTTGAATTTATTGGTAGCAAGGAAAAAGTCCACATTATTTGGTGATTATTTTCAAAATGCTTTCTGCATATTTAGTTTGTTCCTTCAAGTACATTATAAATATCTTAGGTTAGAAAATGATTCCTATTTGTTATTTCAATTCCATGAAGCACTCATTAAAACAGGCTGCATACAAAATTTGCTTAATACATTTTTGGACTGCTTATTATCACTCTGGTACTATGGTTAACTCATTCCTTCTCTTCAGTACGTGCAAGAATAATGTATTACTGTGTGTGTTTACATTGGTTTTACATTATTTCAGACACTACAAAATTAGCTTCTTGCTATATGTCTTATGGATATTCAGTTCTTTGAAAATGTGTTAATTAGCTTGTCCATCAACCACGTTGCCTTAAAGCCCATTGTTAGCAACTTTGGACATCCAATGACCTTTTAAGTAAAAAACCAATGGCCATGATTTATGGTATGTTAGATGCTATATCTAAACAGAGACGAAAAAAATAAAACCTTCGTGATTCTTACATGTCTTTTCCTCATTACTTTGTGTGTGTGTGTGTGTGTGAGAGAGAGAGAGAGTGAGTGTGCACACGTGTATGTGTCTATTTGTGTTTCTAGATTTTTATTCTCCTAAAGTGAACATAAATTTTGCCTGCAGAGGATTATATACCTAGCTGGGCATTCATTCATAGATCCGTTTCATATTAGGCTGAAGCCTTGGAATGCTAGTGGTGATCATCCAAACCTGTAGGATATGACATGCTGAGAGTCATCCATTCACTCCAATCACTTAGGATATCTCAGGGCTAGGTACCACATTACACCACAACCATATGATGAGAGATACAGGGTTTAAACATGGACAACTCCTGTTAAAACCTTTATCAATGTGTTCATCAACTCAGTAACCACAGAGTTCTGTCAACAGCTAAAAAGAGTTTAGAAAAAGAGGAAGAGCTTTGTTTGTTTACTCCTTTGCTGTGTACATCCAAAATACAATGGTGGGAGAAGATTTGTTCTAGTTTTTCCCAAAGATACTCCTTAGGGAATGCACTCAAAAGAACAAAATAGGTTTTCTATGACTCCACAGAAATAGAATCTGTAGTATTATTTTTGCTTAAATGTGATTAGGTGTGAACATTGCTTTGTTATTTGTTTCCTGATTCCAGATTTGGAATAAATAGCCCTTGATACAGGATTTGGAGAAGATTTTGGTATTAATCAATCATAGACTTCAGGAGATGATTTCAATAGGTCCTTTTCTGGAATTCTCATTTCAGTATAGAAACTGTATGGGCAGAATTTTTATTATTATTATTATTATTATTATTATTATTAGCCCTGTATTTGGAACATGTCTTCATTTTAACCTGCTCTAAATCAGCATGCAGGAATTCAAAAGAAACAAAACCACTAACAGCCCCTACTGGCATACACTGCAACTAATTCACAGATCCTGGTCCACATCAGCCTTCACACCTTACACTTTGTACAGTCTACTTTAAATGGACAAACAATCAACAAATCGTACTAGATCAATATTTAGACAAGCAAACTCCAGATAACTACTCTAAGTTCACCAGTGTTTATAGTAACTAAAGCAGCAACATGCATAAAATTGGGCACTGTTTCATGAGTTTGTTTTCTATTAAAAAACACACATACGATGATTGCAAAATGAAATGAAATTTGTTTGTTTTCCTCTTCTGTCTAGCATGGATATCAGCTGAGGGTTTGTTGGCTGTTTCTCATTCAAATGCAATAGAACCATTGTCCTTTGGTTTTCATCTGCTCCAAAAAAAAAAAAAAAAAAAAAAAAGGCCTGATTCTGCACAGTTGTGCGTTAGTATTAGATATATTCATGCCTCAACATACACATCCTTTCCTTTGTGGCAATACACATGTTCTATTTTTCATGAATGAATGTAATAAGGAAGTGATTAAACTCTAGTATCACAGCTAACTTTCCATTCCTATATATACTGCATTGTGCTTTAAAAGGGAAAAAGTTTTACAGACAGAATGCACTGATCCATGTCATGTAAAGGCAATGTCAGTGGAATGAGAGCCCTTGTTGGGAATCCTTTGGTCAGGAGGCAACAGCAAAGTAGTGGGGGCAGGGCCCTTTTCTGAATGCATCATTTTATCTTTTATACTCATTCATCTACACTTGTAGGGAGCACCTCTTCATAAATATCAGTTAACAGCTTAGATAGGAAGACAATGAAAGTGAAGAGCAGAATAGCAAAAATAAATGCCCTCAAGTTATGCTTTCCATCAGCATTTTTGAAAGAAAAATAAGACATATGAGCCCAATTATCTTTGTCAACTAAATACATATGAAAACTCAGAAAAAAAATATTGAATGCTTACAGTTTGCAAAGCTCTGTCCTTGGCTACATGAGAGACAGAGAAAGAAGAAAGTTGAGTCTAGAAGAAAAGGTTAGAATTTGATTATATATTTTCTTGTCCTCCAAGTGTTTCTAATGCTCTGTCATATGCATGTCCTGTCACTTTAGAAAGACAGCAAATTAAACTTTAGAGTAGACCTTGAGTGAATTGCCAAATATTTAATCACAAAGAGAAATAGTATACATTGTTCTAATGAGCACTGTGGAGGCTTCTAAAAACACATCCCAAATGAATAAAGTAAACAAAATATCTTATTTTGCTTTTACTTAATTGGATTTAAAAATTGTATCATTAAGAATGCAGATTTTTAACAAGTCAATCATATGCAATGTAAAATAAAATGCTAATAATCTTCTCCCGCTCCTCATCTTCATGAATTCAGTTTGTACCCTTCTAGAATTTTCTAGGGCATGTCAGTCTGGGAAATTTCTATGGCGGTGGAAATGTTCTGTCCCTACCACTCAGTAAGGTACCATTAGTCATATGCAATTATCAAGCACTGAAAATGTAGCTGATGAGACTGAGAAGTTATATTTTCTATTGTATTTAGCTTTACAAATTTATTTTTTATTTAGTTGTAAATTGACAAATTATACTTGTATATATTTATAGGGTAAAAAGTGATGTTATAATTTATAAATATTTACTCAGTTTTAGTTAATGTAAATTTAATTATTCACATGTGTCTTGTAGCTACCATGTTGGACAACACAGGAGCTAGAGTCTGTAAAAATATATTAAGGTTTCTTGTCATTTTATAAGAAATGAAGCACATTACACAAATTGCTCTGTGACCTAATTTTGTTTTACTTAAAATATGTCATAAACGTTCATCCAATTCACTATGTCTAACTTATTCTTTTTAAATAGATGAATAACTTTTAAATCCACAATTTATTCAGCAATTCTCCTTTTGATTAAAAGGTTTTCTTTGATTATTGCTGTTGTTTGGCCCATTCAAAATGCTTTAAGAGCCCAGTCTTGCACATATAATGGTACAAAGTCTTATTTTTGTGCGTATGATTATATAAACACATCTTGTCAAAGGCATGTACAGTTTTAATTCCAATAGCTATCACTACATTTCTAACAAAATCTTTCCAAACATATTGCAATAATGCACATTCCCATGAGTAATGAATTTGTGGAGTGTGATTTCCTCACACTCTTGCCAGGGCTAGATGTTATTAGGCTATTTATTTTTTGCCAATCTGAGGTCAAAAAACGTATGTCAATTAAGTTTTAATTTGCATTTCACTAACCACTGATAAGAATAAATATGTTTTAATGTTTGTTACTTAAAATATGTTGACAATTTCTCAATTCAGAATAATTATCTTCTGATTCTCTCTTAAAAGTAGAAGCCAGAGATCCTAAAGTAATTGTATCATAAATAATTTTTAAAGACAAGAATCACCTGAAAATACACAGTTAAGAGATCTAAGTTTCAGTTATATAATTACTATTACTGAATAATATGGTTTGCTATAGAACTAAGTTTTCAGCATCCAAAAGTAAAGAATAGCTATTAAAAAGAAAAATAAAAATTCAAGAGCAATATTTCTCAACATGTGGTCTGAGGATCACCTGTATCAGATCAATCAGGGTGCCTAGAAGCTGACTTCCTGGTACCCATTCTAGGCTCCTTAAACAATCATTTCTCACCTGGTACCCTGGGATCTGAATTTTCACAACTTCTTTATGTTATTTTATGCCTGGGATCTGAATTTTAACAACTTCTTTATGTTATTTTAAGCAACTAAGTTTTAAAACATTTAGTTTGAGGGACTCAGACAATGTAATAGTATTTTTATTTTTGCTTAAATCTAAGCGAGTTTGAATAATTGGGACAAAAAGTAATCTAGCTAGAAAGCTGTAGTCATGGAAACAAATTTCAAAATACTATAAGAATAAATTAAAAAGCTTTATGACACAAACACCAGTCTGTATTAATTAGTATTAAAGTGTTTGTAGGCATTTCATGGCTTTCCACGGATGGTCAACCAAATAAATATTAAAGAAACAATTTAAACAGACTTTTAATTTTATGACAAAACAACCACACAAAATATTTCCCTAACCGCTAATTTTAAATTACTATCAAAATAGATGTTATACACTAAAAAAGCATGGTAAAATTAAAGGATATTGTTTTAAATAATAAAGGGCTGAGGTTTGGATTTTGGGTTTTGCATTCACTTGGCTATCTGAGTCATTAGTCTTAATTTCATTTATCTGACTTCAGTTAAACAATGTGTGACAGGGGAATCATAATACCTATTTCAGAGTTATTTTGGAGAATTTAGTCAATTATAATCTATGAAAAGCACTTTGTTTACTGTGAAGTATTGATTATTAGCAACATTTTTAAATAGGATTTTTACACTTTGTTCCTTTGTTCCTACAATTAAAATGTCTACTGTCTCTCCATTCCCATACCTATTTTCCCCCTACCTCTATTCCTATTACTTTATTGTGCATCTTTAAGTGCCAAAGTCTCTCTAAAAGGAGGTTGCACTAAGAATGACAGTATATATGGGTATGGGACACATACTCATTTTAGGAATTGAAACGCTCATTCCAATAATCCCGATGGTTTTATTGTGGCTCAAAGGGTCTCTGAGGTTTGTGAGCGGTGTCACCTTACGAATCTGAACATATCCTTACAATGGACAAAAAACCAAACACCGCATGTTCTCACTCATAGATGGAAAATGAACAATGAGAACACTTGGACACAGGAAGGGGAACATCACACACGGGCCTGTCTTGGGGTTGGGGGAGTGGGGAGGGATAGCATTAGGGGATATACCTAATGTAAATGACGACTTAATGGGTACAGCACACCAACATGGCACATGTATACATATGTAACAAAACTGCACGTTGTGCACATGTACCCTAGAACTTAAAGTATAATAAAAAAAAAGAATCTGAACATATCCTTACAAATGTTCCAAATGAAAGCAAAATATCATACGCTAAAAAATAGCATTTTATGTAAATAGCCAAAGGTCATGTGAAGCTAAGGCTGGTAAATAAGGTTTGTAATCAAGCTGAAAAATATGGCATCAGGTTAAACATGAAATGTGACTAAAGTATGGAACTGATTTTTTCCCACATGGAAAGGCAGACTACGAAAGCACTTTCAAAAAAGGAATTCTAAGATAGTTTGCTGGAGCAAATCATACAATGTACAAATTGGTATCCTTATAAAGTAATGGTCATCTCTCTCAACTAGGCCCTGAATGCTGTCAAGCAATTCTATCACAGGATTTTATTCTGTTCATACTCCCACACTGTGTACACATTAGCTTTTCACACCTTCTTTACTCTCTTCAATCCATAATGCGGCCCCCACACCTTCTCATTCTCAGTAAATATTCTAACCTCTTTCTTCAAAGAAAATATGTCAAAAGATTGAAATTACCTTAACTTTCCATTTGCAAACATCCACAACTACTAGTGTAATAATTGCTCTCCATTCGTGCTTCCTCTCCCATTGCAGCTGTTAATGTGTCCTTCCTCCCCTTTAAGTCCCTGCCTTGCTCTCCTGCTCAGGATCCCGCTCTGCCACCTTTCAGAAGTCTTACCCTTTGCATACTTCTCCTCACTTGAATCTCTTTAACCTCTCCTGCCAGGCCGGATATTTCCTCTTTCTTAAGAGACAAAAGTCCCTTAACCTCACATTTCATTCCATTCATGATCCATTCTCCTTCTTTCTATACTCATAATTCTCTTAAAAAATTATCCACCTTAATGCCTCCATGTTCTCATTTCTTATGCATTTTTAAAACCATTCTACTTTGACTTCTGTCTGTATCACTCTACTGAAATGATCTTTGCTAAAGTTACTGATAACTAGAACAGCCACATCATTGAAACACTTTCAGTAGGACAGCAGGCTTCAATTAGGACAGTATTGGGCAAACTGGGACATGAGCTCTCTTATCTTAATGATTTACCTGTTGCTAAGTCTAATAATATTTTGTCTTCCTCTTACTTAGCCTCTCAGTTGGCCACTCCCTTGTTTCTAAAATACATACCTATGTCCTTAATCTTCTGAGAAACCCCTCCCATTTCTTTGCCCACTCCTTCTTTTTCTCCTAGTCCATTTCAGTCTCATTTACTTGACAATTAGATAGATGAGTTCTACAAAGCTTAGTTTTAGACACCATTCATGTCCTAATCTATACTCTCTGCTTAAGTAACTTCAACAATTTCCATGTCTTGGATTTTCATCTTTGTATCAATGGCTTTCAGAGTTAAATATTCAGCCTAGACTTCTCTGAGCATCACAGACACAGCAAATTCTCTAGTTGACAATTATAATTGGAAGTTTTACACGTGTGCTGAGACATGAGGGTATGACAACCAGACAAACAATTTGGCACCACTTCTAATTCATGCTTTTATAATACTTTTAATCATATTTTTCATAAGAGGAAGAAGAAATTATTTATTGTATTATTACACAGAAACAGTTATTTACTAAATTATTATATCTATATATTTTTTAAAAATTGACACAAACTCTTCCACATTTTTTTCTCTTGTAGCTTTTCAAACATCTTTATTAGAAACAATAAAAATATAAAGAAGTCTAAATAAAACTATTATAAGAATAGTAATTAATAGAATAAGCAAAATACAAGTTATTACTTAAATATAAGTTAAATATAAATGTTATTAATTATAGCCAAGTATAAGTAAGTATTAATTCTTACTAGTAGACAGCATGATTCTGCAAATTTTTATCTCAGAATTTCAACCAACTGACTTTTGTAGCACATCAACAAGGAGGAGATTGAATCTTAAAGGGCATTTCTTAGCCAGAGGGGTGGGTGCATGGATGTTTGGTTTAGTATTGTTTGTTAACCTTTACACTTATGTTTTTATACATTACATTTTATAACAATGCTACACTTGATAATAAAAATTAAAAGTATATATTTTTATGTAGACTGACTTTCCTTCTCCTCCAGCATGATTCTCTTTCTCTTATTTGGAAGGGAGGATAGAATGGGAGATTGAGCTCTTATTTCCCCATTTGGCTATCAATGAACACTTATGCATGGAATATCTTTGTTCTGATAAACACAATTTTTAAATGTCTTTCTTCCTAGTTGATTGGGAGCTCTATGAATTCAGGGATTGTGTCTGGCCTTTTTTTTTTTTTTTTTTTTTTTTTTTTGGTGTATTCCCAGTGCTAGGACCACACCTTGCTCAGCACTGTTGCCCTAAACCGGTCTGGCAATATATGGAATTTAGCCATGAAAATATTATTGAATAAATGCATTCCTCAAACATTTTATTCTAACCAGATTCAAAACCTGCAATTACTTCCTGCTTTCTCCATGACTTTGAGTAAGTTACTCTCTGAAACTCATTTTTCCTATTGTAATGTCTTATAACGATAAGGTTGTCCTGAGGATCAAATGTATTAAGTAAAATACCAGGCATGGAACTTGCCATCTAGTAAGTCCCAATAGTTCCATATCAGAGTTCTCTTGCAGTACTATTGAAATATCATAAAACCTGTCTTTAAAAAAGCTAGCTTTTTCCTATTAAATGAGATCTTTAGGCATTCTCTCATAGTTGTAATTTCAGTATAGAATTTAGCTATATGGGAAGACACACTAGCACCTAATCCCAACTATTTCTAAACAAAAGTGGCAATACAATTTAAGGATAATAAGAGGAAAGGCTTCAATAAATGCACCGGCTATCGCATTCCCCACACAGAAAGCGGGATTTGTTGTGGCAGTAGAGAAACACATCAAGGAACGGCCAGATTGCACCTTTTCCTATGTTTCACATTAGGTTGCAATAAACTTTCCACATCCACGAGGTATTATAACAACATGTCAAGGCAATTTTAGATTTAATGGTAGAATGCACATTCTAGTACAAGGGAGATAAACTTTAAGCTGGGCAGAATGAATGTCCTTTCTAGTTGAGAAGAAACAGGAGGCACCAAAACTTCAACTGTCATCAGAGCAAAGTAAAACAGTACCTGGATGTTTGGGGGATCCTTTGGCACTGCTCTGTAATGAGGAGGTGTAAGAGACTAATGCCAAACATATTGTTATAATTTTGTCCGCCAAAGGAAAAATTTAGCATGGTGTTAGCTGTGTTCTTTTTAAATGTAGCCCCACCCTTTCCTGCTTACTTTCTACAAGTTCAAAATTAATTAGGATCTCCTAGACCTGCTTATTAAATGAAAAAAACTCCATCAACAAAACAAAGTTTTAAAAGCTTTAATCATCCAGCAGCTAAAACTTCATGGTGGAGCTGTGTAATTTTTTTTTATTATACTTTAAGTTTCAGGGTACATGTGCACAACGTGCAGGTTTGTTACATATGTATACATGTGCCATGTTGGTGCTGCACCCATTAACTCGTCATTTAACGTTAGGTATATCTCCTAATGCTATCCCTCCCCGCTCCCCCCACCCCACAACAGGCCCCGGTGTGTGATGTTCCCCTTTCTGTGTCCATGTGTTCTCATTGTTCAATTCCCACCTATGAGTGAGAACATGCGGTGTTTGGTTTTTTGTCCTTGTGATAGTTTGCTGAGAATGATGGTTTCCAGCTTCATCCATGTCCCTACAAAGGACATGAACTCATCCTTTTTTATGGCTGCATATTATTCCATGGTGTATATGTGCCACATTTTCTTAATCCAGTCTATCATTGTTGGACATTTGGGTTGGTTCCAAGTCTTTGCTATTGTGAATAGTGCTGCAATAAACATATGTGTGCATGTGTCTTTATAGTGGCATGATTTATAATCCTTTGGGTATATACCCAGTAATGGGATGGCTGGGTCAAATGGTAATTCTAGTTCTAGATCCCTGAGGAATCACCACACTGGCTTCCACAATGGTTGAACTAGTTTACACTCCCACCAACGGTGTAAAAGTGTTCCTATTTTTCCACATCCTCTCCAGCACCTGTTGTTTCCTGACTTTTTAATGATTGCCATTCTAACTGGTGTGAGATGGTATCTCATTGTGGTTTTGATTTGCATTTCTCTGATGGCCAGTGATGATGAGCATTTTTTCAGGTGTCTTTTGGCTGCATAAATGTCTTCTTTTGAGAAGTGTCTGTTCATATCCTTTGCCAACTTTTTGATGGGGTTGTTTGTTTTTTTCTTGTAAATTTGTTTGAGTTCATTGTAGATTCTGGATATTAGCCCTTGGTCAGATGAGTAGATTGCAAAAGTTTTCTCCCATTTTGTAGGTTGCCTGTTCACTCTGATGGTAGTTTGTTTTGCTGTGCAGAAGCTCTTTAGTTTAATTAGATCCCATTTGTCAATTTTGTCTTTTGTTGCCATTGCTTTTGGTGTTTTAGACATGAAGTCCTTGCCCATGCCTATGTCCTGAATGGCATTGCCTAGGTTTTCTTCTAGGGTTTTTATGGTTTTAGGTCTAACACAGAAGTCTTTCATCCATCTTGAATTAATTTTTGTATAAAGGGTAAGGAAAGGATCCAGTTTCAGCTTTCTACATATGGCTAGCCAGTTTTCCCAGCACCATTTATTAAATAGGGAATCCTTTCCCCATTGCTTGTTTTTGTCAGGTTTGTCAAAGATCAGATGGTTGTAGATATGCAGCATTATTTCTGAGGGTTCTGTTCTGTTCCATTGATCTATATCTCTGTTTTGGTACCAGTACCATGCTGTTTTGGTTACTGTAACCTTATAGTATAGTTTGAAGTCAAGTAGCGTGATGCCTCCAGATTTGTTCTTTTGGCTTAGGATTGACTTGGTGATGTGGGCTCTTTTTTGGTTCCATATGAACCTTAAAGTAGTTTTTTCCAATTCTGTGAAGAAAGTCATTGGTAGCTTGATGGGGATGGCATTGAATCTACAAATTACCTTGGGCAGTATGGCCATTTTCACGATATTGATTCTTCCTACCCATGAGCATGGAATGTTCTTCCATTTCTTTGTATCCTCTTTTATTTCCTTGAGCAGTGGTTTGTAGTTCTCCTTGAAGAGGTCCTTCACATCCCTTGTAAGTTGGATTCCTAGGTATTTCATTCTCTTTGAAGCAATTGTGAATGGGAGTTCACTCATGATTTGGCTCTCTGTTTGTCTGTTATTGGTGTATAAGAATGCTTGTGATTTTTGTACATTGATTTTGTAACCTGAGACTTTGCTGAAGTTGCCTATCAGCTTAAGGAGATTTTGTGCTGAGACGATGGGGTTTTCTAGATATACAATATGTCATCTGCAAACAGGGACAATTTGACTTCCTCTTTTCCTAATTGAATACCCTTTATTTCCTTCTCCTGCCTAATTGCCCTGGCCAGAACTTCCAACACTATGTTGAATAGGAGTGGTGAGAGAGGGCATCCCTGTCTTGTGCCAGTTTTCAAAGGGAATGCTTCCAGTTTTTGCCCATTTAGTGTGATATTGGCTGTGGGTTTGTCATAGATAGCTCTTATTATTTTGAGATACGTCCCATCAATACCTAATTTATTGAGAGTTTTTAGCATGAAGCATTGTTGAATTTTGTCAAAGGCCTTTTCTGCATCTATTGAGATGATCAGGTGGTTTTTGTCATTGGTTCTGTTTATACGCTGGATTATGTTTATTGATTTTCATATGTTGAACCAGCCTTGCATCCCAGGGATGAAGCCCACTTGATCATGGTGGATAAGCTTTTTGATGTGCTGCTGGATTCGGTTTGCCAGTATTTTATTGAGGATTTTTGCATCAATGTTCATCAGGGATATTGATCTAAAATTCTCTTTTTTTGTTGTGTTTCTGCCAGGCTTTGGGATCAGGATGATGCTGGCCTCATAAAATGAGTTAGGGAGGATTCCCTCTTTTTCTGTTGAGTGGAATAGTTTCAGAAGGAATGATACCAGCTCCTCCTTGTACCTCTGGTAGAATTCGGCTGTGAATCCATCTGGTCCTGGACTTGTTTTGGTTGGTAAGCTATTAATTATTGCCTCAATTTCAGAGCCTGTTATTGGTCTATTCAGAGATTCAACTTCTTCTTGGTTTAGTCTTGGGAGAGTGTATGTGTCGAGGAATTTATCCATTTCTTCTAGATTTTCTAGTTTATTTGCACAGAGGTGTTTATAGTATTCTCTGATGGTAGTTTTTAATTCTGTAGCATCAGTGGTGATTTCCCCTTTATCATTTTTTATTGCATCTATTTGATTCTTCTCTCCTTTCTTCTTTATTTGTCTTGCTAGTGGTCTATCAATTTTGTTGACCTTTTCAAAAAACCAGCTCCTGGATTCATTGATTTTTTGAAGGGTTTTTTGTGTCTCTATTTCCTTCAGTTCTGCTCTGATCTTGGTTATTATTTGCCCTCTGCTAGCTTTTGAATGTGTTTGCTCTTGCTTCTCTAGTTCTTTTAATTGTGATGTTAGGGTGTCAATTTTAGATCTTTCCTGCTTTCTCTTGTGGGCATTTAGTGCTATAAATTTCCCTCTACACACTGCTTTGAATGTGTCCCAGAGATTCTGGTATGTTGTGTCTTTGTTCTCGTTGGTTTCAAAGAACATCTTTATTTCTGCCTTCATTTCGTTATGTACCCTGTAGTCATTCAGGAGCAGGTTGTTCAGTTTCCATGTAGTTGAGCGGTTTTGAGGGAGTTTCTTAATCCTGAGTTCTAGTTTGATTGCACTGTGGTCTGAGAGACAGTTTGTTATAATTTCTGTTCTTCTACATTTGCTGAGGAGAGCTTTACTTCCAACTATGTGGTCAATTTTGGAATAGGTGTGGTGTGGTGCTGAAAAAAATGTATATTCTGTTGATTTGGGGTGGAGAGTTCTGTAGATGTCTATTAGGTCCACTTGGTGCAGAGCTGAGTTCAATTCCTGGATATCCTTTTTAACTTTCTGTCTCATTGATCTGTCTAATGTTGACAGTGGGGTGTTAAAGTCTCCCATTATTATTGTGTGGGAGTCTAAGTCTCTTTGTAGGTCTCTAAGGACTTGCTTTATGAATCTGGGTGCTCCTGTATTGGGTGCATATATATTTAGGATAGTTAACTCTTCCTGTGAAATTGATCCCTTTACCATTGTGTAATGGCCTTCTTTGTCTCTTTTGATCTTTGTTGGTTTAAAGTCTGTTTTATCAGAGACTAGGATTGCAACCCCTGCCTTTTTTTGTTTTCCATTTGCGTGGTAGATCTTCCTCCATCCCTTTATTTTGAGCCTATGTGTGTCTTTGCATGTGAAATGGGTTTCCTGAACACAGCACACTGATGGGTCTTGACTCTTTATCCAATTTGCCAGTCTGTGTCTTTTAATTGGAGCATTTTGCCCATTTACATTTAAGGTTAATATTGTTATGTGTGAATTTGATCCTGTCATTATGATGTTAGCTGGTTATTTTGCTCATTAGTTGATGCATTTTCTTCCTAGCCTGATGGTCTTTACAATTTGGCATGTTTTTGAAGTGGCTGGTACCGGTTGTTCCTTTCTATGTTTAGTGCTTCCTCCAGGAGCTCTTTTAGGGCAGGCCTGGTGGTGACAAAATCTCTCAGCATTTGCTACGTGATGAATGCACAAGACTCAGTAGCCGATTTGATCAGGAAGAAAGGGTATCAGTGATGGAAAATCAAATGAATGAAATGAAGCGAGAAGAGAAGTTTAGAGAAAAAAGAATAAAAAGAAACAAGCAAAGCCTCCAAGAAATATGGGACTATGTGAAAAGACCAAATCTACATCTGATTGGTGTACCTGAAAGTGACAGGGAGAATGGAACCAAGTTGGATAACACTCTGCAGGATATTATCCAGGAGAACTTTCCCAATCTAGAAAGGCAGGCCAACATTGAATTTCAGGAAATACAGAGAATACCACAAAGATACTCCTCGAGAAGAGCAACTCCAAGACACATAATTGTCAGATTCACCAAAGTTGAAATGAGGGAAAAAATGTTAAGGGCAGCCAGAGAGAAAGGCTGGGTTACCCACAAAGGGAAGCCCATCAGACTAACAGCTGATCTCTCAGCAGAAACTCTACAAGCCAGAAGAGAGTGGGGGCTAATATTCAACATTCTTAAAGGAAAGAATTTTCAACACAGAATTTCATATCCAGCCAAACTAAGCTTCATAAGTGAAGGAGAAGTAAAATACTTTACAGGAGCTGTGTAATTTTTATGAGAGTATGAAATATTTAGATAGTCATTTTGTGTTTGCCTACTGTTTCTTAGGATTCCACCCCTTATAAACAATCCTTTCTCCAACCTCTTATAAACTCTGGTTATGCTTAAACTTAGAAAGCTGAAGCCCCAATTTCCTTTTTCTCCCTTCCTTCTCTCCAATTCTCTCCTTTTATTCCTTTCAACAAACATTTACTGAGCACTTACAGTTGGACACTTTGTTAAGATTCAATAAATAATCTTGTATTCTTTATAATAGCCTTAGGAGATAAATCATATTATAATTTTTCTCCATTAAACAAAAAAATGCTAAGAGAAATTAAGATTTAGAGATGGCAAGAAATTTGTTCAAGTTCACACAAGTAGGTAGTGGGGGAGTTGAGCTTCATCAAGTTAGCTACAGATTCTGTATTCTAACAAATTAAACAACACTGTCTCTCAGCTGTGTGCAAAGTGCATCAAAGTGTAATAACAAGATCAATGTTTTTATATATATGTAGAAGGTATGAGTCATCTCATAAATCTCAGAAGCCTGTCTCAGACATTTTTGCCAAGCATGCATTTTCACAGCAAGTCAGAGACTGGTTAAGTATTTTAATATGAAAGATAGGAAGTTTACCTTTCCAAAACAGTTCGCTGCAAGGCAGTTTGATTTTATGTAACATGCTTTCATTTTCTATGTTCGATTTGCAAAACATCACTTACTCTTTGATGATTTTTGAGGTCTAGGCAAGAAATGAAATGGTGAAGTTGCAGAGAGCTTAAACGTGTAATTAAGAATATCTTCGAGAGGGCTGAAAGGAAGTCATTTTTGCTGTATGTTTACCAGTTGCATTGCAAGGGTAGATTTTGGTATTGCTTAGCAGAAGACTCTTTTTGTTTTGTCTACATATGCCTATGTTGTCAATATTGTTTGAAAAAGTTTGCCTTAGCACAGAAAAAATGTCATACATTGAAATTTTTATTAAACCAACGTACCAGTAAAATTCAGATGTTAACACAGATTCTCCAGACATGAAATAAACATAAGTATTTTTTATTTCTTATCCATCCACTGATATTACAAATTATACAGGATGAACATATGTATGAAAACATATGTATTCCCTTAGAAAAGGTTAGTAACTTTTGGACTGTTGACAAGATTATGCATGCAGTAACTTGTGGTTACAATTTTAAGTGACATTAAATACTATCTTGTAGAACTTAACCTATATTGCTCAGGAGAAGTGTGATCATTCTAACTCATCCCTGGCAAGAAGGTATTATACGCATAGCTTTATTTCTTTATTTCTTTATTAAGAATATTAGGTGCAAAAGGCATTGTGGTTTTGCCATTAGTTTAACCGCAAAAACTGCACCAACTTAATACCATCTGTTGCACATTTCGAAAGACTTTCTTGAGGCTTTGTCCTGTATTAGAAGCAAGCTCCAGCAACTCCAGTTATATAAATGATGCCACAGTTATATAAGGTTCTTTATTTTTCAACAAAGCACAACATCCTTATACTACAGATGAAATTATTGTGGGAAATTTAAGATTGCACAGAAGATTAAGAAGTAGAACCTCAAAAAGGATTACAGGAAAGTAAATAATTTAGAGTAATACATCTTTCTTCTCACTTTTGTAATTTTACATAGTAGTTGTTGCTTGGGTTTATATTGTTTATTATTAAGGCTAAAATATATATACTTTAATATGGAATTAATGCCACAGATATGGGAGTATATTCATTTATATATATATATATATATGCATGTTAGTAGCTTGTTTCTTAATGAAGTACTAGTAGATATTTTTTGAATTTTGTTTTTTGGTTAGTCATCATTCAAGTTGAAACCTTGTCACACACATCTCTAGTCCATTGGCACGTAAAATTATTGTTTTGTTCGAATGACTCAGTAAATCAGGAATTTGTGTCATCAAAGGTGTGTTAAAGTTGCTCTGGAAAAAAAATAAGTCAATTCTCTATACCAGGAAAAATTACATTACATATGTATAGTACTGTAAAATGAGTAGGAGCACCATAGCTAGACATACATGGGTTCAACTTCCTCCCTGGCCAATTTTTAGCTGAATTACCTTGAACCTCAATTCCCTCATCTAAATTGGGATAATAATTTGTATCATATAGGAGTGACATGAAGATGCATGGGAGATGAAATGAAAATTAAAGCAGATCCAGAGATAGAATAGCCAAACATGATGATGATGATAAAGGCTATTATTATGAACTATGTGACAGGCACTGCATCAAGGGCTACACATACACATTTAAATCTCTCAACAACCCCATTAAGTAGCTTTTACTATCCCAAACTTACACAAGGCAAATAACATTCAAGGACATTTTAAAAAACTAGTCAAGGTATCACCATTATTAGTTGACCATATGGGATTATTGAACCCATGCCTTTGTGATACCAAAAGTTGAGCTTCTTATTACCATACTTATACAAAACCTCAGGTGCAGTATCTGGGATAGAATATATACTCAGCAAAAGTAGACTAGTTCTGTGTAAGTGTATGCGTATGTATTTTACTAGAAAAAAAGTATTTTCTCTATTGGTTATCCCATGTGAACTAGATTTTAAATGTCTTTACATTGTTATGTGACACATAATAAAATTACTGTTTCTTACTTCTATTATCTTAAATTATTTTTCAAATATTTCTTCAAATATATATATTTTTAATTTTTGTAGATTCGGGGAATACATGTTCATGTTCGTTGCATGGATATAATACATAATAGTGGCTGGGCGCGGTGGCTCACGCCTGTAATCCCAGCACTTTGGGAGGCTGAGGCAGGCAGATCACCTGATGCCAAGAGTTCGAGACTAGCCTGGCAAACATGGCAAAAACCCATCTCTACTAAAAATTATCTATATAAAAATTAGCTATCTATTATCTATATAAAATATTTATATAAAAATTAGCTGGGGGTGGTGGCACACACCTGTAGTCCCAGTTACTCGAGAGGCTGAGGCAGGAGAGGTGGAGGTTGTGGTGAGCTGAAATTGTGCCACTGCACTCCAGCCTGGGCAACAGAGCGAGACTCTGTTTCAAAACAAACAAACAACAACAACAACAACAACAACAACAAAAACATAATATTGTTGTACCCAATAGGTAATTTTTCAACTCTAACTCACCTTCTTCCCTCCCTGCTTTTGAAGTCCCCATGATTTCCTTCTGTATATTCATGTGTACTCATTGTTTAGCTCTCACTAACAAGTGAGCACATGTGGTGTTTGATTTTCTGTTTCTGAGTTATGTTACTTGGATATGGCTTCCAACTCCATCCACGTTGCTGCATAAGAGAGGATTTCATCGTTTTTTATTGTTGAGTAGTATTCCATTGTGTATCTATATAACATTTTCTTTATCCAATTATCCATTGATGGACACTTAGATTGATATCAATACTTTGCTATTGTGAATAGTGCTGTCATAAACATTAAGAATGCAGATGTCTTTTTGATATAATTATTTATTTTCCTTCAGGTAGATACTCAGTAGTAGAATTGCTGGGTCTAATGGTAGTTCTAATTTTAGTTCTTTAAGAAATCTCCATACTGTTTTCCATATAGATTGTACTAATTTACATTCCCACCAGCAGTGTAGAAGCATTCCTTTTATGCCACATCTTTGCCAACATCTGTTATTTGTTGACTTGTTAATAATATCCTGATGGGTGTGAGATGATATTTCAATGTGATTTTAATTTGCATTTCTCTGATGATTAGTAATGTTGAGCATTTTTTCATATGTTCATTGGCTACTTGAATATGCTCTTTTGAGAAATGTCTGTTTGTGTCGTTTGCTTAATTTTTAATGAGGTTTGTTGTTTTTCGTGTTGAGTTATTTGAGTTCCTTGTAGATTCTGTATATTAGACATTCGCTGGATGAGTAGTTTGCAAATATTTTCTCCCTTTCTATAGGCTGCTTGTTTCACTGTTGATTATTTCTTTTACTGTGCAGAAGCATTTTAGTTTAATTAAGTTCCATTTGCCTATTTTTGTTTTGGTTGCATTTGCTTTTGAGATCTTAGTCATAAATACCAATGTCCAGAAGAGTTGTCACTAGGTTTTCTTCTTTCTTCTTCTCTTTAGTAGGTTTTTACTGGTATTTTTGTAGTTTCAGATCTTACGTTTAAGTCTCAATCCATCTTGAGATAATTTTTATATATGGTGAGAGATATGGATCCAGCTTCATTC
Organism: Homo sapiens; assembly: GCF_000001405.40. Taxonomy (NCBI): domain Eukaryota; kingdom Metazoa; phylum Chordata; class Mammalia; order Primates; family Hominidae; genus Homo; species Homo sapiens. The sequence continues at coordinate 88,397,675 of NC_000012.12, read as the reverse complement.
TTCTGCATATGGCTATCCAATTTTTCTAGCAACATTTATTGAATTGGATGTCCTTTAAGCATAGTATATTTGGGTCAACTTTGTTGAAGATCAATTAGCTGTTTGTGGCTTTATTTCGGGGTTCTCTATTCTCTTCCATTGACCTATGTGTCTATTTTTAAACCAGTACCATGCTACCTTGGTTACTATAGTCTTATAGTATAATTTAAATCAGGTAATGGGATGCCTGCAGCTTTGTTCTTTTTGCTTAGTATTGCTTTGGCTATTCAGGCTCTACTTTGGTTCCATATGAATTTTAGGAATTTTTTTTCTAATTTTGTTAAAAGTAACATTAATGATTTGGTAGGAATTGTGTTGAGTTTGTAGATTGCTTTGAGCCATATAGTCATTTTAATGATATTAATTTTTCTAAAACTTAAGTATGGGATATTTTTCTGTTTGCATCATCTATGACTTATTTCATCAGTATTCTGTAGTTCTCCTTGAAAAGACCTTTCATCTTCTTGGTTAAATGTATTCCTAGGTATTTTGTGTGTGTGCTGTTTGTTGTAAATGGGATTGAGTCTGGATTTGTTTCTCAGCTTGAACATTATTGGAGTATAAAAATGCCCTGATTTTTGTGTGTTAATTTTGTATCCTGAAACTTTACTGGAGTCAGTTAACAAATACTAGAGTCTTTTGAGTTTTTAAGTATAAGATCATGCCATCAGCGAACAGAGATAATTTGATTTCCCCTTTTCCTATTTGGGTGCTTTTTATTTCTCTCACTTCTCTGATTGCTCTGGCAAGAACTTCTGGTACCATGCTGAATAGGAGTGGTGAGAGTTGACATCCTTGCCTTATTCCAGTTCTTAGGGAGAATGCATGCAACCTTTCCACTTTCAGTAAGATGTTGGCTATAGGTTTGTCATAGATGGCTCTGATTACTTTGAGGTATGTTCTGTTGATGCCTAGTTGGTTGCAGGTTTTTATCATAAAGAAAATATTCTATTGAATGATTTTTCTGCCTCTACTAAGAAGATCATGTTTTCTGTTTTTAATTCTGTTTACGTGAATTTACACATATTGATTTTTTTACACATTTATTGATTTTTGTATATTGAACCACCTTTGCATCCCTATAATAATACTGGCTTGATCATGATATGTTATCTTATTTATGTGATGTTGGATTCAGTTTGCTAGTATTTTGTTAAGGACTTTTGCATCTATGCTCATCAGGGATATTGGCCTGTAGTTTTCCTTTTTTGTTGTGTCTTTTCCTGATTTTGGTACCAGGGTGATAGTGGTTTTGTAGATGAGTTAGAGAGCAATCCTTTCTCCTCAAATTTTTTTTGTTTTGTTTTTAGAATAGTTTTAGTAAGATTGGTACCAGCTCATCTTTGTTTGTCTGGTAAGGTTTGACTGTGAATCTCTCTGCTTCTGGATCTTTTGTTGTTGGAAGATTTTTTAAGATTACTGATTGCTTTTCTTTACATGTTCTTTGTTTAAATTTTCAAAGAACTAATTTTTTAATTTAATGATTCATTGCATCCTTATTTTCTCATTCCTTCTGCTAGCTTTAAGTTTTGTTTGTTCTTGTTTCTCTAGTTCCTTGAGGTATGACATTAGGTTGTAAATTTGACATCCTTTTAATCTTTTTTGATGTAGGCATTCAATGCTATAAACTTTTCTCATAGCACTGCTTTTGCTGTATCCTATAGGTTTTGGTATATTGTGTCTCTATTTTCACTCATATCAATTTTTTTTTATTTCTACCTAAATCTCATCATTTACCCAAAGCTTATTCAGGAGCAAGTTGCTTAATTTCCATGTATTTGTATAGTTTTAATTTTATTCTGATGTCATCCAAGATACTTCAAATAATTTTTATTTTTTGAATTTATTGAGGCTTGTATTATGACTAAGCATATAGATTATTGTGGAGAATATTTCACACATGGATAAGAAAAATGTATATTCTGATAAGAACAAATACTGTACTTGATCTTAGCCAAAAGGCTGGGAAGTAATAGAAAAATGTATATTCTGTGGTTGTTGGGTGCAATGTTCTGTAACTGTCTATTAGGTCCATTTGATCTAGAGTCCCGTTGAAGTCCAGAGTTTGTTGATTTTCTGCCTCAGTCATCTGTCTAGTGCTACCACTGAGGTGTTGAAGTCCCCTAATACTATTTTATTTCTCTCCATCTCTTTTCTCAGGTCTAGTAGTGTTTGTTTTATAAATCTGAGTGCTCTGGTGGTTGGCTCATACATATTTAGAATAATTATATCTTCTTGTTGAATTGAACTCTTTATCATTACGTAACAACTTTCTTTGCTTTATTTCACTATTGATTATTTAAAGTCTGTTTTAACTGTTATAACTATAGCTACTCCTGCTTTTTTCTGTTTGTTTGTTTTCTGTTTACATGGTATATCTTTGTCCACCCCTTCATTTTGAGTTTATGGGCCTTCACTTATTTTGCGGGTTTCTTGTGGACAGCAAGCAGTTGTATCTTGTTTTTTTAAATACAATTGACCTATCTATATCTTTAAGTGGAAAATTTAAGTCTTTTATGTTTAAGATTCATATTAATATGTAAGGTTTTCTTCCTGTCATAATGTTGTTACCTAGTTGGCTTTGTAATCTCAATGTGTAATTCCTTTATAGGATCTGTAAACTTTGTACTTACATGTGCTTTTATTATGGAAATCATTGTCCTTTCATTTCCATGTTTAGAACTCTTTTGAGCTTTTCTTGTAGGGCTGGTCTAGTGGTGATGAATTTGCCTTAGCATTTGCTTGTCTGAGAAAGACTTTATTTCTCCTTCATTTATGAAGCTTAGTTTGGCACTATATAAATTCTTGACTGGCATTTTTTTTTCTTTGAGAAGGCTGAAAATAGGCCCTCAATCTCTTCTGCCTTATAAAGCTTCTGCTGAGAAGTCCACTGTTAGTCTAATGAGATTTCCTTTATAGATTATTAGAGGCTCCCCTCTAGCTGCTTTTAGGATTTTTTTTTTCTTTCATCTTGACTTTGGATAGTCTGATGGCTATATGCCTTCATGAGATTCTTCCTGCAGAGAATCTTCCAAGTATTCTTTGAGCTTTTGTATCTTAATGTCTAGTTCTCTAGCTAGGCCAGGAGAGTTTTCTTGAATTATTCTGTCAAATATGTTTTCCAAAGTTTTTACTTTTTCTTCTCCCTCAGAAATGCCTTTTACTCATAGATTTGGTTGTTTTACATAATTCCATATTTCTTGAAGGCTTTGTTCATTATTAAACATTTCTTTATCTTTATTTTCGTCTGACTGGGCTAATTTGAATGACCAGTCTTCAAGTTCTGAAACTCTTCTGCTCAGTTTAGTCTACTCATAAAGCTTCCAACTATTTTTTGTAATATCATCAATAATTTTTTTATTTCCCAAAGTTCTGTTTTTTTAAAAAAACTATCCATGTCTTTAGTAAATTTTTCATTCATATCCTGAATTGTTTTCCTGATTTTTTGTGTTGATTTTCAACTTTTTCTTGGAACTCATTGAGATTTCCTACAATCCATATTTTGAACTTTTTCTCTTATTTCAGAGTTTTTATTTTGATTAGGATCCAAACTCATTTTTGATTAGGATCCATTGCTAGACATCTAATGTGATCCTTTGGGGATGTTGAAATGTTGTTTTTTGTTTGTTTGTTTGTTTGTTTGTTTGTACTGCAGGAGTTCTATGATGATTATTTCTCATCTGGAGAAGCTTGCTCTTCTTATTTTTGAATTTTCTTTTGTTTGGATGGGAATTTTTATTTATTTTTCCCCTTGAGGTGTGACTGTAATGTATGTTGTATATGATCACTTGGTTTCAATTCTGGATGCTTTCAAGGGGCCAAGGTTCTGGTATAAATTCCTTGGTTATAGATAGCTTTTCTATGTGTGGTGGCTTTCTCAAGTGCTGATTGTTGTAACAATGCATTGGGTATATGAACTGGCTCACTATTTTCTGTGGGGCTAAGAGCTGAGATCTCAGGAAGCGTATCTCATTCCCTAGCACTATGCCTTTCTGTAAGTGGGGTTTTTTTTTTTTTGATTATGCAGTTCAACTTTCAGTCCTGTAGGTGGCACTTACAAGTAAGAGCTGGCTCATTCCCAGATACCCCAATGATCAGTGGAAGCACCTACCCTGACTGGGGTGGTTGAGAGAGCACATGGTACAATGCTCTGAGGTATCCTCAGAGGTGGCAAGGAGGGGGCTGTATCAGTTCCCCATCCAATTCCCTATCACACCACTGTCCCAGAGCTTGCAGCCTTCAGTTCAGATAGACCCTGCCCTTTATCTCCAGGCTAAATGGAACTGAATTCTGCAGAAAATGCACATCCTGTGGCTACCCTGAATTGGCCTGGAGTGGAACCTCTTCCCTCAGCCCCAAACAACTCTGTGGCTGGCCAGCATTCAGCTGTAGGGATGCCATTACTCCACATAGGAAGAGGATGTTGAATCCTGCCCTTTGTGCAAGCCTGGGCTCGTGGGCACACTTTCAGTAGGGGTTTAGTAACCCCACATAGTCCTGGAGAAGCTATCTCCAGGTATACCCACTCCAATACCCAGTAGGAAAACCTGTGGCTGCATCCACAGCAGTGGATGGGGGGACAAGAGAAGACCCCCCACCTTCACATCTGTTCCTGGCCACTGGTGCTGCCTGTCTACTGAAGTAGAACAACATTCCTCCCTTTCAGAGATCAGCACTATGCCCTCATCTTCACTGGGATGGGCACAGTTACCTTCTGCTCACAAGCATGAGAGGGCTATCAGATGGGGAGAACACACAATCAGGTTTCCTTTGTCCTAAGGGGCACTTTGGCAGGCTGCATTGCCCCTTGCCCTATGGGTAGCTCATGCTAAGAGCCAGATCTTTGGGGATACCTCAGCTCCCCAGTCTTGCCAGTCTCCTGTGGTTGCCACAGTCAAAGTGGGCTCTAGGGAATGTTTGCAGGGGTTCTAGGATGGGAAGACATAACAGCTGATATTCTCCGGGCAGAATAGTGGCTGAAACTTTTAAAAGTCCTAGTTGATTCAAATAGAACTCTATTGGTGGCACAAATGTTACTTTTCTGACTATGTCTAGGACAAAGATGACAGTTTATGAGGGATTCATACAGAAAATTAAAGCATAATAGGTGACCAGCCCAGTACTGAATACTGAGAGCACCTGAACAAGAATGTTTCTAGCCTAACTTAAGTTTATGCAACCTGGAAAACAAAATTACTGATCTGAATTTCCAGTTGATGCTGAGATTCTGTCAGAAATTTATCTGTTCATGGTATGGAGTAAATTGTTCAATGACGGCCGGGCGTGGTGGCTCACGCCTGTAATCCCAGCACTCTGGGAGGCCAAGGCGGGTGGATCACGAGGTCAGGAGATCAAGACCATCCTGGCTAACATGTCTCTACTAAAAATACAAAAAATTAGCCGGGCATGGTGACAGGCTTCTGTAGTCCCAGCTACTCGGGAGGCTGAGGCAGGAGAATGGCGTGAACCCGGGAGGCAGAGCTTGCAGTGAGCCGAGATAGCGCCACTGCACTCCAGCCTGGGTGACAGAGCGAGACTCTGTCTCAAAAAAAAAAAAAAAAAAAAAAATTGTTCAATGTCATTAAACCATATGACTCTGTTGTTAAAGAAAACATCTCCTAAGGCAACACATTCAAAAATTAAGAAAAACAGGGATGATTTTTAGATGTCATTTTCAACAATTCTTTCATAGACATTTAAGATATATTTTATTTCCTAACACAAATAATGTGTTTCATTATTTGTTTGATAATCAGTTTAATCTTTGGCAACCTCCATTTCTGTAATTTATGACATCTGGTTAAAAAAAATCCCCAAGCAGCCAGGGAGCTTAGTCACAGATGTCAGCATGAAGTGGTAGTGAAAGCAAAGCGTTCTGACTTCAAAGGGTTAGGAAAGACTTGTAACAATGTAATAAAAAGAATAGATGCCACAGACATCATAAGTGTCAGAAAGAGCCAGAAACTCAGAAATGAAAATGTGGAGATAAATCAACATATGCTGGGTTTCAGTTTTCCAAGTTCCCTCCATCTTCAGCAACCATCCAGACACTAAGATGTGTTCTCATTCTTTATATCTGTGACCCAAATTAACTTTATCTCCAACAACCCCCTACTCATCCCTTCCTCCCACTCTACTCAAAACTTCCTTTCAATCAGTCAGAAAAGACTTTTACAACTTGAGAGTTTTATGAGTTGGGTTGTACTTTGTATTAATATTGTTCTCTTCCAAATTTATCCAGGAGTTTAGTATAAAAAATGTTATCAGGCATTTTTTAGGTCAGCCTCCATTGGTGTTGGCCCCATTCACAGGCTCTTTTTACAAAATAGACCCCGGTACATACAGGATGGCAAAGGCAAATGGTGATTGCTCTCTCCTCTGCATCCCTAGCAGTTCCTGGAAAAGGATTCTGGTTGGTCAAGGTTAGGTTTCATGCCATACCTTCAATTTGGGTCACTACTAGGGAGAGAAGGAACGTCTTGTAAAAGAAAAGAGGGAGGGAATTTGTTATCAGAAGAGCAAGAATGCTGGGCTTAGAAAAGCCAATTCCAAGAGACAATTTGAAAGAAAATTACTAGAAAGCTAGAGAACAGAGAGAGAACAGACTTTCCTTCAAGTGACTCAGATCCAAGGTCGGCAACAGGAGGATGCCGAAGTATTCTGTAAAACAGTGCTTTTTAAGAACCCTATTTTGCCAGATGTTTATCTTCCAGATTGAGGGCAGTGAAACTAGTGAGGTAAACAAGATAACAATAGCAAGAAGCCACTCATACCCATGAATACATTGGGAGAAGGTAATATTATTGGATACTAGAAGCTAATTAGTTTGACAGAAACAGAGATTCACAGAGAGAGTGGTTATGGGGCAGCAGCTGGCATCATGGTGAACGTACAGCCACAACTGGGATGCCTCCTGTAGCAGAGAGAGAAATTGTTCCCCAGTGTCACTCTTGGTTCCTCCCTGCAAGCCCCATACAGTATATCTCATTGGCTGAAGGTAGTCAGAAGCAACTGACAGATGTATAATTCATGTCCTCTGGGAAGTAGATGCCAAGATGAATTTAGATGTACAAGAGGTTTAATAGAGGTAATGCCTATGAAAGATAAAGTGGAGAAGGAAAAAGAGTATGTAGGGAAGGACTTGAGAGCTGATACTGAAATGAGGCTTATGAAAGGAATGGGGGCAGATCAAAGGACTGGGTAGTGAGAGCCCCAACTGTGATAGAGTTCTGAGAAAGACTTGATCAGCCCAATAGTTTACTCTGGAACATAGATTACAATTGAGGGGTCTTGTATTCCTCCATGCTCAGTCATTGAGGTTGGGGGCATCCTAAGTAGCAAGGGACCTCAGCTCCAAAGCTAAGGCAGATCCTGAAGGCACCACAGCTGGGTACTATTGGTGTCCTGACCTTCCTGTGGCAGAGTCACTCTTGAAGGGGGTATGGGCATTTAGGGCATCTTACCCTCTGTGGCTGCCACAGCAGGGAAGCCTAGAAAACACAGATCACTATGGTCAGCCTCTGCAACACTCAGCAAAGCAGGAGGAGAAAAGGAACAGATTTAAGTGCAAACAGGCTAATGATTGGCTTACAGGTGAAGAAAGTATCAGTTGCATGATTATATTCAATAATTGTAATATATAATGTTTTACCATGCTCAGATTCGGGAGCATGGATTTTAGGATTAAAACTGTCTGGTAACTCTAAGAAACCAACTTATCTTCACATATAACAAATCTTATGTTTAAGAATGCTAAGAACCCCTATGAGTAACTGTAACAAAGGAAGCTTTATTATGTATTACAGAATGCAAAGCTGGAGCAAACTTCACAACCCTTAATTAAGCCCATTTCTTCTGCAGATGTTCAAACAGCCTCAGATAGACTAGGTGAGATTCTCCAATTTATAAAACTTGTTTGTGACAGAAGTCAAGCTATATCCCCAATTTTTTTACTCTTGCAAAGAACTCCCATTAGGAATATAATAATGTTCAGCTTTGAATTTGAAAGTCAATGCTTAATAGTACTACACAACAGAAACTAGACCATTTTGTATTCAAATATTCTCTTGTGTGAGAAAGTAAAATTGGCCCAATTGTCCCATAGAATGAAGTTTACGGTCTTTTTCAATAAACATAGAAATGGATTCTCCTGGTCTTAAAACCTGAAACTTACATTGTCCAAGTTTCTTCCTCAGGAAATTGAAACTCAGGCCTCTGAAACTGTATCAAGGAACTAAAACTTATCAGATCACCACATCCAGATGAGACATCAAACCCTGTATTCATCATGATTGCTTCCTTACCCCTCTCTAATTCCTGTTTCCCCACATGTAGCTACATTCCTTCTCTGTTATATAAACCCCCGAATTTAGTTGGGTTGAGGAGCCTTTGAGATTTACCTCCCATCTCCTCAGCTGACATCACCCAATTACAGCTTTTCTTTCCTGGCAATACTCATTGTCTCAGTCATTGGCTTTGTGCACAGCAAGCAATGTGACCTACACTGATCCCCTGGCATTTTGATAAAAAATTTTGTTGTTCCTTGACTGTGAATGCATTGCTCATGGCTCAGCTGCTATGTGCTGGGAGAGTTTCAGAAGTTCTCCTAAGCAGCTGCCTGCCCATTTTTGGTCAGAAGTGGGTTTGGTTTCTCTCTCTTCGGATCCACCACTACCAGCCCCAACCACTCTCCTGATTGCCTAGGAAGAACAGCTATTGAAATTTGACATCTATATTTGGATAGGTGTCTTTTGTGGGTACCAGACAAAGGATTGCCTTCTCTCAGTCTGGGAAATTCCAAAGGAGTTACCATTTGCAGGTTGAACAAGCCCGACCAATGGAAAGAGGAAGCACCTTGACTATTTCAGTTTTGACACTCTTGTGGTTTGTTCATTGCTACAGATTGGATTGTGTTTTTGTGACAGTTTGTGTGTGTGTGTGTCATCATAATCATGGGAGGTTGGGGTTTGATCCCAGAGAGCAGCCCATTGGGGTGCATTCTTCAGAGTTGGCCAGAATGTAGTTGAGGGTTGATGGAGTAAGGGAAAGTCTTCAGCCATACTACTCTGAACATGCCTGATCTCATCGCACAAGGTCTTTGAATTGCAGAGCTTACAATTGGATTAATTTTGCTGTTGAATGGGAAAGTGGGATGGAGGTCTGTATATCTAGGCTTTTATGCTGCTGTTCTAAGCAGGATTGAGCCTGATTGATTAGTATCTTGTTCTATGGTGCTGATTAGTCTCAGTGTTCTTTGGAGGTTGGGGAGGTTTGGCCTTTAAAAATCAAACTGCTTTGGAAACTGCTTTACCCTAAACTTATGTTCACAGCCTCTATTGAATTACCTATTAGGGCAAACCAAATTCAGCCATGTGAACATGTTTATAAACCTGTGAGATTATATTGCTCTCTCATGGCTATACTTCTAAGATGAAAGCTATTGGGTCTTTGTTTTTATGTGAGTATACATGTCTGGATGTTATGTGTTGTTTTTACAGAGTACCAAATTGGCTTGTAAATAAAAGAGCAATCATAAATTAAGTAAATAAGTTCAAGCATTTTTCCAGTTCATGTCTCTTAAGTACATTTTTGTTAAATAAGCTGGCTTTAAAGTTATTGGTAAGATAAGAATAAAAATGTCTTCAGAATTGTCAGCATACATTTTTGTCCAGATTTTATATTTGTCTCTCCTAGATATTTTAAGGTGCCACTGTTTTTATAAAATTATAAACACAAACAAAAACAGAATTATCTTTGTGTGATTTTTTTGACAAGTAAGACTAATTTAATATTGTTGGTTCAATGAAAACAACAGCTGAATCTTCTGAGTTATCAGAAAAATACCCATGTGTTAACGTTCTTACACCTGAATATCAGGTGTGAACACCTGATAGTCACAGACTATAAAAAATGATTAATGAGGAGATAACTTGAAATGATGAGTAGTTTTGTCTAATATCTAATTTTCAGAAGTAATTCATATAAACTGTTGAAGATGAAAGAACTGAATACATGTAAATGGGATAAATGCTTATAGGTAAACTTTTTGTGGAATTTAAAATCTTAAAGTTATTTTGATTCAATAATAGATGTTTGTTGGATGTCTGGGTCATTTCTAAATAAGAAAGGGTTATAATATGGGAAAACATTTATAAAAATTGTGGAGTGATTTTATTTATAAAATGCTAGTAAACCTGATAGTTCAGGATTTCTTGGTTCCTGCAGTTTCACTAAAATTTAAGTTACTAAAATTTAAGTTTACTAAAAATAAGAATTCTACATATAAAGTGTGTCAAATCAGAAAGTGCAAGCATGTCATAGATGATCTGTATAAATCATGATATGGTTCATGAAAAGAGAATTTATGAAAGGAATTTCATATGTGATTAAGTTGGCTATAATTAAAGGGGAATTATTTAAAATAGTTTTCTAAAGATTGGTTCTCTATGTTAAAACATTATTTTCTTAAAATATTGATTTGATGTAAATAAAAGAGACTTCTATTTTGATTCTATAATCTTTCTTTTTGAAAACTTCTCATATTTGTATCTCAGAAGTGCCACTTGATTGTGTCTTGCTGCTTTCAGCTTTTTTTGCTCCTCTTGAAAAGGCCTGAAGTAACTCTCTCCTCCAACTTTTTCATCAGCTCTTGTATTTTTTTCCTCAAGTTCTAACTGCTATTGTGGCCTGATGTTAAAATGTTTATCTGAAAAGTCTATAAAAGCAGTGTTTTCCTCTAGCATAACTTGATTTCCCTGCTTAAGGTGCTATTTTTCTAGTTTCTTGTTTCCTCTATAATATTGATATTATGTTCACTCATGGCCCTGAACGCATTCTTCCTGTGTTTCATTAATTCAAGTACCCTTTCATCAGATTTGACCTCCAGGTTATCCAAATGGACTTCCCATGAGGAGATGCAATCACACTGTAGCAGGTCCTTCTTTCCCTTCTGGCTGCTGGCCTAACCAACAGATATTACATTTTATGGAGAGAATGTCTATGTCATTGTTATTAGGTTTTTGAATGCTTAGGAAAACTGAGATTTAAAAGAATTAAGGTTTTTTTTATATTCATGTAACTTTCTTTATTGCTTTTAAAGTCCTTGTGCTGTTATTAATATGTTATAGAGCTTTGAATCCTGGGTCTGAAAAGGGCACTGACACCCGCTAAATCTTGAAATTGACATCAGTTAAAGCCTTGTCTTCAAATATGGAGAAAGGGAACATCAAAATGAACTGCTTTCATGAGACACAGGGCCATAAATTAAAACAATCCAATCCCTGTAGACCCAGGGACTATCATAGAAGTGGTAGGTGCATGAGATTATAAGGGCCAATTTTGAGGGATGAAATTAGTACAGTTTTTTTTAATAAATGAAACCCCAATTCTACTACAAATACAAAAAAAAATAGCTGAGAATGGTGGTGTGCACCTGTAATCCCAGCTACTCGGGAGGCTGAGGCAGGAAAATCGCTTGAACCTGGGAGGCAGAGGCTGCAGTGAGCTGAAATCCCGCAACTGCACTCCAACATGAGTGACACAGCAAAACTCAGTCTCAAAAAAAAAAAAAAAAAAGAAAAAAAAGGAAAGAAAATTGTAAAAGGTTATAAGAGGTTTATGGAGATCTTATCTTATGGTCAAATTGATTAAAATTAGATTTATTTACAAGCCCTCATTACAATTAGCTTTAGCATTATTAATACACAATACAGAGGTAAATTTTTTCTCTTATGAACAATGTTTTTGTGTAATATTAGTAAGAGATAATAAAATATTTTCGATTAACTTTTGAGTAAACTTCCAAAAAATAAAAGAGCAGAGAGAGAAACAGATTTAATTGGCCTTATGCTGTCTTTATTAGGTTTTTTCTCGGGGGGAAACTCAGTCTACTCTCTATCAAAGAGTAATGGTTTTTGTTTTTTTGAAATCTTTGCGTTATCATTCTGGCTAAGTGGATTACTATTTTATGGTGACCTGTAATGCGATTTTATGACATTAAGTGTTTGAAACACTTAGATAAAACTTGAAACACTTAGATAAAAGTTTTGACATTTGCCAAACTTTCCAATATCAAAATTCAAAATTCTGAATTCCGTCTTCTTTTAAATCTCAGACTAACTTTTTGGACGCTGGGGTCCCTTGGGTCCAAAACTGCTTAATTTTCTTTGGGTTATATTTATATAAATATATAAATTTCCATATGTTTGTTAGTATGTATTCTGAAATTCTATGAGACTCCTAAAATTCTGATATATCATAGTATATGTCATCAATAGTAATTATGAGTGTTATATTAAACTGTTGTATGCCACAGAAATAATTAAATTTTCTTGTCAATTATATCTTTAACCATGGCTGTCCTAAGACTTCTGTCTTCCAAATTATTGTTTTACTCTGATTCCTCTTAAAAAGCAGTTTATAATCAGCTGAAGTCCAAAACTTGCTTCTTTAGGGGAGTTCATAAAAATGACTCTTGAATGCAGGTTTCTGACAACTTCTGAAGATTGCGCCATTGGACTAGAGAGAAAACTTCCAGGACTCTCATTGAAGAGGTGATGTATTCAGGAGAATTGCTGATCCAATATTAAGTAAAATAGGAGTTAATTACATGGACTGAACTAATATGGAACTGAAATTTTTATGCCTTTTTTATAGGAAACATTGCTGATTATTTGTTTTGTTTTTCAGAGTCAAGAAAACTTTTTTCTTTCAAGCTATTTATAGCCTTTAACAATTGGGTAGAGTATACTCTTGTAAACAAAATTTGAAGCATATTTATCTCTCTACCTGATTTCTACAGAATTCAGAAACTATTTGTGAATATTCCTAATTTATGGCAACATAGTTATTTGCATAAGTTAAATGAAAATCTTTTTTTAATAACAGAACAAAATTGGAGACACTGGTTATTTTTTACCAAGGCTTTTACTGAAATGACATATTTTCACATATAGGCAGACTGTTTTGAGAAACCAAATTTGACTATATAAAGTAATAAACGTCCCTTGGAAAGACTGACCTTGTACCTTGTCTATGTAGTTCCTCACAGGGTTCCTGACCTGTGGTATGTAAAGGATGTCACTTTCTGACAGGCCCAGGAATCTCAAGTTACTTTGGGACTTAGAGAAAAAAGGAATTCATACAGGTATTTTCAGACACAGATAAATCCTTGGCTGGTCTGGGCTCAAGAAGCCTTTAAAAGTCAATTCTAAGATTCCTTATGAAAAAGTTCCTGCAAAGTTGATTGAAAAGAACCTACGTAAACAATAATTCTTGCTAAACTTTATGCAAATAATCAGGACAAATACAATAAGACTAAAACATATATATATTTTTTGAGACAGAGTCTTACTCTGTCAGCCAGGCCGGAGTACAGTGGCACCATCTTGGCTCACTGCAACCTCTGCCTCATGGTTTCAAGCAATTCTCCTGCCTCAGCCTCCTGAGTAGCTAGGATTACAGGTGCATGCCACTGGACCTGACTAATTTTTGTATTTTTAGTAGAGACGGGGTTTCACCATGTTGGCCAGGCTGGTCTCGAACGCCTGACCTCAAGTGATCTGCCCGCCTTAGCCTCCCAAAGTGCTAGGATTACAGGTGTGAGCCACCTCGCCCAGTCCTAAAACATATTTTTGCAAATAAATTGGTTCTACTATGATTTGTCTTTGGTAAAAGTGAGGGACTGGAGAGACAACAATTATGTTTCAGAAGAAAAGTATTATATTAACCTTTGACTCATGGGTGGCCATATGGTCACCCATGGTATGGATCTGCAAATGTTCTGCATTCAGTTGTTAAAGGTAAAAGTTACCAGTAGGATTTAGAGATGCATGGATGCATAAGAAAACTCAAACTAATAAGGAAAAAGTAAAATATTATTCCCTTGTTTATTGTTATCTGTGATAGCTAAAACAAAAGTAAGAGAGTGTTGGGATGGCCTTGAGGCTGGACCAAGCTCAGATATGGGCCTGTCTGAGCTCAGATCACTAGCCTCAAAATTACCCACAAAAGAGGAAATTATGCCAGAAAGTAACTCTGAGACATGTGGTTTCTAACAAGATAGCTAGTGTAGGGGAAGGGCAAAACCAGGTAACTACTGAAACCAGAAGGTATAACACGAAGGAATTGTTCCATTTTGTAGATTGCTATCATCAACATTCTGATGAACCTTTACTAAAATGTATTGTGAAAGTTACTAACTTAAGAGCAATGTCTTTGGTTTTAAATGCTACAGAATGAAGGAGTATATTTGTGCAGGACCCACAGCTCACAATTGAACAATTGCAGATGGGTGTATATAATCCAGACACAGAGGACGTTATTCTCAAGAGAACAGCCAGCCTGGTGGACTGGATGGAAAGGCACTGCAAGATCTGTTTACTCTGAGAAAAGAAACTGTCCAGTTCCACCTATCAATGCCAAGTGGAGCACCCCAGATGAAGCAGTTGATATGCTTCATATGCAAGCCATGGGGAACTGGCTTTATGATGACAGCAGTATTAACCTTTCTTTTTGGCTTTTGGTTTTTTGCTCTCATGTTTTTTAAAGCATTTTAAGGGGTAATGAGTGCCTGACCACCTCCTTTCCTGTCTTGCCTGGAACATTGAATTGGCTATAAGTCTTTTGACTCTAAGTCTTCTGGCTATAGGGGTCCCAGCAAGGGACAGAATAGACCCCAAGTAGGTAGCCACACCAACCCAGCAAAGAAATGGAGCAAAATAAGAGACTGGACATCATTGCTGCCTCTGGCATATCTTGACCAAAAGGGGCTAACCTAAAAATAAAGTTCTAAGCACCCTATCAACTGAACAGACCTACTTGTGGCTAAGGGGACCCCAGTTTCCAAGAGATAAATCATACCTGGGAAAAATTCTTGCCCCCTGCCCTGCCGACGATATGAATAGCCTCCAGAAGTAGGTTGGGTCTTAGCTCCTTTGAAATGTTGTATGGAAGACCATTTCTCTGACCCCTGAAGATTTTTTCCTCCCCTGAAACAGAAACTAAATCATATGTAAAATGATTGGGAAATATATTAATAGTCTCTCTGAATTTGCTTCCAACAGGCACCCGTTTCCTACAGATGTGTCCCTCCACTCTTTGAAGCCGAGGGCAAAATCATGCTGAAGACCTAGAAATCCCACCAGTCTGAAGACCAGCTGCAACCACAATGGGTTAGCCCTTTTCAGGTGCTGCTGACCATTCATACTAATCTGTCAAGTTAGCTGGTGTTAAGCCATGGATTCTTCATACTTAGAGAAAACCAGTCCCTTTGGGATCCCTCCAAGGAAAACAGTGATTTTCTTGTGAACCCTCGGACCGGCTTAAGTTAACATTCAAAGTCCAGTCAAGGCCCTAGATAAGACTTCAGAAAGGGAACATGCACTTTTCAGGTTATTCTTCTCTCCCAAACCCTGGTTCTTTGCATGCAAGATATAATGAATTAGGAAGACTTTTTCATAGGCTTAGGATTGTTCTCTTGGATTCCCCAGGAGATCTGTTCCATATTCTTTGGTATTTTAAAATTTGGTCTATCTATCTTATTAATCATCCAATCTCAATGTGGCTTAAAATGTTCTTCTGAAACCAAATAAAGGTACAAAGACCATGGTGCTCCAACAAGCTGGATGGCAGCCAGGTACTCATGAGTACTGACAATTATAGGTGTGAAATTTTCATTTCTCATCATTATTCCAGGATGCCTCCTCTTCAGCATAAAGCAGCCAGAAAGATTGATGACCAGCTTCCCCAGGATTGAGGAACTGATAAGTGGAAAGAGGGGACTGAAACCACCCCAATTGTCCCGTAGAATTGATGTTTATGATCTTTTGGAATAAACATAGATATTGACCCTCATGGTCTTAAAGATTGAAATGTACATTGCCTGAGTTCCTTCCTCAGAAAACAAAAACTCAGGGCTCTGAGTATCAAGGAACTGAAACTCACCAGGTCACCACATCCAGACAATGAGACAACAGACCCCTTATTCATCATGATTACTTCCTTCCCCCTCCGTTATTCCCGTTTTCCCACATGTAGCTCCATTCCTTCCCTTTTATATAAACTCCCAATTTTAATTGATTGGAGAGGACTTGAGACTTATCTCTCATCTCCTCAGCTGATATCACCTGATTAAAGCCTTTCTTTCATGGCAATACTCATTGTCTCAGTGACTGGCTTTCTGTACAGCAAGGAACAGGATCTAGACCAAACCCCCTGGCATTTTGGTAACAAGGGGAATAAGAAACCTAGCCTTACTGACAGTTTATTTCTTAAGTTGACTTTATTAAAAGGTCAAGGAAAGAAAACTAGCCCAAAGAATAAATGAACATACCCACTTTATCACTTTGACAGGTTTAACAAATTCCTAATGAAGAATAATTTATGTGTTTGCTCAGGCATGGTGGCTTATGTCTGTAATCCCAGCATTTTGGGGGGCTGAAGCAGGAGGATTACCTGAGGCCAGAAGTTTGAGAGCAGTCTGAGCAACACAGTGAGACCACATCTCTACAAAAAATAAAAAAGTTAATTAGGCATGGTGGCATGCGCCTGTGGTCCCAGCTACTCTGGAGGCCGAGGTAGGAGGATCACCTGAGCCTGGGAGGTCAAGGCTGCAGTGAGCTGTGTTTGCACCACCATACTCCAGCTTGGGTAATAAAGCAAGACCCTGTCAACAAAAAAAAGTTAGATTTTTTGTTTGTTTGTTTGAAAAGTGTTAACCTAGGCACAATCTACAAACTGGCCAATTTTTGACTTTTGTAACTGTTGTATATACATCTATAAATATATTCTAAGTAGTTTTCTTATACAGAACAGCATAGAAAAAACACATTAAAAGTCCTCAGAATTATGAGTAATTTGTATAAAAATTTGTAATGACATTTCAAGGTAATTGTTTCTATTGGAATTGTAATAACATCTGATTGCAGCTTCCTTGAAGATTACTAAATATATGCAGTGCTATGATCCTTTGCTGGGTAAGCATTGCAGTTTCGTTGCTGCTTAGCTAGTATGAAATGTTGGATTGTAAAATGTCAATCGTGTAATATATTTGCTTATAAATAGTTACACTCTCAAATGTTGCAGTTTGTTTAGTCCACTAAAGACAGACTATATGCCATTATTGAAAGAAATCTTAGGAAACCTGGCTCCAGAAGATATTCAAACATACACATGCATTATTATCTGCCAAATACTACTAGATCTTGTGGAAATCTTGGTGTGTTAAATTTTGTTACAAAAGATATACAAGGACATAAAAGGCTAAAGTTACAGAACTGAAAGATTGGATCAGTGTCTTAGAAGCAGGGTTATTGTAACTTTTGTTTTTTGAAGGATAACTTGCAGACCATGCTAAGTGAAGTACTTAAGAAACTTTAATGAAGTGGAAACTGAAAGAAAATGACATAAAAACATAGGCACCATTTAAAGTCCTTAAAAAAAACTCAATAGGCCGGGCGCAGTGGCTCACACCTGTAGTCCCAGCACTTTGGGAGGCCGAGGCGGGCGGATCACGAGGTCAGGAGATCGAGACCATCCTGGCTAACACGGTGAAACCCCGTCTCTACTAAAAATACAAAAAAATTAGCCAGGCGTAGTGGCGGACGCCTGTAGTCCCAGCTACTCGGGAGGCTGAGGCAGGAGAATGGCGTGAACCCGGGAGGCGGAGCTTGCAGTGAGCCGAGATAGCGCCACTGCAGTCCGGCCTGGGCGACAGAGCGAGACTCCGTCTCAAAAAAAAAAAAAAAAAAAACTCAGTAGAAATTTTGCAAAAATACAACCACAGCAACCCAATGAATAAATATGTATTTAATGATTGCCAACCTATGAAAATATTTTATAGACTCTATCTCCAAGCAAGAGCCACACAGAACAGAATTAAAGTTTCTGCATCTGAAAGGCTGATAAAAAGTTAAAAACACTACATTTGTCTTCAAAAGTAAATTTGAATAGTGGTGGTATTTAGGAGAACAGCCATTAAAATCATACCATAAAATGTTAAATGATATTGAAAATTCATTTTAATGCATAGTTGTAAAATAACTTCCAAGTATATGCTTCCATAATATGCACTTTCAACCAAGGCTGTAAAGTAATCTGAAGGTTACAAATGTATTTGGTGCACCAAGATTCAATTTATATTAGTCCATTCTTGCACTGCTGTAAAGAAATACTGTCATATTTTACCAAAATATTCAGGTAATCTTGAATGTATTGCCAGCATACCATTTTATATTTTGAAGATGATTGGTAAAATCTGAGTATCTTATAGATTTTAATATGTCAACAAGACTATTTAATGGGAAAAATAAAAGCCTTCAATGATTTACAAGTCATGAGAATTTTTTCCTAATGGTTTATCTAGGTGGAATGTGTAATATAGTTTTAAATTCCACATCAGGCCCTACAAGGCAATCTTGAATATCCAGAAAATCACAATAATAGAGTTTCTGCAGTCCTAGTGTTTGAAAAATTGACATGTATTTTTGTTTTCCTAAGATTTCTTACATTTAAAAAAACACCTTTTATCATTTCCTTCCAATTTATAATTTGATTTAGTCCTTTCAGATAAAGCATGACAACCAAACTTTGATGTAACAGTACTAGCATATTTCCATCCTTTGATGGTTGGTACTTTGTGTCATTGAATATATATTTTGTGCTTTTTTATTAAGCATAAACTCTGCTGGATGTGCAGGAGGGAATTACAGCTCTATTCTACCCCTTCCTTTCCTGTCCCTTCATAAAATTCCTGTGAGGAACAGTGTCACTATGACAGATCAGGTTTTAGAGTATTTTAGTTTTTCCTATGTCTAGGGAGCTATGTCAAGTTAAATGTTAGCAAGCTAAATTTTGGCATGCAGACATGAAACTTTCAGATGATCTCATGAGATAAAGTGAGATAACCTTAGGGATAGCTTTCTCCTGGATTTGACATATGCTCTCATTTGTGCACATGTGACTTTTAATGGCAGGGTGGTTTAATCAGGAAAGTCTTCGTTACAACATAGTAGTAAAAATAATCCCAATTTCAGTCGCTTAAACAACAAATATGTGTTTCTCACTCACACTACATGTCCAGTGCAGGTCATTTGGAGGCTCTGTTTGTTTCTCTAATTCTGCAACACAGACTGATGGAGCTGCCACCATCTGAATACATGCTCTATAATCATAGAAAACAATGTGGTAATTCATGCATTAAGTTTTAAAATTGCTTCCTGAAAGTGGCGTATGTCGGTTTACATTTCACTGGCCAAAACAAGTCACATGCCTGTTCCTAGGTTCAAAAATGGGGAGAAAGTGCCCTCCTATCCTGAACCCAGAAGATGAAAAGTTTCAAATATTTCACAAATACATCTGACAACTACTATAATCATTCTTTCAGAGAATAAGTAAATTACTTCTTGAGCTCTGTGACTGTGGCAATTGAAGTAGATGGCAACATCAGAGCCACTTAGAGTTACATACTCAGGACTTTGAGCCACTTAGTATACATGTTGATGTGCAGAATTGCTTTATTATGACTATAATTCTATATTTAAAGTGACAGCCTACATGACAGTAGAGATAAAATGGTTAAATAGTCATGTAACTATTATAGTCAGAAGCAGTATTTAATAATATTGATGATGAAGTATGAAGACATATTTGATATTCTCCAATAGGAAGTCCTTTTATTGGTGAAAATTAAACTAAAAGCTGGTCTCCTCTCCAAAAGGACTTGAGATAGAATCCAGTCCACTACCTAAGGTCAAGTAGAAATTAGAGGCAGTGATCAGAAGGTGCTCAGAAAGGGTCATAAAGTAGCAAAATTCTACATATTCAGATGACAAGATCATTCCTAGTTAATGGGTAATTGACTGAAAGCATTTCACACAGCAGGTGAGATTAAGCTGTCATAATAAAGATTTGATGGCATTGGTTATTGCTGAGGGTAGGATTATGGGTGATTGTTAATTTCTTCTTTATATCTTTTGGTATTTTTCAAGCATTATAAAATTAAAATGTATTTTCTTAGAAAAAATGAAATAACCAATTGATAGGCCCTCTTTTTTAAAATTTGTAACGCCTCTTAAGGGTCTTGATATAAAGAAATGACAATTTAAATACAAAATGTGTTGAGGCATTTCTATGGTTTGAATGTGTCCCCCAAAGTTCACATGTCAGAAACTTGATCCTCAATGCAGCCGTTTTGAGAGGTGTTTAGGCCATGACGGCTTTGCATGAATGTATGCTGATATTGTGGGAGTGGGTTCATTATTGTAGGAGTGGATTCCTTATTAAAAAAAAAAAAAAAGTTTGGCCTTTTTTTGTCTCTCTCTCTCTCTGTTGCCCTCTCTTTGCCCTTTCCACTTTCTGTCATGGGAGGATGCAGCAAGAAGGTCCTCACCAGCTGCCAGCCCCTAATTTTGGACTTCCAAGTCTATACAATTGTTAGCCAATAAATTTATGTTTATTATAAATTACCCGAACTGTGGTATTTAGTATAGCAGTATGAAACAGAGTAAGACAGAAAATTCATACCAGAGAAGTAGGGTATTGCTAAACAAATACCTGAAAATGTAGACACGGCTTTGGAACTGTATAATAAGCAGAGGCTAGAAGAGTTTGGAGGAGCAGTCTGGGAAAAGCCTGTATTGCTGTGAACAGAGCTTTAAGGACAATCCTAGTGAAGAGTCTGAAGAAGAGAATTGTAGGGGAAGTATAGAACTTCTTAGAAATTATTTAAATGGTCATGGTCAGAATGCTATTAGAAATATGGACAGTAAATGTCATTCCAATGAAGTCTCAGACAGGATTGAGGAATATTTTATCGGACACTGGAATCAAGGACATCCTTATTACAAAGTTAGAAAGGACTTGGCTGAATTGTGTCCTAGGGCTTTATGGAAGACAGAATTTAAGAGCAATGAACTAGAATATCTGGCAGAAGAAATTTCTAAGCAAAATATTGAAGGAGCTATGTGGCTTATTTTAGCTGCATTCAGTAAGATGATAGTGGAGAGAAATTATTTAAACACATAATTAATAATTAAAAGGAAAGCAAGGCACCTGTAGTCCCAGCTACTCAGGAGGCTGAGGCAGGAGAATGGCGTGAACCTGGGAGGCAGAGCTTGCAGTGAGCTGAGATCACACCACTGCACTCCAGCCTGGGTGACAGAGCAAGACTCCATCTCAAAAAAAAAAAGGAAAGCAAAATGTAAAAATCTGGAAAATTCTCAGCCTGGCCATGTAGAGAAAAAGAACACATACAAGGGTGCAGCCAAGCAATCCTGTGATTAAAAGGATTAGCATGGACAGAAGAAAGCCAGGTGCTATTTATTAAGATAATGGGAGGAAGATTCCAAAGGCATTTTAGAGAACTTCAAGGCTGTCCCTCCTATCACAGGCACAGAGCTCTAGGAGAGCAAGATGCTTCAGGGCTTATATCCTGGTTGCCCACCATGAGCTCACTGCCCAGAGCCACCTCAGGACTCTGCTCCACATATTCTGGCACAAGTTCCTTGACTACCTCAGCTGTGACTCAAATGGCCCCAGGTGTGGCTTGTTCTGCTTTTCTGGAAGGCTTAAGCTGTAAACCAGTGATGTCCACGTGGTGCTAATTCTGCAGGTATGAAGAATGCAGAAGCTGGGTGAGCGTGGGTCTCTCCACCTAGATTTCAAAGGATGTTGTAAACAACTGGGTCCCCAGGCAGAAACTTGATGCAAAAGTTGTAGCCACTACAGAGAGTGCCCACCAGGGCAATTCCTAGTGGAGCCATGCGAGTGGGGCCACCCACGATACTCAAAAACTATAGTGCTATCAGCATGCAAAACCAGTCGGAGACAGCTGCAGGCACTCAACTGCAACTCATAAGAACTGTTGCTACACCCAGCAAGACCACAGAGACAGGGTTTCCCAAGGTCTTTAGGACCCAATTCCTACAACAATGTGTCCAGAAAGTGGTACATGGAGTCAAGGAAGATTATTCCTGAGACAAGATTTAATGTTGTTCATCCTGTTGGATTTTAGACTCACTGGGATCAGGTACCTCTTTTTTCTTGTTTATTTATTTCTTTTGGAATGAGAATGTCTATTTTATGCCTGTCCCACCATTGCATAATAGAGTCTCCCCTAATCCCTGGTTATGCTTCATGCAGTTTCAGTTACTCATGGTACAAAAATAGGTGAGGACAATGTAATAAGATCTTGAGAGAGATAGAGAGAGACACCCTATTGACATAACTTTTATTACAGTATATTGTTATAGTCTATTTTATTGTTATAATTGTTAATCTCTCACTGTCTGATTTATAAATTAAACTTTATCGTATATATGTATTTATAGGAAAAACATAATATGTATAGGCATCAACTGGAGGTCTTGGAAAGTATCCTCCAAGAATAAGGGGGTGGGGGTCACTGTATTTTAGATGTAGATAACTTGTTTTGATTTCACAGGTTTACAGCTTGAGGGACATTTGCCTCAAGATGAATTGTGTCTTGAGTCTCATATCTGATTTAGATGAGATTTTAGATTTTGAACTGTTGAGCTGATGCTGGAATGAGTTAAGATTTGGGGAGCTATTGGAATGAATTGAGTGTATTTTGCATGTGAGAAGGACATAAATTTCAGGGGCCGGGGAAGTATGCTCTGGTTTGACTGTGTCTTCCAAAGTTCACGTGTTGGAAACTTGATTCCCCCATGTGGCAGTGTTGAGAGGTGAGGACTTTAAAAGGTGATTAGGCTATGAGGGCTCTGTCTCATGAATAAATTAATGCCATTATTATGGGAGTGAGTTTTTTTAATCACAGGAGTGAATTCCTGATAAAAGGATGAGTTTGGCCCTCTTTTGTCTCTCATTTTTTCCCTCTCTTTGCTATTCTTCCATGAGATGATGTAGCAAGAAGACCCTCACCAGACACTGGCCCCCTGCTCTTGGGCTTCCCAGCCTCCAGAACTATGAGTGAATAAATTTATGCTCATTTTAAATTATCCAGTCTGTGATATTCTGTTATATCAGCACAAAACAGACTAAGAAAGACACAGAGAAGAGTCTGTAGAATTTAGAGAGAGAGATACGGAGGGAGAATTTCTTTATCCAAACAAGAGTTTTCACAAAATCCCTTAGTGGAGTGGGATTAGATGTTATATCAGACCTCTGTTACTTGTTAATTATAGTAGTCTGTAAACATTTATGTTTCCATTAACAGTATAGTAAAATGTCAATAATTCTAATTCCGCAAAGTTGGCTTCATCATTTACAATAATTTGTTATCTTTGGCAAAAGCATAAATTAACAAATCTCATCTAGATATTGTTACATGTTATACTTTGCATCAGCTGAACTCAAATGTACACTTATAGCCAAAGCTTACAGCTCAGAATATGACAACAAGGACAAAGAGAGAGATCTGAGCCCTGGCCCTTGGCAGTGTCCTGGGAAATGGCAAGCTTTAGAAAGAAGTGGCTGTGAATCCAAGAAAAGGGTGGATCTTAGACATTGAGGCTCATGGCCTCAATTAGCAAAGATTTATTTGCTCAAGCATCACCTGAGAGAAGCAGAGCAGCCTCTCTTTAAGGGGCTAGGCAGCATGACAGTAAAAACCTCTTTACCCATTTATATGAGAGGTTGCAATTTTTGTGTGTGTGTAAAAAATCAGACCTTGGCCATGACCTTGAGCAGTAGGCTATAAATAGCTCTCACAAGCTTAGCATTGCAATAATGGAACACTAGCCATAAATGGGTTAATTAAATTAAGAGACGAAGATGAGAGCCTTTTCCTTATTTTATGGGCACTGCATAAGCCTCCACAGTCCTGATGTGCCTCTAGAGAGGAGAGTCCTCCTCCAAAAAATATGAGTTTGAATTTCCTCACTCTACAGAATGAATTGAGATCTCAGCAACAGATTTTACTCAATACATGGAAATGTGATATTCCTTGCATACTTGATATCACGAAGTAAGATTTTACTTGATTTATTTGTCTACATATTCATCTGTTTACTCATTCAAAATTACTTATTGAGTACTTACTATGTATTAGGCATGCTATATGGTGCTGGCTATATACAATCATGCACCACAAAACAATGTTTCAGTCAACAATGGACCACATATGTGACGGTGGTTCTATAAGATTATAATACCACATATTTGTGTGTGTACATATATGTCTTCGTGTGTGTACATATATATTTGTGTGTGTGTGTATATATATATATATATATATGAGTTTTTTAATCACAAAGGTGAATTCCTTATAAAAGGATGAGTTTGGCCCCCTTTTGTCTCATATATATATGTATGTGTATATATATGTGTATATATATATGTATGTGTATATATATATATATGTATGTATATGTATACACACACACAGTAACAAATACTTACCAATGTGTTACGCTTGCCTACAGTATGAAGTACAGTAATATGCTGTACAGGTTTATGGCCTAGAAGCAATAGGCTATACCACAAACCCTAGCTGTGTAATAGGCTATATCATCTAGGTTTGTGTAAATACTGTTCATTCTATGATGTCACACAATGATGAAATCACCTAAAGACACATTTTTCAAGATGTATCCTCATTGTTAGGGGATAGTAATAAACAAACCAGCCATGTCTCCTACTTTCATTGTGCTTAAGGTTAATAGAAAAAATATAAGTAACAAGTAAATAGCTTATATTAGTGCTTTGAAAGAAAAGAAGAGGAGATCATGGGAGAGATTAAGGAGGAGGACATGCTTTAGAATAGGAGGTGGCACCCATGGATATCTAAGGATGCAATGGCACCAGTGATGTAGAGTGAGGGAGAAAGATGTGCCAGTAGAGGCAAGAGCTGTGGCAGGAAGGAGCTTGGCACGCCGAAGACCTTAACAGACAGAGATCAATGTAACTAGAGAACAGTGAACAAGGGGCACAGTGGCATGGGATGTAGGTGAAAATTACACAAAGTCTGAATTTTGCAGGGACTTACAAGTCATGCTAAACATTTTGGTCTTTATTCTCTGTACAAGAAGAAGATTTTAAAGAATTTTAAGCAGAGAAGTAATGTGATTAGAGAAATGGTTTAAAATGATCATTCTGGTTGCTGTGAGAAGAATGAAAAGGAAGAAGTTTAAGAGGGCAAGTGAGTTGGCCTTCTCAGAGGGCAAATTTGGACACTCCTGTAGTGGTATAATCAAGAGGTGATAAAGACTTGGACTATGGTAGTGATCAGGGAGATGGAAACATATGCTCTGGAGATAAAATTGACCTAGCACCAGGGTTGGGTGAGTTGGTTAGGAGAAAAATGATTTCCATATTTTTATTTGGCCAATGATACTGCCATTCACTGCAATGAGGTCCATGACAGAGGCATTCACTGAGAAAGTTAGGCTGGGAGAGAAGTTGAAGTATTCAGGGGTGGAAAAAAAGGGGTTTGGCCTGGGTTTGGCTTGGGAAATGTTAAGTTTGAGACCTTTTTGAGACTTTATGTTCAGATTTCAGGATGGCATTAAGACATACTGGCCTAGAGGACAAACAAGATTCTAGCTGGAGATTCTAAATCTGAGAGTCTTGACATAAATGTGATATTTACAGTCACAAGTGTTGATGAGATCACTTAAAAGGAGGTATATAAGGAGGAGAAAAAGGAGTGTGTTTGGAATGTCAACAAACCATATACAAACTGTCAGGTGGATCAGAGAGATACAGTCATGAGGATCAGGTGTGGTATCCAGAATAATGCGGAAGGCGGATTGAAGTCTGTGCCAGGAACAATGGTAATGGTGGGAGACTTAACAAAGAGTGAGTATAGCTGAAGGAGCACGGGAACAGAAAGTATATGTGTCAGGTGTGAGGAAGAAAATACATTTTGTAAGTTATGAGAACTGTAGAAGAGTGAGTTGAGCATAGTTTGTGATTTTAAGGGTCTCTAAAAGTATTAGGGCAGTGGTGGCTGCTGCATGCAGACTTGAGGGCTAGGCAAAACAGTAAGGTCAAGTTGTTTGGAACAAAAGGCTACAGGGCGTGGTCCCGGCCCTTGTGTAACAATTCTGACTGCACAGCCCTGCACTTCCAGCCCAGCTGTGGGTAATGAAAAGGGTTGGGATGAGTCAGGGAGAGCTAGGGTGGCTTCAGTCTCTAAAGCTGTCTTCAAGGAACGGAAAGAGGAATGGAGAAAGGATTTAGGATCTATGGGGTCAGCTAGGTTTCCTTTTGTGAGTTTATATAATGGTTTTGTTAAGATGGCGAAACCAGGCATCCAAAATCGAAAGTATCCAACCATGCCTAGGAAGGAAAGGAGTTGTTGTTTTGTAGAAGGTGTTGGGGTTTGAGAGATCAGTCGGACACGATTGGCAGGGAGAGCATGTGCATTTTTATGAAGAATTATGCTGAGGTAGATTACGGATGGAGAAGAAATTTGAGCTTTGGAGGGGGACACCCAATATCCTTTGGAGAATAAATGCTGAAGGAGCAGAAGGGTGTCTTGTTGAGAAGATTCAAAGGAGGGGCTACAAAGAAGAAGGTCATCAATATATTGAATAAGGTGAGAAGCGGAGGGGTGGAAAGAAAGTAAATCATGAGAAAGAGCTTGGCTGAAGTAATGAGAGCTGTCCCTGAAACCCTGCGGCAGCACAGCCCAGGTAAGCTGCTGGGACTGATGGGTGTCAGGGTCAGTCCAAGTGAAAGCAAAGAGAGGCTGGGATGAGGGGTACAGGAGAATAGTGAAAAAAGCATCTTTAAGATCAAGAATGGAATAGTGAGTTGTGGAGGAATGTATTGAGGACAAAAGAGTGTATGGGTTGGGCACCACAGGGTAGATAAGCAAAACAATTTGGTTGATAAGGCACAGATCCTCAACTAATCTGTAAGACTTGTGAGGTTTTTGGACAGGTGAAATGGGGGAATTGTAAGGAGAGTTTATAGGTTTTAGAAGCCCATGCTGTAACAGGCGAGTGATAACAGGCTTTAATCCCTTTAAAGCGTGCTGTGGGATGGGATACTGGCGTTGAGCAGGGTAAGGGTGATTAGGTTTTAATGGGATGGTAATGGGCATGTGATCGGTTGCCAGGGAGGGAGTAAAGATGTCCCATACTTGTGGGTCAAGGTAGGGGGATACAAGAGGAAGACGCAAAGGAAGCTTTGGGTTGGGAAGAAGAGTGGCAATGAGATGTGGCTGTAGTCCAGGAATAGTCAGGGAAGCAGATAATTTGGTTAAAATGTCTCGGCCTAATAAAGGAACTGGGCAGGTGGGGATAACTAAAAAAGAGTGCTTAAAAGAAGGTTGTCCAAGTTGGCACCAAAGTAGGGGAGCTTTAAGGTGTTTTGAAGCTTGGCCGTCAATACCCACAAAAGTTATGGGGGCAAGGGAAACAGGCCCTTGAAAAGAAGGTAATGTGGAGTGGGTAGCCCCCATATCAATTAAACAGGGGACAGACTTACCCTCCACTGTAAGAGTTACCTGAAGCTCGGTGTCCGTGATGGTCCAGGGGGCTTCCAAGGCGATCGGGCAGCGTCAGTCTTCAGCCACAAAGCCAAGGAGATCTGGGAAGGAGTCAGCCAAGGAACGTTGGGTTTGGGCTCCAGGGGCTTTAGGAGTGGCGGCGATGTGAGTCAGACAGTCTGACCTCCAGTGGGGGCCCGCACAGACAGGGCACATCCTAGGAGGAATCCCAGGCTGCAGGCACTCCTTGGCCTAGTGGCTATGCTTTTGGCATTTGAAGCAAGGCCCACGAGGATGTTTTGAAGGAGCCCCTGGGAGCTGTGACTTGGATGTTCTGAAGTTCTTGTATGCTGGAGACGTGGTTGTGGGCTGTCTTACAGCGGAGGCAAGCAGCTGTAACTCAGAAATGCATTGCTGTCTGGCTACCTCCTCTCCATTATTGTACACCTTGAAGGCGAGGTTAATTCCTGTTGTGGGGTTTGAGGGCGAGATTCTAACTTTTGAAGTTTTTTCCCAATGTCAGGAGTGGATTGGGTGATAAAATGCATATTAAGAATAAGACCGCCTTCTGGCCCTTCTGGGTCTAGGGCGGTAAAGCGTCTAAGGGTTGCTGCTAAGCGGGCCATGAACTGGGCTGGGTTTTCGTCTTTACCTTGGGTAGTTTCTTTAAGCTTGTCATAATTAACAGCTTTGTAAGCTGCCCTTTTAAGCCCTTCAGCTAGGCAGGAAATCATGTAATCTTGCCTAGCTATACCTGTGGAATCTGCCTGATAGTTCCATTGGGGATCCTCTCAGCGAACTGCTCTAATGCCTTCCTGGAGGTCTGGTTCTTGAAGCCAGCGGTTATCAGCATGAGATTGGGCTAGAGAAAAAACTCTTTCCTGTTCATCTGGGGAGAGGGTAGAAATCAGGATAACATTTAAGTCACTCCAGGTTAAATTGTAGGACAGAGTTAGATATTGGAATTCCTGTATATATTTAGTGGGGTCTGATGAGAAAGGGCCTAAACGCTGACTGATCTGAGAGAGGTCTGATAGAGAAAAAGGTACATGTACCCTGACTATGCCTTCAGCTCTAGCCACCTCTCTAAGAGGAAATTGTTGGGCAGGTGGGGAAGAGCTAGTCACGGAACTAAACTGTAAGCTGGACCGGGTGTGAGGAGGGGAAGTGATAGAAGGATTATAGGGTGGAGGAGCGGAAGCTGAGGGAGAATTGGGACTTAGCTCGGCCTGGCAATGAGCAGCTTGGGGAGAAGGGGAGAGGTCAGATGGGTCTGTAGAAAAGGAAGACTGGAAAGACTCAGCGATGCTTGGGGTTGGGACAGAGGGGACAGGCGGGAGGGAAAGAAGGAGGATTTGGGAGGAATCGCATTGGGAACAGAGACTAGGGAGGGAATGAAGTGGGAAAAATGCCTGGATGTAAGGCACCTCAGACCATTTGCCCATTTTTTGACAAAAATTATTTAGGTCTTGTAGGATGGAGAAATCGAAAGTGCTGTTTTCTGGCCATTTAGAGCCATTGTCAAGTTTGTATTGGGGCCAAGCAGTGTTGCAGAAGAAAATAAGACGCTTAGATTTTAGGTCAGGAGAGAGTTGAAGAGGTTTTAAGTTCTTAAGAACACAGGCTAAGGGAGAAGAAGGAGGAATGGAGGGTGGAAGTTCATAGGTGGATCTTTCTCACGGAGCAAAGAGCAGGACAGGGGATTGATCTCCCAAGGGAGGTCCCCCAATCCAAGTCGTGGCACCAAATTTCATGCACATCCGTGTGAAGAGACCACCAAGCAGGCTTTGTGTGAGCAACAGGGCTGTTTATTTCACCTGGGTGCAGGCCGGCTGAGTCTGAAAAGGGAGTCAGCAAAGGGAGATAGGGGTGGGGCCGTTTTATAGGATTTGGGTAGGTAAACGAAAAAGGGGAGTTGTTCTCTGGTGGGCAGGAGACGAAAAAGGGGGGTTGTTCTCTGGTGGGCAGGAGTGGAGGTTACAAGGTGCTCAGTAGGGGAGCTTTAGAGCCAGGATGAGCCAGGAGAAGGAATTTCACAAGATAATGTCATCAGTTAAGGCAGGAACAGGCCATTTTCACTTCTTTTGTGGTGGAATGTCATCAGTTAAGGCAGGAACCAGCCATCTGGATGTGTACATGCAGGTCACAGGGGATATGATGGCTTAGCTTGGGCTCAGAGGCCTGACACAAACCTTTCTAAATTTCCAGGGAAGAGAAGACAATTTACAACGCATTTTAATATAATTCTGATAAGTTAAACCAAAAAATTAGAATGAAGCAGAAGAGTATAATCTGTTTTGACCTTGACAAGAAAGCTTATTTAAGCACAAATACTTCCTTTTCCATGGATGTCAATGTCACTTAGGAAATTCCAAAAGATTTTCTAGAAATTAGTGCATTTAAGGAGTTGACACACTGGGGAGTAAATGATAATTTACCATGATAGCCAACTCAAATTAATTATTTATCATGCATAAATAAGATGTTAAATTTTCCTTTTCAGATTAACAGCAGTGGCTTTGTTTTCTGGCTCTGTAAGGCTATTAAGCTACAGGAAAGACTTTACTTTTAGAGCATGAGAAAATAAGATATTGGAAGAGAATTCCTTAGGTTAAAAGAGTTTATTTAGAAAGTTAAAGTATTATTGCTGAACATGAAGACTATTATGTTAATTACTATCTTCAACTGTTTAATGTCAATAAAAACCTTTCCATGTTTCTCAAGAGTACTTCCAGACAGAGCACTACATGTAATTTTGAGGAAGTATTAGGCAGAAAATTTTAGATGTTTCCAAACATTTGCAGCCAGGAAATCTCATAGGGTAGAAAACCTCCTACTACATTTGTCATATTAACATCCAATTATGCACAGAGAAAAGACAAAGAAACACAGTAAATTGGAGAACAATGTGTGTTCAGCATAGCACACATGTATTACCAACAGGATTAAATATCATAGATTAGTTAAAGCTTCTAAGTACTCTTTCATGGAAATCTGAAGAAAGGCATGCAGTAAAAGATAAATAAAACAAAACTTAGAGTTTTACAAAAGGATTTGAACTCATGAAAATACAAAATGGAGCATCATCTCAACTAATAAGTTATCTGGATCATGACCTTCTCTTATACCTAACACAAGACTAGAAATATGAAGGACTTGTATGTGTTGTAAACATCCTCAAGCTGTGAAAGTTCAAAAAAAGAACAAATCAGAATGTATGAGTGAAAACAAAGTTCTTTTAAAAGTAGTACATTTGGGTGGATCATCTTGGTAGATCTTTCTCTTGAATTGGCTTATCTTTTAAAACAAGAGAAGCTTTAGCTAAACTGACAAAATTAAGACATCTCAATTTGTAGACAATTAGACCCTCTATTTGAAGGAACACTGTGACTAGAGAAAGAGACAATGGATTTTCATTTGAAAAATGCCACTTTTATTTTTAAAATGAAGTAAATGTCAAAGACATACTGCTGGGGTCATGTCCTAGAAAAGCACAACCTCAGACTTCATACCTAGATTTAAATAAAGGGATAGTCAGACATCTAAGCACAAAAGGTGAATGTGCCAAAGTTCTGGGTCAGGTCCTCCTTGTCTCTCACCTAGCCTGTTGCAACTGCTTCCTAAGGAGCTTTTCACTTTCCCTGAGAACTGTGCTTCTTTCAGAGCTTCCTCCTGGTCAAACCTTGTCTTGAACTTTCTAATCCTGCTATTTCATTTAATCAGGTTAGATCATCTGGGAATAATCATGTCCTAAATCTTTACTTATTGAAATCTTATTCAGCCTTCAATGTTCTGCATAAAGAATAAATGCCCCGTATTCCTCACTGTTAGAAATAATTTTCCTGGCACTTTCCTGTATAACATCTTCATCAACGGCAGCAGCATTTTTCAGGCACCTACTTTGAGCCAGGCATTGTGCAAGCTAGACGTGTTAAATTCTTTTTCTAATTGCCTCCAAATCCCAGCTATTTCCCTCCATAGTAAGCCTGGGTTGTTACTCTGCAAGATTATAAGTTCTCTCTAAGCAGAAGCTGAGCTTTATTTACCTTTATATCCTTTAGCGTGTAGTAGAACCCCTAGCCTTGCACAAAATGGAGTGTTGGTAAATAGTGATTGAATGTGGAACCCTCTTTTCATCTTGTTTCTCCTAATTAACATTATGAACTATCAAGTACTCATTCAGAATAGACAATGCAGTATACCAAAAAACATTTTCATAGCCATTTATTTGTTCATGGCTGGATATTTGAAATCTTTGGAGAATTGCACGTGGCTTGGTTAGCTATAGTTAACAGCTCATTGAGTTCCTTCTGTTGATGCAGGGAATAATGCAATGGGTGACTTGGAGCTTGGATTTTGGTCTAACTAAAGTTGAGATTGTGACAGTTAGCAAAGCTTATCCACCAGAGTGGGTCTGAATGGTGGAAGCATGGGAAAGAATGTATTTGCCTTCCCTAGAGGGAGAAGGAGCCTCAGTGGCAAGAAACAGTGACTTGGAAACTCCTTAATATGGCATTCAGGGCCTATAACGATTGGGCCCCTTTTCACCTCCCTAGGTCATGGTGCCAACTTTCTGTGTTCTAAGCTCCAATCATAATAAACAATAGCATTTGCATTCCTCTGAACAAGCCAAGCTCTCTCTTATCTCAGGGGTTTGGTCGTGCTGTTTCTCAGCCTAGTACTGTAATCGGCACTCTATTTGGTGACAAATATTTACTTTTATAAATCATAACTGTGCTTAATGGGATCACATCAAGTTAAAAAGCTTCTGCACAACAAAGGATGCAATAAACAAAGTGAAGAGACAACCTACAGAATGAGAGAAAATATTTAAAAACTACGCACTTGACTAGGGAATAATAACCAGAATATGTAGAGTTCAAACAGCTCTATAGGAAAAAATCTAATCATCCCATTTAAAAAATGGTCAAAAAATCTGAATAGGCATTTCTCAAAAAAAGACATCCAAATGGCAAACAGGCATATGAAAACATGCTCAAAATCATTGATCATCAGAGAAACGCAACTCAAAACTACAACCATAAATCATCTCATCCCGGTTACAATGGCTTTTATCCAAAAGATAGGCAATAACAAATGCTGGCAAGGATGTGGAGAAAAGAGAACTCTTGTACACTGTTGGTGGGAATGTAAATTTGTACAACCACTATGGAAACAGTTGGACGCTCCTCAAAAGCTAAATCATATAATTCAGCAGTCCCGCTGCTAGGTATATATACTCAAAAGAAAGAAATCAGTAAATCAAAGAGATAATATACTCCCATGTTTATTGCAGCACTATTCACAATATCCAAGATTTGGAAGAAACTGAAGTGTCTGTCAACATATAAATGGATAAAGAAAATGTGGTATATATATACAGTGGAGTACTATTCAGCCATCCAAAAGAATAAGATTCTGTCATTTGCATCAACATGGAAGGAACCAGAATTCATGTTAAGTGAAATAAGCCAGGCATTGAAAGACAAATTTTACATGTTCTCATTCATTTGTGAGAGCTAAGAATTAAAACAATTGAACTCATGAAGATAGAGAGTAGAATGATGGTTACCAGAGGCTGGGAAGTAGGTAGTGGGGGGTGATAGGGGAAGTAGGAATGGTTAATGGGTATAAAAATACAGTTAGATAGAATAAATAACATCTAGTCTTTTATAGCACAACAAAATGACTACAGTCAATAATAACTTATTATTCATTTTAAAATAACAGAGTATAATTGGATTGTTTGTAGCACAAAGGATAAACGCTTGAGGTGACGGATATCTTATTTACCTTGATGTGATTATTATACATTGTTTGCCTTTATTAAAATATCTCATGTACCCCATAAATATATACACCTACTATGTACCCACCAAAATTAAAAAAGAATTTTTAAAAAATCAAAACCGTGTTTGTTCAACAATCCTAAATGCAAAATTTTTACAACCCAGAATAGAAAGGCATGTGCCCAGCTCTGGTCCTATTGAGATTATTCCAGGATTCTGAAGTCATTAGGAAGGAGACACTCAGAAAGAAAGCTCAGACTCTCTGTCTCCCAACATCTTCATCACAAGAATTTAAAATTTATCACACAACCTGGAATTATGAAGATTTTAGACTTTGACATAATTCTTAAAGTAGTGGTGAGATTCTTCAGCATCCAGTATGAATAAGGAGTTGGTTAGAGAAAATAATGTGGCAAAAGATGTTCTTGTTAAACATTCAAGTTAAACTTCTCATATAGAGCATCCCGGGCATTTACTAACTCATGGAAATGCTTGAATGAGCATGGATGAATGATTCTAGCCAGAGCTTATAATTTAGTATAGTTAATTTGTCACTCTTGAAGGTAGTAACTTGTTTTTCTATGCAATAAAAAGAGTGGGAAGGTCACTGGGCTCCTCTACTTTTCTTCCAGAAAGAAAGGGAAAGAAAACAAGCTAAAGATGATTGAGTGATTGTAAGAAACAAAGCTGTTGGTATCAGAAAATAAGAGAAAAAAGGACAAGGGATAGTGAAATTTGCATACACATAAAGTGGATAATCCATTCCAGTCTAAAATCAGCATCATTAAATAGTTTTTCAGTTATGTATTCTTATTCATAATCTAATTAGTTTTAAACTTTGATTCCACTTGGAAAATTTTAATCTGTCTCCAAGTTTTCTTTTTATGTTATTTGGAAAGGTTTTTCTGAAAAGTCTTATAAATTAGTAAATACATTTGGTTTTCTCAAAAAAAAAAAAAAAGCTGCAGTGACAAGTTTCCAGTGCATACTTATTTTTGCTGCAGGTATGATAAAGCATATTTTGAATGTGATCTGCATAGCATGTCAGGAAATAGGTCAGTCTCCCTAATGTTTTATAATGTCCTAAACCAGTTAACCATGTGTTGTCCAAAAAGTAAAACAGAAAGTAGTCTATTTGAGAGACAAAAATACAAACAGCAATTCTGCATGAATGATAATTTCCCATGCAGTCCTACAGATTTATGGTTATTTTTAGATCTTTTCCCAGAATAATTTGTAGTTTAAGTGGATGAAGTTTATAACTATGGGAAATGACTTGCTGTATCTTTCACTGTGAAGTCTTTTCCTTTTCTTTCTTCACTCATTTGAATAAAAGAGGATATGTATAAGTAATGCAGATAGCATTTGAGCGGGAAGCTGTGATCTTCACTGATTAAGCATCACAGAAATAATTTTTATGCAGCACTTGATAACAAATTATGCTTTTGCACGTATTACCACAACCATTCTTAGAACTGATGCCAATGTTTAGTAATAATCAAGTAAAGAATCTGTCTTACAAAAAATAAAACAAAACAAGAAATAAAAATAGCAACAAAACAAATCTACCAAGATTTGTATAGAGAAGAGCTCATAAAGAAAATAATCTTCGGATGAGAATGAATAACAAAAAAGATCCCTTCTTTCCCCTTAAGAAACTTTTTTCTTTTTCTTTTCTCTCTTTTTTTTTTCTTTTTTGGTTCTTTCAGTTGGATTCCTGCCTGGCTGTCAGGGTGGGAGGAGGTGTGAAGGTTACATATAAATTCCAGAAAGTCCTCTTCTTTTCTATCCTTATTGAACGTTTACTTTGGCATGACTAAGTCCAAATAACCTTGCCAAAAAGAGCTCTGTAATTAAACTCTAAAGAAAAAAAATACCTGGCATTTCCACATTTTCATGGCACATTTTCAAAGCTGTGCCAAAGGAAGAAAAGCAAACAATATAACAAACAACAACAAATAACCTTGATAGAGCCCCTTACCCTAACAAAAATTGCCCACGAGCTTCAACCATGTCAATACAACTTTGCAAAAGCCATTGCTGATGTCTCCCTCCAGCCCCTTGTCTCCTCAAGATTTTGTGATTTGGTCTTTACCTCTCTAACTTCATTTGGATAACTGCTTTTATCTTGTTCTGTTTTGGTGCCATAAGCCCTCTTGCTCCAATGCCCTGAAAAGGCTCATCTGAAATGATACTTTCTCTCTTTTTATCCCACTCTGCCTTAGTTTAACCACTGCTTATACTTTAGCTATGAGGCCAAATGCCCAGTCCCTCAGAGAGGCATTTCTTTATACTCCATGAACATAGTCTACACTAGGTAACCTTCTGTCTGGCTCTTATAATCCATATAGTCATTAACATAGTTTGGATATCTATCCCCTTCACATATGTTGAATCACAATTGCTCCCTCCACTTCACTTTCCACCATGAGGGCAAGCTTCCTCATCAGAACAAAATTCTGGTACCGTGCTTCTTGTACAACCTGCAAAACCTTGAGCTGAATAAAGTATTTTCTTTATAACTTACCCAGTCTCAGGTATTCCTTTATAGCAATAGGTACCCCCCACACCCTGTTCCCAATCCACAGTTTAGATTTCTAAAATTTCAGTTACCCACAGTCAACTGCCATTAAAACAAATAAATGGCAAATTCCAGAAATCAACAATTCATAAGTTTTAGATTGCATGCTTTTCTGAGTTATGTGATGAAATCTTGCAGTGTCCCACTCTACCCTGCCTGGGACATGAATCATCCAGCATATCCACACTGTCTGTGCTACCTGTCCCTTAGTCACTCAGTAACCCTCTTGGTTATTAGAACAATTGTCACAGTATCACAGTGCTTGTGTTCAAGTAACCCTTATTTTACTTAGTAGTGACCCTAAAGTGCAAGGGTAGTGATGCTGGCAATTTGGATATGTCAAAGAGAAGCTGCAAAGTGCTTCCTTTTAATTAAAAAGGTGAAAGCTCTTGACTTAAGAAAACAAAAAAAATTGTATACTGAGACTGCTAAGATCTACAGTAAGAACAAATCTTATGTCCACGAAATTAAGAAGGGAAAAAGAAATGTATGCTAGTTTTGCTGTGGAACCTCAACTACAAGACTTACAGCCACAGCCCATAGTAAGTGCTTTGTTAAGATGGAAAAGGCATTGAATTTGTGGATGGGAGACATAAACAGAAATGTGTTCTGATTGACGGCAGTCAGTTTCAGTACTATCCTTGGTTTCAGGCATCCACTGGGGATCTTACAACGTATCCCCTGCAGATAAGGGGATGTCTTTCCAACTTAGTATTTAACATAGCTTCTAATTATACATTTACTTGTGAAATATTTGGTTAATGATTTTTTTCCTTCACTAAACTGTAAGATAAATGAAGAGAATGACTGTGTTTATTTTTCCATCACTATATCCATATAGTGGGTATAGTGGGTATACCCATAAAACCTAATTAGTATATGTTACATAACTGAATGGATGGATGGATAAATAAAATAAGAATGGATGGGAACTCCCCTGCTAGATGCATTCTCTAGTCTCAGCTATGTGAAGGTATCATGATACTGTAGGACAACATTGTTCAATAGAAACATGAGCCATAGATGTCATTTTAAACTTTCTAGTAGCAACATTTTTTTTTAAAAAAAAGAAGAAACAGGTGAAATTGATTTCAATATTATATTTTCATTAACCTAACAGATTCAAAAGGTTATAATTCCCTTGTTTAATCAATATAACATATTTTAATGATCTATTTTACTTTGTAAAATATTAAATCTAAAAAATCCTATGTATATTCTATAGTTCCTGGCCTACTCAATTTGGACTGGCTGCATTCCAAATTCTCAATAGCCACATGACCTGACAATAGCCACATGACCTGGCAAAGTCCAGTGAAGCAGAACTGCCAGAAGTTTATGTGCATAAAGAAAGATCCTAGAGAGTAAGGCAGAATTCATTGCAAGGGAGAGTTGAAAACACTGATTCAAGATTGGTTTGGGTAAAAGGGGAGGAGGTTTTTTAAAAAAAAAAAAAAAAGTTTTTTTCCTGGAATTTGAGAGTGCCACACGAGAAGAGATAAAGTAGAAGAGGGCCATGGGGAGAGGGCTAAAATGGAGAGGCTATAGCAACAGCTCTGACAAAGAGCAGAATAAATGGAGGAGGACAGGGTGGTATGCTGGACATCCTGAACAGGCTGAGAGGGATCTGAGGGATGGTTAGAAAGCTCAAAAGTTTCTTAATTGAGTCAGAATTTAGCATATTATTTGTTAATGTTATTTTTCCCTGAGAAAATGTGCTGGACAAAAAAAAAAAGTGTAGTGTTTTTAAAATCCATCTATTTTAAAATCTATCTATTTTAAGACCTAGTTTTGAATATGTGATTTGATAGTCTCTGTTTTAAGACTGGGGAACATAGTGAGAACCCTATCTCTACAAAAAATAGATTGAAAAAAAATTAGCCAGGTGTGGCAGTGCACACTTGTGATCCCAGCTGCTTGGGAGACTGAGGTAGTAGGATCACTTGAGCCCAGGAGGTCAAGGTGGCAGTGAGCATTGATCGTGCCACTGCCTGGGTGACACACTGAGACTCTACCTGAAAAAAAAATAGTAGTTGTTTTAGAAGATACCTTGTGCCTGGATTCTCAAGTATATAAGAGGGATAATTATATCTAACTGAATGGCTGGATAAATATTACATGAGATAATGCCATATTTTCCCAATATAGTACATACTTCCTGGCTTGTCTGTGGAATTGTCCCACTTTTAGCGTAGAAAGTCCCACTGCCTGAGACAAGTTGGAATGGCTGGTTACCTTATTTACATGTGAGATAAATTTTATGGGAATCTTTTAAATTTTAATAATTATATATGTTTATGAATATGTTTATTTTAAAATAGGGTTTTTACACATGAAACGTGCCAGTTATTATTATGTAAATTAGGGACAAAGTGGGTAGGCCCCTGTGTATCCAATTTAGACAACAACATGAGTAATAGGCACAGTGTTTGGGCACGCCTGTAAATATTTTAAGCCTTTAAAAACTGAACTTTTAGAATAACTATTCAGAAGTGTTGATAATGGATATGATGTGTGTCACTGGTGAAGATTTTCATGTACTCAATTTCCATTTACATTGTTTGAATTTCCTTTAGATTTTGTTTTGTTTTTCCTTTTTTTTAAGGCAATCTAGAAAAAACATTAGTTTTAGTGACAAAAATGTTCATGATAGTAGATGAGAGACTGGGGTTTGGGAAGTGTATTAGTTCATTCTCATGCTACTATAAAGAACTGCCTGAGACTCGGTAATTTATAAAAGAAAGAGGTTTAATTGACCCACAGTTCTGCATGGCTGGGGAGGCCTCAGGAAACTTACAATCATGGATGAAGGGGAAGCAAACATGTCCTTCTTCACATGATGGCAGGAGGGAGAAGTATGAGAGCTGAGTGAAGGGGAAGCCTCTTAAAAAACCATCAGATCTCGTGAGAACTTACTCACTATCCACAAGACTAGCATGGGGGAAATGCCCCCATGATTCAATTACCTCCCACTGGGTCCCTCCCATGACACGTGGGGATTATGGGAACTACAATTCAAGATGAGATTTGGGCAGGGACACAGAGCCAAACCATATCAGGAAGTATTGAGAAAATGTGTATATAAAGCATCTTTCACAAGGCCTAGTCTATTACAGATGCTCAAGAAGTGTATTGTTCTATCTTCCTCTTTCTTCGTTGTTTGTAAGGGAACTTTGTAGAAAAGAGATGCTGAAATTAGGCAAATCAAGGTTTGAATTCTAACACTGCCAATGACTGATTGGTAGACTTGAAGGATGTTATGTAGTTCTTCCAGGACTCTATATAACAGTGGATAATGGGATTCACTTCAAAGTATCATGAGGGTCCCAGGAGAACACTGGTATAAGCAAAACAATTACATAAATTAGGGACTTGGTAAATATAATCCCTTCTTTTTCAATTTTTAAAGGTAAATTAAATAGATGATTCTGTCTATTCTTAATATTTTCTTCATTCTCTATAATTCAGGGAAAATGTCACACCTCTTCTAGTGTCTTCCTCCAGCTATCAAGCATTAACTGAAGTATAATAGCAGCTGGGACTATTAGAACAAACCTAAACAAAACAACTCAAATATAACATACAAAGCCCAATACAATTATAACAGGTATAACCTTGAAATGAGGTAATATGTTCCAGTTGCTGGAAAAAAAAATATAGATTCAAATAGTTTGATTCTGTAAGATATTTTCCCAGTGATTCTAAAAAAGGCACATTCTCTTGTCTTCTGCCTTAAAAAATTTTCATACATAACAGTACACTCTGATAACTTTGTTCCTGAGTAAAGGAGAGAGAGAAGGAAAGCAAAAGAAAGAAAAAAAGGAGGAAGAGAAGGAAAGGGGAAGGAGGAGAGGAAAAGAAAGAGGTGGGTCAAAAGGAGGAAGAGGAGGAGGGAGAAGAAGAAGACAGCAGCTAATATTTATTGTCTTCTATGTAACAGAAAACTATGCTAGTACTTGATAAAAACATTTCAAAATATTATGATTACATCCAATTCAAATTTATACCAAATCTATAATATTAGTACGCATCTGCTCTTAGAAGTTAAAAGAAAAGATAGGGAAGTCCCAAATGCTTATAATAATATCTAATTGTTTAATTACAAACTCTTTTAGCTACAAATATTTTAAAATATATTTGTATTCTTAGTCCCAAGGTTTTGTTATTTTTAACTTTCTTATAGTAGTAGTTTTATAAAACCAGTTCTCTTTATTGGTATTAAACACTTCTTAGAGTAATGTAAAACTGTTACTTATGATATAAATAGAAAATAGTAAACCTCATGCATTTTAAATCATAAGATTACACTTTTCACTTTACACTTCAAATATGCCTACTTCTATCACTATAAAAATAAGATAGAAATCTCACATTTCTATTTCAGAAGGACAGGCCTTTTGTTTAAGAGTTTGGAATCCCTTGGCTAGTCTCTATCTAGGACTAAGTTTCCAGGACAATTAAGCCTCAGTGCCGTAAGATTTTTCATCACGTATCATGAATTAACTTATCTTCTATGCATCTAGAATTGTCCAAACTATGTGCCACCTCTAGGAGAATTGAAGATAGTTGCTCAAACATTGGTGTAGCATTTAATTATCTTACAGAATGCTCATTGAAAAAGTCTTCTCAACTGAGAAAGGTTTTTGAAATAATATTATACTTTGAAAATCATGTTGCCAGTAAATAAGAGATGAATGCCATAAAAGTGATGTTAACTAGCATAGGAAGTTTATATAAAGTGAGGAAGTAAAAATCTAAAACATTTACTGTAATTTTACCTCTTATCTCCCAAGGGCACTGACCTATAAGAGAAATACAAATTTAGAAATTTCTTAGAAAGTAATTTTAGTGGTTTTTAGAAAATCAAATACAAGAATACATGTTTATATTACTAGTTTTTTCCCTTTCTTAAAGCAGTTCTCAACAACAGTGAAACTAAAGAATAAGAAAAAAAAAAGGAGCAATATAACAATCAAATATCAGTTTCAGTATATGACTGACCAAAGAGACTGAAAAGAGAAGACAGAAACCTCCCCACCACGCACAAATTCCTATATATACAAGTTCTGAATCACACCCACTTTTTTTGCTATTGGGCAGAACTGTCATCCATTTAAGCACCAGGTATATAGAAGGTAATCTAAGCCTGCGGTCCCCAAACTTTTTGGCACCAGGAACCATTTCGTGGAAGACAATTTCTCCATGGACTGGTGTGGGGGAGAGATGGTTTTGGGGTGAAACTGTTACACCTCAGTTCATCAGGCATTAGACTCTCATAAGGAGCACTTAACCTGGACACCTCACATGCGCAGTTCACAATAGGGTTTGCACTCCTATGAGAACTGTGTAGACCAGCTCCTAATAGGCCACAGACTGGTACTGGTCCTTGGCCCAGGGGTTGGGAACCCCTGATATAAGCCTATATTGAGTGTAAATTCTACTCACATTTTCCCTACTAAGAATCATCCCTCAGCAACTTCATTCTGGTAATCTGCTACACTTTACTCAGCATAAGAGGACCCAGCTAAACCTATTATTAGAGAAAAAGAAATGCACAATTGGCAGAAAAGAAACAAAATTGGGAAGAGAGCATTCTAGTCAATTGTAGTTTTATGAACAAAAGCATGACACTATAAGAGTGCATGAAAATATAGTCAAGTGCAATTAAATAATTAAATGCAGAGGTAGTTGGGTAGGGTAAGGACTAAGTAGGAGCCAGATACTTGTTGATTGGATGAAGAAGTGATGTGCTTTGAACACAATTCTTCATATATGACGGGCAGACTGATAGTTGTCTCCCTAAATCTGTGCTTCTCTCTTTCATCGGCACATGGCCAGTTAGCTAGAGACCGTATTCTTCAGCCTCCCACACACCCAGGTGCAGTCACATGAGTGAGTTCTCACGAGTGGAATGTAGGTAGAAGTAATGTGTACAATATGAAAACTTGATTTAAAAAAATTGCTAATATGAATTTACTAATTGCAATGGTTAATTTTATGTGTCAAATTGACTGAGCCATGGGGTGCCGAGATATTAGGTCAAACATTATTCTGGATGTGTCTGTGGGGGTGTTTTGGATGAGATTAACAATGAATCAATACACTGAATAAAGCAGATTGCCTTTCCCAATGTGAGTGAGCCCCAACCAATCCATTGAAAGCATGAATGGAACAAAAAGCTCAGCCCTATCGCGAATAAGTGGGAACTCAGGCCTTTGAACTCAGACTGGAACTATACATAGCCTCTTCTGGGTCTCCAGCCTGCTGACTGACAATCTTGGGCTTTGTCAGTCTCCATAATTGCTGAGCCAGTTCCTTATTTTACACACACACACACACACACACACACACACACACACACACAACACACACACACACACACACACACACCCCTACTTCTGTTTCTCTGGAGGACCCTGACTAATACACTAATTTTCTCCTTCCAATGGCCTCAAATAATGTGGATATCATGGTGGCAAGTCAGTCTTGACGGTCTAGCTGAGGACACACCCTAGAGGATGAGAGTTAACCAAATGAAAGAAACCTGGGTGTGTGAATGACCTTGTAAAAAAGGAGCTGCCCTACCTGCTTATGCCTGTTGGATTGTTACAGGAAAAAATAATCTCTCTTATTAAGCCATTTAATTTGGGGATATCCTTATTACAACATCTTAACTATTACCTTGACTAATATAATGGAACTCTGTTGAAGAACTTCAGCAAAGACAAGGACATAATTGGATGTTTTAGAAGACTTATTTGGGTAGCCACATGGAGGATGGCTTAGAAGAAGGAGTGACCAAAGCAGGGAACCAGATAGAAGGCCAACCCTTGATGATTGTATCTCCTAAATATTTCAGAATTTGTAAATGCTATTGCCATTATCTCTGTGCAATTTCCTCATCAATTACCTAAAAGTTCTCAAGCATCTTCTACAGGATTTTTTCTGCCTATGTTCTTGACTCCCTCAAATCTATCTTTGGAGGAGGGCATTAACACGGTATTAATGCATCTGCAGATTTTTGTCTAAAATATAACGTGACCATGCCCTTTATCTAATTAAAATTCCAAACAGTTTTGTCACCTACGGAATTAGGTTTGAAACGTGTTTGCTTGGTTTATTTCCTAGAAGAATTTTGAAAAGCATTGTAAACCTTTCACATTTCAAAGCTGACATCTACATTTTTTATCTTTATGGCCGTAAAGATATAATTTCTAAAATATTGAAAACTGATATATCACTCATTTAAAAATATCAATAGAGTTAAATAGCATGGTGATTTGACACCAAGATTCATACACTAAAAATTTATAGACAGACTTTTATTTGAGTCAGAAATTTTATACAATTCCTTTTGCTTCTTAAATTTGTATTTTTATCTCTTTCGATATGAGATTTTAGGTAAAATATATTTTTAAGTATCAAGGACTTTTTTATTATCTCGAGGGTCTTCTCTGTAACAAAAAATTATAGAAGTTAATTTTTTAATTCTTGTGGTCAAAAGACCTGTGTCAAATATGTCTTCTGGTTTAATTATTATTACAGTTATTAGTAAACAATTGGCCAAACTTCTGTACTAGAAGTTTTGATAATTTCAAAACAAAAAGTAAATGTTATTGGAATGCATATATTGATGAGATA
Source organism: Homo sapiens (assembly GCF_000001405.40). Classification (NCBI taxonomy): domain Eukaryota; kingdom Metazoa; phylum Chordata; class Mammalia; order Primates; family Hominidae; genus Homo; species Homo sapiens. The sequence goes on along the minus strand of NC_000012.12, from coordinate 88,354,213 downwards.
GGCAAGGCTGCCTCTTCTCAATTTGTTTATATATTTGATAATTTTATTTATCTTATTGTTAGAATGAGCTAGGATTCAAATCCAGTTATATTCTAGTTTTCATTTTTATGAGCATAAATCCTAAGAAACGTCAGTTGCATGAATAAATGGGAATGAAATAAAACTTTGTTAAAGCAATTTAACTTAATGCTTTAAAACTTCCAAGTAACATGCAAAAGAAATCACATGCCAATCTATCGTCAAAAATAATTTATAATCATCTAACATTTGACAACTAAATTATTTCTTTCTTAATTTAATTGAAAGCCAAAATTTTTAAACCATTTGACATCAAAATTATTTTTTACCCAGTTGTTAGAGTCACTCAATTTCTGAGTTTAGAGGAATTCTATCAAAAAGACTTTACCAAAACTTTTCAAATAACTTAATTATATCCATTATGCTTCCACTAAGAGGCACCTTACTTAACCTAATACATTCAAAAGCAGTAGGAGAAATCTAAATATTATTAATATAAATATATATTTGCCAAAACTACATAAGTTTATCATGTCACGTTTTAAAATGCCATTTTTGTCAAAACATTGGAACTATAAATTTCATTCATTTTTTGAAAAATGGTCACCATATAAATGAATAGGCAAAATCAATCCTAATGGTCAAGCCAATCAACCAATTCAGACCTACATTTCCTAGAAAATGTCTAACTTCATTTTTTACTACAATAAATAATGTAATATGCCTTCTTACAACATCCGCCTGTCTAGTAGTTCTATTATCTCTGTCATTTCATGTCTATATTGACTTCATATTCACCTTGTTATGGTCTATAATTTCTTGCTTTTGCATGTTTTTCAGTTTTTTTCATGAGATTCTAGTCATTGTGAATATTATGCTGTTAGTGTTGGATTTTGTTTTGTTTTAGTAATTCTTTAAATATTATGGGGCCTTTTTTGGTTTGGTGGACACAAGTTACCTAAAAATGGTTTGATCTTTTCAAGACTTGCTTTTAAGCTTTGCTAGGTGTTCCCCAACAGGGACTGAACAAGTCAGTCTAGGGCTGACTTGGCCTCATTACCTGGGCAATGCCCTTCTGAGGATATCATTCAATACCCCATATGGTAAAAGGCTCGGTTTGGGCCTAGTGATGGTGGTCCTACTTGTCCTGTGGCCTGGAAAAACTCAAGGCAATAAGATGGGGCAATTCTATGATTCAACTAACTTGCTTCCTCTTCTAAGGAATTACTCTTCTGTACTGCCTGTTTTCCAGTGTGTGAAAACAATTGTTTCATATATTTCTTTTTTTTTTTAGTTTGTTTAAATTACAGGGCAGGGATGGGAGGGCATTCTACTTCCTGCAGTTTTATCATTACTGGACATGGAAGTATCACTTCCTATTCTTGAATGTATCTCAATTCAGAAAATCTCAACAGAGGCCAAAACACCCTGCTTCTAATCTCATGTATCATTCTTAGCAAAAATTTATATAAGACAGTCAAACATATGAGTCAGTACCATGGTTTGATATTATTATCTGAACAAGGCTTTCTATATTCCAATACTTTAAATTTTCTATATTTTGGCATCCTGAAGGTTTTATTTTTGATAAGATGTACCATTTAAATATTTGGATGTGTAAATAATATTTTGTATTACTCAGGGTCCAATCAGGAGAAAGAAGGTAATTTGAATAGGTATTGTATGAGAAAAGAAATATTAACTATTTACAGGGAATCAGCTATTAAAAAGAAATGACAGTGAATGTTAAAGAATACCATGGGGCTGAGGAAGAATACCAAAGAAAGCAATAAACTTGAAAAGAGGCCCCTTCCCTAAGCTAGGATTCAGACCTCACTGGAGAAGTTCTGGTTGCAGCATACTGGATGGGGGGAAAGTTAACAGGGCTGTCCTAAGTCAGAGCTGGTCCACAATCACTGGGCCAAGGCTGACAGAGAGGAAAATACAGCCTGGGACTGGCATGCTCAAATATAACACCACTATGTATCTGCATGCTGCTGGCTGCAATAGCAAACTGAGAATAGGTACACCTAATCCAGAGAAGAAACCCTCCTGCACTGTTATTCCACCTCACTCTACTGGCAAAGGAAAAATGTCTATAAGATTCAGCTCCAATATCACCATCGGGGCAATGAAGGGTGAATTTGGAGTTAAGAAACAATAATGTAAATGAATCATGCCATTGTTTCTTTCTTTCCTTCTTTTGTTCCCCCGCCACCCTCAGTGGAATTATGAAAGGAGGTAGAAAATTGAGCCAGCACGAATGGTTTGACCCCAGGTATGTTCTCAGGCTGATCAACTCTATAGAAAGAGTAATTATGGAAATTCTCTCTCTTGCTCCTGTTCTTGCCATGTGAAGTGCCTGCACCCTTCCACCACGAGTAAAAATTTCCAAAGGCCTTTTCAGAAGGTGAGCAGATGCTGGTGCCATGCTTGTACAGCTTGCAGAACCAGGAGCCAATTGAACTGCTTTTCTTTTCAAATTACATAGTCTCAGGTATTTCTTTATAGCAAGGCAAGAAGGGCCTAACATACACTCCATATCATATAGTTAGCTATTGCTCATCCCTTTATATCTCATTTTAGGAATCACCTTAACTAGAAAGCTTTTCCCTGCCTTACTTAACTGAATGTAATTAAATGTCCCTCCTCTGTGCTTCCCCAATATTAACCATTCATCTCTATCAACACTTGTCACCTTGTATGTTTTAACTATACTATTTCATTATTGTTTACAAGTACTGTGATTATTAATCTGCTTATGTCCAGTATCTAACAAAAACATGGTTTTATTTTATAAAAACATAAAATAAATGAGTCAACTGTAATTATCCAGGAAATATTTATGGAATCTTGAAGAACATTGTGCAAGAGATGTATCCAATAGAGATGTAAAATACAAGTTTAACAAAATTTGATGATAAATTAGGGAGGTATGGAAGATAATAAATGCAGAAATGCTTACATGCTTTCTAATGTTTTTCTTTAAGTAAATGACTAGGTAGAGGTAATATTGTTAGAGTAAGACAACCCAGGAATAGGGACAGATGTGGGCGTGGGGAATAGTAGAGTACATAGATTATATATTGCTTTATAAAAAAACAAAAAAAAAACTAATGGCTTAAAACAGGGATCAGCACACTTTTTCTGTAAAGGATCAGATAGAAACTATTTTAGGCTCTGTGAGCCATACAGTCCCTATCACAACTATTGAACTCTGCTTCTATAGCACAAAAGCAACCAACAGCACTGCAAGAACAGGCAGGGGCTGTGCGTTGCCATCCCATGTCACTACAGTCATTCTATCAGCTCACCTGGGAGGAGAGGTATAAAATGGCCTCATTTATAAAACTAGGAGTTATGCTGGCTTTTATCTTCATCACCTGGTATTCCTCTATGTGTTTTCCCATCCTTCAATAGGCTAGATTGGTTTTCTTACAAGGTAATGTTCCAAGAGAGTAAAAATGTTAACTACTTGGCCTCCTAAGGACTGTTGTCATAGTTGCACAACATAATTTCTGCCATGTTTTATTGGTCAACATGAGGCACAAAGTTGGCCAAGTTTAAAATGATAGGGAAAACAGATTCAGCTTCTTGATGGTGGCAGCTGAAAAATATTGTGGCCATATTTTACATCTGCCATAGGGAGGCATAGGAATTTGGAGTTTAGAAGAAAGTGGAAGTAAAAAAATATATATCATGTATTAATAGCTATCAGTATATGTATTATAACTAAAATTATGAGAATGAATAAGATTTTTTGGGAAAACTAAATACACACACAAATATTTATTTGTCTCCATGTATCTTTCTCTCTCTCTCTCTCTCTCTCTATATATATAACATATATAAAAATATATTTATATCATGTATTTTATGATGGAAAAAACCTCATTAAATATCAACAGAAATAGATTATGAAAGCACAATATTGAGTGACAAAGTCAGAATTTTATGCAAATATGAGAGAATATATATAATTTCTTTTTTGAGACAGGGTCTCACTCTGTCACCCTGGCTGAAGTGGCATGATCATGGCTCACCGCAGCCTCAGCCTCCCGGGCTCAGATGATCCTCCCACCTCAGCCTCCCAAGTAGCTGGGACTACAGGCATCCACCACCAGGGTTGACTAATTTTTGTATTTTCTGTAGAGACAGGGTTTTGCCATGTTGCCCAGGCTGGTCTCGAACTCAAGCAATCCACCTGCCTTGGCCTCCCAAAGTGCCACCGCTTACAGGTGCAAAGCCACTGCACCCAGCCTATAAATTTTAAATATATTAAATCTACACATTGCTTTTGCACAATTAATAATAACTAATACATGTAACTCCTCTATGTCATGCCCTCTTCTAAGCACATTTTGTATACTAACTCTATAATTATTGAAACTTCTGAGTTTAGTACACTAGTACAACAATCCTTTTTGATATAAAGGATAAACTTGATGCAAATAAAGGTCAAGTACTTGTCCAAGACCACATGGTTACATGACAAAGCTAGGAATTAAACCCAATGTAAAAATGTGTATTGGATGTAGCTCAACTACTGGATAGTTGCTGCCTTAAGACAGGAAGTAATGGTAGTAAAAGATGGCAAGAAACCAAAGTAATTATACTATTTATCTGTATGTAGATAAATAGAAAAAATAGATAGATAGTATAGCTTTTCCAGCAAAAAAAGACCAGAAACAATTATCAACCAACCTGCTTAAGAATGATTAATATTTCTAGTACTCAGATTGTGCTCTTAAAATACCATTTCTCCATATGAACTGTAAAGTAGTTTTTTTCCAATTCTGTGAAGAAAGTCATTGGTAGCTTGATGGGGATGGCATTGAATCTACAAATTACCTTGAGCAGTATGGCCATTTTCATGATATTGATTCTTCCTACCCATGAGCATGGAATGTTCTTCCATTTGTTTGTATCCTCTTTTATTTCCTTGAGCAGTGGTTTGTAGTTCTCCTTGAAGAGGTCCTTCACATCCCTTGTAAGTTGGATTCCTAGGTATTTTATTCTCTTTGTAGCAACTGTGAATGGGAGTTCACTCATGATTTGGCTCTTTGTTTGTCTGCTATTGGTGTTTAGGAATGCTTGTGATTTTTGCACATTGATTTGGTATCCTGAGACTTTGCTGAAGTTGCTTATCAGGTTTAGGAGATTTTGGGCTGAGACGATGTGGTTTTCTAAATATACAATCATGTCATCTGCAAACAGGGACAATTTCACTTCCTCTTTTCCTAATTGAATACACTTTATTTCTTTCTCTTTCCTGATTGCCCTGGCCAGAACTTCCAACACTATGTTGAATAGGAGTGGTGAGAGAGGACATCCCTGTCTTGTGCCAGTTTTCAAAGGGAATGCTTCCAGTTTTTGCCCATTCAGTATGATATTGGCTGTGGGTTTGTCATAAATAGCTCTTATTATTTTGCAATATGTTCCATCAATACCTAGTTTATTGAGAGGTTTTAGCATGAAGGGCTGTTGAATTTTGTCGAAGGCCTTTTCTGCATCTACTGAGATAATCATGTGGTTTTTGTCATTGGTTCTGTTTATGTGATGGACTACGTTTATTGATTTACTTATGTTGAACCAGCCTTGCATCCCAGGGATGAAGCCTACTTGATCATGGTGGATAAGCTTTTTGATGTGCTGCTGGATTCGGTTTGCCCAACTGAAAAATAACCCACATTGCCAAGACAATCCTAAGCAAAAAGAACAAAGCTGGAGGCATCATGCTACCTGACTTCAAACTATACTACAAGGCTACAGTAACCAAAACAGCATGGCACTGGTACCAAAACAGAGAGATAAACCAATGGAACAGAACAGAGGCCTCAGAAATAACACCACCTGTCTACAACCATCTGATCTTTGACAAACCTGACAAAAACAAGAACTGAGGAAAGGATTCCCTATTTAATAAATGGTGCTGGGAAAACTGGCTAGCCTTATGTAGAAAGCTGGAACTGGATCCTTTCCTTACACCTTATACAAAAGCTAGTTCAAGATGGATTAAAGACCTAAATGTTAGACCTAAAACCATAAAAACCCTAGAAGAAAACCTATGCAATACCATTCAGGACATAGACATGGGCAAGGACTTCATGACTAAAACACCAAAAGCAGTGACAACAAAAGCCAAAATAGACAAATGGGATCTAATTAAACTAAAGAACTTCTGCACAGCAAAAGAAACTACCATCGGAGTGAACAGGCAACTTACAGAATGGGAGAAAATTTTTGCAATCCATCCATCTGACAAAGGGCTGATATCCAGAATCGACAAAGGGCTAATATCCAGAATCTACAAAGAACTTAAACAAATTTACAAGAAAAAAACAGACAACCCCATCAAAAAATTGGCAAAGGATATGAACAGACACTTCCCAAAAGAAGACATTTATGCAGCCAAAAGACACATGAAAAAATGCTCATCATCACTGGTTGTCAGAGAAATGCAAATCAAAACCACAGTGAGATACCATCTCACAGTTAGCATGGCGATCATTAAAAAGTCAGGAAACAACAGATGCTGGAGAGGATATGGAGAAATAGGAACACTTTTACACTGTTGGTGGGACTGTAAACTAGTTCAACCATTGTGGAAGACAGTGTGGCAATTCCTCAAGGATCTAGAACTAGAAATACCATTTGATCCAGTGATCCCATTACTGGGTATATACCCAAAGGATTATAAATCATGCTACTATAAAGACAGATGCACACATATGTTTATTGCAGCACTATTCACGATAGCAAAGACTTGGAACAAACCCAAATGTCCATCAATTATAGACTGGATTAAGAAAATGTGGCACATATACACCATGGAATACTATGCAGCCATAAAAAAGGATGAGTTCACGTCCTTTGTAGGGACATAGATGGAGCTGGAAACCATCATTCTCAGCAAACCATCACAAGGAAAACCAAACACCACATGTTCTCACTCACAGGCGGTAATTGAACAATGAGATCACTTGGACACAGGACAGGGAACATCACACACAGGCACCTGTCATGGGGTGGAGGGCAGGGGGAGGGATAGCATTAGGAGAAATACCTAATGTAAACGATGAGTTAATGGGTGCAGCAAACCAACATGGCACATGTATACCTATGTAACAAACCTGCACATTGTGCACATGTACCCTAGAACTTAAAGTATAATAATAATAAATAAAAAATACCACTTCTCATGAAAAGAAACTGGGCTTAGAAAAATGGGTGACTCTTGATTCCAGGCTTGTGTCAGAAAACATGTACAATGAATGTGAAATAACTTGACTACCAGATAGTAAGGATATTCTCAAAGGCTCTACATCATGTCAAAAGAAAGCCCAAACCCCTCAGCCAAAAATGGGAAAAATGAGCTTCAAGAAGGATAATAATTGCAATAGATTAAAATACGTCAAATGGCTGGTCAGGGTGGCTCACACCTGTAGTCCTGGCACTTTGGGAGGCCGAGGCAGGTGAAGGGCTTGATTTCAGGAGTTCAAGACCAGCCCGGGCAACATGGTGAAATCCTGCCTCTACCAAAAATACACACACACACACACACACACACACACACACACACACACAAATAAAAAAAAATTAGCCAGTCATGGTATCAAGAGCCTGTAGTCCCAGCTACTCAGGAGGCTGAGGTGAGAGGATCGCATGAGACCAGGAGGCGGAGGTTGCAGTGAGCCAAGATCATGCCACTACACTCTAGCCTGGGTGACAGAGAGAGAGACCCTGTCTCCAAAAATAAAAATAAAATAAAATAAAATACATCAAATGTGCTTAACCCTTATTTTCAAAATAACAGGTAAAACATTGTGCATCCTTGAAGATTGCCTGAGAGACAGTTCATTTTCTTGAAAACTGATAAAATAAGGGAAACAATTGAGCCGGTAGTCTGTCTTTCCTTTGTTATATCAATACTATAGTATCAATAGTTTGTCATATCAATAGTGTCTTTCCTTTGTTATATATAGTAAACAAATAGCTGATGAAAGGAAGTTTCTTTTTAAAGAAGTGAATCAGGTAACCAATGCAGAACTTATCAGAATATCACCATTTGCAACACCAGTCAAGTAATAGATCCATGCAGTTACCAATGACTGCTAATATCACCAAAAGAGAGCTATCCAGATATTGTATAACTCCTTAGAGAAGTATATCACACCATCTGTAAACAATCTTGTCAAAAACATAAAGCAATCAGATCAAGCCTCTATATCTAATTACCAATTTGCAAAGTACAGAGAAATATATTAAATGAAACTATTATATGGATGGATGAACAAAATTTGGGCAGAGAGCAAAAGACATTACACAACATGCATTAGGTTTCTTACAAAAAGTATGGTTACGTTAAAAAAAGGAACCTCCATTTTCTGGCCTTGGAATGTAAGAAGCTGGAAGTCACCACTGTCTCACAACAAGTGAAAAGCTGAGCAAATTGAAAAATCAACAAACTTTCTGAGAATATTCAGAGAAATGAGGTCATAAGGCAAACTGCTGCCCCCAAAAATTGAAAGGCCAACGGGCAAATAGAGAGAGTTACAACACATCAAAACAGGAACCCATGAACACAAACCTCCTCAGAAACCAGTGCAAAAGTGGGGAAACCTGAACTGTAATTGATGAATTGCTGGAGGCTTAGTGTGGATAGATCTGAGAGAGAAAACTCCAGGGGGACCCAGTCATAGGTGTGACCCTACCTTTTGTGACTTTTACCTACAAGAGTGTGAAAAGATGCTCATAGTGAATATCAGGCAGGGGGAATTATTTAACCAGAGCCTAACATGCTGAGGCTTTACCAGAGCCTAACCAACCTGAGAAATTAGATACAGTCAACTGATCTTTGACAAAGGAGCAAAGGCAGTACAATGGAGAAAAGATAATCTATTTAACAAATGGGACTTGAATGACTGGACATCCACCTGCAAAAAAAAAAACAAAAAAAAAAAACTGAATCTGCACTTAGACTTTACACCCTTCACAAAATTTAACTCAAGATGAATAACACATCTAAGTGTAAAATGCAAAATCGGAAAACTCCTAGAAGATAATTAAGAAAAAAATCAAGATGACCTTGGGTTTGGAGATGATTTTCTAAAATACAACAACACAGGCACAATCCATGAAACAAATAATTAATACACTGGACTTTGTTAAAATTAAAAATTTCTGCTCTGGAAAAGACACTATCAAAAGAATGAAAGGCAAACAACAGACTGAAAGAAGATATTTGCAACATATATAGCTGATAAAGCATTGTTATTAAAATATACAAAGAATTATTAAAATTCAACAATAAGAAAACAATTTGATTAAAAAATGTGCCAAAAACCTTGAGATACCTCAACAGGAAAGATATACAGAAGGCACATAAGCATATGAAAAGATGCTCCCTATCATATGTCATCAGGGAAATGCAAATTAAAACAGTGAGATACATTGCACATCTATTAGAATGGCCAAAATCCAGAATACTGACAATACCAGATGCTAGCAATGATGTGGAACAACAGGAACTCTCATTCGTTGCTGGTGGGAATGCAAAATGATACAGCCACTTTGAAAGTCAGTTTGGTAGTTTCTTACAAAACCGAACATACTCTTACCATATGAACCAATAATTACACTCCATGCTATTTACTCAAAGTGATTAACAACTTATGTTCACACAAAGCCTGCACGCAGATGTTTATAGGAGTTTTATTCATAATTGCCAAAACTTATAAGCAACCAAGATGTCCTTCAGTAAGTGATTCGATAAATAAACAATGGCACATCCAAATAATGAAATATTATTCAGTGCAAAAAAGAAATAATACATTATCCTGGGAGAAGACATGCATATGTTGGGTGGGGAGTATGTGGGAAATCTCAGTACCTTCTGCTCAATTTTGCCATGAACATAAAACTGTTATAAAAAACAGTCTATTAAAATATAAAAAGGAATCTAGAAATTAAATAAAGGTCACTCCTTATTTGAATCCTGAATAAAAAAATAAATTAGCAGGGGAATAAAATGGATGGGGTATTAGATTAAATGAAATTGCCCATAAACTGATGCTCTTTGAACTTGGGTGATAGAAATATGAGGTATATTATAGTAGTCTACTTTTGTATAATTGAAATTTTCCACCAATAAAAAGTGAAACCATTAAACAAAAAAACACACACACACAATACATAATTAAGCTATAACTTATAATAATAAAATAAACACACTTGATTCTGCTACCCATTTTATCAAACCAATACTGTTACACCCAGCTGGTGTTTCTCTCTGATCTCTTTCCCTTTAGCTCCATCCCAAGTGATAACTATTATCCTGAGTTTTTTGTGATTACCTAAAGTTTCCATCATCATCATCATTATTATTTTATTGTTATTTTTGAGCTTCATAAAAATATTTTCAGCAGGCACAAGGGCTCACATCTGTAATTCCAGCACATCGGGAGGCCAAAGTGGGAGGATCGCTTGAGGCCAGGAGTTCAAAACCAGTATGAGCAACATGGCAAGACCCTGTCTCTATAAAAAATACAAAATTAGCTGGGAAAGGTGGTGCGTACCTGAAGCCTGGCTACGTGGGAGGCTGAGGTGGGAGGATTGCTTGAGCTCAGAAGGTTGAGGCTGCAGTGAGCCATGACTGCACCACTGCACTCGGCATGGGCAACAGAATGAGACCCTGTCTCACAAATTAAAAAAAATAAAATAAAATAAAAATATTTTGATAGTTTAAGTAATCTCATGAAATTTGTTTTTTCACTCAACATTATGATTCTAAACTTCATTCACATAGTTCATTTATTTCCTTTATGAGAATGCTTAATATAGAATCATAATTAGAGATTTCAATATCCAGGATTAACTAAATCAAAAACTTCTAGAGAGCAGAGACTGTGATTCTTCACCAGTTTTGTCATCTAGCAAAAGGCAAGCTACATGGTAGATACTTAATAAGTGAACATTTAATCAACAACTAAAAAAAGAACTGAAAAATGTTTGTATGAATAAAACAATTTGTGCTTCAGTTAAAAAAAAAGAACTGAATTATTACTAAGATTTTAAGACTAATTATTAGAAAAACTATTAAAAGGCAGAGATTAGAGACTCCTGTACTAGATGCAATTGTGCATAGGCCCTTCACTTGTTGGACTCAATGTCTTCCATTTTGAAATTATAACATGTAGCATTAAAATAAATATTTACTCAAAGAATAATCTTCTCATTTTTAGGATTCAATTACATAGGATTCAAGTGCTGATTTTTATATCCAGTCCAAAAAATTACATAAATTACATATCACTGAAATAAATAATTTTATAGGGTTAATTGAAAACTGACAGACGGCTGGCACTAAAATTGATGCTGAGAAGTCAAATCTGATGCAAGAAAGATTAGTCTTCAAAAGAAAAAAGAAAAAAGAAAAGAATGCTACCTAAGCTCAACCATTTCTCTTTTTCATTTAAGAAGGAGTTTACACTTGGAATAGAGGCCAATGATTTACTAGTTTAAGTTTTCTCTCAACAGCATTCTGGTTAGTCTCAGCATTCAAACACAACAGCTTCATTATGCAAACCCAAGCATCATGCTTTATTTTTATCACTTTTAGGAAACTGTAATGGAATGAATTTAGAGAAGGAAGACTAATATCCTCTCTGACATTATTGTTGATGAAAGCACTTCACTTCTCTGCAAGGAGCACAAGTCTTTGCCAACAATGGCTATTGAGTCTTTAGATAAAGTCTTATAAAAAGTTCAGAGGAGAAATAATGAGCTACAATTTAAATCCAGCAACTGGAACCATTGCCCAATATTACTAAGAGGTCTAAAGTCTCAGGAAAATTTGTTCAACCTAAACATAAAAGTTAGGCACATTTATCTATTAAATATTTCCAGTCTTCTTTTCAGATGTGGTTATCCAGTGATACCATATTATTTTGTTCTGCTTCTTTTAGAAATATAATTTTTTTGCTTTCAACGAATTGAGGGGTGGGAAAAGACAATATTAGGCTTGGAATGCTTATTCTTTTTCAGCTATACATGTATTTTTTGCCAGGTATAATTATGGACATAAAAATACATGTGAGTCTCAGAAACTATCAGGTAGTGAGCCGATGACAAATAGTTTATTTTCTTCCTTTGGTCCTTATTTATGTTTGCTTACTACTTTTCATGGTATTGATGGTTAGAGAATCAAACCTGCCAAGTTAAATAAAAGTGTGTCACAGATTAGACCTTGTTGTAGTTCCTTACCATACAACATGACAAGAAATGGTAAGGACATGTTATATAGAGCTGAAATAAGACTGGTGGTCATTGGAATAACCGCAATAAAGTATTGTCACTTAATGTGGAGTTTCTCAGTGGGTCTAAGATGTTGACATTTATTCCTGTTGGGGGATTTTGAAGAGCTGAGGTAGTCAGACCTTAGACATCAAGCAACTTCATCAAATTTACTTCAGTATGTCACACTGATATAACCATATTCTCTATGTGTCCTTATATGAAAATGATTGTAAAGCCCTGGCCTAATGTAATAGAATTAATCCAAAAAACTTTCTTAATAAATTAAATTTACATTCCTAAGTTGTTATTAGCTTTCATTGTTATTAATTGACTATAATAATAATAATAATAATATTTTTTGAAACGGAGTCTCACTGTCACCTAGGCTGGAGTGCAATGGCATGATCTCGACTCACAGCAACCTCCACCTCCCTGGTTCATGTGATTTTCCTGCCTCAGCCTCCCAAAGTGCTGGGATTACAGGCATAAGCCACCATGCCCGGCAGACTATTATAATTATTTTTGAAGTAAGTGTACTGCTGGTATATATAAATTCCAAAAAATTTTATATAATTCAATAAATATTGATATTAAAATATAATAATGCTACACATAGGCCTGAGAGATATATTCTATTTTATAATTCTTATTACTAGTTGGCCAGAGATACCTTATTTATCAAATTAATTTCTTATAAATAAAATATTGATCTACAGAAAGGAATACAGAATAAATACATAAACAAATATAAGATACTTTTTATTATGTAAATTACTTTAAAAGATAATCAACTGTTTAAATCTAAAATAGTAACAACATAGTGTGGGGTTTCTAATAAATGAAGATTAAAGCATATGATAGCAATAACACAAAGACCCAGAGGAGGGAAATGGAAATATACTATAAGGCTTTTACTAGTTAAAAGTAAGCTATACTAAATGAAAGATGAGCCATAGAGCACTCATTAAATAACACAACAAAGAGTTGTAAATAACCAGACAACAAAGAAGATAAAAATAATTAGTTGATACTAGATTAATTCAAAGGAATGCAGATACTTGGGGGAAAAACACATGGAATAAGTAGAAAACACACAGCAAAATTATAGATTTAAACTCAATCATATCAATCATCACATTGTGAATGGTCAAATCATAATTAAATAAAAGGTAAATTGTCAGATTGGAATTTAAAAAAAAAAAAAGCATGACACACCTTATGAGTTGAACTGTGTCCTTCCAAAAAGATACAGCAGCTCCCGTTATCCTCAGGGGATACACTCCAAGACCTGCCATAGTTGCCTGAAGCCACTGATAGTACCAAGGCCTATATAAACACTTATCATGCACTGTGGCTATAACTTGTGCAGTTAGCAGTGCAACCGCAAAGAAACTATCACAAATTTCTTTTCTCCTCTTCACAATTTCATGGATACATGATTGGTTCTTTTCATAGACCTTAGCAACTTCCGCATAAAATGTTTTCTTTCCTTAAGTCAAGAACTTTTACCTTTTCACTTAAAGCAGTTTAGAGCTTCTTTTTGGCATATGCAAATTGCCAGCATCACTACTTGAGTTTGGAGCAATTATTAAGTCAAATAAGGGGTTACTTGAACACAAACACTGTGATCCAGGACAGTGAATCTGATAACCAGGCAGGCTACTAAGTGATTTGGGTAGCTTAGATGGTGTGGATGATTCATTACCTGGGTCAGACGGATTTGGACAGCATGACATTTCATCATGCTACTCAGAGCAGAGCACAATTTAAAATTTATGAATTGTTTATTTCTGGAATTTCCCATGTACTATTTTGGAACCATGGTTGACTGTGGATAGCTGAAACCATGGAAAGCAAAACCATGGACAAGAGAGGACTACCATATATTGAAGTCCTAACTCCCAGTACCTCAAAATGTGATCTTATTTGGAAATAGGTTCTTTGAGAGGTAATCAAGTGAAAATGAAGCCATTTGGGTAAACCTTCATCCAAAATGATGGGTGGCCTTCTTAAAGAAGGAAATTTGGATGAAGGCACAGACAAACACAGAGGAAAGATGATGTGAAGATACAGGGAGAATGTCATCTGAAAATGAGGACAGAGTGATACATGTGCAAACCAAGGAGTGCCTGAGGCTACCAGAAGCTAGCAAGGAACAGTTTCTTCTCTAGCACATTACAAGAGAATGTAGCATTTCTGACATCTTAGTTTAAGACTTCTGGCCTCCAGGACTGTAAGACAAGAAATCTCTGTAATTTTAACACCTCATTCTCAGTAATTAAACAAGTAGAGAGATAATTACCAATGATGTAGAAGACTTGAATAACATTATCAAGCAATTATCAAGACTTGAATAACATTACCCATTGAAATTTACAGAACACTACAGCCAACAAGAGCGTAATACATACTCTTTTTAAGTGCACATGGAAGCTAACTCCTATTCTGAGTCATAAAGGAGGTCTCAACAAGTTTAAAATGACTCAAGTCAAAGTATGTTCTCTGACCACAATTGTATTACATTTGAAGTTAATTACAGAAAGTTACTTAGAAAATCTCAAGATATTATGAACTAAACAACAGAACTCTAAATAACCCATGACCAAACAGGATCAATCCTATAAATGCATGTTTGACTTAACATTGGACATTAATCAACATACTTCACCATATTAAAAAAATAAAAAGGAAAATTATATAATTATCTCAATAGATGCAGACAAAGCATTTGACAAAATCTCATAGCAATTTCTATAAAAGCTGTCAGCAAACTAGAGATACAAGAGAACTTCCTCAACCTGATAAAAGGCATCGTATTCATTTCTTCTGCTACCATAACATACCAAAAATTTAGTGGCTTAGAATAACACAAATTCACAGTTCTGGAGGCCCAAAGTTTAAAAGAGGTGGGCAGGGCTGTGTTCCTTCTAGAGGTTCCAGGGAAAAGTCCATTTTCTTACCTTTCCCAGGCTTTAGAGGGTTCCCTCACTCCTTGGCTTATGATCTCTTAGTACTTCTTCCATCATCACATTTCATTCTCTAACTACACCACTACTCCTTCCTACTTAAAAAGGCCTCTGATTATATTACGCCTAACTTGATAATGCATTATAATCTTCCCAACTCAAAATCCTTAAGTTAGTCACATCTGTAAATTCCCTTTTGTTATGTAGGGTAACATAGTCATAGGTGCCAAGAATTAGGACATGGACACTTGTGGGGAAGTGGAGGAGCATTATTCAGTCTACCACAGGCATCTATGAAAAGCCTAAAACTAATAACATTTTTATGTTGAAATACTGGGTGATTTTCCCCTAAGACCAGGAGAAGGTGAAGATGTCTGCCTTTATCACTTATATTCAAATTGTAGCAGAGTTTCTAGCCATTTTGCAATATTACATGAAATGGAAATAAAAGGCATCCAGATTGGAAAGAGATAAGTTAAGCTCTCTTTGCAATTAACATAATTGTCTGTGTAGAAAATCTAATGGAACCTACAAAAATGCTGCCACAATTATGAGTGAGTTTAGCAGGTTTGGAGGACATAAGAACAACATAAAAAAATTGTATTTATATATACTAACAACAAACAATTGAAAACTAAAATAAAAAAGAAATAATATTTTTGGAAAATAGAATCAAAACTATAAAGTACACAGGAATAAAACTAACAAAAGATGTGGAAGAACTACATACTAAAAACTACAAAATACTGTTGAGAGGAATTAAAGAAGACCTGGAAAAATGGGAAGAAACACAGTGTTCGCAAATTGGAAGGCTCACTATTATGAGGATGTTAACTTTTCTAAAAACAAAGTATAGATTCAAAACAGTTCAAGTTAAAATACCAGCAGGATTTTTTGGTAAAACTTTATAAACTGATTCTAACATTTATCTGGAAATGCAGAGCGCCTAGAATAGCCAAAACAACTCTGATAAGAAAGTAAAGCTAAGACACTAATACTACCTGATTTCAAGATTTATAATAAAATTACAGTAATCAAAATAGTATGTTATTTGCATCCAGACAGAGAAGTAGATTAAAGGAATACAATAGAGTACATAAATAGACCCACATCCATACAATCAATTGATTTTCCACAAAATTTCGAAAGCAATGTAATAGATAAAGGAGAGCATTTTCAACAAGTGTGCTGGAATAAATATGAAAAATAAATTTTGTTCCATGACCTTCATCATATACAAAAGGTAACTTAAAATGGATCACAGACTGAAAGTAAAATCTAAAACTATAAACATTTTGGAAGTAATCATAGAGGAAAATCTTTGTGACCTTTGGTGAAGTAAAAATTTTATAAATATATTAGCAAAAACATGACTCATTAAAGTAAAAATTGACAAACTTGACTTTCCCAAAATTAAAAATGTTGCTCTTCAAAAACAATGTTAATTAAAGAATGAAAATATAAGCACAGACTGGGAGAAAATATTTGTTAATCACATATGTGAAAATCGGTTTATATTCAGAATATATAAAGAACTCTCAAAACTCAGTAAGATGAAAATAAACAAATACATTATCAAAACTAGAGAAAGCCTTGAAAAGAAACTCACCAAAAAGATAAACAGATGACAAACATAACAAACACATGAAAAAATATTCATCACCACTCATTAGGAAAGTACAAATTAAAACAATGTTGATATACTATGAAACACCTATTAGAATATATGAAATGGAAAAGACTGATCATACCAAATGTTAATAAACTTGTGGAGCAACCAGGACACACATTGATATTGGAAATGTAAAATGGTACTGGCACTTTGGAAAGCAGTTTGGCAGGTTTTTTTTTTTTAAGTTAACCATACACTTATTATATTATCCAGACATTGTACTCTGAGGTATTTACTTCATGATCAATGAAACCATATGTACACAAACAGACTTGTAAATGAATGTTCATAGTAGCTTATTTGTAATAGTCCAAATAGGAAACAGCCCATATGTCCAATTGTAACCAAGTAATTTAGCTTCAAAAAAAATTTTTTTTAATTTTTCCTTTCTCATTTTTCTCCTTTTTCCCCAATCTCAAGATGTAAACTTGAAGGAACCTGCAGAAGCCTTTTCCTTAGTCTTTAATATAGCCTTGAAATGTACTTCAAAATTCTACTCCCTTCCCTTTCTACCTTATGCTCTCTTGTCTTATGCACATTCATCTAATTGTATGCTTGTTAAACTCACACCATGCACACTTATCTCGCTATATGCTTGTTAAGTTCCAGAGGCCAATTTAAAATGAACCAAGCATAAAGGCCCAGCTGTGGAACTCTCCCCCTCTTAAAGATTGCCCCAAGATGTATAATCTACAATCCAGATGCTGTCGAGATGGTATCAGCCCGTTGCTCCAGGGTGACCATAACTTAAGATAGGTGTTGGAACAAGACACATGGCCCCTGAATCCTGCAAATCTCCTGCATGCCTCTCCTATCAAGCCTTCTTTTTTTAAACACCTGCCCTCAGTCTAACCTTTTGAAGCAGTTTCTAGAGGTGTAATCCAGCTTCCTCCTCACTGCTAGCTTTGGAAAACAAAGTCACTTTCCTTTCATGGAACTTCATCCTTGTCATTAGCTTTTCAAGCTGCGAGCCGCTGAGCCTGTGCTTTATTACACATCAACGGGTGAGTGGATAAATATGTTCTGATGTAGCCAGACAATGGATTACCACACAATAATAAAAAACAGATGAACAATTTATATAAATGAAATCGTGGGTGAATTCTAAAATAATTTTGCAGAGTGACAAAAAAATAAAATGCGCACATTATCATTTCATTTACTAAAAATTCTACAAAATATCAACGAATCTATAATGATAGAAATCAAATCTGCAATTGCCTGGTGATGATGCAGGTGGAGGTAGAGGGATATATTACAAAAGGGCATGGTAACACTTTCAGAGGCAATAAATATGCTTATTATTGTGATTGTGGTTGTGGTTTCATTGGGTATATACATATGAGAAAATATTAAATTGTACACTTAAATACATGAGTTGATTGTATGTCAATTATACCTCAATAAAGCTATTTTAAACCAAATAAACTAAACTCTTTTAACAGTTTTTTTTTAACCTCTCTTATTCCAAAAGCTAAAAGTCATGTTAAAATAAATAGTAATTGTGCTTGTTTGTCTTGTACATGAGAATTTAGATTTATATCCAGGATTTTTTTGACCTCAAAAGTCATGCTACCAGATGTTAACCATGGATTAGATTCCACAAAACATAAATACTCATGGTATTTTTGAAAGATGAATCTGAAACAAATCTGAAACAAGTTTAACTTAGTGACACTTAAAGAAGTGCTCAGATCCATGTGCTTATTATTTGAGGATTCTTAGACATTAGAATCTCTCATGCCTGAACGCATTTATTGACTGCTTTAAAATTTAATAAACAAAAATAATAGATCTGTTGCTAAGAAGATCAAGAAAGAGGAGTTCATGAGGGTAGGAAGAGACAATTAACAGTGAAGTTTACTTATAAGCACAAAAAGGTAATATTTCAGATGTTACTCTATAATAAAAATTCTTAACCTGTCATTCAAGAACCCCGAAGAAGTCCAGGAATGGGCTCAAAGAAATGTAAAAAATGTTTCACAGATACATTTATTTTTCCTCAGTAGAGGATCCATCACTATTATCAAAACATTGATGGACTTCATAATATAAAATATTAATAACTACTCAATACTCAATCTATGTCAAAAGAATATAGAAAAATCTGATGGAAAGATTCCACCCTGATCTTCTATTATTGATTAATATGGTCTTATAAAAATCAGCTAGATGATTTTTATGAGCTTTGCAACACATATTGTCACTGTGAGTTTCTTTCACAAGGAAAAATAGGCCCCTGGCAAAGGTGTTCATTTTGCACATTAAATGCTAGCCTTGCTGAACAAAGAAAATGAAACCAACTCAGTCTTTTCCAATCAGTTCTTCTGTCATCAAATGTATAGAGTTATCATATTTAGTGATGTCAATCGTTTAAGCAATTATGTCAATATTTTTATTGCAAATATCCTGTTGTGACTGACAACACTCGGTGAATTAATGAAAGCCAGCTAATTTTGTTAAAAGTAGCCATTTACTCAACTGAACCATCTACATATATTTCAAGTCCTTAGAAAATTTTCATAACAACTTTTTAAAACGTTTTTAAATGATGATGGTAAAAGGAAAATAGAATTATGCTATGTCAAACAATGCCCCCAGTTAACAGGCAAGATGAACTCCCTGACTCATCTGGGAGTAAAAGCAGACCCAAGACACCAAGGCAGTGTGAGGGAGCAGTCACACTCTCTATGTCTTTAGAAAGTATTACAAAACCTGTTTTTCTACAAGCAAGTCAAAGAACAGTTACTGGAAACAACTGCAGCTGGAAATTCCCCAGCTGACTCCAACAGAACACCTGGCACTATTGTACTGACCACCTGGAACCAGCCATGTAAGAGAGACTAGTGATTTGGGGCTTAAGGACTGTTCCTCAGAATCCTCTCCCTGCCCTGCGGTTTTTGCCTCTATAAACGCTGACTCTCCAACCCCACCTCCTTGTGCACTGAATGACGCATCTCCCCAGTCTTCAGTCTGAGTTTAATAGAAAATAAAACTCTCCCTTTTTTCTCCAAAGATATCGTGGTCTTTTGTGAATGGCTATGTGTTACAGAAATCTGAGTGAGCTTTAAATAATCTGGCCTTTGTTTCTTCAGTTGTTCTCTAACATTTTCCTTTTCCTCCATTGCAGTAATGTATAGCTATCACAATTATGATAATCTTTTTTTCTGAAAAATCTTAACACATTGATCAATTAAACAATTTATCAGTGAAACAAAATATTAAAAATGAGAACTGTCCCAGAAACTTGAAGTTTCTGCAAATCATTCCCCTCCAATCAATTATATGTGTAAATGTCCAGATGCTAAGAACGTATTTCCTGTATAGTGCTATTATTTGCATGTATATTTCCATCTCCCTCTTCTATCCCAAAATGTTCTAAGCTATGTCTTAGAAATGAGCTGAAAAACTGACTAGAACACAATTGTAATGGTTCTGTTTTTAAATCATTATACTCAGTATATTCCTCTCAATATTCTTTGAATTACCCTCTATCCTTTATCACTTTTCTTCAATCCTTGTTTTTACCGCAGTTTTAACAGCATTTTGATTATTTTTCATTTTTTTAAGTCATCTTCTTGATAACCAGAGACCTCTTCTCTGAGAGAGCTGTAGTGTTTTCTCAGCTATGCTTTTACTTACTTCATTTCTTATATTCAACTGTAGCCTCCCTACCCTATCTCTTCCACCTTGAGAGCCAGGGAATGAGATTCTACTCAGCTGCAGAGCCTCACTTGTTATGACATTAACATGTGTTGCTTTTCTGTTCTTTGTCAGGCTGAAATATATAACACAGGGAAAATAATTTGTTGATTAAATTATCTCAGAGGAGAGAAATGTGAAGTTTGTAGCAACTGACTTCATTAAAGTGAATCTAAAAGTATTGTTTACCAGAAATGAATGAATAAATAGCCAAGAAAACTACAAACCCAAACAAATGCCTCTTCAAAAGCAATCTTACAAAATCATTTTTGTTTAATTATTTTTTAACATTGCAGAGTATTTTGAATCTTTTGTTCAATGACACAGAACATAGATGTGTTCATTTAGGACGTTTCATTCAATCACAGATACTTGCTCATGGCAGATTCCACTGATCTATCACCAGATTCTTTCTTTCTTGGGTCATCAAAATGTGAATGTACAGTGATCTGATGAATCTTTATATCTGTTTCACAAATATTTAATAATGATTACTTGCATTTATATATACAAAGCTCTATATATTCAAGGAAAGAAGTGATTCTATGCTCTTTTGAAA
Source organism: Homo sapiens (assembly GCF_000001405.40). NCBI lineage: Eukaryota > Metazoa > Chordata > Mammalia > Primates > Hominidae > Homo > Homo sapiens. The sequence continues at coordinate 88,332,999 of NC_000012.12, read as the reverse complement.
AGAGCAACAAAGGATGGAAAGCTGTTCCTGCTTTGCAGGCTGGTTTCTGGGGAAGTGAGCAATAGGTAGAAAGGGTATGACCTGACTCTATTCCTAGTCTATCTCAGAGACAGGAAATCCCAAGGATCTTTTTGCACCTAAAAATCAGTCCTGGGTTTAGCAATACAAAAGCCATGGTGAGATTTTTTTGAAAAGATTTATCCAGTTTAGATTTTCTCCCATGAGGTTAAATAGACTCCTTTTTCTTACAAATATGTTATGGAGAAGGAGAGCGTGCCTGAGGTTCCAGATATTTCAGATGCTGTCTCCAGCATGGTTACTTTGTATATCACTGGTTTCCTGAGTGTCATTATAGTCTGTTTCTGGAAATTATCACTTCTTGACCACTTCATCCACCATCTAATCCATATTATGGGATGAACACATTTAAGACTACTTTCATCTATGCAATAAGAATTTTCCCCTCTTTCAGTTTCCATTGGGAAGATAACCATCCAAACCAGTACAACAGAGACAAATTCTGCAGGAAGGTCACAACAGTATCACTGCAGATTCTCATCCAGTTCTGGCCCCAAAGCTAATTTGCAATCAAATTACTGTGTTAACCATATCCATGACTCTTGCTCCTGAAATATGAAGACCATTTTCAAAGTATGGTTTTGAGGTAGGAGGCAGGAATCTTCAGAGGCAGGGCTCAGACATCAGGCAAAAATTAAGGACTAGCTAAAACAGGTCAGTGCGGAGGTGGCTTTCCATAAGACACGCCCACCACTGTGCCATGTCAGGTGACCATTGCCACAGCAACACTTGGAAATTACCGCCCCTTTCCGTAGCAATGACCCAATGACCTGGAAGTTACCTCCATCATCCTATAAATTTCTGCATAAACCTCCCGTTAGTTTGCATATAATTAAAAGTGGGTACAAATATAAGTACAGCACTGCCTCTGAGGTGCTATTCTGGGCACACTGCCTATGGGGTAGCACTGCTCTGCAAAAAGCAGTGCTTCTGTTGCTGCTGTACACTGCCATTTGAAAAAAACTTGCTGTTTAACACCACCGGTTCATCCTTGAATTTTTTCTGAGTGAAGCAAAGAACCCTCACAGGCTAAGCCCCAATTTGGGGGCTTGCCTGTCCTGCATCAGTTTCTTTTGATCACCTCTCCCCGGTATTCTCATCTTTCTATTATTCTACACTCACTTCTCTGTAAATCTTAAACAAGACTATTTTTTTTTCTCTCCATCTTTCCTCAACCATGCAATGGAATAAAGCCCTCTTAACCTCTATTAAAAATTCCAAAGGAGTCACACTCATTTTAAACTCTTTCTCCAAAGCTCTTGACACCCAGTGAGGGCATGGTGCACTTCTAAAAGTGATAGCAATTTGAGTCTCTTGGACACTCCCAGTCATTGAGAATTTGGACATTTGGTTCAGAGTCTGTCTCTTAAACATAATTTTGGAATCATACTGGATGATTTCAGCATGCATATGAAAAATGCATCCAACATTGTAATTTCACAATTATTTGCCTTTAAAATGAATAAACTGTACCTGCATGTTATATCAGGAACACAAATAAATGACCACACCTGAGATGTTGGTCAGCATTCAGGACTATTCTACCTATAAACTGTTAGTCTTCAATATCCTGTCCTCAACCAAACACTCCTACCATTCTCCTGTCTTACCTCCTCCTTTTCACTAAACCTACCCTTTCATTTTATTATTGAACTGAAATAGTCTATTAAATCTCCACTATCCTAGAGTTTCTTGACCAATTTCTCACCAAACTTTCTTTTTTTATTGAATGCAAATCCATGGAAAATTATTTGAAGTATTCTCTCAATGTACCATCAGCTTCCTAGCCTCCTTATTCTCCTGCAATCCTGCAAGCTGGCTTCTTACTAGAATTATCAATGTAGCTTAACAAAATCTGACAACCATGAATACGAATATCTGTGCCACTACAAATTTACTGTAGCAAGTCATAGGTGGACCCACAGGGTTGCTTGACAATTATCCCATTGTGCTTGGTTATCTTTCTTTTCCATTCCTTTCCACTGGCATCGCAAACCTTTATTTTGCCTGTAATAGAGGCTGGGTGATAAGATGGGGAATAAACATATAGTCTTCTAGAGCATACGCTGGATGGTGGATTCCTGGTGTTCACCTTCTTATTCTACATCATAACTTACATACATATTACACATATAACTTTGTTTATAAAATAGCATATTAATTTTAAAAAGAAACTCTCCTCAAATCCTCTGCATATTCCCTACTTCATGCAATTTTAACACATGACCTTATCTCTAACATCTCAGAGAAAACAGAGGTGTCAGAGAAAAATGCCTCAACTTCTCATTACAAAAGCATTCATATTTGCCATCATTCAGGTACAAGGTATTCATTCTCCTTTCCTAAGACAATTTTTCCAGCTCTGCTCTTTCATACCTCATTCAGGGCTTTGTTTCAAGCTCTACCAATGATGCAATCTCTCTCCCTCCTCCATCCCCTTTCTCTTTGAGATCCTTCCATCCAGACTGTAAATATGCTCAGATATCTGTAGTCTTTCAAAACCAAACGGTTCCTTCAACTGTTCCTTCTCTCATTCACTATCTTCACTTCCCTACTACCTCAACTCATTAGTCAGACTCTCAGTATCACAATTTTATGCAAAGTGCTTCTTCCACAGCTGTCAATTCAATGGATATGCTGTGTATCTTCCAATGCTTCTTCCAGTGCTCTATTCATTGGGCATGCTTTGTATCTTCATTTTACTGACCTCTCTGCATAGCCCTTGGCATTGTTTATAATTACTTTCTTCTTAAAACTTTCTTTCATTGACTATTTGTTATTGCATGTTTCTACTTCTTAACTCCTGCATGCCACATTCTCTAATGCCTGTCTTATTCACATCTGTCATGCTCTCCTTAAGTGATCTCACTCACTTCTCAGTCTTTAATATCCCTTTCCAAGTCTGCAGCTCCACCCAAAACCTTTCTCATGAATATTAGTCCTGTTTAATTGCTTGCCTGTAGGTATATGACAAAAGAAACAAGCTCTGCATATTCAAAGATTAATGATTTTTTAATGAAATTCTGTTCTTCCTACTGTATGCTAGTCATCACTAAGATTCATCTACTCACTAAAGTCTGTATATCTAAAAGTTGTCCAAGAGTGTCTCTATTTCATCACTCCCCACCCGTGGTCAATGCCTCATTAATTCTTGCAAACCTATTTTCTCATTTTCATCTCTGACACCATAACCCTAATTTGATTCATTATAATTATTTTCTGTAACTTCGTAAAAGGTTCCAAAACTCAGCCCCAATCCCTTTCCAATAGAATTGACTTTTATATGTCTTAATTTGTATGATTTTCTTGCATAACTAAAGTCAGTCTGGTACTAATTGTTTTAAAAAGCATATGAGCAGCCTTCAAAAAGCATATTTGTTTTCAAAAAGCATATTTTCTGAGACTTTGCTTATCTGACCATGCTTTTCTCTTGTTTGTTGTTGATATGGTTTGGCTGTGTACTCACCCAAATTTCATCTTGAATTATAGCTCCCATAATTCCCATGTGTTATGGGAGGGACACAGTGGGAGGTAATTGAATCATGGGGGCAAGTCTTTCACATGCTGTTCTCATGATAGTGAATAAGTCTTATGAGATTTGATGGTTCTATAAAGAGGAGTTCCCCTGCACATGCTCTCCTTTTGCTTGCCACCATGTAAGACATGACTTTGCCCCTCCTTGCCCTCCACCATAATTATGAGACCCCCCAAGCCATGTGGAACTCTGAGTAAACGAAACCTCTTTTCTTTACAAATTACCCAGTCTCAGGTATATCTTTATTAGCAGCGTGAGAACAGACTAATACCCTTGTTAAAAACAACTTAGCAGGGTGCTAAAATCTAGATCAAAGACATTTCCTCTCAAGTATCATAGGGGCTGCATACCACAATTTAAAAAGCACATGTTTTGGAATCAAGTAAACTTACATTAGATTTTATTTCTATAACTTTATGGCTATGAGATTTTGGTCATGCTCTGTGTCTGAATCTCAGTTTCTACAAATGAGGATATATTACCTACCTCATAGGGTTGTTGTTTGAAATAAAGAGATAAAATATGTAAGTATGTTAAATGCAGCAGGCATTCAAATAAATGATATGATAAATATTTTTATTATTAGATGTTTCTTGTTATTCTGGTACTTAGGGCTGTACAAGCAGTCTGAGTATACTCTAATTCCTGTTCTGAGGGTAAGATTTTGGTTGCTTGTTCTTTTAGTCATTGTTTCTATGCTGGATAAAAAGAGGACTTTTAACTTATGACTGCACCTCAAAAAATAATATATCTAAATGTATATATTTTAATGGATTTTTTTCTAGAATGTAGTGAGCTCTTTGAACAGATACCCAGATCCTTTTTCAGCACAGAAAATTGTTTTTTATTTATGCTTCTTTTAATTGCTTATTCTGATTTTACTGGTGATATGGTTTGGCTCTGTGTCCCCATCCAAACTCATCTCAAAATGTAATCCCCATTTGTCAAGGGAGGGACCTGGCGGGAGGGGATTGGATCATGGGGCTGGTTTATAACAGTTTAGCACCATCCTCCTAGTGTTGTCTTGTGATGGAATTCTCATGAGATCTGGTGGTTTAAAAGTGTAGTGCTTCCCCGTTTTGCTCTCTCTCTCCTGCTGCAATGTAAGTTGTGACTTGCTTCCCCTTCATCTATGATTGTAACTTTCCTGAGGCCTCGCCAGCCATGTGGAACTGTGAATCAATTAAACTTTTTTCCTTTATAAATTAACCAGTCTCAGGTAGTTCATTATAGCAGTGCAAAAACAGACTGGTACAACTGGTTTTTATTTTTGAGATTTTTTTGCAGCTAAATGTACTCTCTGTATACTGACTCTATATTCTTTGTACACCATGTCTTTTATCTTCACTATCACAATTTTCTTATCTTTGTTCTCTCTATATATGTTCTGTGAGAGCTTTGGAAGTTTATACACTGATTTAATTTTCTACAATATCTTTTACTGCTTCTTTAACTCTGCAGTGGATTTTATCTATGCTATTTTTCTTATTTTTTAGAAATCCTTACTTAGTCTTCTCTCTTTTTATCTCTTTTTAACCTCTTGGTAATGTCCTTTTAATGCGTCATGTTTTCCCTTTATAATTTTCTGCTACTATTTCAAAAAGGCCAAGACTTCTTGCATTCTATTAAGGATGTACACTCATTTTCTAACCCATATGATAGACTGTATGTTAGGTTGTGTTTGAAATACTCTTTCCCCATGGTTTTGGATACTGTTTTTTCAAACCAAATCTTTTCAGATTTGTATTTGTCAACAGACAGGTTATGTGGATTGCCTCTGGTTCAATTCATACATTCTTGGATAATGATTAAATCTATTTCTCAAATCTACAGCTGGAGAGAAAGTTAATATAAAAAGCTCTTGGATAAATTCTCAGTTTTTTGCGAGAATATTCCTTGTTCAGCTATGTACCATTGGGACTGCTACTTATCCTTGATATGATTTGGATTTGTGCCCCTGCCCATATCCCATGTTAAGTTGTAGTCCCCAGTGTTGGAGGAGAGGCCTGGTAGGAGGGGATTGGATCATGAGGGTGGATTTTCCCTTACTATTCTTGTTATAGTGAGTGAGTTCTCACAAGATCTGGTTGTTTAAAAGTGTGTAGCAATTTCTTCTCTCTCTTCCTCCTTCTCCAGCCACGTAAGTCGTGCCTACTTCCCATTCACCCTCCTCCATGATTCTAAGTTTCCTGAGGCCTCCCCAGACATGCTTCCTGTACAGTCTGTGGAATTGAGTCAATTAAACCCCTTTTCTTTATAAACTACCCAGTCTCTGGTTGTTCTTTATAGCAATGAGAGAATGGACTAATACAGAAAACTGGTACCAGAAAGTGGGGCATTGCTGTAAAGATACCTGAAAATGTGGAAGCAGCTTTGGAACTGGATAATGGGTAGAGCCCACCCCTCGCATCAGTGTTGCCTGGATGTGACACATGGAGTCAAAGGAGATTATTTTGGGACTTTAAGATTTAATGACTGCCTTGCTGGGTTTCAAACTTGCACAGGGCCTGTAGCCCCTTGGTTTTGGCCAATTTATCCCTTTTGGAATGGGGGTAGTTAGCCAATGCCTGTACCCCCGTTGTATTTACTGAAGTAAATTTTTTTTTCTAATCACTTCAACTTTCATATATTTGACAAAGATTCCTCCCCAAATCTGACTCTAGGTAGTCTATGGACCTTAGTGTTTAATATTGCTTTGTAACATTTTCTCCCATTACCTTCGTAAATGTTTTAGTGGAAAGTAAGGGAAAAGACATTGGAGACTATCAGACAAATGCCATGTAACTAAAAATTCCAGATGAGATCATTTTTTGATTGATTCTTTTTTTAATTTCTTGTTAAATGTATTAAGGATTAGTTCAATCTCTGGTTAGACACCTTATTCAAATGCATTCAATTTATTCAAATTATGTTATTTAAAAGCATCTTTGATACTTGGTGGTCTTGAAGTTCCTAAATTTCTTTGATGTCATTCTGGTGTTCTTATCACATGTTACTGTCAAGAATCATATTGCAGAAATAACAAAGAAGAAAAATACATCAGAAATTTCACAGCATCTGATAGGCTCACTTTTGTATAGTTTTCCAGTTGAATTAATAGTTTTTTTATTTTTGAAAAAAGGTTGGAAAAGTAATGAATGCATTTTAGACAATTCGTCTGATCAGCATTGTGCTAAGTGCCTTCATGTATCATTCCCTATTTAAGTCTTTAAAAGAGAGGATATCTAACTATCATTATTACAGATGAGATAAAATGAGCCTCAGAGAAGTCAAGTGAGCTGTTCAATGTTATACTGTTGGTCAGTGTCCAGCTAAATTTGCAGCCTAGCTCAAATCTCAGTGGCTGCTGAGTCCCTGGCTCCAGCACACCATGATAAACGTTTAGTATCAGGGTGAAAACAACTGACACGTTTATATTTTGTATGCTGTCTTTAAACAAATTCTTAACCAGACACAAACAACAAATGGGTTACACTGATGCCAGCATTTTAAGATTTTTGTTATTCTGCCTTTTGCCGAAAGTTCGGTAAAGCAAATAGTTACAATAAAATACTTTTGAAAATATCTCTGCTCTCTCATAATACATCATAAACTGTTTATAAAATTAAAACATTTGAGTCACAACTTCCTGCTTGTTGTGTAATAATCTACTGTTTGAAAATAGTTGTTTTGATAGCTGGAATCTATTATTAATCATTTTGAGAAGACAGAGGTTTCTAAGTGGAAGGAATTTGAAGGAATGTAAGTTTATGGGCCTATGCCTACCCTCTAGAAATGCTAAGGATTCTACCTCCTTATTACACAAGCCATAAAGTCATCAACTATAGCTTCCAGCAGGGTGATACACCACTGTGCTCTGCTGGCCGTGAAGCCTGCAAGGAATTGGGCTCAAGTCCTATTTTTCAGGGAAGCTGGAGTAGAATTAACAGGAGTACATGGGCAAAACATGGATTAAAACTGTAGCCCTAATGGTGGATAGGAAGCAACAATGAGAAACAGTCACCAAAGAAACTCAAGAAAATACAGGCTAGTTATGGGCCAAATAGAGATAACTTATGGGAATTAAGTGAGCTGCAGAGCTGAGTCATTCCAGGAATTCTGCCTGAAAATGAGACAGGAGAGAACAAGGATATGGTTCAGCTACAGGGAAATAAACATAGGACAAGTATCAATAGACACAGACTCAACCCAGCTGGCTGAGTCAGTCAGAGTCATGTCTTCCCACCACAAGTGCTCAGGATTGGAAAAGCAAAGAAACTTTGGGTAGTAAGATGCAAAGCAAGGGAACTTATATCACTCTCTCCATCCACAATCTCATTATTATCATCACACACACACACACACACACACACACACACACACACATTACAGGCAAACAGATTTTGCAGAAACATGCTTGTTCTTTTACAATGTTAGGAGATGGACAAAACAGGACAGGTCTTGCTACTATTCATCTTGTTCAGGCATTTTTTAAATAAGAAAATCAAGCTTCTTGCAGCAGCTTGGATGCTGATAGTCAGTACTCACTGGATCTTCTTATTTGAGTATTTCCCCTACACAATAGGAAAAAGGGGACCTTTCTCTATAGGCTTAAAAAAGATGCAGAAAGTTTTCTGACTTAAAAGTACAACCCATAATTAACATAATTAATTTTAGAAAAATAAGAGAGACACTGATATGTGTTCATGGTCTATTATATGTAGGGTGGTCATGCAATTACGTATAAATAAGATATGTCATCTAATAGACAGCTAAAACTTAGGCATAAATAAATTTCAAAATACTGGTAACTTAGAATCACGTAATAATGTGATTCTGATGTTAACTGTCAATCCCTCCTGATAAAGATAATTGGTGAAACTTATTAGCCATTCATTATTCCTCTTTTACTTCTCACATTAGTTGCCTCTGTGACAATGCATTCTGGACTATTACTAGAGGTGATATACAAATTACAGCTGTTTCTATGTCTCTAAGTTAAACATAAGGGTCCAAAAAATTAAAAGTGTAAGAACTAATGTCACCAGTGGTGGTTCTCTTGATTTAGCCATGCCTTTCTATTGGCTACAACACAGATTCCTGCAAATACAAGGTTCACTTTCTTTTGAGTAGCTTCCTAGAAAATACCTGTAATAAAACAACTTCTTAATGTTTCCTTAGAATGTTGTCCACAGGTCTTTCTGACTGTTGATGAAAAGAAACCATTAAGGCCAAGATCTTTAAAACAGACTCTCTCTTCTTCATCCCTAAAACACTTTGCTCCATGGTTATTTAATTTAATTAAAAATTGAATATATCTTTGAGAGTAAAAGTTATCCAAATCAATGTTGTGATTTTGCTGTTTAATAGTTCTGTGTATACTGAATTAGCTGTAGGAATTAGGGGACATGGAAATGTATTAATATTTCCCCTTCAGAGTTATTCGATAATAGCTTTCAAATTTTTAAGTGTACATGCCCTGACATTTCTGTTTTCATAAAATTTTTCCTCAAATATATACATACAAATTCTTTGTTTTTATTTTTTTTAAATTTCTCACACTACATGGCTGTATATACAAATTCTTAAAGATTACATATAAGCACATGTATTGCAGTATAATTGATAAGTTGAAATCCATCTAAATGCCTATAATAGAGATTTGGCATATTAATTGCAGGAACCTTGCAATAAAATATTAGCAATTTTTAAAAGAATAAGGTAGATTCTGTAAGAGTCAATATAAAAAGACAACCAAAATATATTAAACAGAGAAAACAAAGCCTAAATTCCCATGTAAACTACAATCACAGTTATGTTTAAACATACATGTCTATGAAAATGCTTGTATATACATAAAACATTTCTAGAATGATATAAAAGATATGGTTTATAGTGCTTATCTCTGGAGAATATCTTAAAGGTGAAAGGAGGAAAGGATGATTTTGATGCATAAACATCTTTATTGTTTGACATTGTTAATTTTATATTATTTTTATTAAAAGTTTAGTATATATTTTCCATCCTACTGACCAAAGAGGTTGACAAAAGTAAGCACTCCTAATACCAAAACCCTTAAAGAGAGGGGAAAAAAAGTCTTTTTATGGTTGAAGTGATCCAAGACAGAAATAGTGGCACCAATTTTCCATGCTACCTTCTCCCAATTTTGAATTCATGAATGATCTTCTCAAGTTTTAGACATCCTTCAAGAGATGGCTATGATTGAAAATGCAGATTGTGTCAATTACACTTTTAGACCTTGACTTGTGCCTTAGTTTCCTAGGGCTGCCATAACAAATTAGCACACACCAAATGGCTTACAACAGAAATTTATTCCCACCCCCAGTTCTGGAAATTGAGAGTCCATAATTCAGGTATTGGCAAGACCATGCTCTCTCTGAAGGCTCTAGGTGAGAGTCTTTTCTTGCCTCTTCCAAGCCTCTGGTGATTACTGGTAATCCTTAGCATTCCTTGGCTTGCAGTTGCATTATTACAATCTCTGCCTCTGTCTTCACATGGCCTTCTCCCCCATGTCTGTCACTGTGTCTCTTTTCTTCTTATTGGAACAACAGTCAGATTAAATTAAGGCCCATACTAACCTAATATGACCATGTTTTAGCTTGATGTAATCCCATGATACAAAACCCTGTGACTAAATAAGTTCACATTCACAGGAATTGGAGTTTAGGCCATATATATATATATATATCTGGGAGACACCATTCAACTGCTACAACTTAATTGTTTTAGATTCTTCATTTTAAGTTGTTTATTCCATGGAATGAATTATAAGGGATTGTATAGGGGTAAGTGTAGCAGCTGAATTAGCAGTGTTGTTTCCACAACTATCTCAATTTCTGATGGGGCTTGATATGGTTTGCATCTGTGTCCTCCCCCAATCTCATGTCGGATTGTAATCTCCAATGTTGGAGGAGGACCTGCTGGGAGGTGATTGGATCATGGGAGCAGATTTCCCCCTTGCTGTTCTTGTGATAGTGAGCGAGTTCTCACGCAATCTGATTGTTTAAAAGTGTGTAGCACTTCCCCATGCTCTCTCTTCCTCCTGCTCTGTCCATGTAAGACATGCGTGCTTCCCCTTTGCTTTTGACCATGATTGTAAGTTTCCTGAGGCCTCCTCACCATGCTTCCTGTACAGCCTGTCGAACCATGAGCCAATTAAACCTCTTTTCTTTATAAATTACCCAGTCCCAGGTATTTATTTATAGCAATGTGAGAACAGACTAATACAGGGCTCAAAGCCTTTTACAACTGTACTCTCCATCCTCCTCATGGATGTTTATCTCACAATGTATTTATTAATATCTAAAAAAACAAAGGCTTATTTTTTATAAGGCCTAATGTTTCTGCCCATTCAGAAGAATGAAAGAGTTTATTAGTCTGGCTCAATCACTTTATATAATTTAAGACAAAACTATTTAGTAATACTCAGAGACTAAAACATTTTTAAATCTAAAATATGCTAAAGAGAACAGGTGATCTCTGATGTAGTGTTAAATATACTCATATATGAAACTAAATACACAGATCAGGACTCTTACTTCTCTGTTAACAAGAGCAAAGAGTCATAACATCATAGCTTAGAAATTTCATGATATATACAAGCCAATATTGACTTTAAAAAAATTTTTTTATTATACTTTAAGTTCTGGGGTACATGTGCACAATGTGCGGGTTTGTTACGTATGTATACATGTGCCATGTTGGTGTGCTGCACCCATTAACTCGTCATTTACATTAGGTATATCTCCTTCAAGAAGGGATGATCACAAAGGGCCATTTAAGTACACACCACATAAGTGAGCCTTATAAAGCTTGTCTCTTATGTGAGTGTATTAGTCAGGTTTCTCTAGAGAGACAGAACTAATAGAATATATATATTTATATATGTGAGTTTATTAAGGAGTATTAACTCACATGATCACAAAGTCCCACAATAGGCCATCTGCAAGCTGAAGAGCCAGGTAGCCAGCCAGAGTTCCAAAGCTGAAGAACTTGGAGTCCGATGTTTGAAGGCAGAAAGCATCCAGCACAGGAAAAAGATGTAGGCTGGGAGGCTAAGTCAACCTAGTCTTTTCTTGTTCTTCCACCTGCTTTTATTCTGGCTGTGCTGGCAGCTGATTAGATTGTGGCCACCCAGATTAAGGGCAGGTCTGCCTTTCCCAGCCCACTGACTCGAATGTTAATCTCCTTTGGCAATACCATCACAGACACACCCAGGATCAATACTTGGCATCCCTCAATCCAGTCAAGTTGACACTCAGTATTAACCATTACAGTGAGTTTGCTGAGTTAAAATCTTTCCACTCTTTAACTTTGAGAAATCATTTTGGCTGCTTAATTCTATGAATATACTGGGGCTCCAGCAATTTCAAAAACAAAACCAACCGGAACACCTCTCCTACTGAAAATTCATAATAATATTAGATAATTTTTTTAAGTTTTAAATACATAGCTGAATTCACAAGAAAAAAAGGGAGGAAACTGAGGTGTCAGAAATCAAGAGAAAATTTAGAGCTAAAGTAATAAGTTTCTGAGTGGCCCAGAGAAATGTCTGACCCTACAGACATTTTGACAGCCAGGGGCTGGGAGTTTGTTGCTATGGGTTTTATGTTTTATTTTTATTTTATTTTTTATTTTTTGAGACAGGGTCTTGCTCTGTTGCTCAGGCTGGAGTGCAGTGGTGTGATTATGACTTGCTGCAGCCTCAACCTCCTGGGCTTAAAGCATCTTCCTACCTGTCTCCCAAATAGCTAGGACTACAGTCACATACCACCATGCCCAGCTAATTTTTTGTTTGTTTTTAGTAGAGACAAGGTTTCTCTATGTTTCCCAGGCTGAACTCAAACTCCTGGCCTCTAACTCTCAACATGTTGGGAGTTACGAGCATGAGCCATCAAACTGGCTTATTTTACTTTTGAATGGATAATGCATTCACATGGTTCAAAAATAAAAACTATATAATAAGCTTTACTTTTGCCCCCATCCAACAGTTCTCCTTCTCCCTGTAAATAATGTATTTTATTAGTTTATTATTTATCCATCCACTGTTTCCTAGGCAACAATAAGCATATGTCATTGAAAATTTGTTCCTCTTTTCATACACAAAACGTGACCTACTTTTGTATGCAATCTTATGAGACTTGCTCTTTTTTCAGTTAATACTATATCTTGATTATTTCCACATAAGTACATGGAGATCTCTTTGTTCTTTTTAAAAACTGCATAATATTGCCTTATGTAAAAACCAATTGTTTATTGATGGACACAAGATTCTGAAGTATAAAAACTTATAATTACAAACATCATGTACATGTGTAGATCTACCTGTAGGATGAATTCCTAAAAATGGAATTCATGTTTTATTTTGAGAGTTATTGTCAGATTGCCTTCCACAGAGGTTGTATTTAATATCGTTTGACAGTCTGACAAGCATTGTAAGGAAATGTCTTTTCCTCTGAAGACTGGCACACAAAGGGCAGGTCAAACTTTTGGACTTTCAAGATGAGTATCTTTTCATGCAACTAAGGACCCTTCATATATATTTTTTTTTACTCTGACCAGTTTGCTTATGCCCTTTGCCCATTTTCTACTGAACTTTTGATGTTTTTTGTTATAGTATTCTTGGAACACTTGGTACGTAAAAGAAATGATCTAGAGCAGCAGTCCTTAACCTTTTTGGCACCAGGGACCAGTCTCATGGAAGACAATTTTTTCACAGACTGGTGGGGGTGTTGGGGAGAGAATTATTTGGGATGATTCAAGTGCATTACATTAATTTTGCACTTTATCTATTTCTATTAGTATTACATTGTAATGTATAATACTACTTACCATCTAATAATTACACCATCTAATAATTACACAACTCCCCATCATATAGAATCAGTGGGTGCCCTAAGCTTGTTTTCCTCCAACTAAATGGTCCCATCTGGAGGTGATGAAAGACGGTGACAGATCATCAGGTATTAGACGTGCATAAAGGGCATGCAACCTAGACCCCTCGCATGCACAGTTCACAATAGGTTTTGTGCTCCTATGGGAATCTAATGCTGCCACTGATCTGACAGAAGGCGGAGCTTGGGAAATAATGTGAGCAATTGAGAAGGGCTGTAAATACAGCTTAAGCTTTGCTATCTTACCTGTCACTCACCTCCTGCTGTGTGGCCCAGTTCCTACCAGGCCATGGACTGGTACCAGTCTGTGGCTTGGGAGTTGGCGATCTGGGATCTAGACACTGGTGTTTTCCTATTTCACAAAAAACATAAAGTACTACATAAAGCCTGTGCTCTACAAAAGATGATTCTTAGCAAATGGGTCAAAAAAAGAAATGACCTCTAAAACTCTACCTACTAGTTCAGAAAAGACACAAGAATTTCTGATTGTTTCTGATAAGCTTATTTCTGATTGGACTTTGGGAAAGCTTTCTGTGAGGAATTTCTGTCAGTCCACATTTCTAGCATTTCTAGCACCTACTTACCATGGAAATTCTCAAAGCTTAGAGAATAACATAAAAACCAGTCTAGAGTGAATGAGGCTGTGAAATGCACAGATAATACTGCCGAAGGTCTGTAGCGTGCTGACTTCTAAGCTTTCTGATGGCCTTGAAAATCAACTATCAGATGAATATAATATGAAATGTAGTTCAGAGCAGTGATCCCTGATCCTTTCCCACATGTTTTATTGCAGGGATTATAGCAGGTTAATAGTGTCTCTCTCAGTATTTGATCCAGGGCCAGGATTCTGAGACCAGAAACCAGGAAAGGCCACTAATTAGTAAACTTCTGTGTTAAGGGACACAAAGAATTTGAATTCAAGTAAAGAAAATAAAGGTCTGTTTAATGGGCTATAATCATAAGAATTTTGAATTAAATACTTAGGGATTCACTTTGCCATTTGGCTCAGAAACAAGTTGTTTAACCCAAGCCTAAAATTTCCTATGCTTTAAAATAGACCAAATATATGTAGCTATGAAAACATTTTAAAATACTATTTTTAATTTAATTTTAAATATTGAAATTGTCCAAACATATGGAAAAGTATATTAAATAATATAATAAAATCCATATCCCACCATAAGTCATAATAAATGTTAATATGTTATTCCAGAGTCAGGATAGGCTAGTTATGCTATGACACAAATACCACCAAGATAACAGTGCCTAAAAGTAACAAAAGCTTTATTTCTAACTTATATTTCATAGCACCAGGAGTTATTAGGGAGGTTCTACTCATTGAAGTCACTGAGGGTTTCAGGCTGCCAGAGGCCCTACTATCTCTTTCAATCTCAACAAGGAGTTCAGCATTTGCCATAGCAAGGAAAGAGAACATGGAGATTTGCACATCTGGGGGTGATACAGTCACATATTCTTATGTTTCATTGGCCAATGTGAATCACATGGCCATACTTAACTTCTAGGGTATGGGTATAAGCCTTTCTTGCACCTAAAACAAAACAAAATAAAAACCAGAAATATGGCTGAGTATTTATTTCGACAAAAGATTACATAAAGAGACTGAGAAGACTAATAAAATAAATAATTTCTGGTAATATTAATTCAGAAAAAGTAAAAACAGTACAAATAAACAATAATATATATGAAAGGGAACTTTAGTTTGGAAAACATTTGAAAGAATGAAACATGAAAACTGCAAATATTAACCAAAAGAAGCCTATGCTAATTTCAGTCAAAATAAACTTCAAAGCCATTGCACAAATGGTTAGAAAAATCAACTGTAAATATAAAAGAAAATGAATTCATTATTTGAAATTTTCCTTCGCAGAAAATACAGAATGATTGATCTGAATTTTAAAGAAATTTTTCCAGAGAATAGATAGAGAAAACATCACAACTCATTTTAGATGGCTACCGGAACTTTGACAGAATAACCAAAGACACTACAAAAAAAGACCAATGTAATTAGTGAAGTGTCCTAAGAAAAATGTAAAAAATCAAATCCAGAAATGTATATAAAAGATAATATATAATGACCAAGTTTTCTTAACATTAGATAATTAATATAATTCACCATAAAATAATCTCCTTTAACAGATTAAATGAGAAAATTATGTAATTGTCAACTAAAAAATTAACATTAAATATCAATCAACATACACAGATGAGAATAATTCTTTTTTTTTTGACAGTCTCACTGTTGTCAGCTCGGGCTGGAGTGCTATGGCTCGATCTCGGCTCACTGCAACCTCCGCCTCCTGGGTTCCAGCAATTCTCCTGAGTCTGTCTCCCGAGTAGATGAGATTACAGGTGCCCGCCACCATGCCCGGCTAATTTTTATATTTTTAGTAGAGACGGGGTTTCACCGTGTTGACCATGTTGGTCTCGAGCTCCTGACCTCAGGTGATCCACCTGCCTCGGCCTCCCAAAGTGCTGGGATTACAGGCATGAGCCACCATGCCTGGCCGAGAATAATTCTTAGCAAACAATGAATAGAGAAAACTGTTTTAATATAATAGAAGGTATATGTAAAAATAGCTACAGCAAACATCATATATAATAATAAAATGTTAATGCATTTTCTTAAAAATTAGGAACAAGAGGAAGTCCTGGCCAGAGCAATCAGACAAGAGAAAGAAATAAAAGACATCTAAATTTGAAGAGAAGAAGTCAAACTATCACTGTTTGCAGAAGACATAATTCTGTAACTATAAAACCCCATGGTTTCTGCCCAAAAGCTCCTTGAGCTGATAAACAACTTCAGCAAAATCTCAGGATACAAAATCAATGTGCAAAAATCAGTAGCATTCATGTACACCAACAGCACCCAAGCTGAGAGCCAAATCAGGAACACAATCACACTGACTATTGCCATGAAAAGAATAAAATATCTGGGAATACAGCTAACTAGGGAAGTGAAAGATCTCTACAATGAGAATTATAGAACACTGCTCAAAGAAATCAGAAATGACACAGACAAATAGATGAATATTTCATGTTCATGAATAGGAAAAGTCACTATCATTAAAATGGTCATACTGTCCAAAGTAATTTACAGACGCAATGCTATTCCTATCAAACTACCAATAGCATTCTTCACAGAACTAGAAAAAAACTGTAAATTCATGTGGAACCAAAAAAGAGCCTGAATACCCAAGGCAATCCTAAGCAAAAAGATCAAAGCTGAAGGAATCGTACTGCCCAACTTCAAACTGTACTACAAGGCTACAGAAACCAAAACAGCATGTTGCTGGTACAAAAACAGATCAATAGACCAACGGAATAGAATACAGAGCTCAGAAATAAAGCCACACACCTGAATCCATCTGAGCTTTGACAAAGCTTACAAAAAGCCATGGGGAAAGGAATGCTTATTCAATTAATGATGCTGGGATGAATGGCTAGCTATATACAGAAGATTGAAGCTAGACCCCTTTTTACACCTTATATAAAAATCAACTCAAGATGGATTAAAGACCTAAATATAAAACTGAAAGCTATAAAACCCACGGAAGACAACCTAGGAAATACCATTTTAGACACAGGAACTAGCAAAGATTTCATGATGAAAATGTCAAAACCAATTGCAATAAAAGCAAAAATTGACAAATGCGACCTAATTAAACTAAAGAGCTTCTGCACAGCAAAAGAAACTATCAACAGAGTAAACAGGCAGTCTACAGAATGAGAGAAAATATTTGCAAATTAACATATGCTAAATGCCTAATATCCAGAATCTACAAAGAACTTAAACAACTGTACAAACAAAAAACAAAGAACCCAGTTAAAAAACAAAGGACATGAACACACACTTTTCAAAAGAAGACATACGTGTGGCCAACAAGCGTATGAAAGAGGGCTCAATCTCACTAATCATTAGGAAATACAAATTAAAACCACAATGAGATAACATTTCACACCAGTCAGAATGGCTTTTGTTAAAAAGTCATAAAAATAGCAGATGTTGGTGAGGTTGCAGAGAAAAGGGAATGCTTATACGCTGCTGGTGGGAGTGTAAATTAGTTCAGCCATTGTGGAAAACAGTGTAGTGATTCCTCAAAGAACTTAAAACAGAATTACCATTTGACCCAGCAATCCCATTATTGGGTACATGCCCAAAGGAATATAAATTGTTCAGTTATAAAGACACATGCACGTGTATGTGCATCGTAGCACTAGTCACAATAGCAAAGACAAGGAATCAACCTAAATGCCCATCAACAATAGACTGGATAAAGAAAATGGAGTACATATATACCACAGAATACTATGCAGCCATTAAAAAGAATGAGATTACGTCCTTTGCAGGAACATGGATGTAACTGAAGGCCATTATCCTTAACAAACTAACACAGGAACAGAAACAAAATACTGCACGTTCTTATTTGTAAGTGGCAGCTAAATGATGAAGACACATGGACAGAAAGAGGGGAACAACAGATCCTGGGGCCTACTTGAGGGAGAAGAGTGGGAGGAGGGAGAGGTTCGGGGAAAAAAAAAAAACTGTGAGGTACTACGCTTAGTACCCAGGTGATGAAATAATCTGTATACCAAACCCCTGAGTCATGAGTTTACACGTATAAGAAACTTATACATGTACCCCTGAATCTAAAATATTTTCTTTAAAGGAAAGAAGAAAATAGAAACAAGACCAAGATGCCATCATCTATTCAATATTAAATTGAAGCCCCTGCACTATAAGAGATGAAAAAATATGAAAATAGTATAAGCTTTATGAAGGGAGGAAAAGTTATCATTATTACCAAGTGATCTCATTCTGTAAATATAAGACCTCAAATAATCTATGAAAAAATTACCAAATTAATTAAAGAGTTTAGTCATGCTGTCTTACACTAAATCAATATACAAATCCAACTAAGTTTATATACACCAGCAACACACATTAGAAAATGTAACTTTTGAGATTTAAAAAATCAAAGGAATTAAGAAGATGGCTGGGATACAGAGATAGAAATTTGATCAATGGAAGAGAAATGAAAGTTCCAAAAATACACTCATAGAAATGGGATACGTGACAGAATTGGAAATGCGAATCAGTGGGAAAGGAGGGGCTGTTCAATAAATGCTGCAGAGACATTTAGTTATTTATATAGGAAAAATAAAGAAATAAATATCCTGCTTCACAAAAAATGAATTTTAGATAGATCAAAGACTTAAATAGAATTTTTTTTAAAACTTTAATATACTTAATAATAAGGAAAATGTTTTATGACTTCAAGGCGGGGAAATATTTATTGAGGAAAGATTTTTAAGTGGCAATCATAAAAGAAAAGTTTGGTAAATTTGGCTATATTGAAATTAATAATTTATTTCAACAAAAAACTTATAAAGAGAGTAAAAAGACAACGAGATCTCAAAACAAGCAAAATAGTCCCCAGAATAAATAATTACATTTGCAGAAATATAATGATGGTATTGCATACACATATATATGTATGACTTTTTAAAATTATGGTAAAATATATATCACATAAAGTTTCTCATCTTAACCATTTTTAATCATCCCAGTTCAGTAATATTAAATACATTCATAGTGTTATGTAACCAATCTCTAGAATTCTTCTCATCTTGCAAAACTGAAACTCTATAACCCATTAAACAATTCTCCATTTCCCCTTCCCCCCAGTGCCTGGCAATCACCTTTCTACTTTCTATCTGTATGAATTTGACTACTTTAGGTACCTCATATGAGTAAAATTGTATAGTATTTGTGTTTTGGTGACTGGCTTATTTCACTCAGCATAATATACTCAAGGTTCATACATGAAGCATGTTTCATAATTTCCTTTCTTTAAAAAAGGCTGAATAATATTCCATTGTATGTATATGCCACATTTTTCAAATCCGTTCATCCATTGATGGACACTTGGGCTGCTTCCATCTTTTGGCTATTGTGAATAACGCTGCTATGAACATGTGTGTCCAAATATCTCTTCAAGAACTTGGTTTGAATTATTTTGGGCATATATCCAGAAGTGGAATTGCTGAATCATATGATAATTATATTTTTAATTTTTTGAGGAACTGCCATACTGTTCCCTATAGCAGCTGCCTAATTTTTTACATTCCCACCAACAGTGCACAAATCATCTAACTTCTTTAATTTGATTGACAACACTTGTTATTTTCCGGGATTTGTTTGTTTGTTTTTTGATAGTAGCCATCCTGATAGGCATGAGGTGATATCTCATTTTGTCTTTGATTTGCATTTCCCTAATGATTAGAGATGTTGAACATCTTTTCATATGCTTGTTGGTCATTTGTATAACTTCTCTAAAGAAATAGCTAATTAAGTTCTTTGCCCATTTTTTACCTGGATTGCTTTTTTGTTGCTGTCACATGAATGACTTTAAAATCTATAGAATTGAGCAAGATAAAAGATAAAATAGAAATGTATGCATTACAATTTTAATATAAAGTTTAAAGTAGCCCAATTTCAGTAATGTGTTGTTCTGAGATTACATTAACATGCAATAAATCTGTTTAAAAAAACAACAATAACAAACAAGGAAGTAACAGAATTCTTCTCTTGGTTACCTCTGGCAAGTGAGAGCGGAAAGTATGATTGAGAGGAGCACATCAGAGTTTCCATACTATTAACAGGGTCCTATTTCTTAATATTCACATTATTATTCTTTAATAATTCATATGTCTAATGTACAATTTATCACAAAAATAAAAACGAAATTTTAAAGGAAGAAAAGAAATGAGGGGGAAAGGCACTGGTGAATAGATTTGTGAATTCTTTGTTTAAAGCAAAAAATGTTTACAAAAAAATCTTATAACCAATGAAGTTGAGGTTATATAATAGATGTGTCTGTGTATACATACTGGTATGTGCAAGGTTCAGGCACACAAAATATACAATATAAATATAATTTGTGTCCAGACACAACAGGTGAGCCCACTTCAGCTTCAGTCTCTTTTGGGAGAGGTAAATATAGCATAACTTGTTTCTTTTCTGAGCCTTTATTTTTTCCATTTTTGCTTTTCATTTTTCTCTTCTAATCATAGCTGAGTAAAATGTCACAAATTTTAGTAAATGTTTTATTGTTATATCTATTGTTTTAATTAACTTACTCTAAAAATTATTGTTTTATTATTCTAAATATTATTGTTTAAATTAATAAATAGATGAAGGTGAAAAGAGCATCATAATAAAATTTTTTCATATCTACTTCACACAATCCTCACAAAAACTGTAATGTACGTTTAGCCAGTACTTTCCCATTTTTATGCAGAAACTCGTGAATGGAGTGCTCGAGAACACACATTTACAAAGTAGAGGCATAAGTATTAAACTTTTTATTTCTACACTAAATTACTCTTTCCACTTTAGTTATAATACTTTCCATATTTCAAAGCAAATTCTCAAAGTTTAGTGGTAAACACAGGCTAACAGAGAAACCTGAAGATAGGTTTATCTGACCCTGACCAGAACTCCTTTATTCATAGTATCTCTGTCAGGGAAAAGAACAAAATACTTACAGCATACAGCAAGTATGTATTATTGCCTCCTAATATTTAGAAAATTTCAGTGATGGTGATTTCTTTATAGTCTTGGACAAGTCCATGTAACCACCGTGCTGAAAACTACATATGTTTCTGAAGCTCTAGACTTATCTGCCTCACAGTTTTGTTCTAGGAATCATACATAGTGTTGGAGTTCTGATTTTTAAGATTTTTTTCCAATTTAGTAGGATGTATTTTATTTAATCTCAGTTATTATGCCATTATTATAAACTTTTATAATAATGTTTTCTGAAAGTAAAGATTTTGTTCAATTTTGTTTAAATTCCTAAAGAAACTAATTGTGTTTCTAATAAAAGTATTCGTTACAGTGAAAGGATCTACTTAATGCATTCAGAAAGTTTATTAATAGTCAAAATGCAAATATTTCAACTCATCCCTAGCAAATTCTATCAAAACTTTAAGGAACAGAGGTTTGATACTATTTTAAATATTTCAGATGATAGAGAAAGAAAGAAAAATTCTAAAATCTGCATAACAAAGAGTATGAAAAAAGAAAACTACAGTTCAAACACCATATCACTCCAAAACTTTTAAATAACATATTAGCAAATAGAACTCACCTGCCTATTAAAGGAATAATATTGTATAATAAAGGGGAATTAATTTCAGGGATAATAGAAAGATTTAATTTTAAGAAATCTATTAATATCATTTCCTTAATATTGGGTCAAAAGGAAAAATTTGAGTCATCTTCACCCAGGTCAAAAAGGCATTTGATAATCTGCCAACCATTACTGTTTTTTAAATGTTATTATAATAGGTCTTGCAGGAAATATTCTTGACCTTATGTTTAGCTATGTATCAAAATGAAAAGGCCATCATAACACTAAAATTCTGAAAACATTGTTATGAAATTCAGAAAAAGACGAAGGTCTCATTGCTGTGACATAGGTGACATGCAGGTCTTGGCCGCTTGTTTGGCCAGGCCTGACCTCAAAAGAACTATTTCCATAGTCTAATGGATCACTACCGCACCTGCGCAACCTCATGACTCTGTGGGTCAGATCATAACAAGTTGCATCATGACCTGATATCCCATGGGCCAGCGCACTCTCTGCTAGAGCCCAGCAGTGCGCCAAGAGTTGCTTTTTAAGTGTCCAACAGGCTCTGCTTGCAATGCCTCAGAAGGCATAGCCTTGCTCCAGAACCTTACTGAGCTGCTCTGCAAATCTCTTGTCTGGAAATGCCAGAGATTTCTCTATCCATTCTACTGACTACCTACAACCTGGTATGTGCATGTTGAAATCTAGAAAATTTTTTGAAAAAAAGTGATCAAAACTTATCCAAGTAAAAAACAACTAATATCATGAAAGAAAAGGAAGCAGTAGTCAAAAGTCATCTTCCAAAAAATGGCAAGTCCTGCTTCAATTAAAATTATTAAGTAGTCTATTTGTTTCAATGGTTTTCTAACTCTTCTTTTGGTATTCCTTTCTTTGCTTTTGGTCTCTTTATCAAGGCATCCACCCTTATACTCTCTATTTGCTCTCTTCTCCCATGTTTGCCTCATTTAGTCACTATCCCATTCTCCAAAATTACTCTCATACTTTCTTTTCAAAGTTTCAGGATGTTCACTTACGACTTGCAACATGTTCAACTGTGACACATGTACCAGCTGAAATTTGAGTCTGCCTCACACTCCCATGGGCATTCCAAGCATGAGAGCTACAACTCTTTCCTCTTCTCTCAAGAAACTATTTCAGGATGCAGAAGATGAAAAGGGATATTGGCCTAAAACATGAATTATCTCTAATTTTAAAGTATAATTATTACTAGCATTAGTAGCAGTATCACCAGTAACAAAGCTGTCACATACCTCTCAACTGGTGTAGTATGTCAGTTTGTGAAGGCAGTGCTGTTAATAGTGGTAAATTAGAGGAAGTAATTTTGATTAGGTCAATTCACCCTAAGGCCAAAATTACTGACACTCTTTCTGAGAAAACCTAAACTTTTCTTAAACCATTTTTATTTCTAAAGATTGAGTTGCAAATTTGAGTAGTTCCATGCAAAATGAATATACACTTTTGTTTATTTATATTTATGTGTCATACTCTTATCTCCCAATTTTAGACCATAATTTAATGTTAGATGGAAAAATAGTCAATTTTTTATTGGGACTGGTCATTTCGATTTGTCTCTAGGACCGTGGGAAGGAAATCAGTTTTTCCAGATGATGATTCATTTCCTTCTGCAGAACTCAAAAATAGCTGAGTGTTAGATAAAGATTGAAGGAGTTAAAGTAAATATTATACTCCAATGTCCTAAATATAAATATATACTAAAACACAAATAGAATCCTCTAATTAGGAAAAAGGAAGAGGAGAAAGAGAAGGAGGAGGGAAAGAAGGAAGGAAGGGAGAAAGTAAGGGAGGAAGGAGGGAAGGAAGAAAAGAAGGAAGGAAGAAAGGAAAGAAGGAAGGAAGGAAGGGTGATTTTATGGCAAGATATTGTGTCTCTAAGAAAACTATCAGCCCCTGGAGGAGGTCAGAAACTTGGATTTATATGACATTGCTTTTAAGTCTTCTGCAGTAATGGGTACATGGTAAATATTCAATAAATATATGTTGGTTGTTAGAAATAATTAGCCTGACAATATACAAGATATAAAGAAAATCTTTTTATTTTAGTTTGGAGGAATCAACCTATATAAGAAGAAAAAAATGTTTTGAAGCTATGACAAAGAAACAAAATGTACTTCTTACAAAATTCCATAAGCTATACAACAAAATATCATGTTCTTCCCATGAGATGATTTCACTTGATGTTGTATGTGCATCAGCACATTGTTATTCTGCCAAACTTACACAACTCATAGGTCAAACTATAAAGAGAAGACCTCCAGGAGCCAGAATAATTGATAAAAAGGAATGGTATTTGTGAGTCAGAGCATTGTCCTCTCTTTTCACTGATTATTTAACCTCTTGCCATGCATTACTTCCAAAATTAAGTGCCTGTAGAATTTATTGTACTTAAAATAGGTTTAAAAATGTAATGGGGAGTAAAGTAATGATCTCACAATTACTGATTTAGTCATCTCAATGGCTCTAAAATTCAAAGATTGTCCTTAAGAGGAGACTCAGAAAAATTGAGATGTATAAAGAATGTAGTTGACCAAGTTACATCAATGAAAATTTTTTTCATGTCTTTAGCTCTTAAATTAAGTATTATTCTTTCTGAAAAACCAGTTCAAAGAAATAAATTTGCAATGCAGCCACAGATAATTCATTCAATAAACATGTATGAATGCATCTTATGTGACAGGCATAGATACTAAGAAAAAGCAAAAATAGGGAGAAAAGACCCCTTCTCTCTGTAGAAAAGAATGGAGAGAAATGAATGGATTCTTTTATTCCACAAATACATATGAACATTTGCTATGTACTAAATTTATGATAGTTTCTGGGGATAAAGAAATAAAGAAGACAGATACAGACCCTGCCTAAAACTGCTCACACTCTAGTGGAGATTTAGAATATAAAGAAGTGATTACAGTATTAACAAACTTTAAGGCACAGGTATAAACAGGATGCTATAAAAAACAGCTGATTATTGAAACAGATACATTGCAATTCAAAATTAAGTAAAATAGAGATATGAATACGTGGTATGAGAGCATAAAGGGTTTCAAAATGCTGCCTGAAGATGTTAGAAAAGGCTTCCCTAAGAATGCAGCATTTGAGCTGGTGATGTGGTTAGGCTTTGTGTTCCCACCCAAATCTCATCGTGAATTGTAATGCCTGGGTGTTGAGGGAGAGACCTGGTGGGAAGTGACTGGATTATGGGGGTGGTTTCCCCCGTGCTGTTTTCATGATAGTGAGTGAATTCTCATGAGATCTGATGATTTTATAAATGGCAGTTTTTCCTGCACCCTCACACACGCTCTCTCTCTCTCCTACCACCATGTGAGAAAGGTCTTTGCTTCCCCTTTTATTTCCACCATGATTATAAGTTTCCTGAGGTCTCCCCAACCACGTGGAACTGTGAGCCAATTAAACTTCTTTTCTTTATAAATTACCCAGTGTTGTAATTATGTCTTTACAGCAGTGTGAGAATGGACTAATACAGCTGGAAATGGAAAAGTTGAGCAGAATATGTCTGATGAAAAAGTGCAGGTCGTAGTGGCAGAGGGAACATAGCAGAGGCCATAAATTTGTCAACACACCTGGCTTGGCCAAAAAACACCAAGACTTTTCTTGAGAAGAGCAGTAGGGTACATATCAAGGAATAGGATCATGACAGCATAATGAGAAATTCACTAGAGAATGTGAAAGACAATCTGGAGTAAGCCAAAAAAATTACATGTTTTCCTGAAGACAAGATACCAGAAAAACTTTTTAAGCAGAAGAATGTGATTAATTTTCTCTCTTTCTCTTTCTCTTTCTCTTTCTCTCTCTCTCTGTCGTGCATGTGTGCTCTCTCTCCCCTTTCCCTCTCTCCTCTTCTTCCTTTCTTCAAAATGAACTTACACTGCCATGAAGAAAGTGACCTGGACTAAAAAGAGACACTAATGAAGAATATCCAGTTAGGAAATAGTTGCTGAAGCTCAATTGAGCAACTATAAGCAATCTAGAAGAAAGCAGTGACAGTGGAAATGAAGAAATGGACAAAATTGAAAACCATTTCTTAGATAGAACTCATAGTGTTTAGTTACTAGATGGGTGAGTTTATATCATCCCTCTAGGATGGGAGGAGGATGGAATAACGGGGGCAAGTCATGCAACATAGAAGTCAGGAAGGCCCAGAAGATTTTCAGCTAGAAGCCTAGGCAACATCATTGACTTGGACAATTCAGGAGACAGAGTAGTTTTAGGAGCAAGAAAACTTAAATTCCAGGTATAGTCAGAGATTTCTTCAATTAAATAAATGAAAGAGGACATTTTAAATGGTTGATCGTCCAGTGCATGATGCAGTGAACAGAAAGTTCTTTCTTGCTCTAAGAGTGAAAGTGGTGTACACGTAAGCCTACAGTAAGAGAGTGAGGACGATGAAGGAGTTACTGCTTTCTCTGATAAGAAGAGGCATTGTTATCTGCTGAGTTTAGGGTGAGGTCAGGCTGAGGTTAAGGAAAGTAAATAGGTTTGGATTGGATTGGAGAGACTAATCAGAAGGAAAATTTACAAAATACAAGTGAAAGGTTTTCCATGGAGCTAAAGTCAAGATAAGATTAGAAATCTTAAATTTATAATTCCATGATGTTCTACTCTCTAAAAGCAAGATAGGAGAAAGCAAACAAGTTACTCTCAAAGGTGGAATTCAGTTCCTCGATAAAAAGCCACAGTTGGAAAGGGAGTTTGTAAAATTTTGGCATGAGCTACTAATACACAATAATATATGTACTAATATGTTTGAGAGTCAGAAATGTGTTTGATTTGATTGAACACATACGTATGAAAGATAACTGAGGTGCATTCTTGGCTGGAAGGAACCAGACAGATTAAATGAGCTATAGTGGTCATTAAAATATCATTAGTAACAGGTAGCAAACTGCTGTACTAGATCATCTTGTGCTGTTTTAGCCAGTCCAAAGTTACCTCAGTATATTTCTTTAAAGATACAAAGCAGCTTATGGTCTAATAGTTCATTATGTTTAAACCATTCTTTACTTTTCAACTGCAATGATAGTCTTAAAGAGGGTTCTGTTTTTAGTCATTCTTTAAATAAAAACACATAGAAGATTTTTATGGTGAACATGATTAGAAATCTAATGTACAACATAAGAACTGAAGATACTAAACTTGTATTAAGGATTTTTGTTAAATAATTAGGTTTTAGCTGCTTTATTTCTTTATTAAAAAAACTTCACTATGTGAGATTATAGATATGTTGATCTGCTTCGCTATAGTAGTAGCCATTTTACTACCAATATGTATCCCATAATAATTGTAAACCTCAAATATACACAATAAAATGTATTTTTAAAAATACATTCTGATTATGACTTCTGATTGAATGTAGCCAAAATTTTGTTACTCTTGATTCTTAATCAGCACCCTGAGTCGTAGCTAATATGATGTGTTCTTGCTGATCTTTGACCTCTTTGCTGACCTGGCTCCAATGAATATTAAATACAGATGGAAAATCTGTAATGAATAGCAGAACACACAGGCAGCTATTTTATTCCTTTGCCCTTTGACTCTTAAGGCCGAGAGAAGTGCCAACATAAATGTAGCAGAGCACAAATATTCACTGTTTGATATGCGCAGGCTTATCTTGTTAGCTATGTGTGACCTTTTTCTGAATGGCACAAAAGGAATTGCTTGAATTACTAGGGCAAAATATTCATGCTCAAGCTTGTCTAAGCACACGGATCTTCTTACATCATAAAAAATTATGTTTAGTTTTCTTTTGAAAGAGGATTCTCTCCTTTAAAAGGTGAAAAAAAAAATGTTCTGCCAACAAGAAGATTTCAGGTAATAATGCTCAAACCTGGAGGCCTAAAGTGGAGTTGCATAATACAGATATCGTATGAGATTTAACTTAATGAATCTATCTTTGCAGTCACCCAGATTCCAGATCACCTCTGTCTTGACTGTATGCTCTGTCTTACCTCAAATTTATACATAGAGTTTAGGGTTTAAAGTTAAAGGTTTTAAGATTTAAAGATTCATAGATTTTTAGAGGAGCTTTGTTTCAACCTTTAATGCCATACACATAATTTTACTATTCTTTTCTTGACTATTCTAGATGTTACTACAACTATCTTGGACTCACCTAGTACAAAAATACCATCTTTTATACTTACCTGGTAATTTTGGGACTTTAGAACACATTAATTCCATTTATTTTAGTAATACATAGAATTATTTTTCCCAATTCTTTATTTCTTCCCTGTGGTAGAACCATCCATAACCTTTGCCACATGGTATGGGAGTACCTCCATTAGAGCAAGTAGAATATATTTTCTAGCTTTATTGATATACAGCTGAGTCAAGCAAGCAACTTGCTTTGGCCAGTGGACATAATGTGAGCAGAAATTTTAAATGAGCCTGTGTGGTTTGGCTTTGCGTTGGTCAGGGTTATCTAGAGAAGTAGAATCAATAGGATTTATATAGATATAAAAAGTATATTTCTCATGGGAATTGCCTCACATAATTCTAAAGGCCAAGAAGTCTTGCCGTCTGCTGTCTGCAAGCTGGAGAACCAGGAAAGCTGGTGGTGTAACCCCCAGTCTGAGGCCAAGACCTGAGAAATGGGAGGGGGAAGAGAGAGGTACCTGTGTATGTTCTACAGTTTGATTGCCTGAGAACCAGGAGCTCTCAGATGTCCAAATACTAGAAAAGGCAAATACCCCAGCTCAAAAAAACAGTGAGCACACTTGCCCTTCCTCCTCCTTTTTTTTTTTTTCTATTAGGGTTTTCAGTTGATTGGCTGCTGCTCACCCACATTGGCTAGGGTGGATCTTCTTTACCCATTCTATTGGTCCAAATACTAATCTCTTCCAGAAACACTCTCACAGGTATACCAAAAAGTAATATTTTACCAGTTATATGGGCATCCCTTAGTCTAGTTTAGTTGACAGATAAAATTAACTACCACCAGCTTCTATACTTGCAATCCTGCTATTGTCATAACAACAGAATACCCCCAAGAAGACCACGGTCCAAATATAAGACATGTAGTGTATACTTGAAATCAAACTATAGCATCCAGCCAAGCCCAAATAAACTGAGACAAGGTTCGCCTCACCCACAAACCCATGAGTGTGACATATATATATATTTGAATATTTCTCCCTTGATATCCATGAGGGATTTGTTCCAGGACCCTCTATGGATACCAAAAGCCACAGATGCTCAAGTCCCACAGTTGTCCCTGTAGAACCAACACATAAAAGTCAGCCCTCTGTCAACCTTCAAAATTCATAGGTTCTGCATCCTGTGAACACTATATTTTTGATTTGTGGTTTAATCTTTGGATGCAGAACCCACAGATACAGAGGGCCAACTGTATATGTGATTATGAGCCACTAAGATTTGAGTTTGTTATGTAGTGTTATTATAATGATAGATGATTAGTAAATGCAAATATCAAAGTAAAATAGAAAAGGCTAATGGTGGGATTTGAGAGAGGAAATGAAGTTAACTCTCAGGGACTAAAACTAAGAGAAATGAAGATGAAGTTTTTCGTGGCTGAAGGTGAAATTCTCTCCAAGGGAAGAGTGTCATGAGCACTCGAGGGCAGAGAATTGGCCCCAACATAGAACCCCAGCTCCAAAGAAAAAGAAAACTTTGCCTCAGGAAGTGTGGAAGTCAGATTCTAGATTCATTGTGCCCACCTGGTGCCTGGAGCATGGAATCTGTTCCAAGATATGGTGGAGGTAATGACAACATTTACATCAGTGAGATCAAAATAGCAGCTGTGGAGGATCTACCACAGTGTGAAATGGAATTGGCAGCAGCAGGACCACCAGCTAAGACTTTTATTATAAAAGATAAAGATCAAGGTCTAGAAAGATTCTCTTGGCTCCTGCCATGCATGGCAGCATTGACAATTTAATTTGAGGTTATGGACTTGGAATAGTGTCTATGTGGGCTAATGACAATAGATTTCCCTTATGTTGTCTGAGTCTAACAATCCTAATACAAGGTAAGTAGATAAATTCTGTCACAAATTTAGACACAAGGGCTGCCAAGCATTCATTTCATTTAATTGACTCGATAAAATTAGACAAAGGCATAACAAATTGGTTGGGAGGGCAAACTCTAAATCAGATTTTCAAGATTTAAATACTGTTCTGCCATTCACTAGCCCTATGACCTTAGTTGCTAATTTTCTCTGTGCCTCAATTTCCTCCTCTATAAACTGCAAATAATTATAGTAACTTCCTCATGGAGTCAATATAATTGTTAAATCAGTTAGCACATGCATAAGACTTAGATCAATTTTGGCACTATGTAAAAATTAAATAAATTATTATTATCTGCTTTACCAAAGAGAGTTTATGAGATCTGTTTTCCTAAATTGAGAAGACCATAATGAAAGTAACAAGGCAGTAAGAACAAGGAGTAGATGTGGTTCTGTGATAAATTATCAATACTTTTGCCTTTGTGTGTGTTTGCATGAGTATGGGGGGTTGTGAGGAGAATATCTATCTTCTTTTCTTCTCCTGCCTGCAGCCCGGGAAAGGAGTAGACAAGAATGCCAAATCTCACATTGTGTGAGAAAGAGATAGATGATAGAATTACCTTGGTAATGCCTTGGCTTCTTAATGGGTGGCATGTTTTGCCTTTCCCTTTATTCTA
Source organism: Homo sapiens (assembly GCF_000001405.40). NCBI lineage: Eukaryota > Metazoa > Chordata > Mammalia > Primates > Hominidae > Homo > Homo sapiens. The sequence goes on along the minus strand of NC_000012.12, from coordinate 88,302,640 downwards.
ACTTTGGGGGTTGGCTACTCTTATTAAACAGTTCAGATTTAATACATTCATTCTGGAATAAACATTACTAAATTTGGAAGGAGAGCAGTTTGAAACCAGTGGGAAGTACCAGAGAAAACTGAAAAATCCAGATTACCAGTGTTTGCTACAAAAGGACAAGAAAAAGAAAAGTACAAAACCAATGTTACTTCATGACATAATACTGATGTGTAATTATTTCTAATTGTATGCATGCTTAATCAAATACTCATGAGCAAAATGAGTTTCTATTAAGTATTTTAAAGGCATAAATAGACGAAAAATTTGTAACCAAGATCAAGTCTTGCAAGGAGCTAGGGAGTACCTGAGAGCTCCTAAGAACCAAAAACTGAAGGTAAACTAAATGTAAGCGGAAATGAGCAAATACATTATAACATTAAATGGAGTATGATGCGCCATTAAAATGATGCTGTAAATCTATGCTTTTTGAAATCTAAATATGTTTATGTATATGTATATGTTTAGAAGTTCTATGATTAAAGCAGTTGTAAAGTAGTTTTACAGTATTAAAGACTTTTAATTATTTAAATTAAAAGGAGAGAGCAAGAATGTATATGTCTTTATGTGTGTGTATGTCTATTAAAAATTTCAGAAATATACATCAGAGTGTTAATACTGGTCATTTTTGTATGATAGGATTAACAATAGTATTTTAAAATTGTTTATTTTTGTCATTATCTAATATTTTAAAAACATATGTTTATTATGTATTTGGGTGTAAAACCCATGAGGACATTTCAATTTTTTTAAGTTTGATTTAAAAAAATAAGCTTACCTATAACATTTAAATCTGCTTCTGAATTTGTTTGGATCATTCCTGAACAACAGTTGAAATAAGACCTATATAGATGACAAAGATTAGGGGGTAGAGTTTGTCATTGGCTTTTTAAATGTGCAAACTTGAATCAAATTAGACTTCTAGGAAAGATTATGATATGACTGCATGTTTACATAGCACACTAAACAAAATAATAAGAGCAACAGAAAATAATAAAGGAATCTTCATTCATAAGTAAATTAGTAAATCACCAAAATCCCTTACTAAAGAATCTGAAACATATTTACCAATTACAATAATACTTCCTCAAAATAAAAGGAAGGGGCTCAGCTTTGGCATATAGCTTCCCTAATTAAGAGTAAGATGCTGTTTGGGAAGAAAGTAAGGAATACTCCTAAAAATTCTTTACTTGGAGATAGGATCTTTTGCAATTTGAATGAGTTTCAGGAGTAATGTGGGTCACCATTTTGGATTTCTTAGACCATCAGCTCGGTGAGGTCAGGAACCATAATGTTTTTGTTAACAACTTTATCCCCAGTTTCTGGTACATAGTAAAGGCTGAATAAATATTTGTTGAATAAATGCCTGGAGTTGTTTCCCCTCCCACATAATGGCAAAAGTGGAAGGAGAAATGAAATGGCCATGTCATTTTAATTTAACCCAATCTAGTTTCACAACTAGTAAGAAACAACTGCTCAGCCACAAAGCAAAGTTAGCCAAACAGACATAAGTAAATATTTATCCATAAAACAAAACTATGAACCTAAGAGCACAACACTGATATGGGAACCTGCCAGGATGACCTGAACTAATCCCTCTAAAATGAAGGAGCAGCCAAACTCTGGGAGAGTTAAGGTTTGAAATTACTAAATCTCATGCTTTTAATCATTGTGTTAGGCTGCAATATTTTCTAAAGAAGACGAATTAATCTTCCCAATGACTAAATTACAATAACATACTTGTTGAAGGTAACATTTTACTAAAATACTGTTTTGCTCTTCTAAATGGCCCCAAATTAATCAGAATAACTTTTCTGATGCAAAATCCACAGGTTTAATAAAAAATTGGTGATACAGGTTACCTCTTAAGAGACCGTGAAATAGCTACTTGAGACAGTCAGGAAGTCAGTGTGGAACATTATAAAGATCTGAACCCAACTGTGTCTTATGCATTAAGCAGTCACAGAGTTCCACTGGGATTTAGAATGGACTCCGGATCTGATGACCTTGCCTTCCAAGAATATTTTTCCACATCTTAAATTCTATACTTGTTGTCAAGATCCAAGCTCATCAAAATTCATGACTCATTTAACAATAAAATCAATTCATTTGTCTTTATTTTATTACCTTATCTGTGTGGGAAAACTAAATTAGAGTCTTGTGTCAGCCAAGATCTTCAAGCAGAAGCCTATTTGATACGGACGTAGGGGATAAATAATAGTAGGTCTGGCCTACCTGTTAAACAACCAAAAATTACTCTAATGTAAGAAAGTTACATTGATTAGATTACTAAGATAACACTTACTAAGATTAGATTACTAAGACAACACATTACTAAGAAGTGAAAGGCTTGGAGCCATCATTCTACTTTGACAAAGGCTAGGGACAAAGGCTGTTCTGGGTCTTTGGCATCAGAAAGAAGCTCTTGGATGTTCTCTGAAGTATCAATATTAGCTATCCTAGCTTCAATTACCTTCATTCTCCATGTGGCTCTCTTCTAGTTTCAAATTTCCAAGAAAGAGAATTGGGTTGGTCCAACTTAAATTAGACATCTTTATCCTTGGTAAATCACCCTGGCAAGAGTTTCTTTGAGGCAGGAGGTGGTAGTGGCACAAACATAGCTATAGGGTAGAACTGTGAGCTGAGTCATTGCTCCAGTACATATTACTGCAGGGGGATGACCACGTGGTCAGTGCATGTGTTTGTGGGGGTAGAAGGAGATAGTGTTAAATTATTCTTGGAACGTGGCTTAACCACTGTTGGGTTTGCTCTATGACAAAATCAAGTGGCATAGTCATATCTGACTGATATGAATCAGCAAAATGGAAATGGGGCGAATTCTGCAGCCTTGACCTATGACTAGGTTTCAGTATTAGAGTTCTTTCCACCCTCTTTAAGCTCGTGTTGATAGAAACAGCCATCATATTTTCTTTGCTTCACATTTCTCAGGGTTACTTCATAAGAAGTGAGAGCTGATTTCCCATTGACTCATGCATTTCCATATTTAGCTCATTAGGTGCAGGAAGTCTACATCTTGTTGGTTCAATGTTTTCATTAGGAATTAGAAATTTTCAGCAATTACTTGCTGGACAATGCACAATCATATCTATATCTTTTACTCAAAATGGTATCTTCTGAACTTACATTCCAACATCTTGTAATTTTCAAATCTTTCCCATTTGTAAGGTGAAATGATCATAGTAATATACTTGTAAAACTTCCCTTATACATGAATATCAGAAAATATATGTGGCAAAGTGTTTTAGTTATCTATTGATTCATAATATTTTATTTCAGAATTGTCTCAAAAAACTCACACATTTATTATCTCATTCCATTTATTATCTCACTCTGTGGATCAGGAATGCAAGTACGCTTACATGAGGTTGTAGCGATGGTGTCAACTGACACTATGGTCGCATTTGAAGGCTCAGCTGAGAGGGGAAATATTTCCTAGCTCCCTCACATGGTTGTTGATAGGATTCAGTTTCTCATGGGGTATTGAACTGATGACCTCAGCTCTTTACTGGCTGTTGGCTAGAAGCCTCGCCTGTCCCTTGTTAAATGATTATCTTCTTAGGGAAGCTATGAAAAAAATCTCCATGCTAGTTGGCTTTTCTTAGAGTGAGCAAGTGAGAGAGCAAGAGGGTGCCAGGACAGAAGCCACAATGTCTTTTTATCCTAATCTTGTAAGTGACATCTCATCACTTACTTCTGCCACATTCTATTCATTAGAAGTGAGTCACTAAATTCAACCCACACTCAAAAGGAGGGGAACTCCAGGAAACAGAAATCATTGAGAGTTCTGTTAGAGGCTGCCAGCCACACCAGGGAACTGGAATTACAGGTATATTCTGACATTTAAGAAACAAAAGAAAATCATGAGATAAAGAATAATAAGGTAACAACATTCAAATCGAGGAGACTGAGAAAAAAAATGAAAGGAGTTTACTATTATGATTCTATTAACCAAGAAGAAAAGTAGTTTGATTAAAAAGACAGATTTTCATTGGCAAGCATGAAGAATTTCACATTTACATCAAATATTCACTTGGCCACAGATTTTTGTATTAATTTGAAGAGTGTGCTTAGCTGCCCTCTATAATGGGCAGCTTCCCAAAATGACTTGTGCTGATCAACAAAAAGAGTTAAGTAAATATACTGTCAATAAAGAGAAGCCTTGTAAAAGAAACTCAAAATGAAAAATACAAGGAAAATGTGAAAAAATTAACATTTTTAACAAAGCAAGTTTATAAGAAAGATACATAGGGAAAAAAGGCAACAATTTAATCAACTTACACTGTACAAAAGCAAAGTATTTTATTTCAAGAGATACTGGGCTTTTTCAGCTTTACAGGAAACTGGCCAATTATACCTCTTCATATGAAAAACAAAGATAACCAAGTCCCATGAAGATAAGCCTGGATAGACTGTATTTAGATACATTAACCTTCTTAATGAACTACAGACAGTCCCTGAATTAAATGATTTTTTTTTTTTTTACTTTATGGTGGTTCAAAAGCAATACACATTCAGGAGAAACTAGACTTCCAATACTTATACAACCATTCTGTTTTTCACTTTCAGTGAACTATTCAATAAATTACAGGAGATATTCAACACTTTATTAGAAAATAGGCTTGATGTTATATGATTTTGCCCAAATGTAGGCCAATATAAGTGTTCTGAACACATTTAAGGTAGGGTAGGCTAAATTATGATGTTTGCTAGGTTAGGTGTATTCGATGCATTTTCATCTTATATATTTTCAACTTGCAATGAGTTTATCAGGACATAACCGCAACATAAGTCAAGGAGCATCTATACTCTGATATGGATACCCAAAATGAAAGCTGTATGGGATGGGTGGTATAGCTGAGAAATAAACATAGAAAAAGAAAATGAACAGACACTGGAAGGCCAACTCAAAATATCCCATTTGGATATGTAAAAGTCAAAAAGATATGTTTTACTTAAGAATTGGCAGATAGTCACCAGGCGCAGTGGCTCACGCCTGTAATCCCAGCACTTTGGAAGTCCGAGGCAGGCGGATCATGAGGCAGGAGTTTGAGACCAGCCTGATCAACATGGTGAAACCCCATCTCTACTAAAAATACAAAAATTAGCCGGGTATGGTGGCACGCGCCTATAATTCCAGCTACTCGGGAGGCTGAGGCAGGAGAACTGCTTGAACCCGGGAGGCGGAGGTAGCAGTGAGCCAAAATCGCGCCACTGCACTCCAGCCTGGACGACAGAGTGAGACTCTGTCTCAAAAAAAAAAAAAAAAAAAAAAAAAAAAGAAATTGGCAGATAGTCTGTCTGTCTGTCTACACTACTAGTTATCCTGAAGTTTCATCTCTCAGATGACAGGAAGCAGTTTAGTGTTTTTTATTTAAAGGGGAAGAACAGATAGGTAAAGCCAACAATGATATTCTGGTGCCCTATCTTGGAAATATGAAAAAAAAAATTAAGTATGTCAAAAATTTTCAAATCAACTCACCAGAGAATTTATAGGAATAGAATGGCTGAAAGTTTTAAGAAGTTCTCAACAAGCCAACGGCCCCAGTATTCCTCACAATTCACCAAAATTCACTGAATGCCTGCAGTGTGAGGAGCAGTATGCAATCAAGAAAGGAAACCAATGAATGCTGATTTAGATAGTCATTTAGCTTTGCGATAATATTCATTGTTTTTCTAATGTTTATTATTTGGAAAAAATTGAAAAGTGTGAAGAAGGAAATAATACTCATAATAAACATGGCTAAAATTATGGTATGTTTTCTATAAAAAATGTGTTTGTACCCTTTGACCCAAATCAAACAAGGTCAAGGTACGCACTGTTAATTATAAGATAAAATGAGATTAGTTGTACAGCATGGTGATTATAGTTAATAATAATAATGTAATAATGTATTTAATAATGAATTATATACTTGGTATTTGCTAAGAGAGTAGGTTTTAAGTGCTCTCACCATACACACACACACACACAAACACACAAATACACAATAGTAACTGTATGAATTGATGGATATGTTAATTATCTTGATTGTGATAATCACCATACATTGTATCAAAATACTACATTGTACATCTTAAATATGTACAATTTTTGTCAAATCTCTAAAAAGATGAGGGAATAAATACATACATATATGTGTATATTTTACATGTATGTATGTAAATTTTAAATATTGATATGTAATTTTATAAACAATTTCTTTTCTCCCACCTATGTTATCAGAGTTTGCGTTCTTTTTTCTCACATTATTAAATTTTTTTTTTTTTTTCGAGATGGAGTTTGGCTCTTGTTGCCCAGGCTGTAGTACAATGGCACGATCTCGACTCACTACAACCTCTGCCTCCCAGGTTCAGGCGATTCTTCTGCCGCAGCCTCCCGAGTACCTGGGATTACAGGCATGCGCCACCATGCTCAGCTAATTTTTTGTATTTTTAGTAGAAACAGGGTTTCACCATGTTGATCAGGCTGGTCTCGAACTCCTGACCTCAGGTGATCCACCCGCCCCAGCCTCCCAAACTGCTGGGATTACAGGCGTGAGCCAACACGCTGGCCAATATATTTTTTAAAATATAACTTTTAGAAGCTGTTTTGTATTCCATTTGTGGTTGTAACATAATCCATTACATTTGTTCATACAATGGATATTAGGTCATTTCCAATTGTAGATATTTATTTTGTTTATTTTTGCTATTTATGTGGTGATAAACATTCTTAAGCAAAAAGTGTACTGGTCATTTATAGTGCAGTGTATTATCTCTGTTTTAGAAAAAAATCCTATTGTGGTATGAATAAAAGAAATATAAAAGATTACATTGAAATATTGTAAATTCTAAAAGACATGTATCAATTGCAATTGCAAAGGTAGGTGATAGAGAACTAACTGCCTTCTCCCTACACAAATCAGAGCTCTCACAGAGATGTCACTTATCTGAGCCTTCAAGGAGAAATATGAGCTTGTTAGGAAGAGTATGATGCCACTGGTTAGTCTGAGTTCATTGTAGATTCTGGATATTAGTCCTTTGTCAGATGCATAGTATGCAAATATTTTCTCCCACTCTGTGGGTTGTCTGTTTACTGATTTTCCTTTTGCTTTGCAGAAGATTTTTAGTTCACTTAACTCCCATCTATTTATCTTTGTTTTTGTTTCATTTGATTTTGGGTTCTTGGTAATAAAGTCTTTGCCTAAGCCCATGTCTAGAAGTGTTTTTCCGATGGTATCTTTTAGAATTTTTATGGTTTCAGGTCTTAGACTCAAAGCTTTGATCCATCTTGGGTTCATTTTTGTGTAGGGTGAGAGATGAGGATCTAGTTTCATTCTTCTACCTGTGGCTTGCCAATATCACAGCACCATTTGTAGAATAGGGTGTCCTTTCCTCATTTTATGTTTTTGTTTGTTTTGTCGACGATCAGATAGCTGTAAGTATTTGGTGTTATATCTGGATTCTTTATTTTGTTCCTTTGGTCTATGTGCCTATTTTGATATCAGTACCATGCTGTTTTGGTGACTATGGCCTCGTAATATAATTTAAAGTCAGGTAACGTGACACCTCCAGATTTGTTCTTTTTGCTTAGTCTTGCTTTGGCTATGCAGGCTCTTTTTTGGTTCCCTGTGAATATTAAGATTGTTTTTTCTAGTTCTGCAATGAAGGTGGTATTTTGATGAGAATTGTATTGAATTTATAGACTGCTTTTGGCAATATTGTCATTTTCACAATATTGATTCCACTCATCCATGAGCATGGCATGTGTTTCCATTTGTTTGGGTCATCTATGATTTCTTTCAGCAGTGTTTTGTAGTTTTTGTTGTAGAGGTCTTTCACCTCCTTGGTTAGGTTTGTTCCTAAATATTTTTTTTGCAGCTATTATAAAAGGGGTTGAGTTCTTGATTTAATTTTCAACTTGGTCGTTGTTGGTATATAGCAGTGCTACTGATATGTTAACTTTGATTTTGTATCCTGAAACTTTGCTGAATTTATTTATCTAATCTAGGAGCTTTTTGGATGAGTCTTTAGGGTTTTCTAGGTATATGATCATACCAACGATGGACAGTGACAGTTTGACTTCCTCTTTACTGATTTGGATGCCCTTGATTTCTTTCTCTTGTCTGATTTCTCTGGCTAGGACTTCCAGTACTGTGTTGAATAGAAGTGGTAAAAGTGGGCATCCTTTTGTTGTTCCCATTCTCAGGGGGAATGCTTTCAACTTTTTCCCTTTCAGTATAATGTTGGCTGTAGGTTTGTCACAGATGGCTTTTATTACCTTAAGGTATGTCCCTTCTATGCCTATTTTGCTGAGGGTTTTAATCATAAGAGATGTTGGATTTTCTCAAGTGCTTTTTCTGCATCTATTGAGATGATCATATGATTTTTGTTTTTAATTCATAATCCCATCAGAAGGTGAGCTAAGGACATGGATAGACAATTCTCAAAAGAAGTTATACAAATGGCCAACAGACATTTAAAAATGCTTAACATGACTAATTATCAGGGAAATGCAAATCAAAACCATAAGATACCACCTTACTCCTGAAAGAATGGCTATAACTAAAAATGAAAAAAAATAGGTGTAGACACAGGGAACACAGTGAAAATGAAACACTTTTACAATGTTAGTGGTAATGTAGACTAGTACAACCACTACAGAAAACAGTATGGAGATTCCTTAATGAACTAAAAGTAGATCTACCATTTGATCCATCAACCCCACTATTGGGTATCCACCAGAGGAAAAGAAGTCATTATATGAAAAAGGCACTTGCACATGCATGTTTATAGCAGCACAATTTGCAATCGCAAAAAATATGGAACAAGCCCAAATGCCCACCAATCAATGAGTAGATAAATAAAATGTGATACACACACGCACACAAACACACCATGGGATACTACTCAACATAAAAAGGAACAAAATAATGTCATTTTCAGCAACCTGGATGGAGTTGGAGATCATTATTCTTAGTGAAGTAACTCAGGAATGGAAAACCAAACATCATACCTTCTCACTTATAAGTGGGAGCTAAAGTATGCGGACAAAAAGGCATAAGAATGATACAATGGACTTTGGGAACTTGGGGGAAAGGGTGGGAAGGGGTGAGGGATAAAAGACTAGACACTGAATGCAGTGTACACTGCTGAAGTGATGGGTGCACCAAAATCTCAGAAAACACCACTAAAGAACTTATCCATGCAGCCAAACACCATGTGTTTCTCAAAAACAATTGAAATTAAAAACAACTATGATCTCAGAGAATTCTAGGCAGAGTGTCATGTGTAAGGGTGGAATTAGCACTCTGTTTAATGATTTTCTTCTTGAAATAATCTCCACTCTTTATTACCATCACTCCCTGTTTTCCTCCAATCTCTCATTACAGACAAGTTAAGGTATTTTCAATTTTTCCTGTTTCTAGCTGACAGACTTCCCTAGCTGCGATCCTGGTCTCTTGCCTGATCTCTTATTCACTCTTCCCCATGAAGAATATGTAACGTTCTATTGATGATTGAAAGTCATTAGTTCATATATTATGTCAATCATCCATGATCACTGAGGATTTTAATCTTTTCTCCTTTCTCCACCAGACAGGCAGGGAAGCAAAGAGCTTAGGTTAACTATTGAATACCAAGTTCGCTCACAGGAGAACTTTCCTCAGACATAGATGGGAGGTACAAGAGGTGACACGGGCTACCAAGACATTCTAATTGGTCCATTTAGCCCTCACACTACTTTAAGAGTTGGGTAGCAATTAAGATAATGCTATAGTCTCCTCTTTCTGGCATTCTATTTCTCAATTGATTCTGCACTAGAAAAGGAAAAGGAGGTATTATGTATTGACTATCTAAAATCTCTGCCGTTTGTATTTTATTTGTAATTAATTTTTGGTTTGGCATGAGAAGATTTGGTGATTGATTGTGTGTGGGACGTGAGAAAGAGAGAATTGGAGTAATTCCTAGTCTCTACAAAAGAGATGTTATAGGAGAAGAAGCAGAATGAGGAAAATCCAATGATTCTATTTATTTGAGTTTAAGGTGTCTGTAGGACTTCCTAATGAAAGTCAAGTAAAAAAATTATTAAAAGAATTAAAGCCTTTGTTATGGGAGGAGTCAAAATTTCATTTCAAAGTACACAGTTGATTAGAAATAGAAAAGAATGGAAAGTCAATTTGCAAGTTAATCGAGACAACACAACGTAATCAAACCGTGGCACCACTTCATCAAAAGGCCACCAAATGCCAGAAGAAAAAATTCTAGGAATCAAAAATATTAGAGTCATTCCATTAATTTAAAAACATATCAGGAGGCTGAGGCAGGAGAATGGCGTGAACCGGGGAGGCAGAGCTTGCAGTGAGCCGAGATCACGCCACTGCGCTCCAGCCTGGACGACACAGTGAGACTCCGTCTCAAAAAAAAAAAAAAAAATACAGGGTGAGAAAAAGCAGCAATTGCCATAATTTGCTGATATATCTATTTCTTTAAAATGAAAGTGTGACAGCCTATCCTGTCTCTCCTCTGCCCTCACCTCAACAGCATTATTGTTACATGATTAACTGGGAAATGTCAGTGGCCTAGTGGCCTAAATTAAATTTTACCAGTCTAAGTAAAGGAAATGTTCTAGATTATAATTTAATGTGTAAACTTTGACAGTGGGAAGCATGCCAGTTTTTACAAAATAATTTATGACTCAAAAGCAAGCAGGAGAGGACCTAGTTGGTATGTGAAAGTATTAGCTACTAAGATGAAGTATAGCTTCCAAGAGGAGTATATTTGCAATTGGTGACACACTTCCTTATCATTTTCCTCTTAATAATTGTGTGTATATCTGTAGCGCTTTGTCACTTAGCTAGTTCACTAAAAGTTACACAATGTGTCACATAAAGCAGCCTAATATATGTCAAGCCAAGCTTCTGTAAGTTATCAAACCTGAAAAGACGGTTTGATATTTCATAGTGCTGACAAACTTGTGTTCCTTACAAATAGCATAAATAAAATCCGCAGGACTTTAAAGGAGGTAGTGAGAAATCACATCCAACTGGGGGACTGGGGAAGGTTTCAGAGGGGAGGTCAAACTTGAGCTAGACCTTCAAAAATCTTGATAAATGAGGATGTGACAGAAAGGACTGGTAATATAGGTGTTTGCCAAAGTACATTAAACTTGGTAAAGTGAAACTGGGTATTTTGAAAACTGTTTTCTCTCTCTCCTTGATACTTAACACTGGGTTTAAGTCAAACCTCACCTCCCAAGGACTAGTAACCAAAATAAAAATTAGCCCCAGGCCCACTTTGGAGAATTCATGGCAATCCTCAAGGGTCCCACCAATTTCCTCCTAACTTGCTCCTATTCTCATCCTTTATTTGACTGGTTCTGACTCTTATCCCTGTCTGCTATTTAAAGCTACATTTTTAACCTTTTAGATTTGGACATCTACATTCATCAGTGATTTTTAGTTATCAATTCTCCTCAAAGTTTTTTTTTTGACGCTTGAGTGATACCCAATCCCGTGACACTTCCCATTCTAGACTTTCTCTTGTAGAATGGTATTCATTGGTTTTGGACCTTTGGATTCATTTCCAGCACCAGACTTGGTTGGTACACAGGGTAGCCCAACACAGACCCAGATGGGGAAGAATTTAGACAATTTGAACCACTGAAGCTATTTTTGTTTTATTGCTATTTTATTTTTTTATGTCAACAAAACAGATACACATGGATTGAAGGAGATTTGGGAAAAACAGATAAGTATAATAGAGAAGAAAAATCACCTGCAATTCAAGATAAACTATCACTCAAGATAAACATTATTAACTTACTTTCCAGTCTTCTTTATATGTATGTATTTATACACGCATTTTAAAAAATAAAATTGCTTTCATAGTGCATATACAGTTTGTATTCTATTTTTGCATCTTTATTTTATCATGATTTTTTCCAGTATAATTTAGTAGTCTTAGATAAAAATGTTTTTGAATAGCCGGCTGCACATTTCAACATATAAATATAATATGATAGAACTCTATTATTAAGAATTTATGTCATTTTATTTATGTTTAACTTTTATTTTAGGTTCGGGGTATGTGTGAAGGTTTGTTATATAGGTAAACGCATGTCACAGGGTTTGTTGCACAGATTATTTCATCACCCAGGTATTAAGTCCAGTACCCAATAGTTATTTTTTCTGCTCCTCTCCCTCATTCCACCCTCTATGCTCAAGTCGATTCTAGTGTCTGTTGTTTCCTTCTTTGTGTTCACATGCTCTCGTCATCTAGCTCTCACTTATAAGTGAGAACATGTGGTATTTGGTTTTCTGTTCCTGCATTCATTTGCTAAGAATAATAGTCTCCAGCTCCATCTGTGTTCATGCAAAAGACATAATCTCATTCTTTTTCATGGCTGCATGGTATCCCATGGTGTATATGTACCATATTTTCTTTATCTAGTCTGTTACTGATGGGCGTTTAGGTTGATTCCATGATTTATGTCATTTAAAAATTTTTCACTATTGTACAGGAAACTCTAATAATATCCAGTGGTCCATGTGCAAGTCACTTTCAAGGAAATATAGATATAAAGCCAAATATAACTACAAAAATGCAAATTCTAAGTACTCATCTTGGAAACCATTCTTAGGAAGCCCATTCACAGGCTACTGCAAATTTCTGAAAAAACCTCTAATCATTCCAGATTCCAACATGAATCTTGAGCTATATGGTACTCTGACTGGGATTTAAAAACTTTTTTTATAAACTGGAACCTCAGTTATTGTGGACTTGAGAGGCTGAGGTATACCCACCTCATATCCAGCTACCAGGGGTCTATGCTCTAAACTTCATTAATGGATCCTGTTGTTTACTGTACAGTAAATAAACCACTTTTCCTTCCTTAGCCTTTGTCAAATTCCCAATTGAATCCCAGATTGAGTCTCAATGGAATCCTGTGCTATATATAAATTCCTAACTACAGATTATCAACGTGTGAACTTTGGCATGTCTGAAACTCATCCAATATTGAGAAAATATTTGTAAAGTACATATCTGAGAGTGTAAATTTTTGCAGAATATGTAAAGAACTCTCAAGACCCAATCATAAGAAAACAAGTCAATGTTTAACAGCTAAAGCTTTCAATAGACAACCAAAAAGATGTACAGATGCCAAACAAACACATGAAAATATGTTTAATATTAGTTATTAGGGAAATACAAATGTAAAAGACTGGCAATATGAAGAGGTGGTGAGGATGCACAGCAACATAGTGCTGAGCAGAATGCAAAAAAAAAAAAAATAAAGCTATAAGCACTTTGAGAGTTTGGCAATTTCTTATAAAGATAACAAACTTCCTATGTGACCCAGAAATCCTTCTGTTAGCTATTTACCCAAGAGAAGTAAAACCTTATATTCACACAATAGTCAATACATAAATGTTTATAGCAGTTATATTTATAATTGCCAAAAATTGAAAACAACCCAAATGTTCTTCCACTGATGAGTAAATAAACAACTATTAACATTAATATGATGAAATGTTATTCAGCAATAAAAGTAACAAAGTGGCCGGGTGTGGTGGCTCACGCCTGTAATCCCAGCACTTTGGGAGGCTGAGGAGGTGGATCACCTGAGGCCAGCCTGGTCCAACATGGTGAAACCCCGTCTCTACTAAAAATACAAAAATTAGCTGGGCGTGGTGGTGGGCGCCTGTAATCCCAGCTACTTGGGAGGCTGAGGCAGGAGAATCACTTGAACCCAGGAGTTGGAGGTTGCAGTGAGCTGAGATCGAGCCACTGCAATCCAGCCTGGGTGACAGAGTGAGACTTTGTCTCAAAAAAAAAAAACAAAAAACAAAAAGTAGCAATCTATTGATGTGCCAATCAACATGGATGAATCTCAAATGCATTATATTGAGCAAAAGAAGCTCCACTCCAAAGGCTAGCTATGTATGACATCCTAAAAAGCATATACTATAGACACCAAATAAAAATCAATAGTTAAGGGAGTGAAGAAAGGGGTTGACTACAAAGCATCATGAGAAAATTTTGGAGGATAATGGAGCTCTTCTATATCTTGATTATAGTGGTGGTTAGAGCACAATATACTTTTGTCTAAATTAATAAAACAATGCACAAAAGGGTGAATTTTACAGTATATAAATTATATCTCAATAAAACTGACTTTAAAAAATACGTGGTCCTTGACTTCAGGGAGAGAGACAAAAAAGTAAATGAATAATTACAGTAGAGTGCAAACATTTTATGATACAACTTTGGACTATCTGCAAAGGGAGTACAGATAAGGGAACAAACTATTTAGACTGATATAAGAAAACCTTTTAAAGAAGCAGTTAAGTTTGTGCAGAGTTTCTAAGAACAAGCAATGAACGAATAAAAGGAGATGGACATTCTCCTTAAAAGAAACAGCATGTGTGGTAATACGAAGCTATGGAGCATCCTGACATATTTGGGGAACTTCTGGCAATTCTTAAAGACAATAGCAAAGTGTGTGCTTGGGAACGATAGTGATATTTTAAAGAAAGGGAGTTATCCTACAGAAAAGGATAAACTAATAAATTTGACCTTTATTTTGAAAGCTATGAGGAGCAACTGAACGTTGTTTAAAAGATGGTCATTTTTTCATTTTAGAAATATCTTTCTGGTGGTAAAGTGGAGAATGGATTGTAAGGAAAAATGAAGATACACAGACCAATAGAGAGGTTATTACTGTAAACTAGGAAGCAATAATTTAAACCAATGTTTTTGGGTATTTTTTAACTTTTTATTTTTAAATTCTTTAAATTATGACGACTTACAACGATAGAATAAAGAGTTTCCATATACCCTTTGCTCAGCTTTCCCTAATATTAACATCCTACAGAACCGTGATACATTTATCAAAATGAAGAGATTAACATTGGTGCACCACCCATTAACTAAGACAGACTAACCCAGACTTTTATGTGCATTTCATCAATTTTTCCACCAATGTTTCTCTTCTGGTCCAGGATCCAACCCCTGATACTTCATTAGTCCTCATGTCTCCTTAGTCCCCTACAATCTGTGACAGCTTCTCAGATTTTTCTCGTTTCTCATTACCTTGACACTTTTAAAATATACTGGTCAGGAATTTTTCTTTTTCTTTTTTTCTTTTCTTTTCTTTTTTTCTTCTTTTCTTCTTTTTTCCTTGAGACAGGCTCTTGCTCTGTCACCCAGGCTGGAGTGCAGTGGTGTAATCATGGCTCACTGCAATGTCGACCTCCCTCTGGAGCTCAAGTGATCCTCTCACCTCAGCCTTCCGAATAGCTGGTGCTACAGGTGCATGCCACCATACACGGCTAATTTTTTATTTTCATTTTTTTGTAGAGATGAATCTCACTATGTTGCTCAGGCTGGTCTCAAGCTCCTGGACTCAAGTGATCCTCTTGCTTCGTCCTCCCAAAGTGCTGGGGTTACATGCATTAGTCAGGAATTTTATACAATGTCTCTCAATTTGGATTAGGTTAATATTTGTTTATTATTAGACTTGAGACTTTTTTAAATGGTTCAACTGTGGAAATACTACATATGTGAAGTGCCCTTCTTATCATGTCAAGGCATACATGATATCAACATGACATAACTGATTATATTAAATTTGATCACCTGGTCAAAGTGATATCTCTGTTATTATACTCTGTTATTGTACTCTGTGTATTAGAAGTAGATCAGTTTGACAGCCCAAACCCAAGGGAAGGACAAGTAAGCTCCCCCTCCTAAAGGGAGAGATATCAATTAATTTTTAGGTAGTTAAAACCACCACAGTAATTATTATTTTTTGAAGAAATTCTTTGAGGCTGTGCAAATATCCTGTTTCTCTTTAAAGTTTTACCCACAAAGTATAGCATTCATTAGTGGATATTGTTTTTACTAAGTATTAATATGATGTTTTAGTGGTAATTTTCTGTCTCTCATTTCTTCCATATCCACTATTTGGAATTCATCTGTAAGGAAAATTTATTTCTTCCCTTATTCTTATTCATACTGATAAAAGTGAATGATTGAGTATATAAGTTAATAAGGGCAAGATAAGAAATAGACACTTATTTTTTCTTTGGGTTATAATCCAATAGTGTTGTTATTTATTGTGTTTAAATTTTTTCAGCTTTGGCTATTGGGAACTCTTTCAGGTAGGCTCTTGTGTCCTTTCGATATGCCTCTATCTATATCCTTGTCTTTTTCTTTTCATTCTTTCCTTTTATCATTTCCTTACTTTCTGGCTCTACACTGTGCTCTAGGATCATTTTATATTTTTCCTGCTCAGCTCTGGTATCAACCATTTCTCCAAGGAGCATAGGTACTATTTTTTGGAGAATGGTATTTAAAAATAAGATCTAGATTAGATGTGCTCATTGATACCAGGATATCACTGCTTCTAGGTTCTCTCAGCAGACAGAACTTGGAAGTAAGTGTTTGTATACTAACTGCTTATACATACATATCTATATACTTACTCTGTGTCTATCTGTATATTAACATTAACATGAGTTCACGCTGTTACCTCCAACTCTACTCTAGTACCACAAGGTTCATTCTAGTCTTCCCCTTGCTTATTTGTAAATTCTTTCTCTGATAATAAGAAAAGTGGTATCCACTGCCATAGTACCATACACAACAGTTCCATCACCCTAAGAATTCTGTTGTGTGGCACTTTTGTAATCAACTAGTCTCTTCTTGTCTAATGCCTGGAAACCAATAATCTGTTGTTCATTCCTATAGTTTTGCTTCCCTAGAATGTCATATAAAGGAAACACAGACTTTGTAGTCTTTGGGGTCTGGCTTCTTTCACTTAGGAAAATAATAATAATAAAAATAATAATAATTATTATATACAATAATATATTTTTATTTAGAAAAATTAAAAATTTTTTTCTGTATCCCAAAACTCCACAGGGGTATCTCAGAAGTCCCATCAGGAGGCAAGAGGAATGTAAAATAAATAGAACTTTGAATTTTCTTTCACTTCTGCTTGAACAGAACAAATGTGCTTTTATCTGTTATATGTGGGTTTCTTTGGGCCATTTTGTTTTCAAAAATATTCTACTGGTCTTAAAGAATTTTATAAACTCTGGAAATTCTGAATTAGGATAGTATTAGTAGTGACGAACAGTTTAAAGCAGCTGTAAAATATATTAAATTGGGAGAATTTTTAAAACATGAAAACTATTATGAATATGTTGGGTATATATAAAGATAAGAAAATCCTCTAGGGATTTTCTATATGTGAGTTGAACAGCCAGGTCTATGTGGGAGTCATTCATCAAGATAGTTAATTCAGAGGAAGAGAAGATTTAGAAGAGCTAAATTCTGGTTTGAAAATATTGAGTTTAAGATGAGTTTGAAATGGAGAAATCCACTAATCATTTTGAGCTCAGCAGGTAGATCTGCATTAAAGACACAGATGTGGTAGTTACTGGCTCATAAACTTTAATAAAATGTATGGATATGTTTGAGTTTCCACAAGGAGAGTGTAGAATGGAAAAAAGAATAAAAGCTTAGGATGCTGCTGTGTGAAACATGAATAGTCACAGGGTAAGCAAAAAGGAAGACTACAATGAACACAGGAGAGCTTCGTGGAGGGAAATCCAGGAAAGAATGATATCACAGACTTCAAAAGAATGAAATCTTTATTTTGACAACTATGAGGAGCAGCTGAATGATTTTAAAAAGTTGGTCATATGTCTATTTTAGAAAGCTCTTTCTAGTAGTAATGTGGAGAAAAGGTTGTAAAGGAAAATGAAGATAAGCAGGATTTGGGTGTTTCAAAGATTAGAATGTTTAACCATGTCAAAGGTCACAAAGAAAAAAAGTGAATGACAGTGATGGTCTAGCTGGATTTGGCTGTTCTAAGATTGTTCGTGATGACAAAAGTTGCAGTGTATTAGAAGCTGAAGTCCAATAGTAGTTGTTTAGTAGCAGTGAATGAAAGAATGAACGAACATTGGAAAGAATGGGTATAACCTATTCTCTCTAAAAGTTTGAATTGGAAGAGAAAAATAAGAGAAAAAAAGTGTGATTTGAGGAATTTATTGAGTTGGTAGAGAGTATTAAAACTCATTTAGAACATGTAAAACATAGCTTAATTTTTTCTAAATGTGTTGGATGAATTTTCTACATGAGCCAATTTTTATCTCAAAATAAAAATTGACCAAAACAATCAAACAGAAAAAAGTTAAATACTGAGCCCTGACCCTTTTGGCATCAAAAAGAAGACAAAACAAGGTAAGCAAATGCAAAAAACTAAGTATGATTGAAATGATAAATCCAACCATTTTGGATTTAAAAAGAAAAACAAGAGGGAGTAAAAAGTATTGTATATAAACTATTCTAATTAGAAGTCTGACTTCCAGTGTATCCAGGCAATTAGCTATCAGCTCTGTCTCTTGGGCACTGGGAACTAATCTTTTGAAGCCTCAGCTATCTCCTCTCAAGACCGGGATAATGACAGCAACCTACCTTATGGAATCCTTGTGAGGATTAAATGATATAATGAAAATATTGTTGTGAGGTCAAGGTCTGCAACAAAGAATGCCCTCAACAAAAGGTGAATGGTGATGATAATTTCATTTCCTGTATAGTTTTCTAATTCACCTGATAATATAGTAGAAAAAACAAACCTAGGAGTAAGAAAATTGCTTTCCAAGTTTGTATCATTTTCTATCTAGCAGAGTTGCATCAATGCAGTCACTTGAACTGAATTTTGTCATATGCTAAGATACAAATACATTACACCGTTTTTACCAAATATAAAATTAATAGCCAGTTATGTCTTTAAAGCAAAAAATTATGCCAGATGATAAGAATTTTACTTTCTTCCATAATTGAAAGATAAAGTAGATTTGAAAAAATATCTTCTGGAAATTATTAGGTTTGAAAAAAGAGAACCAGAAAATAACATCTGAAAGTATTTGAACCTTATTTGGCACATGAGTTGATTCATGCAGTTTTTAGTAGTTTGCACGCATGGTCAAAATTAAAACTCGTTTTCACATTTTCTTGGCCTACTCTTTGAGAATGTTTAGAGGTTTTTTTTGTAAAATTTGATAGAAACAATTGTTTTCGGAGAACTTCCTCTTAAAATCTTTACAGTTTTAATGAAAATACCATAACTCACAGATTAGGGACCACTAAATTATTTGAACAGGTATATCTGCTCTCAGAAACACTTGAAGATATATACTCTATCTTAAGAAAAAAAATTCAACTTGAAAAACGACAGGAAAACAAACAATATGTAACATTGCCTCAGACAAACCTAGATCAAATTTTTTTTTAAATGTGAACTAAATACAAACTGAAAGCTGATAGACAAAAATTGAGGGATATGGCTTTGGGTTTTTAAATGTACACTTAATTGTGATGTAGAATAAAATTTATGAGGAAAGATAATCTAATGTCTTATAAAATATTCAAAGAAATATTCATATCTTATAGGGTTTCTTCTTCCAATGTGAAGTACCCTTCATGGGAAGGCAGTTAAAGAATGCTGTTTTATATGAAAATTTTAAAATTATTACCACTATTATTATTTTCAAAGGAAAAGAAAAATAAACACAAAATAAATGGAAACATGAAAAATTAGAAAAGGATTTTTTAAAATTTTCTTTAAAGTTTTATTTTAGATTCAGGGGTACATGTGCAGGTTTATCATACATGTAAATTCATGTCACAGGGGTTTGTTGTACAGATTATTTTATCACACATGTATTAAGCATAGTACCCATTAGTTACTTTTCCTACTCCTCTCCCTACTCCTACCCTCCATCCTCAGGTAGGCCCCAGTGTCTGTCGTTCCCCTTTGTGTCCATGTGTTCTCATCATCTAGCTCCCTCTTATAAGTGAGAACATGCGGTATTTGGTTTTCTGTTCCTGCTTTAGTTTGTTCAGGATAATGACCTCTAGCTCCATGTATGTTCCTGCAAAGGACAGTATCACATTTTTTGTGGCTGCATAGTATTCCATAGTATGTATATACCACATTTTCTTTATCCAGTCTACCATTGATGGGCATTTAGGTTGATTCCTTGTCTTTGCTATTGTGAATAGTGCTGCAATGAACATACATATGCATGTGTCTTTATAATAGAACAATTTATATTCCTTTGGGCATATAACCAATAATGGGATTGCTGGATAGAATAATAGTTCTGTTTTTAGTTCTTTGAGGAATCACCACTGCTTTTCACAATGGCTGAACTAATTTACACTCCTAACAATGATGTATAAGTTTTCCCTTTTCTCTGCCACCTGGACAGCATCTGTTATTTTTTGACCTTTAATAATAGCCATTCTGACTTGTGTGAGATGGTATCTCATTGTAGTTTTGATTTACATTTCTCTAATAATCAGTGATATTGAGCTTTTTTATCATGTTTGTTGGTGGTATGTATGTCTTCTTTTGAAAAGTGTCTGTTGATGTCCTTTGCCAACTTTTTAATGGGATTGTTTGTTTTTTGCTTATACATTTGTTTAAATTCCTTATAGATGTAGGGTATTATACCTTTTGTCAGATTCATAGTTTGCAAATATTTTCTCCTGTTCTGTAGGTTGCCTGTTTAGTGTGTTGATAGTCTCTTTTACTGTGCAGAAGCTCTTTAGTTTAATTAGGTCCCATTTGTCAATATTTGCTTTTGTTATAATTCCTTTTGGCATCTTTGTCATGAAATCTTTTCCAGTTCCTAGGAAATATAAGAATAGCATTAGTATTAGAAGTGCTGGCCAGAGCAACTAGGCAAGAGAAAGAAATAAAGGGCATCCAAATAGGAAGAGAGAAAGTCAAACTATCACTCTTTGCAGATGACATGATTCTATATCTAGAAAACCCCACAGTCCAGAATAGTATTCCCTAAGTTGTCTTCCAGAGTTTTTATAGTTTTAGGTTTCACATTTAAGTCTTTGATCCACCTTGAGTGAGTTTTTGTATATGGTGTAAGGAAGGGGTCCAGTTTCAATCTTCATTCTGCGTGTAGCAATCCAGTTATCCCAGCACCATTTGTTGAATAGGGAATCCTTTCACCATTGCTTGTTTGTTGTCAGCTTTTGTTGAATATCAGATGGTTTTAGGTGTGCAACCTTATTTCTGGGCTCTGTATTCTGTTCCATTGGTCTATGTGCCTGTTTTTGTGTCAGTACCATGTTATTTTGGTTACTGTAGCCCTATAGTATAGTTTGAAGCTGGGTAGTGTAATGCCTCTTGCTTTGTTCTTTTTTCTTAGTATTGCCTGGGCTGTTAGGGCTCTTTTGGGTTCCATATCAATTTTAGAGTAGTTTTTTCTAGTTCTGTAAAAAACATAGTTGGTAGTTTGATAGGAATAGCATTGAATCTATAAATTGCTTTGGGCAGTATAGCCATTTTAACAATATTGACTCTTCCTATTCATGAGCATGGAATTTTTTTCCATTTGTTAGTGTCATCTCTGATTTTTTTGTGCAGTGTTTTCTAATGCTCATTTTAGAGCTCTTTCATATGGCTGGTTATCTGTATTCCTAGGTATTTTATTCTCTTTGTGGCAATTGTGAATGGGATTGTGTTCCTGATTTGGCTCTTGGCTTGGCTGTTGTTGGTGTATAGGAATGCTAGTGATTTTTGTACATTGATTTTGTATCCTGAACCTTTGCTGAAGTTGTTTATCATCTGAAGGAGCTTTTGGGCCAAGACTGTGGGGTTTTCTAAATATAGAATCATGTCATCTGCAAACAGTGATAGTTTGACTTCCTCTCTTCCTATTTGGATGCGCTTTTTTTCCTTTCTCTTGCCTAATTGCTGTGGCCAGGACTAATAATACTGTGTTGAAGAGGAGTGGTGAGAGAGGGCATTGAAAGGGATAATTTTTATCACAAAACATTTGTTTATGATTTATAAAATTATACCACACCTTTAAATATTATTTTACTGAGTTGGGTGAATTTTTCTTAGTAGTGACATATTTCTCATTCTCTATTTTTTGTCAGTGAGAATATCTTAATTTTGATTGAATTTGTAAGTAACTTCGGAATAACATAAATATTTTATTAAGTGAGGTATATATCAACTAGCAAGTACAAGAAAATTAATTCATCTCACATGAGAAATTGGCTAAACCTTACAAAGATTTTTCTCTACTGAAAGAGAATTGGCACTCAACTAACTTACAGAGATTGGCTACAGAATATAAATCTTTGGAAAATAAATCTTTGGAAATATTATGTCAAAATAAATGATCATACGATTTGTATATCCAAGAAGTATTCCTGTGGGCTTACATGACTTCTTGAAATTTCTTCAATGCTATTATTATTGTTAACTAAAAAAAAAAAAAAATCACACAATGTAAATTTAGAAAAGAAGAGCTTTATTTCTTATAAAGTGTTACAGCCTGCAAGGTCGCCATCATGCATCCTGAGAAGCACGGCTTCTGGCAAAGACCAGAGACAGACACTTAGCACGAGAAGGGTTTAGGGTAGGAGCTTTATGCTGAACGGGTTGGTTATATATACATATTCAATAGGTTATAGGAGTACAGGAGAGACTATGCATATTCGTGAAGGTAGTCCTGATGATGCATATTGAACAAACACGCATGCAAGATATGACTCGTGTTCACCTTGGGGTGGAGACACAACATTTAAATGTAGTATAATTAGGCCCAAGACATCAAAATGTGAAGCAGAGACACAAAGGCACAGCTTCTGTAAACTGTACACAGCCTCTGTAAACTGGCTAGAACCAGTCCGTGGTCGGTGGTCTTATCAGGAGAAAGTTACTGAAATCAGTCTTTTGTCCAACTAAAGCTGTAGTTATGGTGTGTGGAACAGGAGAGTTCACTCAGTGTCTGGTGGCAAGCTCTAACTCTTTTAATATTGCTTATCGAAAAACCTTAGCAGTTAGAACATAGTTTATTCTTTAAGTGTAGGGGTGTGTGACTTAACTCTTACCTGGCATGACCTTGGGTGCTATTAATGATTTGGT
This sequence comes from Homo sapiens, assembly GCF_000001405.40. Taxonomy (NCBI): domain Eukaryota; kingdom Metazoa; phylum Chordata; class Mammalia; order Primates; family Hominidae; genus Homo; species Homo sapiens. The sequence continues at coordinate 88,279,623 of NC_000012.12, read as the reverse complement.
ATCTTACTATGGCAGAGTCTGTTCTGTCAGTCTTATGACCTTTACTTTAACATTAATGCTGGTCAGTTGTGTCTAAATTACAAAAGTGAGGTGGTATAAGCCATGACTGACTTCCTGTCCTACTCTGCTTTTAAGATTTTTCTGGGTTCTCCTTGGCCAACAGGGGATCCATTCATTTGTTGGGGATTTAGGATTTTATTTTTAGTTTATATTATTATATATATTCCATTGAAGAAAGTATCCTTGCTCCAAATGAAACAATGAGACAGACAGAAAGAGAAAGAAGCAGAGGATGGGAAGAGAGGAGATTATAAAGACATTAATACACTCATTCATGCCTGGGAGCTATATAATAATAATTAGATTTTGGTCAAATTAAGGCTTAACTTAATCACACAAAATCATAAAAATAAATTATCAATAAAGTAGATTCCTTCAAACATATAGATGAAAATTTCAGAAAATACAAGCCATTTATAAAAAATTAAAAGTGAGGCCAGACATGGTGGCTCACACCTGTAATCCTATCACTTTGGGAGGTCAAGGCAGGTGGATCACCTGAGGTCAGGAGTTTGAGACCAGCCTGGCCAACATAGTGCAACTCTGTCTCTCCTAAAAATACAAAAAAATAGCTGAGCGTAGTGGCAGGTGCCTGTAATCCCAGCTACTCGGGAGGCTGAGGCAGGAGAATTGCTTGAACCCAGGAGGTGGAGGTTGCAGTGAGCCGAGATTGCACCACTGCACTCCAGCCTGGGTGACAGAGCAAGATTCCATCTAAAAAAAAAAAAATTAAAAGTGAAAGACTAAGTGGTTGTTAAAAGTTAAACGGGCTTAATTCCACCAGAGAAAATTACAAATACACATTAGATAGAGTAAATAATATAGATAATGTCGCATAAAATCGAGTTAGGCAATGCAAGATCTACTCAAGGAAACAATGCAAAAGAAAATAACAGAGATATAAGAAGAAATATGAATGATATGTGAACAGGCAGGCAACCTACAGAATGGGGCAAAATTTTTGCAATCTACTCTTCTGACAAAGGGCTAATATCCAGAATCTACAAATAACTCAAACAAATTTACAAGAAAAAAACAAACAACCCCATCAAAAAGTGGGTGAAGGATATGAACAGACACTTCTCAAAAGAAGACATTTATGCAGCCAACAGACACATGAAAAAATGTTCATCATCACTGGCCATCAGAGAAATGCAAATCAAAACCGCAATGAGATACCATCTCACACCAGTTAGAATGGCAATCATTAAAAAGTCAGGTAACAACAGGTGCTAGAGAGGATGTGGAGAAATAGGAACACTTTTACACTGTTGGTGGGGCTGTAAACTAGTTCAACCATAGTGGAAGACAGTGTGGCAATTCCTCAAGGATCTAGAACTAGAAATACCATTTGACCCAGCCATCCCATTACTGGGTATGTACCCAAAGGATAAATCATGCTGCTATAAAGACACATGCACACAGATGTTTATTGCGGCACTATTCACAATAGCAAAGACTTCAAACCAACCCAAATGTCCATCAATGACAGACTGGATTAAGAAAATGTGGCACATATACACCATGGAATACTATGCAGCCATAAAAAAGGATGAGTTCACATCCTTTGTAGGGACATGGATGAAGCTGGAAACCATCATTCTCAGCAAACTATCGCACGGACAAAAAAACCAAACACCGCATGTTCTCACTCATAGGTGGGAATTGAACAATGAGAACACTTGGACACAGGAAGGGGAATATCACACACTGGGTGGGGGGAGTGTGGAGGGATAGCATTAGGAGATATACCTAATGTAAATGACGAGTTAATGGGTGCAGCACACCAACATGGTACATGTATACATACATAACAAATCTGCACATTGTACACATGTACCCTAGAACTTAAAGTATAATAAAATATATATAAATAAATAAAAAATGTATGAGAACCAAAAAAAAGAAATATGAATGATATGAAGAAATATGAAAGATGGTGACAAATAAAAAGGTTAATAACTAAACAGAAGATATTGTAGGAGCTTAGAGAAAATGAAACAATTATTAAGAAGAAAAATAGAAGAACTCTCCCAAATAGGACCCTTTATAAACATTAAAAATTAAATTAGGCTTCACATAATAATTATAACGAAAAATATATTTTACTTACATTATTTTAGTAAAAATACCCAAGATCACAGAATTGATTCATGAAACAAGATATTATCTATGAAATATTTTTAAGGCAGAAAGACACAGATAAAAAGTGAGTTTTAGTGTTCCTTGTGAGTCTGAGGAATACTTAGAATGGTAAGAATTTGGCATAGTAAAGGGGGCAGCAATGCAAAATGTTAGTAGTGTAAACTCTGGAGGATGAATCCCACCATATCACTTGTTGGTTGTGTGACTCACAGAGAGTTTCTACACTTTTCTAAATCTCAGTTTCCTTATTTTAAAAATAAAAATAATTTTTAAAATAGCTGTTGTTCAATAATCAGTTTTGGATTAGATGAAGTACCACATGTGAAGTGCCTAGCACAATGATAACCACCTATTAAAATTATGCTGCTCATGATATTAATGATGATGAAGATGGGAATGATGAATCAACATTTAACTCATTAGCATGAAAAGTTAACCAATTTTACCTCTGCAAGGCCCACTATATCTGTTTCTTCTTCCATTGACCTGGATGTAACCAATATTAGCACTTACTCATCTCTTGTAATAACCTCCTAACTTATAACTCTTCAATATTTATTTGTCTTTACTTGAAAAGCATGTTCCTAATATAAACTACAGGTCTTATCACTTTCCTTTTCAAAAAAAAATGTAATAGCCCTTTAGTTATTTATTCATTATATGTTTTTCCTTTCATCTTGGCTTTTGCTCAAATGTAAACATCTTATAAAGATTATTCTAAATAATTCTATTTAAAATAGTCCCTTTAATTTATTTTTGTTTTTAGCATTTATCTCTGTCTGATTTTTTTTATATACAGTCATGCATGACTTAATGATGGGGATACGTTCTGAAAAATGTGTTGTCAGGCGATTTCATCATTGTGTGAACATCATAGAGTGTACTTACTCAAATCTATGTGGTACAGCCTTCTACACACCTAGGCTATATGGTATAGCCTATTGCTCCTAGGCTACAAACATGTACATCATGTTACTTATTAAATACTGTAGGCAATTGTAACACAGTGGTAAGTATTTGTGTATTTTAAAATATCTAACGGTCGGGCGCCGTGGCTCACGCCTGTAATCCCAGCACTTTGGGAGACAGAGGCGGGCGGATCACGAGGTCAGGAGATCGAGACCATCCTGGCTAACACGGTGAAACCCCGTCTCTACTAAAAATACAAAAAAAAAATTAGCCGGGCGAGGTGGTGGGAACCTGTAGTCCCAGCTACTCGGGAGGCTGAGGCAAGAGAATGGCGTGAGCCCAGGAGGCGGAGCTTGCAGTGAGCCGAAATTGCGCCACTGCACTCCAGCCTGGGTAACAGAGCAAGACTCTGTTTCAAAAATAAATAAATAAATAAGTAAAATAAAATATCTAAACATAGAGAAGGCACAGTAAAGATATGGTATTGTAATCTTGTGAGACCACATTGCATATTGACCAAAATATTGTTAGGTGGTGAATGACTGTATTTATTTGTATTTTTATCTTTTTTTCTTTCTAAAATATAAATTCCATGAGAGTAGGGAATTGGCCTGCTTTATATACTGGTGTATCCTCAGAACCTATTAAAGTGACTATAACACGAAAGTGCTCAGTAAAAAATATTTGTTGGATAAATGAGTAAATAATTGTTAGTCTTTCCTAGTAGAAGTAGTTGTTGAGAGCCAGAATATTCTCACCATTCAATAAAAATCTTGTGCCTTGTAAATTATGGGTTTATAACAGAGAATTAACGAATTTTACTTTAACGCTAGAAAAATCCCTGGAGTATTCAAGAAGATAATGTGGCATATGGGGAAAATATTTAGAGTTCTCACCCCTAAAAACCTATACATTTAATTTGGTTATGCTGTATAAAGCGATGTAATGTTCAAAAATCTCCTCCAAAAGTAGATAAAGTGGTTTTCCTAATGATAACCTACTTTGTAAGGAAAATTATCCATCTTGCTATTTTCTCAATGTTTTACGTTGTCTCTAAACTGAACCTCCTCTGTAGTGGGATTATCTGCCTCTAACCTCAAGCCCCCCAGCCAACCCCCTACCACCACTTCACGATTTCGAGAAGGCCAGATACTGTTCCATGATCCAACTTCAATGATCAAATTTAATCTCTTCTGCTATTTGATTAATTCCAGATAGCAGAAGAGATTATTGTACATTAAATTATTATCTCCATAGTTAAGAGGTTAACTAGATAAACACTATAGTCCCTTCTGAGTCTCTATCTATTATTCCATGCAATACATCTCTTAGAAATTCTGAGTCTATAACAGGGATAATAAAAACAAATTTCATTTAAAACATCTATTTCTAAAACAATTTTAACTTAAAAACAGAAGTCATTTAATCATGGATTAAAACAAGAAATATGATTTGGCACTAAGAGCAATATTTATTGATTGGCACTTTCAATATTTAAAAATTACTTGGTTACTATAGCAAAACTAAATTAGAATCAGAATTAGCATATAGCAAAACTTAATTAGAATTAATGTTATTTACAACTTTATAACTATGAAAACATGAGATGATTATTTGAGGTCCTACATGTATAAATGAAATGCTAAATTATATTGCATTTACCACATGTTTTTAAACAACATCAATCACCTGTTGTTACTTTTGGCATCTGTTTTAACTTAACATTAAAATCAACATTTTTCCCACATTATTGACTCTTCTAATAATTGTTATTGGTCAATAAAAATTACATTACTGTATTATATAATTCAATATTCTGAATTTATCTTCCAAACTGAGAGTTATTATTATATTTACTATTTATATTTAAACTACCAGATTTATTCTGTGTATTGTTAATGATAGGACAAATATTTAAAATGTTTTCTCTACAACTAGCATCACCTGTTATTTGTGAAAAATAAAGAAATTTGAGGAAATAAATTATTCAACTACTGGTAACATATTGTATACTCTTCTAATCATACAATTATGAAAATATGAGATGATTATTTGAGGTCCTACATGTATAAATGAAGTGCTAAATTATACTGCATTTACCACATGTTTTTAAACAATATCAGTCACAGGTTGTTACTTTTGTCATCTGTTTTAACATTAAAATCAACATTTTCCCATGCCATCTAAATCTGTTCGAAATAGTTTTTATTCTAATAGTAGAGGAACTCAAAGCTTTGCATTAGAATAATTCCTTTATTATGTCTTATTATTGTATGTTGACTGGCTCAGCTTGGCAGTTCTGCTGTAACACATCACATTGACTGGGGATTCAGTCATCAGAAATTCAACTTGGCTAGAAAAATCCAAGGGGACCACTCATATGGCTGGCAGAATATGCAGGTCGTTGGTTAACAGCTGTGTCCTCTCCATGGGGCTTGAGCTTCTCACAGCGTGGTGACTGGGTTCTGAGAGAGTGTTCCAATAGCTGGTATTCCAATTGAGAGGAACTGGAAGCTGCTACTCTTAAAGGCTAGATCTGGAATTGAAACAGTGTCACATCCATTGCATTTTCTAGAAAAAGCAGCCATAGGCCTTTATTAAATGGAGGCAAAATAGACTCCACTCTTTAATGAAGAAAATGAGAGATTAAGACCCATCTTTAATCCACCAGACTAGCTAGATAACTTTTACTTGTATATGCATCATAATTTAGTCAAAGTTAGAAATCTCTGCTAAAATCATTCAACAAAAGAAAAAGCGCTGTTATAATTAAGGCTCAGCCACATCTGTGCAACGTTTTGGGTTGAGCCTGTTTGGTTGACTCAGCTTCTTGAATCTGTAGATTTATGTCTTTTTCCAAATTTGGGAAATGTTGAGCCATTATTTCTTCAAATACTTTTTTCAGTCCTATCCCCTTTCTCCTCTCCTTCTAACCCTCCAATGACACAAATGTTATATCTTTTATTAGAGTCCCACAGGTCTCTAGGTTTCTGTTCTTTTTTTTTTTTTTCAGTCTACATTTGTTATTGTTCAGATTGGGTAATTTCTATTGTTATATCTTCAAATTATTGGATTCTTTCCTCTGTCCTCTCCATTTTGCTGTTGAGCCTCTTCATTGAGTTTCTTATTTCAGTTATTGTATTTTCAGTTCTGAAGTTTTCGTTTAGTGTCTTCTATTCCTTAGCTGAGGACTACTTTTGTTTTTTGTTTCAAATCTATTTCTAATTGCCCACAAAAGCATTTTTAGGATGGCTGTTTTAAAATCCTTATCAGTTAATCCCAACACTTGTGTCATCCTGGCATTTTCATCTATCTATTGTTTTCTCTCACTCAAGGTGAGATTTTTCTGTGATTTTTTTATTGTGCTTTGCACATCTTGTGTATTGTGTTTGCAACTCTAGGCCTTATTTAAATCTCTGTTTTAGCAAACCTTCTTTGATATGTGGGAGCGAAAGTCCCAGTTCTCCACTTGTCCTTCTTTGGCACCCCAACTGGGAGGAGTACTTTGTTACTGCTGAGCAGAGATGGTATTTCATGCTCCTCACTAGCCATCTGGTGACACCACCCTGCCTGGAGTGGGAACAGCACTTCGTTAATGCTTCCCACATAACTTCCACTGACACTGCAGTCAGGGAAGCCTCCTTACTCCCCACTTAGTCTTCTCTGACACCTGTGGGAAGAGAGAGTACTTTTTTATGACTGGATGGCGATGGTAGTCCAGCATCCTCACATGCCTCCACTGAATATACGGGGGAGTAGTGTCTGATAATCACCAGGGAGAAATTAAAAGTCCCAGCTCCTGACTCAGCCTTCTCTAACACCACCCTACTGGAGAGGTTGGGACACCTCATTACACATCGATAGGAGTGGATATCTGAATTCCCTGATGGGCCTTTCTCACTGGGACGAAGACAGAGCAGTGCTTTTTTCTGTGACATTTGGTTAGAACAGGGTGGTTATTGTCTCAAAGTTTTCTATTTTGCTAGATTACTCTTTTCCTGGTCCTTTGGCCAGAGAGAGCAGAAGATTGATGTGTTAAGTAGGAGGAATAGAAAGAGGTATGTGTACTTGATCCAGAACTGTTTTTATTTGTTTGTTTTGTTTTGTTTCTGAGACTGAGTCTTGCTCTCTTACCCATGCTGAAGTGCAGTAGTACGATCTCGATCTCGGCTCACTGCAACCTCAGCCTCCTGTGTTCAAGCAATTCTCCTGCCTCAGTCTCTCAAGTAGCTGAGATTACAGGTGCGTACTACCACACCCGGCTAATTTTTGTATTTTTAGTAGAGATGGGGTTTCACCATGTTGGCCAGGCTGGTCTCAATTTCCTGACCTCAAGTCATCTGCCCTGTCTCGGCTTCCCAAAGCACTGGGGTTGCAGGCATGAGCCCCCATACCTGGCCAGAACTGTTTTTTTTTTAATCTGATTATTTTTCACTTCATACGTTGTTAACATTTTCAAATGTTGTTATGCTGACTTTTCAATTGTTACCTTTTTTAACAATAAGAATATATTCTAAATAAAAAGAGAAATGTCTCCAGATGGTGGAGTTGCTAATGATTTTTCTTTTCTTTTTTTGTTTTTCATCTGTCATGTCTCACACTCTAGTGGACATATATTGCTTTTATGGCAAGATATTACTCGATAATTATTATTAGGAAATTAGCATTCCCTATATACCAGTTAAAAATAAGGCAATACAGAGAGAGCAAATCACATGAACTCTACACATAGTTTTAGAAGATTTGACAGAACATTTCTGAGAGTGTTATGTCCTTTAAGTAGCAAAAAATTGGTAAAAGTTAAATTCTTAATTCCTATTTTAAAATTCAATAATATTTAAGGCATATCCCTTTGTGTTTTCTCTCCTCATCCTCCCCCTTCCACCAGCCCAGGTAGAGCATAGAAAAACATTTCAGTGCTTTGGAGTTTTTTGTTATTGGTTTTTTGGGTTTTTTTTTGTTTTGCTTTTTTCTATTTTTACATTGAAAGAACAGAGTTAAGAACATCCTTAATAATGTAGTTTAGGGACAGATGGCCATGCAAAAATAACCAAGTTTACCAAAATGATGGTTAAAATGCCACATTTCTCTGAACATTGTCACTGAGCAACAGGAGTGAAATTCAAGATTTTTTATGTCCTCCTCCTCGTAACTAAAGAGTAAAGTAAAATAACAGTATAAGAATCAGCTAAAATAAAAATCTGTTTCCTGATCATTTCATTTTGATTAGTTAAACTAAAGCTTTAACATAGGAATAGTTTGACTTCTACCTTAATAGACGGGTCATTAAAAATTCACAAAGCTGTGTTCTCTTTTAGCCTATGCTAGCAAAATAAGACTTCTTAAATTATTTTATCTTCCACCTTTTTCATCTGTAAAATTAAAAAATTGCAACATTTCCCAATTTTGAAATCATTTTAACGCTTGAGATAAGAAAAAAGGCATTTTCTGTGCCTTACTGGGAGGGCTCTATCCTTACCCTTCACTCACTGTTTACACCCCCTTGCAACACCCCACACCATTTAATTCAGTGTTCTTGTTTATTTTTATTAAGCTGCACATATTGTTTACTTCAGTGATAAATACAGTAGTAAGTCAACAGCTGATTGAAGAGAAGACATTGAATTTACTAAAATACTTATGTTGATACCAATATTCCGTAATTATGAATCTCCATTGGAAGTTGTACTCTTGTGATTTGGGTCAGAGAACATCCAAACACTCAGGTAAGGGACTACAGGCATTAAAAAGAGAGATTTCTTTATTTCTAAATCAGAAGCAACCTGGCAGGACCTTTTGGGAGTCAAGAGAACTCTCTGTTAGTAAAATAATGAAGATCTATAGGCTTAAAAGTTTCCTTTTTTAAAAAAGCATTATGGTGCCTTTTTGTTTATATTGAGCAAGTCCAAACTTCTAAACTCTTTTTATTCATTCATTCATGTGTTCATTCAACAAATATTGTATTAAATACTAACATACAGAAGTAAGCTAGAGAAACTTCCTCATTATGTTAACAAATCTTAAAATATCTTCATACTGGAGTATGTCTTCAGAAAAGATCAATCTGTAATCTACCTTATCTGTTTCTATAACTGTATTAGTCCGTTTTCATGCTGCTGATACTGACATACTTGAGACTGGATAATTTATAAAGAAAAAGAGGTTTAATGGACTCACAGTTCCATGTGGCTGGGGAGGCCTCACAATCATGGCAGAAGGCACATCTTACATGGCAGCAGGCAAGAGAGAATGAGAGACAAGCAGAAGGGGAAACCCTTATAAAACCAGGAAATCTCCTGAGACTTATTCACTACCACTAGAACAGTATGGGGTAATCCACCCACATGATTCAATTATCTCCCACCAGGTCCCTCTCTCAACACATGAGAATTATAGGAGCTACAATTCAAGATAAGATTTAGGTGGGGACACAGCCAAACCATATCAACATAGCTCCAAAATGTGCTAATAGATTTCCAAAGCCTTAAGAAAGGGCACTAGTAAGAAAAGACAGAGATGGAATCCATTTAGCTTGTCCTGAGGAGGCATTCTCTATATTTGGAATATTGTCAATGAATACAAACTATGTATCTATTGTCTATAAAATGATTGGGGGAGCAGGGGTGGAGACAGAGAATAATTTATGTAAACAAGTTGATAAAGGATCATTTCTTTGAGATACTGTGTGTACAGTGTTTCACACTAGGGCTTATCCTCCAAATTCCTACCATAATAAACTTGGATAGAAAAGTCATAGACATCAAAGATCCCTCTCATTTTAATATCTATTCCTTAAATTCTAGTTCACAGTTAGCCTAACTCTCCTTGATCCCTTTTCCTTCTGGTTCCAAATGGCCATCTAGAGCTGAGGATCTGCCAGACTGTTGTTCACCCTGTGTGGAGGTACTGGTTCTCTGTCACATAAGTTTTCTCAAGAAGGCCTTACCTATCCAATCATAATATTCCATCAGGAGAGATAAACCATAAGGAGAAAGGAAATTATGACTTCCTTTTCTTTCATTCTAAAACTCTACCCACTATGGTGGCCTCATTGTGTTCCATTAAGCACCCACTTCATATATTTTACCTCTCCCTGATGACGGTATGAAAGTAATAGGAAATCGAAAGTGTTTGAGAAAATCTTAGCCATGGCTTTTTGAACCAAAATAAAAAAGAGATAGGGTAGACATCCTCAAAAGAAATTTTTGGTTGATGAAAGATACCGTCAAGGTTTTACAGAATAGAGAGAATCTTGATTTTGTCTTTGTTGCTGCGATAAATGTTGCTGAGGAACACATAATGCCAACTCTCTGTTTTGGTCTGAATGCTAAACAATTCCTGATAGGGACATTGAGAGTACTGAATAATCGTATTTAAAGCCTTGCTACAAGGAGAGTGGCTATTCCACTTTAGACAAGGAAGGGCCCAAACTCAAAAGGCAAAGAAGAGAATTAAATGATAGTATAAAAAGGAAAACCAAATAGAACTAGGCCAATCTCTTTAGAGATTTTTCCTGGTCACACACGCCTAAGGGTTTCACCAGAGAATCCAGGACAGAGGCTCCTAGAGCAGGTTCTATTAATAGTTATTCTTAGGGTTATTATATAGTAATGTATTTTTTTTTAAGTTTTATTGTGTATTTAGTTATTCGTAAGATATTCTTCTTTTTTTTCTTTTTTTTTTTTTAAGACAGTGTCTTGCTCTGTCACCCAGGATGGAGTGCAGTGATGTGATCACAGCTTACTACAGTCTTGACCTCCTGTGCTCAAGCAATCCTCCCACCTCAGCCTCCAAGTAGCTGGGACTACAGGTGTGCACCATCACACCTGGCTAAGTTATGTGTTTTTTCATGGAGATGGGGTTTCATCATGCTGTCTAGGCTGGTCTTGAACTCCTGGGCTCAAGCAGCCCGCCTGTCCCAGCCTCCTACAGTGCTTGGATTATAAGCGTCAAGTAAAATAGCTCTTTTAACTTTCATGAAGGACAATTATGTAATTCAAAACATGCAAAACCACCTCTAGCAACATTCAGAGCATAGATTGGCTAGGGAAGCACAGAGTCTCTTAACGGTGCTTCAGTATAACTGATTTCCTACTGAGATGTGCAGACAGTTCCTGGGCAGCAATTCTTTCATAGAATCAACTACCATTTGGTGGATAAAAGAAAACCTTTTGCAATAATTCTGATTGCCAATAAGCTAAAATGTTTATTTGCCTCCTTTATCAATGACAGAATTTCTGATTTCCTGATCAAAACTGTAACAGAAGGAATAATCAGTGGCAATATTAATTACCACAACTTAATGTAATCCTAAAAGATACAGATTCAGAATATAGATTTTTAAAAAGTATTTTAACAAGGTATTAACTAAGTCAGTGGTAGTACTGAGAACTTACACATCCTAAAATTTATTCTAGACTTAAGGTGCATATGTTGTCTCCTATTTTAGACTTACTAGCCACTCCTACTCATTTCTTTAAAATCTATTTCAAATACCACCTCTTTGGTCAATCTCTTTGTCCTCTTCCTGCAAATATACACACCTTCTCTGGCAAGCAGTACTCATTGTTCTGTAGAAGGACTCTCAGAACACTTTGTACATAACTCTGTCACATTTTATTACTAGAATTAGTTGTTACATATTCCTTTCCCACTAGGCTGTGAAATTATCTAAGGCATGGACAGCTTTTTATTAGTATGCTCATCCCCAGGGCTTAATACAAGTCTAAAACTGAGTAGCCACAGGTTAAATATGGGTTTGGTGGAACCACGCACACACAGCCAGTTTCACCACACAGTGACTATGGAATATACCAGCAGCTGCAACAGACAACATTTTTTAGCCATAAAAATTCTACGTTCAGTTCATTTATTTTTGGTCTCTTAGATCATGCTCCATGTACGTTTTATTTTCAAAGTCCTCTGTAGATTATGTTGAGCCAAAAAAACTCAGAAAATATCCACTCACTTAAATTAAACAGACTTCCCTTCTGTAAGGGCTCTTTAAGCAACTCTCAGAATTTGATGCCTTTCTACAGTTTGGGTAATAAATTATGAATTGTTTTATGAAGCAGATTATATGTCTGGATCAAGTTTTTAGACTATATTTTAAAGCACTATGATTCATTAGGAAACAGATCAACTTTAAGATACAAACAAACAAACAAACAAAAAACCGTGAGCAGCTACTGAAGCACCTTGCTGGATAAATCAAGGTCCGAGTGCCTGATAAGGGGTTTCAAAGGGCTTGTGACTAAATTGTTAAAGGAGTTCATCTTTACAGTCCTTGTAAATATAAAAGAACATATTGTGATTAAACAATGTCAAATTGACCACAGGGAGTCCTGAAGTCTTTTACTGGCATGGTTGTAGTCTGAAGTGCCCTAATTGAAGCTGCTTATTAAAACCTAACTCACTTATGGACAAGTGCCAATGATCATCAGCACATGGTGACCACTAGATTGGCCAGAAACAAGGTTTTCTTTTTCTGTATTTATAAACATTTGTTTCTAGCACATTTATTATAGTTTCCTCTGTGTAGTGTTTTTCCTGTTGTTTGTTTGCATGGAAACTATGATATTTTTGGCAAGAAGCAGAAGATAAAGAATTACTTTAGGATTACACTGATATTTTCAGCCTGGGCCACACACAGAAGGCAACACCATCAGTGACATCCTCAGCAGACAAAAAGGATGACAATATAAGGAAGGTACTGAATCAGCATTGAAGTTTAATTTAACAGTTAAAGTCTTGTAACATTTAGTAATGAAATAGTTACTCGTATTGGGAAAAATAGGGCACTCCTCATTCACTAACAAAACATCAAGGACAGATAACATCAGTTGCAATTTTAATTTCAGCAGGCTTTTTCTGTCAAAATTGACAATCTAATTTGAAAATATGTATGTAAATGTGAAGAACTCAGAATGTCCAACACAGTCATAAGAAAGAAGACTAAAGTTGGAGGGCTTATACCATCTGATTTCAAGATTTACTCTACAACTATAGTAATGAGTCAGTGTAAGCCTGGCATAAGGTTCAACAAATAGATCAGTAATCAACGGATATTTATTCAGGGTTTTTGTTTGGTTTTGTTTTCAATAAAGGCTCCACAGCGATCCAATGAGAAACTAAATTTTTTTTAGCAAGTGGTCCTACCACTAGAAATTCATATAAAAACAATGAATTCTGACCCCTAACTTATACCATACACAAAAATTACTTGGAGGTGAATCATACACCTAAATGTAAAATCCAAAATTATAAAATTCCTATAAGGTAATATAGAAATAAATATTTCTGTGACCTGAGGGTAGCCAAATGTTTCTTGGATAAAGAAAGGAATAGCTTTAAGAAAAAAAAAAGTTACTTTAGATTTTATCAAAATAAAAATATCTACATATAAAAAGACAACATAAAGAAAATTATTAGGCCAGTCATAGTGTGAAAAAATTATAAAACCAATATCTACTAATAGACTGAGATCCTTTATTATAGATATAGATATGACCATATCAAGAACATGGTAGTTTTGTTTGTAGTTGATAGGTAGAAACTAACAGAAACAGTAGTCAGGTCAATATTTGTGAAATGAAGTTTAAGTTATTGAGCCCACGTTTAGCCTCTATTCACCATAGCCACTTTGCAATGAGTTCCTTGAGCAAGCACTGGGGTGGCTGGAGAAAGAGGCATTTAACATTTGGAGACCATGTCATTTCATTCACCTAATTACTGACACTCTTCTACAGTAGATGTCATCTACAGTACGTGCCATTTGGTGAGCATTCACATGAGACACAATTATTTTTACACTAGATGCCAAATTGTGTAAGTCCATTCATTTATATCTTCTATCAGATTACCTTGCCAGCAACCTTCCAGTGCTGTTCTTCTTATCTCTGACCGAAAAACCAAACCATCAGCGATTGCCCAGAAATCAATGTAGATTCATTCTTCTGGTCATCTCTTTGTCCAGATAAGATGGACAATAAAGTCTTCCACTCAATGTCCTGTCTAGGATGAAGATATAACTGGGATGATTTCCATTTACTCTTTCACTCAGGGCCACACCTGAGAGAGACTGTCATGCTACAGCCATCCACTTGTGGTTGTTGCTAGCAAAATTATGCAGAACCATCAGAGTTTTTCCCTTTTCAGTCAACTGGTCATAAGGAGCACCCTATAAGGTCACAGGGGTGTATTGAGATAGAAAAGACAATGCAGCTGGAGCCAGTGACAAAGGAGCCTGAGCCCACATAAAATTTCCATTTGATGATAGGTTGTTGCTGTGCACACCCAACCTCATGTCCTAACGGGCCAAAAAACACCCAATACAAAATGGAAAGCTCACATCATACGGTCACTTGATGTCCCACAACTAGGCATGTAGTCTCTACCAGGACCCAGGATCACTCCAGGATTGATTTTCTGGAGAGGAATAGTTATCTGCAGAAGAAGGCATGAGTTTACCTCAAAATTCTAGAGGCCTGAGATTCTCCTGTTGGTGCTCACAAGAGGATCCACACTGCACTGTGTACTATTGGATTTGCTAGATCATGAGGCCCAGTTGGCAGAGAAGTGTGTACTGAAGACTTAACTTGCTACAGAGCCTTCTCTTGCTTTGGTCCCTATCAAAACCAGAAGCCTCATGGGTTATATAAGGTATATGCTATCTCCAAAATCCATAAAGGCCACCAAACATTGAGCCTCTGTTAGTGGGGGTGGTGAAAGGTGCAGCAATGTGTCTTTTACCTTTGAAGAGATATGTTCATAGGCTTCAAACCACTGGACTCCAGAAACATCACTGAGGTGGCAGACTCCTGAATTTTTGTGGTTTATCTCTCTCCCTCTGTTTTGCAAATATCTTGCCAATCAGTGCGATCTATGAATTGTAGTTTCTGTTTTGCAACAATCATTAAACAGTGCTATAATTGGAGTATCCTTTACCATGACCAGACTGACTCAGTGGGTAGAGTTTTACATAATTTTATGATTTTGAATGCAAATGGAATATCTTCTGTATTAGTTTCCCATTGCTGTTGTAAAAAATTATCACAAGTTTAGTGGCTAGAAAAAACACAAATGTATTATCTTACAATTCTGGAGATCAGAAGTTCAAAATGAGCTAGCAGGGCTGCATTTCTTCTGAAAACTCTATAGACAAATTCATTTCCTTGCCTTTTCCAGCATTTAAAGGCTATGCTTATTGCTTGAGTTATGTCTCTGAATCACTCCAAACTCTACCTCTGCCATCACGTGTTCTCTGACTCCGTCTTATAAGAAATTTTGTGATTAGATTGGCCCACTCAGAATAATTTCCCTTTTCGAGATTTTAACTCAATCACATCTGCAAAGTCTCTTTTACCATGTAAAGTATATCCATATTATAGGGATTAGGATGTGGACATATTTGGGGACTATTATTCTGCCTACTACATCCAAATTGAGGACTGCATGCAAAATATTTCAAAAGTATTCGAATACGTTTGTGTGGGTTGTGGGGGAAGGGTGGTTGTTGTCCCGAATTTCTCTGAAGAGCTAAGAAAATGCTTTTTCTCTAGCTGGTTGCTGACTGATCCCATGTCTGCTTAATCCTTTACTTGCCTTCAGTTACAGTTGGAAGAGAGGAAAAGGTGCTTGAGGGACATTGTGAGGAAAATGGTGTTTTACAGAAAGACAGCTTGGGGTCTGAGTCTTGGCACTGCCACTGAATAATAGGGGATTTGCTTAAGTTTTCTAACATGTAAAGCAATACAATTTTTACTGTAAGGGTTAAGTCACACGATGTATGTTAAACACGTAACACAGTATCTGGCACGGAGCATTCAACAAATGAGAATGGTTATTATAATCAGTTACTATTATTCATTTAGATTAAATGTTCTCAATTCTTAATGCCCATGAGGATCATTAACAAAATAACAAAGTCCAGAATCACCCTCAGAGATTATTATTTGATTGGTCTATAATTTTTTAAAAAGCTCCCCAGATAATTATAGTGACAACAGGGTTGAGCAAACAGTAACTTTGATAAAGTTGGCTAAGATATAAACCAACTCCTTTGGCTGTATTTACTATGAATATCATTGTGCCACATTTTCTAAAACATCTTTTTTAAAGTCATTATTTAAAAGTAAGTTTTACAGATATAATTTGATTAGAACAGGTCTGGTGAAAAGATGTCCATTAATTGCACAATACTTTTTTCCTTTCATGTGTTTGGCTTGGGAAAATATTTTTTGATTTTATCTTTTGAGAATTGATGATTTTGCTTGAAAGAAAAACTATTTTTCTATTATGAGTTCATAATATGACTGCAACACTTTCTTGCAGTTTTCAAACATAGTGTGGAAAGCAATGATTTATTTTAAAACTTATCATTTGATATTTAGTGCCATATTTTAACACAGCTTACAGATTATTTTTCCCAGTATTTTTGAGGATGTGTTGTTATTGAAAATTATCTCTATTATTTTTGCCTTGTGGCCCATAGAATGAGAATTTGTCTTAGATTATCTTTTGAAATAAAGATTATGATTGTCTCCATAAAACCAAATAAGATGTAATAAAATTAAAACAACCAATTGGTGAGGATAAAATAATCTTTGAAGGAAATTAATTGAAAGAATTGACTGGTTTCTCAGGATGGTGTTGCTATGGAAAATGTTTTAAAAATTAACAGGTTATTTGAATTTATGTACTTTTCTAAATGTAATCTACAGATTTTAAAAATAAATTTTGGTGGTATCTGGAAAAAAATGTATATCATATTTTGAGTGCAAGGTTTGGGGTTATAGTTATTTCTTTGGAATAAATATGTTAAAGATACATTTTAGAGAAATAAGTCTTTAATTTGGTTCAAATAGACTCTGACTCAGACTCATGATTAGATATCCTTGAGAGGAGCAAAATGAAGAAAGGTATTCATTAAAAAGATGCTTGAGAATAACTGGAAAAATTATGTTTCATAGCCAACTATTTTTATGTCATAGGACAAATAATGAAAAACACAATTTCTTCTTTTGAAATATGTATTTCAATATCAAGTCAAGCCAAACTAGATAAAAGTCAATGTTTTTATTGTTAGTGAGAAAACTGGATATATTTTCCCTTAGTAACATAGATAGAATGCATTGCATCCTTAAGCATTTTCATAAGTCCTTCTGATAAGAATATCATTCTAATAAATATTAAAAGAAAAATATCTCTTCCTATGTTCTTTTCTATCAATTGCTTACTGTTTACCTAAAATGTTATTTGCTGAATAAAAGGTATGTACTTCCTTTGTGAAAAGTCTTTTTGTTTTCTTATTAAAAAGTAAAGATAATCTTAGGTCTTTCCAGGCCCTTTCTGTTGATAAAGTTTTGGTAAATCAGTAGTCTGCAAAACATGATAATCATAGAGGAATAATTACACTTCTGTTAATTGTATGTCTTTCAAAAAGAAAGAAAGAAAGTTTATTCATATTTAAAACATGAGTTGATATTATATGTATAAAATTTATACGCCAAACTTTCTTGCTGGTAGTGATGCATGATCAAGAGTATGAAAAGTATAGGTTCTATAGTTCTATACCACTACAGGATGAGTATAGTATATATATTACATAGTTTCAAATAGCTGGAAGGATGATATTGAATGTTTCTAACACAAAGAAATGACAAATGTTTGCAGAGATGGATATGCTAATTACCCTGATCTGATCACTATGCATTATATGTGTCAAAACATCATACCTATAATGTACCCCATAAATATGTACAATTATGTGTCAGTTAAAAATATTTTTAAAATAATGAAATAATTTTTAAAATAAAATTTTAAGAAGAAGAGTATGAAGACTGCTAGAATTGATGCCCTTTTTATGGCTAAATCCCTTGTGAGATTTATATATCCAAATCCACAAATGCACATGTCCAAAATCCATAAGGGATATAGGATACAAAATATTGGTTGTAGAGTGTTGAATTGAGAAGAGTCTGAAGAAAGCTAAATTGCTCTAATTGCTCTGCATGATAGAAAGAGAAGAAATTGAAATGCAATGGGGTGAATGGCACATTCCTACAGGAGGTGTGAGTAAAAGAGATGAATGAGGAGAGAAAAAGAGAAAATGGAGTTTGGAAAATATTAAGGGGCCAGGCTATTACCTATGGAGGGGAACTCATTGAGACGTTTTATGAGGTGGAGTAGGCACAAAGACTTTTTAAAACAGAGGTATCTTTTACTTAATGTTAAGTTATTTAAGTATTAGTTAATGAGATCCTTCCTCCATGACTCCCAAGCCTTCAGTACAAGTTCTACCTGCCACAGCCTTGTATGAATAGATACTTAAATGAGGAAATAAAGGGGAAGCAGCCACATTCTAGTTATTGCCTAAGTAGCAATCAAGACACCAACTGTGTTTTTTGTTTGTTTGTTTGTTTTTTGCTTACTAACTGTATAAACGTGTGCACCATTGAGGCTTATCAGTCTTTTTTTTTTATACTTTAAGTTTTAGGGTACATGTGCACAATGTGCAGGTTAGTTACATATGTATACATGTGCCATGCTGGTGTGCTGCACCCATTAACTCGTCATTTAGCATTAGGTATATCTCCTAAAGCTATCCCTCCCCCCTCCTCCCACCCCTTATCAGTCTTGAAAGTCTTTAAATTGACCAGGTACAGTGGCTCACACCTGTAATCCCAGCACTTTGGGAGGCTGAGGTGGGTGGATGGCTTAAGCCCAGAAGTTTGAGACCAGCCTGGGCAACATAGTGAAACCCTGTCTGTACTAAAAATTAGCCAGGCGTGGTGGCATGTGCCTGTAGTTCTTAGCTACTCAGGAGGCTGAGGCAGGAGGATTGCTTGAGCCTGGGAGGCAGAGGCTGCAGTGAGCCAAGATCGCACCACTGCACTCCAGCATGGGTGACGACAGAATGAGACCCCATCTCAAAAACTTTTCTTCCTGCCCAGAATATCCTCTCCTGTGAAACTTGACCCTGCACAATGCCATCTAACCTATACTTCACCCTTACAGGTACCCATAAGTTACAATCCTTGATACTTTGCTTATGTCAATATCCGTAAACTATGCTAAGTATATTCTATTGAGTTACCTTCAGAATTTTGAAGTCTTTTCAGAAATATAGATATAAGGGTGGTAAAGCTGTGAGTGTTGTAGAGTAGAAAAGAAAACCTTCCCAGGAGATCATGGAGGGCTTTCTAATATATAAAAGGAAGAACACAGTCTTTGGAGTCTACCCAAGAAAACTAGGCTCAAATTCCAGCCCAGGCCCAGCACTAACCATGGAAATTTGTGCTCAACTTCATTGAGACTTTATTTCTTCATTCAAAAAATGGGGATAATAATACCTATGTATCTAGAAATGTTTAAAAAGTTAAAAAATTAATTATAGATGTACATAAAATGTCTAGCCCATACTCAATAGTAGCTGTCATTATTAGTATATATCCTTAAACCTGATAGTCTTAGCCAAAATAACATCATTCATTAACCTCACACTGTAATAGAAGTTAACGTGGGCAGCCAAACTAGCAGTGTCTTACCCACCTGATGCCCAAAGGGCCTTATCCCTACATAATTCAGCTAGGCAAGCATCCCTCTTATACATACACTGAATTTGTTTTACTCAAGCTGTTATAGTTTTCTCCTTATATATCACATTTTTTAAAACTAGAAAATAAAATATTTTTTAATTGTCCTATAATTTTTAGTTTCTTGTCACATAATCTTGTTCTTCTTTAAAATGGTTAAAGGTTGCTGGCAAAAAAAAATTAAAGACAAAAAAATTCTTTGGCAAAGACAGAAGCAAGAAAAAAGTGTAACAGTTTCTCAAAATATGTGCTTTCTGTGTGTGTATATGTGTATGTTATAGTAGGCTAATTAAGAAAAATCTTCATATAAACCAATAATATGGTGCAGTAACTGAAAAGTTATTGAGTTTTTCTCTTTTTATTTGTTCAAGTCATTGTGAGGTATCCATTTAACAGGAAGGAGATCAGAACTTGTTACTAGAGAAATATAAAAAGTTAGATTCAGCTACTAATATGCAAATGAGAAGTATGCAGTAAGTAGCCAAGAAGCAAGACTACAGTTGAGAGAGCAAGTCAAGAAAGATTATCCAAATTGCTTCATTTCCTCCACTAAAATATCAAAGGCTTGGAGAAGCCAGTCCACAGAGATCCCTACAGTACAGAGCTACTACTTTACCCATAACAAAAAAGCAGCCAAGTGTGCTATTACTTTTCTTTATTAAAAAAGTATTTTTTTTCTTTCATTTCTGCAAGACTCTGGACAAATTTACTGCTATTCAATGGCAGAAGGAAAATATGACATAAGAAAAGCAGGGGAAATGTTCATTTTCTAGATCCACGGGAGAATGCAAAGAGATAATGAGAAAGGAAAGTGTAAGATTCCATGTATGACAACTTCCTACCAGGCATAGTTTCAGAGAGAAGAAAAGGTGATTTAAGAAAGGAAGCTTACACTGGGCATGTGGCTGTTCCCAATGTCCTATTTAGGACTCTAGAAAGAATTCACCTTGTGGGCTATTCTTGCACCAACCTAGTGCTTGGCCACATTTCCTTGATATTCTATGAGACTGGAGAGAGGGGACCCTTAGGCTTAACTTTCTTAGTCGGGTTTCCAGATTTCAATGGTATAGATGAGAGTTGAGAGCAAAGCTCCTGCCATAGGGCCTACTAAAAGGGGCAAGATGACCCCCGGCAGAGGTTAGGCATTGATTCCTGGGACAACAGAGAATCAGAGAATGTGAAAGAGCCCCTTGAGTCTGCAGTCAGGAAGAAATGAAGTTAACTAAGGCCAGCAAAGTCTGGCCAAGACAAGAAACATAAGTTTATGAGTAACATAGCCTAAAGACATCAGTTTTGGAGAGTGCTCTAATTTGGGCCAGATGTTAGCCAGGCCTGCTCCACAATTATTCTAGCACTTCCTTTTCAACATCATCTTGAGAATTCCTATCACCCTTCCTGAGTTGGAACACTTGTTTCTTGAATCTCATATTTCTTTGCTTGCATCCTCATTACTTTCTGGAACCCAACCTCCACTTATTTCCTGAAAAGCGGTGTTTGGGAGGAAAATTTTTAAAACCTTGAGTATGTCTTATGTTACTTACATCTAACCCTCAATTAATAGTTGTAATTTATTTCTTAAATTCCTATTGCTGAGTGAGAAGTTGTTAAGTGAAAAAAAAATCTATTTTAATGGGGAAATCTATGATGCATTTTCCCCAACTCAAAATATGCAAATTATTTTCACAGATAGGAATATATGTCAATTGAGCAAGGGAAATATGTTTATATGTTTATATAAATAAAATAAACAATCTGAAAATAGATAAGTACAGTTTGCTGTGTAAAGCATAACAAATATTTACTGTACTTACCAAGGGGAAAAGAGTGGACTTGACAGTGGGTGGCCATTGGTGGAAGACAGTGCAAGGAAGCAATTCTTAGGAAGATGATGGAGAATTAGGTGCTCATCTTTCAGACAGGCTTTCAGTATCTAAATTAGGCATGCTTGATGATAATTTTGTTTTCTTTGAGACTTTGGCAAAATAAAAGCTAAACGTGAGAGCTCTTAGATATACATGAGCATAATGTATATCCACTCAAAAGCGATAGAAAATTATACCTCTTCCTCTGTCTCACTGACATTTGTACGTAAAACAAAATGTTTTGGGTTTGTCAACTATTGTGTGTGATTTTTTTCCACATTATATTTTCCACATCATATTTTCTATTAAATACATTTTTTCCACATTATATTTTCTAGCTAAAAACTATTGTCAGGTAAGTTGGTTTGAGCATGGCAACAGACAGGATCAAATGTTACAATAATTTTTTCAAAAATTTATACTAAAAATTTCAATGGGTAGAAAAGAAAAGCTCTGCATATGCATAAAAGTCTACCTAAATAATACTGCATGCAAATACAAACACACGTTGTAGGGTTATTTTAACAACTTTCAACAGTTTGCTTTATCTGTACTTACTCATTTGACACCTCCAACTAATATCCTGATTTATAGCCTGAAAACTTCCTCTGGGCATGGTGAAAGATAATATTTTGTCTCTTCAAATACTGAGAAAACAAATTTTCTACCTCATTAGCTTTAATATACTTTTTCTTCTCAGTCATTTTCAAGGAGAATATTATTAATATCAAATGGCCGTTACAGATAGGAGGGAATCTTTAAAGATTTCAAGGAATGGGATTAGGTTAAGACTAAATTTAATATCTTCTTGATACCTGATGTATATTGAAGGCAGGGGCTTTTTAGTACACTAAATCATAATTTTAAAAATTTCACATGTGAACATTTAATTTCTCGAGGACAAAGACTATATTATTGGTGGCTTGTAGATTTGGGGGCCCAGTATAATCATGAGTCATTCAAACGAGAGAACTTTTTCTGGCTATGGTCAGAGAGAGATAGATCTGACAGAAAGAGGATCAGTGAGATGCAGCATGACAAAGACTTGACCCAGCATTGCTGAGTTTGGAGATGGAGGAAGAGGAAAACAAGTCAAAGAATGTGGGTAGCCTTTGAAAGTTGGAAAAGGTAATAAAATATATTTTTCCCTAGAACCTCCATAAAGGAACGCATCCCTGCTCACACTTTGTTTTTTAGCCCTCTGAAAAACGTGTTGAACTTCTGACCCATGAAACTGTAAGAGAATACATTTGTGTTGTTTTATTCCACTCATTGATGATAATTTCTTATGATAGCAATAGAAAACTAACACACAAACATTAGTATATTTTATAATCTCTGCATTTCTTTAGTGTTCCAACTTTGTTAAAATAGAAATTATGCCGATGAAAATATTTTCCACGATGGAAAGGGTTAAGTAACTAAAATGTCTCAGTTTTTCATATGACAGTCTATGAATCAATAATTCTGTACACAAGAAATCTTCACTCCCAACAAGGCAAACAGCCATCTTCATACCAGTAAGCTCTAAAATTCAAAAAAGGCCTGGCACGGTGATGGTTGCTCATGCCTGTAATCCAAGCATTTTGGAGGCCCAGGCAGGATAGCTTGAGGCCAGGGGTTCAAGACCAAAATGGACAAAAAAGCAAGACTCCATCTCTACAAAAAATAAAAACTAAAAAAATTACTTGGGCATGGTGGAGTGCACCTTTAGTTTCAGCTACTTTGGACACTGAGGCAAGAGGATCACTTGAACCTAGGAGTTCAAGGCTTCAGTGAGCTATGTTTGTGCCACTGCACTCTAGCTTGGGTGACAGAGGGAGACTGTGTCTCTAAAAATTAAATAAAGTAATTAATAATATAAAATAAAATACAAAAAAAGTGTTGTTTATTGGGCCAAAAAATAATTCTACATAGCAAAGACTAACCCTTGTAATTTTTAAGAATTATGTCACCTTGTGACATGAGATATTGTATAATTGTGACATGTTATTGCATAATCCTTAAAAATTATGACATCACAAAAAATTTATCACCAAATTAATTTATCTTTGTACTAATCATAGCCATGTCCCAAATGATAAAATAT
This sequence comes from Homo sapiens, assembly GCF_000001405.40. Lineage (NCBI taxonomy): Eukaryota > Metazoa > Chordata > Mammalia > Primates > Hominidae > Homo > Homo sapiens. The sequence goes on along the minus strand of NC_000012.12, from coordinate 88,255,963 downwards.
TCTTAACAAGGCTTTAGGTAGTGTTTGAATAAAAGCTGTTTGTGATATGTAATAAGTGCATTTTAATTCCAAGATTTTGGTATATGAATAAAATCAAATATTAATATTCACAAACAGATATTGAAGAAAACACATCAACATCTGGAAGTTCATATCATGGGGAAAGATAGTGCAATGAAAACAAAACCATAAGAGATTAATCTTGTGGGAATGTTTGCTTCCTGGAAACCAAAGGTAATTTCCTATAAAGTGAGAAATGTGAATTAAGTACAAAAACATAAAACAAAACAACCTAACATATCCCATATGAAATGCTTAAAACATAGTATAAACTGAATATTTTCTATAACAAGGTATTTGTTAGCATACTTAACTAGAATTCAGAAATAAAGCATTAAACACATTTAGATCTTTATTCTGAAGAGCATTCTGTTAGATATTGTGAGATAATTCAGAAACCATGTCTCTGACATTAAGGAGTTTAAAGACTCTCTGGGAAGTCAAGACAAGTGCAAATGAAATGGCATAGAATTATTACGTAACAATTTCTAAAAAATGCACAATATCAAAATGATGTAGGAAAAAAGTAGGAGTAAATTATGATTAATCAGTAAAGACAAGAGGTGGGCACCCATATCCAGAAATAAATTGGGTTGCCAGGTGCATAATACAAATGGAGATGTGCTGAGAAAAATTTTGAGAGGAAAAATTTATCCCTTGGCAGTCCTCCAAAACGACTTTAATTTTCACCATTAGTCCAACCCATCAACTACTCATTTAACCAGAAAATATTTATTGAGTATCACACACCATGTTGCATGGGCACTAGTATAAGTATTTTTCTTTTTTCTTCCTTTCCTTTAGTTGAGCCACTTGAACTATGATTGTCTTCTGGAAGACATTAGGTAGAAAGCCATTATCATATCCTAACATGCAATTATGAGCCACACCTTTTTCTCTTCTCTCATCCCTAATTTTACTAAATAATTACAATTGTCCTTAGATACTTCCCAGCTGTCTATTGTATACACTATTGCCAGAGCAATCTTCTAAAATCATGATTCTCATTATCTTCTACTTACTATTCACCAGTCAAAATTTACTTGGTTCAGTGACCCAATTCTTCAGGGCTCTAAAAAAAGAGTGAAACGAAGAAAAGTTTTGACAGAATAGGAGAGGAGTTCAGGAAATGACTAGAACTTCATTACATTATGAAGTCTGTAGGTCCTGGTAAAAGATTTAAATGAGAGATAATTGGTAAAGATACGATGAAGAATGAGTGGATGAATATCTTTGAAATGTATCATCCTGTGGGCAGAAAGATAAGAGTTCAATATTTAATATGAGTATGATTGATCTGCAGATAATTATGGAGAGTTTAAAACTAAAGACAGACTTTTATCCATCAATCAATTCATACAAAGTAGGTAAATTCGTACCATAAGAATGGAGGGGCCAAACGCGGTGGCTCATGCCTGTAATTCCAGCACTTTGGGAGGCCGAGGCAGGTGGATCACCTGAGGTCAGGAGTTTGAGACCAGTCTGGCTGACATGGTGAAACTCCATCTCTAGTAAAAATACAAAAATTAACCAGGCGTGGTGGTGCACACCTGTAATCCCAACTACTTGGGAGGCTAAGGCAAGAGAATCACTTTAACCCGGGAGACAGAGGTTGCCATGAGCCAAGATCGTGCCGTTGTACTCCAGCCCGGGCAACAAGAGGGAAGCTCCATCTAAAACAAACAAACAAACAAACAAACAAACAAAAAGAATGGAGGAGCTTCTGAGAAAGATAAATGTTAAGGGAAAGGAGCAAGGAACAAGGAAGTAATTTCTGGAAATCCCTGAATGTGGATATTAAACAAAGAAGAAACAGGATTAAAGGGAGAAATAATAGAAGAAATGAATGTTATAAAATGTGTTTAAGGGCTTCTTAAAAAGTTATATTTTATTTGCAGTCAAAGAATTTGTGTACAGGATGATGTAACTAAAATAAAGTGTTCAGTGAAATTCCTCCTGATTCTCCTTTGGATCAGGTAGATTTTGATATTAAGCAGGCTAAATGGTTCCAATTTTTCTTTTCTGGGAATTAAATAAACCAGAGCTGCTTTTTTGACTGTTTATAAAAGAAGAAAATGAGCTGCCAAGACACAGTTAATAATATTGTGTATGTTTGAATTTGTCACAGAGGAACTTTTAACAAGTCCTAGAATGACATCTTGTTTTTGCATACCCCCAGCCAAATAACTTCCCAAATTTCTTACTCTTAAAACAGCTCATAAGTATAAGCTGGTAGCCAAACTATAGCATGAGCCAAGAAACATTGCTTATTAAGCCACTAGGACAAACTGAGTTGCTTTAAGTGATTTTACCTACTGAATCATTAAAATGAACCATAATAATCCAATCTTTTTATTTATGTTGAAGTAGCTAAAGGCTAAAGGTGTTTTAATTTATCAACATGAGTTTATATAGAACTTGACTATGAAGAAAAACATCATTTTGGGATGCTATCCAAGAACACAGATCCTACATGAAGAGACAGGAAGCAGAGAATGAAAAAGCAAAAGAAGAAAGTTTATACAGTCTTCCAACTCTTAACTTCCTATTATATAAGTGTTTCAGAGGTCCATATGCCCAGGGATGACATATACTGCCAAACCTTTATCCCTTTCCAATTGCCAATTGATCATAGTCTTCCTTTCTCCTGAATGAAGATAAGCCAACACAGAATTCCAAGCAGCTACTACCAATTGATAAGTTAGCATGTTATTCAAAAACGAAGTGCCATTTCTAAGACATACAAAAGTTTTTCAGAAAAAGAGTTTGAAAGAGGCTTTTTTTTTTTTTGAGACGGAGTCTGACACTGTCACCCAGGATGCAGTGTGGTGGCACAATCTCGGCTCACTGCAGCCTCTGCCTCCCTGGTTCCAGTGATTCTCATGCCTCAGCCTCCAGAGTAACTGGGATTACAGGTGTGGCCACCACACCGGGTTAATTTTTGTATTTTTAGAAGAGAAAAGGTTTCACCATGTTGGCCAGGTTATTCTCAAACTCCTGGCCTAAAGTGATCCGCCCACCTGAGCCTCCGAAAGTGCTGGGATTATAGGCATGAGCCACCATGCCTGGCCTGAAAGAGGCAATTTTATAACATACTTTCAGAATACTATATGACCATAGGTTCATAATCCATAATTAAAGAGAGCAACACAATATTATCTATCATCCATTTCCATCCATCCTTCCATCCGTCTATTTTTTGTTACATCTCTTAGCACAGAGGCCCGTGAGCTATTGCCTTAAAAGAGCTTTAAATTGTCTGTTTGAACTTCATTCAAATAATTAATTACAGTAAATCCTAATTACATGCAAAGAATATCTGGTTACACTTGTGCTGATCTTATATTGACTTTATTGCAAACTTTTACAAATCTCTCCTTTATTCCATTTAACTCGCAACTTCTTCTAGTGCCAAATCCTTCAACTCCTAAGAGATAGGGAAAGCATAGCTGCCATATATGTTATTTGTATTTATCTGGAATAAATGCAAGCACATGGTCTGCAGTTGCAGAAGGTAGGAAGACAATGGACAAATCACTTAGAAATATTCTTCAAGGACTAGGCACCATGGCTCATGCCTATAATCTCAGCATTTTTGGAGGCCAACGGGGGCAGATCGCTTGAGTCCAGGAGTATGACACCAACCTGGGCAACATGGTGGGACCCCATCTCTAAAATTCTTTTAAAAAAGAAAAAGAAAAGAAAAATGTTTCAAGACAAAGCTTGGAGAGCACTAACTTTCTTAGGGAACTGGAAAGTCTTCAGGGAGGAGATTTTGTTTTCAATGAAAGAAGGCTAGAGGTTCTTCAGCAGAAGAGAAAAAAAGGGTTTGGCATTTTTTAAAAGTATTTATAAGGCCCATGGGATGCAGAAGTGGATAATGAAATCAATATTGTATGGTAAGACTAGATGTGAGATGATTTTGGATGCCAAGTTCAAGTGTTTGGATTTTTATAAATAAATAAAAATGACTCATTAGAGGTTTTTTTAAGCTGGTAGTGAGTACAGGATCAGATGTGGAGTGTAGATGAGTGTAACCTTATTCTTTTTTTAATTTTAGTTTTTCCTGCTTTTCTTTTTTTGATTATCAGAAAATACCTATTTATATTTGAAATTATAGAATATAGATAAGTCATACCATGGAAACTAAAAGTCACCCATAATCCCATTCATTCAGAGATTAATATTTTGTTACTTTTTTCATGAGTTAGGATAAATATAAACATACACATAATATATGTATAGTATTTATATGCAATTATACCTTCTAATGAATTCTTTTATGCATATCTTTTTGCCTCTTTCACCTGATAATATACTGTAAACCTCTTTCCAGTAAATTCACATAATTGTCAATTTTTCAGTATCATAAACAATGCTGAGATAATGTTTTTTGTATTCATATTTTTACGTATTTATTTCATTATTTTTCTAAAATGAATTCACAAAGATGGAACTGTGGATCAATGAGTTTTCATATTTTATACCTTATGATTCCATTTTCTTATTATTCCCTCTAAAAGGCTATATCCATTTACATCTCAATTAATATTTATGAGAATGTATGTTCCTCCCATGTCTGCAACATTTTGTGCTACCATTTTAAAATTTTTGACTATTTGTGAGAAAGTTCTCATTATAATTTTATTTTGTACTTTTTGATTACTCCTGAAGCTAAACATATTATATACTTATGGGTCATTTGTTTTACATCTTTGGGGACATTGTTTATTGAATTCTTCTGTTGGAATAATTATTCTTTCTTTTTTATTTGCAACAATGCTTTAAATATTAGGTGAGTCAACTTTCAAGTACAACATATATTTTACATATTCTTCTGGGTTTCATTTTATTTATAATGTTCCTAAAATGCAAATTTTTAATTTTTAGATAGTAACGTTCATCAAGATGTTTGTCAACTTAGTGATTTTTGTCTTTTATGTCTTAAATTAATTTTGATGAATAACGTGACAAAGAGCTTTAAACAACCATCTTAACATCATCTACTTAAAATTAGCTTTTCTTTATGAAATTAAAATGCTACCTTTATCATGTTTTAAATTGTAAAAGTCAGTAGAGCAGAGTGGGTAAATTCATTGCACTTAGCATAACAGAAAACCTCTTTTTACCACTTTGATCTCCTCAAGTCTTAACTTCCTTAAGGGAGAGAGATGAAAATAGTACTAGATTATTATATTAAATAAGATAATTCATTTAAAGCACTTAGCACAATGCTTGGCTCACAATAAGCATCGGTGCATGATACTGTTGTTATTTTTATGTTAGTTTATTGTTCTGGGTTTTTTAAATTATCTTCATTGATTATTGTGTCTATTTTTGTACCCAAGTCATAGATTTAGTTATTTTGTAACTTTAAGTACTTTTGATTATCTGATAGAACAGTTTTATTCAATCACTCAAAAATATTTGTTTAGTCTCTTCCTTACCTTTAAATGGTTAGGATATAAAGATATATGGATAACCAATTCAGTACTAGTTCCTAATCAATTAAACATGCAATCACATCTTACTGAGGATTTAACCAGGTTGTCAACATCAAAGTATTTAAAATATCATTTACTTTTTGTTAGATTCTGAAAACACCTTGGTCTAATAGCAATATGCCATTAGCAACATATTAAATCTAGTTTTTATCTACTAATGGCTAGTCTCACCCATCTTTATATCAAGCGCATTAATTTCAGTGTCAAAGGGCAAGTGTTTCATAGTCTTATGCCATTACTCTTCGGTATAGCCTGTAAGATTGGAATCTTGTCCTCTTGTTGGATCTTTAAAAACAAAAACACTTAAATGACATCACTTGACACATAACACAAAGCAAATGTGTTTGCTAATAGATTTTTGAGAAGAGGAATTGAACATTTAAATTTGTCAATATTTATACAGACTACCCAAGAGAGACTGATAATATAAACAGGAAAAATGCTTCATGTTTGAAAAGAAATGGACTCGGAATGAAACAGACCTGGATTTCGAACCCTGGTTCTATTTATTCCCTAGGTAAATAGGACAAAATTATTGTAAATTTCCTATTGCTGCTGTAATAAATTCTCACAAATTTAGTATCCTACAACAAATGTATTCTCTTAACTGTTCTAAAGATCAGAAATATAAAGTCAAGCAATTCCTAGGGCTATATTTTTTCTGGAGGACTTAGAAATGTTTCCTTTCCTTTTCCAGCTTCTGAAGGCCACTGCATTCCTTGACTCATGCCCCCTTCCTCCATCTTAAAAGCACGTAACAACCTCTTTCACTGTCAGTTTCCTTTCTGCTTCTGACATTCCTGTCTCCTTCTCTCTCTCTGTCTCTATCTCCTTCTCTCTCTCTCTCAATCTGTGTGTGTGTGGGTCTCATAAAGATCCTTGTGATTACATTTGGCCCACCTGTATAGTCTAGGACAATCTTCCCTTTTCACAATTTCTAACTTAATCACATCAGTAAAGTCCTTTTTGCCACATAAGGCAGTGCTCCCCAACCTTTTTGGCACCAGGAACTGGTTTCATGGAAGACAATTTTTCCACAGACGGGTTGGGGGGATAGCTTCCGGATGACTCAAGTGCATTACATATATTGTGCACTTTATTTCCATTATTATTATATTGTAATATGTAATGAAATAATTATATAACTCACCATAATGTAGATACAGTGGGAGTCCTGAGCTTGTTTTCTACTACTAGACAGTCCCATCTGGGGGTGATGAGACACCGTGACAGATCATCAGGCGTTATAGTCTCATAAGGATCATGCAACCTAGATCCCTTGCATGCATGGGTCACAATAGCGTTTTGTGCTCCTATGAGAATCTAATGCCTCTGCTGACCTGACAGAAGGTGGAGCTCAGGCAGTAATGCAAGCAATGGGGAGCAGCTATAAATACAGATGAAGCTTCACTCACTTGCCCACTGCTCACCTCCTGCTGTGCTGCCTGGTTCCTAAACAGGTTCCCTGGAGGTTGGGGACTCCTGATATAAGGTAACATATTCACAAATTCCAGGAATTAGTATGTGGACATCTTTTGGGAGCCATTATTTAGCCTACCACAATCATAGTACTAGAGGAACTCATAACAACTGGGGAAGATACTGAAATGACTCATGAATTTATTTACTGACATCTAGCTTGCTACTTTTATAAAGAGGGTTTATTATGCAGGTGCACATTTTGGGCATGTGTTAACCTCTTCACCTGTAAAATAGAACTAATAGAACTACTTACATATAGGGATATTCTGAGGATTAAATAAGAAGTTTAAAGGGCTGTTACCACCCCGTTATAAAAGAACACTGTGGACATTGCACTAAAAAGTGACTCTTTTCAGTGCAAAAAAGATAAATACTTTTGTGCATGTGTGCAGCACATTGGCATTCCATTCTAGTCACATTATAGTTACTTCAATTAATTTGTATGCTTAAAGAGAGAAAGAGAAATAATGTAAATAATCTCTGCCATTTCATTTGTCATTCCACCCAATGAGCATGTGAAAGTGACTATGAAATGTATTCCTTAAATCTACTTTTCCTATGGGATCAACTGTTTAAATAAACGTATTCTTTCAGATATTATTGCATTTATTCATTTACATACCTATTTCTATGCTGTGAAGGCAGTATGACAAGAACTTAGCCTAACACAATACCTTGTAGTTGGTGCTCAGTATATGATAGCTGTTATTATTATGCAAATAAGTATTTCTTTAAAGATAATGAGGGTTCACCAATAAACTGACAACATATAATGAGAGAGAGCAGGCTAGTGGAATGAACAGACTTCAGAGTCAGTTACATCTAACTTCAAATCCTGAATTTGCCATGAGTTGTATTCTTAAAACTTTTCCTTTAACTCTCTAAACATCAATTTTGTCATTTCGAAAAAGGAAATTAAAATTATATCTCTTTAGATGTGAGGATCCAATGAGAAAATATACTTAGAGCTCCTCGAATACTGTTGGTCAGTGAATAGTAATTATTATTATTTAAATAAATATTTTCTTAATTAAAATATATTTAGCAAACAACTTTCTGAATAATGAATATAGTTATCATAGATTAAAAGATACAATTCTTACAATTCTGTCACCTAGGTTTCTGAAACATATAAAGATCTGTGGTCCCTTACAAACTGTTTATTACTAATAAATTTTCAGTATGTGTCCTAGTCAGGCTATTCATGATGACATGTAAGTGCACATACACAAACATGGATGTAAAACTTCCAATGTACCTTCAGTGATGGAAGTTTATTGTAAGAATTCAAGGGAATATGGAGTGGCACAGTTCTTAGTGTTAGCAACAACATAGTCATCTTCACGTTCCAGATCTTCTGAGACTGGAAAATGCAATAAACTCTACATATAAGTGGCTTAATGTTTTTTCATTTAACAACTGTGGTTTTATTAAATCAATTTCTCTATTTCACCAAATATTTAATTTGGCCAACTTGCCAAGCCACAGTAAAGAAGTCTGGATTTCTTTTCGCTGAGTCATTGTCAAGTTATCTCTGACTCCAGTACATCTTTGACCCAGACTACACTAAAAGTCTCAAGGCCTTCTTTGCCTTTTTCTGCTTATAGGCATGAGGGCTCCTTTGGGCTCTTTTCCCACTGGCCTCTGTGTGGAAACTCAGGCTTATACTTCTATGCCTCATCATGCCAGCTATGCTTTAAAATAATGACCCTGTCCTCTGAACTATACCTTGCTCATACTTGGCTGTTCAAGACTTTCAAAGACCTCAGGAGTGTTTAGATGCGATCACGTATGTAAACTATCTTGGAAGAAAGATAAGAACAAAGAAATAATGATGAAGAGTAAACACCCTAAAAAGAAAAAAGCACCATACAGAGGGGAGAATTACTTTTAAAATACATTTTGCAGAATTACAATCCTTTATTCCACTCTCCAAAATCTCCACAACCCACCACAATTGCCACACTATGTGCCAACACTAAGTACATCAATTCTGGGAAGGCAGAACCATATATATTGGACTTGAAGACATGGCCTTTACGACCATTAATCTATTTCCTTTTTCATTTTTAGTAAGTTTTTTTTTTTTTTAAAGAAAACCTGGTTATCCATCTAGCATCATGTTCTTACCTATAGGTAATTGTTACCTTTTCAGCATTTTACCCTTATGATTTCCTTAAATTTTTAAATTGCAGTTGATGTTTGATTTTGTTTGAAAAGAAATCTAAATGAGTTTAGGAACTCATGTGGATACCTGAGAGAACAGCATTGAGGAAGAAAGGCTGGGAGGGGCAAAGTTCCCCTGAGGTGGGAGTTCAGCAAGGAGGCTGATTGAGCTGGAGCGAAATGGATGAGGAGGGGAGAGGTAGGAGGTCAGCCAGGAGAAGAATCATGTAGACCTTTTGAAGCACATTAATCAGGTAGACTTTTTAAAGCACATTACTTTTTGTATATATTCAAAACAGAATACAAAATCTAGGGCCGGGAGCAGTGGCTCATGCTTGTAATCCCAGCACTTTGGGAGGTCAAGGCGGAAGGATCACTTGAGGTCAGGAGTTCAAGACCAGCCTGACCAACATGATGAAACCCTGTCTCTACTAAAAATACACAAATTAGCCAGGTGTGGTGGCTTACACCTGTAATTCCAGCTACTCTGGAGGCTGAGGCAGGAGACTTGCTTGAACCCAGGAGGTGGAGGTTCCAGTGAGCCAAGATTGTGCCACTGCACTCCAGCCTGGGTGATGGAGTGAGGCTCCATCTCAAAAAAAAAGAAAAAAAGAATACAAAATAACAGCCCTGGTATTTCCTCCCATTATGCAATCTTATCATTCTAATCTGTCTTTAATTAATCTCAGATGGACTCCAGAAAAATATGATGCTTTGAAAGAAGTTTTTATTGGATTACAAACCACTGAAAATATATTTAAATTTTTAAGAATTATGTACTAGTAGATTTTATTCAATTTCATTTGAGAGGATACCCAATTCCAAAGACAATTGGACCGATATTTTTCTGTTCATCTATCATGTTCCTCTACTATCAGATTCTGTGTCTTTTTTATTTGGAGAAGGCTGCTCTAATTCAGACTTAGATCATCTCTAATCAAATCTAATGGGAAAAGAGCAAGATGCTTTTTCTGGCCTGTCCTAACACCTTACTAATATTGATTGTGTCACACTCAAATTCCTGAACTTGGCTATAAATGACTAGCCAAGGGGATGGAATATATTTATTTCTATCACCATGGATTATATGTTTCTATCAATAGAGCATCCCTGAATCAATCCACAATGGCAGTACTGGAATTAGGGTGAATTGATGTTGAACAATACACAAACAACCAAAGAAATGTCCAATCATTTGGCTACTTCATCTTCCCATTCATAAACCCTCAAAAATATCTGTCTACATAATAAACTTATGTCACATCCCACAGAAAACACATCCTCCTTCGCTTTCCCAAAGAAATAATGAGAAATAAAAATCTCATTCATTGACCACACAGAGTTCTGGGTTCAAAAGGGCTATTCGAGGTACAGTCCTCTCAGTCAGATCCATCTCTAACTCCTCTTCACCTAGAGAACTAATGCTATATACTGTGTTTAATAAATCCCAAAACATTCAATACACACTTTTAAGCTGCTGTTTTGGGAAGGTAAACAACATTAAAGTGGTTGCTGATACATAATTCATATAATGTCTTGCATGACAGGGAAAGAAAGGGCTCCTTGACCTAGGAGTGAAATATAGTTCTGCTCTCTAAGGACTTCTATTGTTGAGAAGGAAATGGTTAATGGCAGTTTAGTGGACCACTTCTTCCCTAGTGGAGATAACAGGGGAAAAGAATGACTTCCACCAGATCTCCTTGTACACAGGGATTTCCTATCTACAAAGTAGGATATTTCTGGTCTATTTTTCTTATTGTAGGCAAATCTGAAATCTATGGACTTTGCTTATACCTGCTGTTTGTGAGTAGCCTTTAAATAATTAATAAAATTTGATACCAGGTAAGATCTATAATTTATGTGCACCTGCTTTGACAATTCAATCTGTTGAGTTTACACAATTCTTGTCTATGACCATATCCGAAGGGCATCCCGTAATTATTTATCAGTGTACTTCATTTAACCTCAGGTTCTAGAGCCTGAGGATTATTTTAAAGCTTGAGAAAATTTAGCCTCTTTTTTGTAAGGCTTGAGATTTGTCTAACAGTAAAACTTACTTGAACTCTTGGTATATTTTTAACCTATTTGCATTTTCTCTATTCATGGGGTAGTAAACAAAGGGAACTATCATGAAGAATCAGAGTATTTAAATCTGGACAACATGGCTGGATTTTCTGTCTTCAAGAAATTGGCCATGGCTACTATAGTACTTTTAGTCGTGGCCCCCTAAAAGACAGATTGAAATCCTAACTCTCAGTACCTCAAGAATGTGGCCTAATTTGCAAATAGGGTAGTTGCAAATGATTAGTTAAGGTGATATCACATGGGAATAGTGTGAGCTCTTAATCTAATATGACTGTGTCTTTATAACAGGAGCAGAAACAGACACACAGAGGGAGACAGCCATGTGAATGATTAAAGTGATGTGTCTACATGTCAAGTAACTCAAAGGATTGCCGACAACTTCCAGAAGCAAGGAGAGAGGCATGGAACAGATTCTTTCTCGGGTGCTTCCAGAGGAAGAAAGTCTGCTGGCATGTTATTTCAGACTTCTAGATTCCAGAACTGTGAGATGATAAATGTATGTTTTTCAAAGCCATCCAAATTTGTGGTACTTGGTTGCAGCAGTCCTGGGAAACTAGTACATCGACACTGCACTGCCAATTTCTTTAGCCCCGAGCTGAATTTCCTTCTTCTTTGTATCTATGCCTCTGGAGTGTATTTTCTCAATGGGAGTAATTCATCCCATTGTCAGGCAATGACTACTTAATTGGAAGAATATGGGAGGGGCTTGAGAAGCTAGGATATGATTTTTCTAACTACCAGTCATATCTCTTGCTAAGTTTCCCACTTCTAATATTGCTTGAATCAAATACTAGCTTAGGGCAGAGAATTTTTGGCTTTTCTACCCTGCTACTGTAGTTACAGCTATCTCAGACTTCAAATTACAGGTAGAAATGAGGCTGGTTGCAGTGGCTCACACCTGTAATCCCAGCACTTAGGGAGGCCGAGGTGGGCGGATCACATGAGGTCAGGAGTTACCAGCCTGCCCAAAATGGTGAAACGCCATCTCTACTAAAAATATAAAAATTAGCCAGGCGTGGTAGTGCGTGCCTATAGTCCCAGCTACTGGGGAGGCTGAAGCAGGAGAATCTCTTGAACCTGGGAGGCGGAGGTTGCAGTGAGCAGAGATCACACCACTGCACTCCAGCCTGGGTGACAGAGATTCCATCTCAAAAAAAAAAAAAAAGAAAGAAAGAAAAAAAAAAGAAAGAAGGAAAGAAAGAAAGAAAGAAAAGAAAAGAAAGAAAGAAAAGAAAAGAAAGAAAGGGAGAGACAGAGAGAGAGAGGGAAGGAAGGAAGGAAGGCAGGAGAAGAGAGAGGAAGAAAGAGGGAGAAGGAAGGAAGGAAAGAAAGAGAAAGAGAGAAAGAAAGGAAAGGAAGGAGAGAGAAAGAAAGAGAAAGAGAAAGAAAGAAAAGAAAGAAAGAAGGAAGGGAAGGAAAAGAAAGAGAGAAAGGAAGGAAGGGAAAGAAAGAAAGAGAAAGGAAGAGAAAGGAAGGAAAGGAAGGAAGGAGAGAGAGAAAGAAAAGAAAGAGGAAGGAAGGAGATAGAGAAAGAAAGAAAGAGAAAAAGGAAAGAAAGAAAAGAAAAGGAAGGAAATGTAGGAAAGAAGGAAGGAGAAAGAGAAAGAAAGAGAGAGAGAAAGAAAGACAGAAGAAAAGAAAAGAAAAGTAAAGAAAACAAAGTGGAAGCTTACACCAAAACAATATTCTCTAATCTCTTTATTTTTAAATAAAATGGATCTGGTTTAAAACTTTCTCATTGTTTGACCTTATTTGATGTTCTAAATGCTGAATTCAAAACAAAGTTTCACATCTTGTGGTCTTATTCAGTGTGACCACAGGACATGCTGCTTAAACCATTGCTTAAACAGAGAACAGTTTAAGCAGTTGTTTTGCTTACACTTAATAAAATCTGCCAACTTCCAAGACTGGAATTGAGGCCCACATTGCTCTTCATGTGACCTCCTGAGCTTGGCCAGACTAGCTATGAAGTCTAGTCCTTGTTCAAAAGTTGGCCAACCACTCAGTTGTGATTCGAGTTGCTTCTACTTTAACTTATGTTATTGTCTTTTCACATACAGTTTAACCAGGCCCTCAAACAATATCACTGCAACCCAATTTCCTACTTCTATCATATGCCTAATCTGTCCTGGATCTATTCACATATAGAATCTCTCTTTACAGTGGAAAGATGGTTGCCACAATTTTAAACGTATATTTTCTCTCATTTTGAGTCAATGAAGTGTTAGTAAAATCTTGGGTCATTTCACTGACTTTTATTTAGTCAGATTTCCAGTTGTTAAGTGAATCACAGTGAATGGAGCAGTGCCATGTGCAGAATGACTTAGATCTGAGTCATATGCTCTGGTCCCCACACCTCCAGAAACACATGAGCTAATCATGAGAAAGAACTAACCCACCAAATGGCTCTTTGTAGAAGTAAATTGAAGCTAGCCAGTCAGAAAATGTAAACTAAAATAACAACAGAATTATTAGGTTGGTGCAAAAGTAGTTGCAGTTTTTACCATCACTTTCAATGGCAAAAACCGCAATTACTTTTGCATCAACATAATGGAAGGGTGGAGTAAAACAGCAGAGTAAGAATTTCCATGAAAGGCTAAGAATTTTGTCAAAGACCTTTTCTGCATCTATTGAGATAATCATGTGTTCTTTGTCTTTGGTTCTGTTTATATGCTGGATTACATTTATTGATTTGCATATGTGGAATCAGCCTTGCATCCCAGGGATGAAGCCCACTTGATCGTGGTGGATAAGCTTTTTGATGTGCTGCTGGATTCGGTTTGCCAGTATTTTATTGAGGATTTTTGCATCGATGTTCATCAGGGATATTGGTATAAATTCTCTTTTTTTATTGTGTCTCTGCCAGGCTTTGGGATCAGGATGATGCTGACCTCATAAAATGAGTTAGGGAGGATTCTCTCTTTTTCTATTGATTGGAATAGTTTCAGAAGGAATGGTACCAGCTCCTCCTTGTACCTCTGGTAGAATTCGGCTGTGAATCCATCTGGTCCTGGACTTTTTTTGGTTGGAAGGCTCTTAATTATTGTCTCAATTTCAAAGCCTGTTGTTGGTCTATTCAGGGATTCAACTTCTTCCTGGTTTAGTCTTGGGAGGGTGTATGTGTCCAGGAATTTATCCCTTTCCTCTAGATTTTCTAGTCTATTTGTGTAGAGGTGTTTATAGTATTCTCTGATAGTAGTTTGTATTTCTGTGGGATCAGTGGTGACAAAATTCAACAGCCCTTCATGCTAAAAACTCTCAATAATTTAGGTACTGATGGGATGTCTCTCAAAATAATAAGAGCTATTTATGACAAATCCACAGCCAATATCATACTGAATGGGCAAAAACTGGAAGCATTCCCTTTGAAAACTGGCACAAGACAGGGATGCCCTCTCACCACTCCTATTCAACATAGTGTTGGAAGTTCTGGCCAGGGCAATCAGGCAGGAGAAAGAAATAAAGGGTATTCAATTAGGAAAAGACAAAGCCAAATTGTCCCTGTTTGCAGATGACGTGATTGTATATTTAGAAAACCTCATCGTCTCAGCCCAAAATCTCCTTAAGCTGATAAGCAACTTCAGCAAAGTCTCAGGATACAAAATCAATGTGCAAAAATCATAAGCATTCTTATACACCAATAACAGACAAACAGAGAGCCAAATCATGAGTGAACTCCCATTCACAATTGCTTCAAAGAGAATAAAATACCTAGGAATCCAACTTACAAGGGATGTGAAAGACCTCTTCGAGGAGAACTACAAACCACTGCTCAACGAAATAAAAGAGGACACAAACAAATGGAAGAACATTCCATGCTCATGGGTAGGAAGAATCAATATTGTGAAAATGGCCATACTTCACAAGGTAATTTGTAGATTCAATGCCAGCCCCTTCAAGCTACGAATGACTTTCTTCACAGAATTGGAAAAAACTATTTGAAAGTTCATATGGAACCAAAAAGGAGCCCACATTGCCAAGACAATCCTAAGCCAAAAGAACAAAGCTGGAGGCATCACGCTACTTGACTTCCAACTATACTACTAGGCTACAGTAACCAAAACAGCATGGTACTGGTACCAAAACAGAGATATAGACCAATGGAACAGAACAGAGCCCTCAGAAATAATACCACACATCTACAACCAACTGATCTTTGACAAACCTGACAAAAACAAGCAATAGGGAAAGGATTCCCTATTTAATAAATGGTGCTGGGAAAACTGGCTAGCCATATGTAGAAAGCTGAAACTGGATCCCTTCTTTACACCTTATACAAAAATTAATTCAAGATGGATTAAAGACTTAAACGTTAGACCTAAAACCATAAAAGCCCTAGAAGAAAACCTAGGCAATACCATTCAGGACATAGGCATGGGCAAGGACTTCATGTCTAAAACACCAAAAGCAATGGCAACAAAAGCCAAAATTGACCAATGGGATCTAATTAAACTAAAGAGCTTCTGCACAGCAAAAGAAACTAACATTGGAGTGAACAGGCAACCTACAGAATGCGGCAAAATTTTTGAAATCTACTCATCTGACCAAGGGCTAATATCCAGAATCTACAAAGAACTCAAACAAACTTACAAGAAAAAAACAAACAACATCACCAACGAGTGGGCAAAGGATATGAACAGACACTTATCCAAAGAAGACATTTATGCAGCCAAAAGGCACATGAAAAAATGCTCATCATCACTAGCCATCAGAAAAATGCAAATCAAAACCGCAATGAGATACCATTTCACACCAGTTAGAATAGCAATAATTAAAAAGTCAGGAAACAACAGGTGCTGGAGAGGATGTGGAGAAATAGGAACATTTTTACACTGTTGGTGGGACTGTAAACTAGTTCAACCATTATGGAAGACAGTGTGGCAATTCCTCAAGGATCCAGAACTAGAAATACCATTTGACCCAGCCATCCCATTACTGGGTATATACCCAAAGGATTATAAGTCATGCTGCTATAAAGACATATGCACACAGATGTTTATTGCAGCACTATTCACAATAGCAAAGACTTCAAACCAACCCAAATGTCCATCAATGATAGACTGGATTAAGAAAATATGGTACATATACTCCATGGAATACTATGCAGCCATAAAAAAGGATGAATTCATGTCCTTTGTAGGGACATGGATGAAGCTGGAAACCATCATTCTCAGCAAACTATCACAAGGACAAAAAACCAAACACCGCATGTTCTTACTCATAGGTGGGAATTGAACAATGAGAACACTTGGACACAGGAAGGGGAAGATCACACACCGGGACCTGTCGTGGGGTGGGGGGAGGGAGGAGGGATAGCATTAGGAGATATACCTAATGTAAATGACGAGTTAATGGGTGCAGCACACCAACATGGCACATGTATACATATGTAACAAACCTGCACGTTGTGCGCATGTACCCTAGAACTTTAAATATAGTTTTAAAAAAAGGAATTTCCAGTGACTGTACCACCACAGAAACATCAACATCTATTGAACAAATAATAAATATCCATGCATGAAAATGATTTCCCTCGAGATAAGGAAGCCAAATGAGAGACTATAGTACCTGATTGTGTCACTATAATAAGAAAAGACCCCTTTAAAAGGGTAGGAAAGCCAGTTATACATTATCCTCATAGCCCCTTCCCCAAGCCCAGGCAACACAGTGCAAAGAGAGATACCATCTGTCTGGGAGAAAGAGAGGAAAGTGAGCACAGGACTTTGCCTTAGACTCCAACACTGGGTTAACCATAGTAAAATCCAGCACTAGACAGACCCCCATAGATCCATATTCCAAGCCAGTATCCATAGACTGAGCCTCTACTGACCCAACCTGGTGTCAGGCAGAACTACAAATCTCCAGGATTCAGGATTGAGTGGAAGAGTCGATCTTCAGCCCACTTCCCACCAGGTCACCTTCAGGCAGGTCTCAATGGCAGGCATCCCCCAGAGGCTCCAGGCTTCTGGTATGCCCCAGTGCCACACAGGCTGCACCTGCCCTGAACTTCTTGCATTCTCCAGCACCATGCCTGCAATAGCAAGCCCCAGGTTTCTAATAGCAGTACACTAGCTGCAAATGCCCTGGCCTCTGGCCTACCTATCCCAATACTGTGCCTGCTGAAGGGCTTTCCCAGACAAAGTCAGTCTGTGAAGACTAGAATAACTACTTACTTCTTTGAAAGCACAGACATCTATATACAAGGATCAAGAACAATCAGGGACACATAACATTGCCAGACAGATTAAGTTGCCAGTGATTGACCCTAAAGAAATGAAGATATATGAAATGGCTGACAAGCAATTCAAAATAGCTATCTTAAAGAAGCTCAATACTTTGGGAGGCTGAAGTGAGCAGATTGCTTAAGCCCAAAAGTTTGAGACCAGCTTGGACACCATAGCTAAATCTTGTCTCTACAATAAATACAAAAATTAGCTGGACATGGTGGTGTGAAACTGTAGTCCCAGCTACTCAGCAAGCAGAGGCAGGAAGACTGCTTGAGCACAGGAGTTTGAGGTTGCAATGAGTCATAATCACATCACTACACTTTAGCCTGGGTGACAGAGTGAGATCCTGTCTCAAAAAGAAAAAGAAGAGGAAGGAGAAGAAGAAGAGGAAGAGGAAGAAGAAGAAGAAGGAGAAGAACAAGGAGAAAAAGCAGCAGCAACAGCAGCAGCAGCAGCAGCTCAGTAAATGTCAGGAAAACACAGAAAAACAATATAATAAAACTAGAAAAATAATATGTGACCAGAATAAGAAATTTAATAGAGAGATTAAAATAATAATTTAGAAAACAAGCAGGAATCCTGGAGATAAAAAAATACAATGAACAAAATTAAAAAGGCAAAAAATAGCATCAATGGCAAAATTAATCAAGGAGAAGAAAGAATCAGTGAACTTGGAGATAGATTATTTGAAAATAGACAGCCAGAAGAAAAAAAAGCATAAAAAGAAATAAAGATTATAGGATTTTTGAGACAACATCAAAAGAGCAAGTTTTTGAATCACAGGAGTTCAATAAGGAGAAGGGAAAGATAAAGGGGTAGAAAACTTATTTTTAAAAACAGGAGCTCAAAACCTAAAGAAAGATGTAATTATTTAGGTACAGGAAGGTCAAAGGTCTCCAACCAGATTTAATTCAGATAAGACTACCCCAAGGCATATTATAACCAAACTGTTAGAAATGAAGCACAAAGAGAGGATTCTGGGAGCAGCAAGAGCTAAGAAATGAATAACGTAAAAGAAAGTTTCAATATATCTAGCAGCAGACTTTTCAGCAAAAATCTTACAGGCCAGTAGAGAGGGAGATGATATATTCAAAGTGCTAAAGGAAAAAACCAGCCAACCAACCCTAACATATTAAGGAAAGCTGTCCTCAAGAAATGAAAGAGAGATAAAAATTTCCCCAAACGGAAACTAAGAAAGTTCATCACCACAAGACATGTCTTACAAAAAAAGCTAATGAGAATTCTTGAAGCAGAAAGAAAAGAATTCTAATGAGTACGATAAAAATATCTGAAAGTTTAAAAATCATTGATAAAAGTAAGTATACAGTCAAATTCAGAATATTAAAATATTTTAACTATGGTGTATAAATCATTGAAATTTTTAGCATGAAAATCAATAATGTAAGCTATTAATAATTTTATAATAGCTATAATAATTTGTTAAGTGATAAGCAGTATAAAAAGATCTAAATTATACCATCAAAACTCAAAATATTGGGGAGAAAATACAGTAAAATTGAAGTGGGCTTTTTTTGCAATAAAGTTAAGTTGTTATCAGCTTAAAATAATCTATTATAGCTATGAGATTTTTCTTTATGCCATAAGGTAAGCACAAAGTAGAAGACCTATAGAGGATACTTACCCCAGAAAAGTAATAAATCAAAATATACTACCAGAAAAATTACTTAAAACACAAAGGAAGAGAGCAACAGAGAAAGGAAGGAACAAAGGATCTATAAAACAATTAAAAGATAACAAAATGGCAGTAGTAAGTTCTTACCTATCAATAATTACCTTGAATGTAAGTGGATTAAATTCTAGCATCAAAAGACACAAAATGGCTGAATAGATTAGAGATAAAAACAAGACCCAACTATATACCGCCTATAAGAGACTCACTTCATCTGTAAAGACAAACATAGACTTAAAGTGAAGGGATGAAAAAGATATTCCATGAAAATAGAAACCAAAAAAGAGAAGGAGTAATAATACTTTTATCCAATAAAATAGACTTTAAGTCAAAAAATTTTTTAAAAGACAGAAAAGGTTATTGTATAATGATAAAGAAGTCCATTCAGTAGAAGGATATAGCAATTACGAATATACATGCACTCAATATTGGGACACATAAATATGTAAAGCATTATTAATAGATCTGAGGGGAGACATTGACTGCAATGCCTAATAGTATGGGATGTCAACACCACACTTTCATCAATAGACAGATCACTCAGACAAAAATCAATAAGGTAAACTGAATTGAAACTACACTCTAAATCAAATGGATCTAACAGACACACATAAAGAACACTCCATTTAACAGCTACAGAATACACACTCTTCTCAACAGTACATGAAACATTCTCCAAGATAGGTCATGTGATATAACACAGAACAAATTTAAACAAATTTAAGAAGACTGATATTAAGTAAGTTTTCTGGTTGCAATGGTATTAAAACTAAAAATAAATACAGAGAAAACTTCAGAAAATTCACAAGAACATGGAAATTAAACAACATACTCCTGACCAAACAATGGGTCTGATATCATTTGGCTCCGTGTCTCAACCCAAATCTCACCTTGAATTGTAATAATCTCCACATGTCAAGGGTGAGACCAGGTGGAGATAATTGAATCATGGGAACAGTTTCCCCCATGCAGTTCTCATAATAGTGAGTGAGTTCTCACAAGAGCTGATGGTTTAATAAGGGGCTTCCCCCTTTGCTTGGCATTCATTCACTCCTGCTGCCTTGTGTAAAAGTGCCTTCCACTATGACTGTAAGTTTCCTGAGGCATCTCCAGCCATGCAAAACTGTGAGTCAATTAAACCTCTTTTCTGAAAGGCTCTTTTAGTGGTTCAAACCCTGAGAACGTGCCAACAAACAACACAAGGTGGTGTGGAGAAACACGCTGTTTTAGTGAGCACCTGGGTGCAGATGGGCTGAGGCCTAAAATGGTGTCAGCCCCAGGTGAGGGCAGGCAGGGGTTTTATAGTCTCCAGTAAACAAGAAGTGTCCCAGTCTGACCTAACTGCTACGTGGTACCCTGATGGCTCCCTCTCTCGATCTCCAGTGGGTACATGTCTTCCAGCCAGCTCTCTTCCTGCTTCTTCTATCTTGCTGATGCACGCTGCTGACGCAAGTGGCTTTGTGCCTTGGGACTGGGCCTGAGGAGGGAGGAGTTATTCATCCCCCCAAACTTTCAGGCCCTGGGGAGAATCTTTAATTCCTGTCTATTCGGTTATAGAAAAGGGAAAAGGGACAACTTTCTCAATAACTACTTCAGGTATGACATAGGGGGTGCCATGGGCACCTCGGAATAAAGAAAAACTTAATTTTTGGGGTATTCTTGAGAGACGGGTTGGTATCCATTGTGTCATTGTAGCAGGAGCATCGTCTGGATTGTCTGGCAGTTAACTGTAGTTTCAACAAGTTTTAGTGGCTTTCATTATCAGTGGGATAGGGGAGAAACAGGAGGAACCCAATGATGAAGATTACTGTCTCTACCAGCGTTTTAAATCCTCCTAAATTAGAGAGCCACCCTCCTAGAAGGTTTATCGGGTCCCATCCCTTCCAGGTTTGGACTGGTACATGGGCTACTTTTCTGATGTTTGAGGCAATCTCTAGAACCACTTTTCCATTATATTCTATGTTAAGACAACAATTGGAGATATTAAACTTATCATAGACCCCACCCTCTTCTGCTAATAAGTAGTCTAGTGTCAGTCTGTTTTGATAAGTTGTCGTGTGCATTTGGTTTTGTTGTTGTGCAAGCATTTCCAGGGCTGAGGCAGTTTGGTTAGTGATTATCTTTAGAATAGCCTGTAGTATAATTATTCTATTTAGCCTATATATGGGAGTGTGATAACCCCATGAACCATCCTCAGCCCAAGTGGCAGGGCCATAATATTCAATGATCCATTGCAGAGGCCACTTGTCCTCTCGCCATCTTTGGCTTCCTCCTACCTTTAAGGATTGTTTTTCTCTGTTTAGGTTATCACATACAGGGACTCCAAGGGTGTTGCCCACCTGCTTTGGAAGTAAAAAGAATCCAGGTTTAACTATGCCTAGGAAGCAAGTACCTTGCCAGTGATAAGGTAGCCATGAGTAAGCCTGGGTTCCACATATCCAAAAGAATCCTTCAGGGGCAATCCATTGTAGGCTGGTGTTCATAGGATTGTCCCATAGTGCACTTAGGCAGGGGTATGCAGCTTAAGGGTTAGTGGTGTTTGTATAGTACCAGGCCTTTTTTTACAAGACACAATTGAGGTAGCTTAAGTTAGAAGGAGACCAGGCTCCTTGGGGTAACCTTGGCCACCACTCTGCTGTGGAGGCATTGACTGTTAGGGTTTGGTGACAGGGGCTTTCACCTACAGTGTGATGGGTTTCATCAGTCCACTTGTGGAATATGCACACCACCCCTCTTACTGGGTTCGTAAGTGTCTAGGACTGTGGGTGTTCCTGAGGACTGAAAATGAGGCTGGGGTTTTGGGATGCTAGTAACTAAGGGGGAATGTCTATCCCATACCACAGCCACTGTTCACTTCACTCATACGAGCTCCCTTGCATACCCAGCAATTGGACACATTCATGGTAAGTGTGATGCTTTCTCCTAGATCTACAAACAGCTTTTTCCTGACTTGGGAAGGGATACATCTGCTTGTAGTTTTGTATAAAAGCATGAAAATACCATGGGTGATTTTGGGTGGGTGGTGGGGGGAGTTGTTTATTTTGGCTTTTGCTTTGGCTATAATCTGTTCTCTCTTTATGTCCTCTAGCACTTGAGTATTTACTCCCCATTGTCCAATTTTGGTGAAGCAAAGCCACTGCTTACCTTTTGGACATATAGTCCCATTACAACTGCCAGATACTCCTGGATTTTTTACTTTACAATAACCTTTCCCTGATTCAACACATTCCTCAATTAAGTTTCCATAACAGGATTTTTCTATACGAGTATGTTAAGTAAAGGATTGTTGCATTTTTCCTCCACAGTGGAAAGACTGATAACACTCATGGCAGCTCGGAGGGGCTGCTGTGGACAGCAGGGCAGCTACTGACAATATTAGGATTGTGATGAGAGATATTCCTGTATTAAGACTTTTGGTTGGAAGTGAGGTACAGCAGGCAGTTGGGTAGATATAGGCCATTTCTAAAGCAAGTGATTAGTCTTCCTCATCTTTTGGCTCTAAGAAAAAAAAATTGGGTTAATTTAAGCTTGGTAGGAGAAATTGGCCAGGATGACCACTTTCCTGTTAATGTTTTGGAGGAAGAAGTAGCCTTGGGGGTGAGCTTGACCCTGGTGTGATGGATCCAGCGAGGGAGTTCTTGGATTCTCACTGCAGTTGGCATGCTGAGTATCATAGTGTAGGGGCCTGTCCACTTCAGTTGTAGCTTTTTGTGAGGGTCAGGTTGGCAAATAAATACTTCTGTGCCTGCAAGACAGTTATGTTGAGAGGACAAGGAGGTGTCAACAGGGAGAGGCATGACCTCATTTGCAGCTTCACGAATGAAAGATCATGTCTGGATTAAGGAGGGGAGGATTACCCGGGCAAGATTTGCAAGTAGATTTCACTCACATGCTGCCCTATAAATGGCTCTGCTATCTTCTAGTCTTTGTTTGTACTTTCTCCTGGTGGGTAGAAGCATTCCCAACAACTTCAGAAGGTGCAAATGTCATAACAGAAACTCTCATCATACATATAGTTACCCACCAGGCCCTGGGCTTGGTGGATATGAAAAGGCGGCAGCCAGAGGGAATCCTGGGGTGACACTGAGTGGCAGATAGAGCAGGACTGAGTAATTTCTCAAACACGGCTGGAAAGGAGAGGACAAGTGAGAATAGGGTGGAGAAGTTGCAAGAGAGGTTTGTAACCAACATGGAAAGAGTTGTGGAGGGTTTGGAGGATAGGGATTATCTGAGAGTGAGGAAGAATGAAACACCCTTCCTTGACATACCGTGGTCCTTGCTTTTGAAGGTTTTGGGCTTGGAAGTCCTCCTTTTCTTCTGAGGAGTAAAGAGGAGAGAACAAGGACAGGGACAGAAACTGGCCTTACACAGGTTGTAGGGCTACTTGTTTGGCTAAATTATCTGCTAGAGCATTTCTAGCCAATATAGGATTGTCTGGGGTTTGGTGGCCCCTGCAATGAATGATGGCAACTTTCTGCAGGAGTCTGGCAGCTTGAAGGAGTTTGCTGATGAGCCATTTATGACAGGAGTGTTTTTTGCAGTTAGGAAACCCCATTCTTTCCAGATGGACAAGTGTGAGTGCACTATGTGGAACATATAATGAGAATCTGAATATATGTTAATTTGTTGTCCGCCTGCTAGCATGAGTGCTTGAGTGAGGGTGATGAGTTCAGTTTTTTGGGAGGTGGTTCCTAGGGGGAGCAGACTGGCTTCAATACTGTGTGGGGCGTAGCACTATAGCATAGCCAGCATGTTGGCATCCTTGATATAGGAAGGAGCTGCCATCTACGAACCAAATAAAGGAGGCATCTGGAAGGTGTTGGCCTGTTAGGTTTGGAAAAGGTATAAGAAAGGTTTGAACAGTGTCTACACAGAAGTGTGCAGGGTCTTGGGAGGCAGTAGCTGCAGGTAAGAGCATGGCCAGTTTAAACAGGAGCTGGTTAGCACAGTGATTTGGGGAGTTTCTATGAATAAAGCATACAGTTGGAGGAGCCATGGGGCAGAGATGAGACTTAGTACACTGCGGTGAGCTAGCATGTCTTTGATGTTATGGGTTGAATAAACTGTTAGGTTGGCATGAAGAGATAGTTTTAGGCTTTCAAGGGTGAGGACAGCATTTGCCACCAGTGTTTGGAGGCAAGCAGGCCATCTGAGAACTGTGGTTTTAAGCTGTCTGGAGAGGTAAGTGATAACCTGGAGGGTAGGTCCCTTAGACTGGGTTACAACACCTAGTGCAGCTCCACGTCGTTCATCGGTATAGAAGGAGAAAGGTTTGGTGAGGTCTGGGGGAGTAGGTGATAACCCGGAGGGCAGGTCCCTTATACTGGATTAGAACACCTAGTGCCACTCCACATCATTTGTCAGTATAGAAGGAGAAAGGTTTGGTGAGGTCTGGGGGAGTGAGGATGGGGGTTGAGATGAGAGGCTTTTGGAGTAGACAGAAAGGTTGGATAATAGGCTGTGCAGGGTTTAAAGGTTCATGGAGACGGCCTTTAGCAGCTTGGTATAACGGTTTGGCAAGTAGAGCGAAGGAGGGAACCCAAAGCCTAAAATATCCCACTAATCCTTGAAAAGAGAATTTCTTCCTTAGTTTGCAGAGGTGGGAGGGACTGGAGGAGGGATATTCAGTCAGTTTTGAGCCCTTGGGTTTGCAGGGTAAAGGCTAGGCCTAGGTAGGTGACTGAGGGAGTGCATATTTGTGCTTTTTCAGGGGAGACCCGATACGCCTGCTCTGCCAGGAAGTTTAAAAAAGAGATAAAATGGGTATTGCAATCTTTGAGAGAGGCTACACAGGAGCAGATCATCAACATATTGAAGGAAAGTGGACAGTTTTAGGGATAAGGTACAGAGGTCGTGGGCAAGGTCCTGTCCAAAAAGGTGGGGGCTGTCTCTAAAACCTTGAGGTAGTATGCACCAGGTGAGCTGATGTCAAAGGTGGGTGTAGGGGTCTTCCCACGTAAAGGCAAAGAAGTCTTGAGAATTGGGGTGCAAAGGAATTGTAAAAAAAAGTATCCTTTAGGTCTAGGATGGAAAAATGGGTGGTACTGGAGGGAACTGTGGAAAGTAAAATGTATGGGTTAGGAACTACTGGACATACTGGGAGCACAGCTTGGTTAATGAGCCTGAGGTCCCAGACTAAGTGATAAGTTCCATCTGGTTTTTTAACATGTAGAATTGGTGTGTTAAAAGGGAAGTTTGTTGGGCAGAATAGGTGACTGGAAGGAGATGAAAATGATAGGCTTTAGGCCTGCAAGAGCTGCTTGGGTAATTGGATACTGCTTCTGTGAAAGGAACTGGGTGGGGTTTTTAAGGGTAATGCGGATGGGGGTGTGGTGTTTTGCAACTGAGGGTGTGGAAGTATCCCAAACAGCAGGGTTAACTACGGATGGGGGATAAGCAAAGGTTGCATATTTTAGGGTGGGAGGTTGGAGGAGTAGAAGAAAGCTAGAAGCACCAGAGGGGTCTTGGTGGATGTGTTGGTTACCATGGGGAATGTGGAAGTGGAGAGTAGTGTGGAGTTTTGAAAGGATGTCTCTGCCTAGGAGTGGAGTTGGGCATGAGGGCAGGATTAAGAAAGAGTGAGTGAGGGAAAAGATGTGAAGGGAGCAGAAGAGTGGAGGGGTGACTCAGGGTTTGGAGACTTGTCCATCAATACCCACAACAGAGACTTTGGAGGACTGGGTGGGTCCTGAAAAATTAGGTAAAGCAGAGTAGGTTGCCCTGGTATCAATTAAAAGATATACTGGCCTACCTGCCACCATCAGGGTTACCCTTGGCTTGGATGAAGAGATGGTAGTTGCCAGGGCATCCATTCCAGGGCAACATCAGTCTTCAGTGGCAAGCCAATGAGATCCAAGTAGGAGGTTTTGGCCAGCTCAGGAAGAGATGGGGGTGGTCCTTGCAGAAGCCACTCACAGTACGACTTCCAGTGGGCCCTCCGCAGATGGGGCATGGCCTGATGGGCTTACCTGGGTTAGGGCATTTTCTAGACCATTGGCCTTCATTGCTGCACTTGAAACAGGTGCCAGGTGGAGGTGGATTACTAGGAGGCTTCCGTGTGGAGCTGTGGCCCCGTGGGCCTGCAGGGCCCCTGATGGCAGAGGCAAGCATTTGAAATTCTGCCTGTTTTTGCCTTTTATCTTCCTCATCATGATTGTTAAAGACTTTGAATGCTAAATTAAGAAGGTCTCATTGTGTGGTTTGAGGGCCGTCATCAAGCTTCTGAAGCTTGCACCGGATATCAAGGGTGGATTGGGAGATGAATCAAACATTTAAGATAGTGGTTCCTTCTAGGCTGGCTGGGTCTAGGTTGGTATATTTTCTCATAGCTTCAGTTAAATGAGAGAGAAAAAGGGCTGGGTTTTCATCAGGACCTTGGGTGATTTCTGAAAGTTTTCATAGTTTACCGCTGTATGGGCACCCTTTTTGAGTCCTGCAAGGAGACACACAATCATGTGGTCTCGATAGCAGTGTCCAGGGGCCCCATCTTGATAACCCCAGTGGAGGTCCTGACTGGGGACTGCTTCTGTGCCAGTAGGCTGGGTAGGAGCCTGGTGAGGAATTGTATCAGCATGTGCCTGAGCTAAGGTCCAGATACAGTCCCAGTCTTCTGGGGTGAGGGTGGAAGAGAGGATAATGTAGAGGTCATGCCAAGTTAGTTCATAAGACTGGGTGAAGTACTGAAACTCCCTAATATAAGATGTAGGATCTTCTGGATATGAACCGAGTCTTTTGTTAATTTGAGAGAGATCAGTGAGGGAGACGGGAACACGAACTCTAACAATACCTTCAGTTTCTGCTACTTCCCAAAGGGGGCACTCTAGCACAGGTGCTGAAGTAAGGGTGGGGCATGGGTCAAAGATGGCACCTGAGTGAGTATGGACGGGAGAGAAGGAAGAACCTGGAAATGGTTCCTGTTGAGGGTTTGAAGGGGAAAGGGGGTTGAGTTAATAAGCAGTGGAGAATAGATAGGGGTTTAAGGTGGTGGGATGGGTTTATGGGCCTCAGGAGAGGGCAATGAGGGAGAAGAATGGGTACAGGCAGTGCTAGAATTGTCCTGAGGAGAGGACAGTGTAGGAAAAGAAGTGGATACTCTTGGAGGTGGTGCTGGATGGGAAGATGGCAGCTGGGAAGGTGGTGGCTGAGAAGATGACTGCTGGGAAGATGGCAGCTGAGAAGAAAAAGAGAAGGCTTGGGGGATTAAAGAAGATGGTTGAGAGGGAGAGGTAGGGGCTGGGAAGGGTGGACAGCAGTCTGCTGGATCAAACCAGGAAAAAGAGGTAGGGTCGGGAGGAGAAAGGCGTTCAGGGTGGCTATGATGGAGAAGGAGGATTTGAATAGGTGAGCAAGAATTGCAGAGGTCAGGTTGTAATTTGAGTGTGAAAAAGGCCTGGACATAAGGAATTTCTCCCCGTTTTTCCAGTCGTCAGCAATAGTTGCTTAAGTCAATTAAAATTGTAAAGTTGAATGTTCCATTTGGGGGCCATTTGGACCCATTATCCGATTCGTACTGTGGCCAAACTGAATTGCAATATAAAAGACAGGTCACTTAGGGTGGATATCTTACCCGAGGCCTAAGGTTTGCAGGTTTTTTATGAGGCAGCCTAGAGGGCTGTCCTTTGGAGTGGAAGACAGGGAATTTCCCATAACAAAGGGTACACTCGGGAGAACAAGGAAAAGGAGACCTTCCTGGATGGCCGCAGGGAGATGATAAAAGAGCAATCCTCACTGCTGCCTTTTTCGTTCCTAGAACGGGATCAAATGGCTTAGAGGCATCCCCCTAAGACCAGATGATCAGCGAGTGCTTCACACATGCCGGCGGAGCCTTCTTGGACCAACGTTGGATTTCTGGACCAGAGAAACCAAGAGAGGCCGTGTGGATTTATCTCTGTTAACCAGGCTCCCAGGAAACTTACCAGTAGGTGAGATCAGTGACCAATGTGCATGCACAGAGAGGTGACTGGAGGCTGAGGAGCTTCCTTTGTCCAGCTGCTGTGGCCTGCTTTCTGGGGTGGAGGGGTAGGTCCACAGGGCACATGGACCAGAGCCCGTCTCAGGTTTCAGCACCTGATGCAAGGCTCTTGTATTGGTTTGAACCCCGAGAATGCACCAACAAAAAACACAAGGTGGGTGGAACAACACACTGTTTTAATGAGCGCCTGGGTACAGATGGGCTGAGGCCTAAAATCACATCAGCCCCAAGTGAGGACGGGGCATGGGTTTTATAGTCTCTTGTAAACAGGAAGTGTCTCAGTCTGATGTAACTGCTACATGTTACCCAGACGGCCTCTCTCTCTCGATCTCCAGTGGGTAAGTGTCTTCCGGCCAGCTCTCTTCCTGCTTCTGCTATCTTGCTGATGCACACTGCTGGTGCAAGTGGCCTTGCACCTTGGGACTGGGCCTAAGGAGGGAGGAGTTATTCATTCCCCCGAACTTTCAGGCCCTGAGGGAGAATCTTTCATTTTCTTTATAAATTACCAAGCCTCAGGTATTTCTTCATAGCAGCATGAGAATAAACTAATACAGTAAATTGGTACCGGGAGTAGTAGGGTGCTGCTGTAAAGATACTCGAAAATGTGGAAGTGACTTTGGAAGTAGGTAACAGGCAGAGGTTGGAATGGTTTGGAGGGCTCAGAAGAATACAGACAAATGTGGCAGAGTTTGAAACATCCCAGAGACTTAGAGGGCTCAGAAGACAGGAAGATGTGGGACAGTTTGGAAATTCCTGGAGACTTGTTGATTGAATGGCTTTGACCAAAATGCTGATAATGATATGAACAATAAAGTCTAGGGTGAGGTAGTCTCAGATGGAGATGAGAAACTTGTTGGGAACTGGAATAAAAGTGATTCTTACTATGCTTTAAGAAAGAGACTGGCAGCGTATTGCCCCTGCCCTAAAGATCTGTTGAACTTTGAACTTAAGAGAGATGATTTAGGGTATCAGGTGGAAGAAATTTCTAAGTAGCAAAGTGTTCAAGAGGAAGCAGAGCATAAAAATTCAAAAAATTTGCCACCTGATGGTGCACTAGAAAAGAAAGACCCATTTTTTGAGGATAAATACAAACCCACTGCAGAAATTTGCATAAGTAACAAGGAGCAGAATGTTAATCACAAAGACAATGGGGAAAATGTCTCTAGGGCATGTCAGAGAACTTCATGGCATCCTCTCCCATCAAGACTCAGAGGCTTAGGCAGGAAAAATTGAGTGGTGGCACACACCTGTAAAAAAGAGTGGTGGCACACACCTGTATCCCAGCAAGACCCTGTCTCAAAAACAAAAGAAAATGAAAAAAATTGTTAGAACTGGTAAGTGAATTCAGTAGTTTCAAGATAAAAATAATAAGCATACAAAAGCAGTGGAGTTTCTATGCACTAACAGCAAATGATCTGAAAAGGAAATCAAGAATATAGTTTTATTTTAAATAGCTACAAAAAATAATAAATACTTAGGATAAATTTAGCCAAGGAGCTAAAAAATCTTCCCACTGAAACCTATTGAACATAATAAAAGAAATTGAAATAGACACAAACAAAAGGAAAGATAACTCACGTTCATGGATTTGAAAAATTATTTTTATTAAAATGTCCATACTACCCAAAGTGATCTAAAGAGTTGATATGGTCTGGCTGTGTCCCCACCTAAATCTCATCTTGAATTTTAATCCTTACAATCCCAATGTGTCATCACAGGAGGGATCTGTATCATGGAGGCAGTTTTCCCCATGCTGTTTTCATATAGTGAGTGAGGTCTCTTGAGATTTGATGGCTTTTTAAGGGACACTTCCCCATTTGCTCTTGTCTTTCCTGCCACTTTGTGAAGAAGGTGACTGCTTCCCCTTCTGCCATCATTGTAAGTTTTCTGAGGCCTCCCATCCATGCAGAAATGTAAGCCAGTTAAATATCTTTTATTTATGAATTATCCAGTCTCAGGTTGTATCTTTCCAGCAGTGTAAGAATAGACTAATACAAGAGTCAATGCAATTTTTATCAACATACAGATGACATTATTCACAAAAATAGAAAAAAGAATCCTAAAATTTATGCAGAACCAGAAAATACATCATATAGCCAAAGCAACGTTAAGCAGAAAGAGCAAAGCCGGAGGTATCACACTACCTGACTTCAAAATATATTACATAACTATGGTAACCAAAGCAGCATGGTACTGGTATAAAAACAGACACATAGACCAATGGAGCAGAACAGAGAACCTAGAAATAAATACACATATTTACAGCCAACTAACACTCAACAAAGTTACCAAGAACACACAATGGAGAAAGAACAGTCTCTTCAATAAGTGATATTGGCAAAATTAGATATCCACATGCAGAAGAATAAAATTAGACTCTTATTTCACACCATATATAAAAATCAATTAAAATGGACTAAAGGCATACATTTGAAACCTAAAACTATAAAACTATAAGAAGAAAACACAGAGGAAAAGCTCCTTGACATTACTCTGAGCAATGACTTTTTAATATGACCCTAAAGGCACAGGGAACAAAAGCAATACAGACAAATGGGGTTATATCAAATGAAAAAGGTTATGTATAGCAAAGAAAACAATCAACAGAATGAAGAGAACCTACAGAATGGCAGAAAATATTTGCAAACAGTACATTTGATAAGAAGTTAATATCCAAAATATATAACGAGCTCAAACAACTTGATAAGAAGAAAATAACTTGGTTGAAAAAATGGGCAAAATACCTGAATAGACATTTATCAAAAGAAAACATACAGTGACTAATAAGTATATTTTTTAAATGCTCAACAACACCAATCATCAGGGAAATACACATTAAAACCACAATGAAATAGTTCACATCTGCTCAAATTCTATTAACAAAAAGACCAAAGATAATTGTTGTCAAAGATGTGGAGAAAAAGGAACCCTTGCACACTGTTGATAGAAACGTAAGTTAGAACAATCATTATGGAAAAGAGAAAGAAATTTATCAAAAAATTAAAAATAAAAATCTTGCAAGTTATCACAACAAAGAAGTGATAAAGGTTTGAGGTGATGGATATGCCAGCTACCCTGGTTTGATCATTACACATGTATTCATATAATATATTGAAACATTACGTATACCACCATAAACATGTACAATTATTATGTGTCAATTATAAACAACTTTTTAAATTTCAAAAATAATTAAAAATAGAACTATCATATGATCCAGCAGTTCCACTATGGGGTATAAGAAATAACAATACATCAGTATGCCAGAGAGATATCTGCACTCCCGTGTTTATTGCAATGTTATTTACAATAGATAAGGAATCAACCTAAGTGACAATTAATAGGTGAATAAAGAAAATATAGTGTGTATACACACACACACACACACACACACACACACACACAATGGAACAGCCTTACAAAAAATAAGTAGTGTCACTTGTGGCAGTATGGATGAACCTGGAGGTTGTCAAGTGAATATTATGTGAAATAATCCAGGAACAGAAAGACAAGTAGTGCATATGTGGACTCCAAAAGAACTGATGTCATAGAAGTAGAGAGTAGAATAGCAGTTCTTGGGGTTTTGGTGGCTGAAGGTGGGCATTGGGAAGATGTTTGTCAAAAGATAAAAAATATCAGTTAGACAAGAAAAATAAGTTCAAGAAATCTATTGTACAATATGGTTGTTACATCTAATAATATATATATTAATGTATATAAATAATATATTCAACAATACATTAATAATGTATTCTTGAAAAATAATAACACAGTGAATATAAAGCATTATCACAACCAAAACTATGTGAGGCAATGCATAGGTTAATTAGCTAGATTTAATTTTTTCACAATGTATATATACAGTAAAACATGTTATACATGACAAATACATACAATTTTGTCTGTCAATTTAAAATTATGTAATACATAAAATACATTCTACATAAAAATCATAATACATGAAAGAGAAGAGTTACTGCACCAAACAAAAATAAAAATGACAATTTTGATGTTCATCAACAGATGGGTGAAAAAACAGACTGTGGTATATCCATGCAATGGACTACCACTTAGTAATAAAAGAAAATGAACTATTGATACATGCAGCAACAGGATAATTTTCAAAAACATTTTCAAAATAATTATGCTTTTTAAAAATATATACAAGAAAAGAAGTTTAAATGACTCATAGTTCTACAAGCTATACAGGAAGCATAGCAGCATCTGCTTCTGAGGAAGCCTCAGGAAGCTTTTACTTATGGTGGAAAGCAAAACAGGAGCAGGCAATTCACATAATGAAGGCAGGGATGAGAGACAGTGGAGGAGGGGAGGTGCCACACACTTTCAAAAACCAGATCTCATGTGAACTCATAGCAAGAGCTCACTTGTCACCAAGGGGTTGGTCCAAGCAGTTCATGAGAGATCAAATCCCATATTCCAATCACCTCCTGCTGGGCCCCACCTCCAATACTAGGGATTATAATTTAGCATGAGATTTGGGTGAGGACAAATAACCAAATTATATAATTCTTCCCCTTTCCTCCAATTCTTATGTTGTTCTCGTATTTCAAAATACAATAATCTCTCTCAATAGTCTCTCAAAAGTCTTAACTCATTCCAGCATTAAATTAAAATTTCCAAGTCCAAGTTCAAAGTCCCATCTGTGACTCATTTGCTTTTACCTATGAGCTTTCAAAACAAGTCATTTACTTCCAAGATATAATGAGACTATAAGTATTGTGTGAATATTCCTGCACCAAAAGAAAGAAAACAGCCAAAAGAAAGGAGCTACAGGCCCTGTGTAAGTTAAAAGCCCAGCAGGGCCGTCATTAAATCTTAAAATTCCATAATTTCTTTTGACTCCATGTCCCCCATGCAGGGCACACTGGTGCATGGGGTAGGCTCCCAAGGGCAGCTCTGCCCCTGTGGGTTTGCAGAGTTCAGCCCCTGAGGCTGCCATTATGGACTAGAGTTGAATGCCTGTGGCATTCAGGCAAGCTGCCAGTGGAGCTACCATTCTGGAGTCTAGAGAACAGTGGCCCCATTCTCACAGCTCCACTAAGCAGTGCCCAGGTGGGTACTCTATATGGGGCCTCCAACTCCACATTTCCCTCTGCACTGCCCTAGTAAAAGTTCTCTGTGAGACCTCTGCCCCTGTGGCAGCCTTCTGTCTGGGCACCTAAGCTCTCTTATACATCCTCTGAAATCTAGGCTGAGGACATCAAACTTCCTTCATTCTTGCACTCTGAACACCTGCAGGCTTAACGTCATGTGGAAACTGCCAAGGCTTACTTTTGCACCTTCTGGAGCAGAGGCCCAAGCTATACCTGGGCACCTTTGATGTAGGGCTGGAGCTGGGGCACCTGACATGTAGGAAGCAGCCTCCTGGGGTGGCACAGAGCAGTGACACCTCTGAAACTATTTAGTCCTTTTGGGCCTCTGGGCCTATGATATGAGGGGCTACTGCAAAGGTCTCTGAAAGGCCTTCAAGACCCTTTTCACTTTCTCTTGGCTATCAGCACTTGGTTCCATTTTAATTATGTAAACATCTCCAGTAAGTCTTTTCTCCACAGAATGCTTGAATCCATTTCCCAAAAAAGCTATTTCTTTCTCTGCAACATGGCTAAGATGAACATTTTTCAAACTTTCATGCTCTGTTTCCTGTTAGTAGGCCCTGGTATTTGTTATTCCCTTCTTTGTACTCAAAGTTTATCTCCCACTATAAGAGCATGCAGTATTTGGTATTTGGTTTCCTGTTCTTGAATTAGTTCACTTATGATAGTGGTCTCCAGCTCCAACCATGCTGCTGCAAAGGACAAGATCTTATTCTTTTTTATGGCTGCATAGTATTCTATGGTTTATATGTCCCCCATTTTCTTTATTCAGTCTACAGTTTATGGGCACTTAGGTTGATTCTCTCTTTACTATTGTGAATAGTGCTGCAATGAACATACAAGTGCATGTGTTATTATGGTAGAACGACTTGTATTCCTTTGGGTATATACCAAATAATGGGATTGCTGGGTCAAATGGTAATTCTGCTTTAAGTTCTTTCAGAAATTGCCAAACTACTTTCCACAATGGCTGAAGTAATTTACATTCCCACCAACAATGTGTAAGTGTTTCCTATTCTCCACAACCTGGCCAGAATCTGTTATTTTATGTCTTTTTAATAATAGCCATTCTGACTGGTGTGAGATGGTATCTCATTGCTGTTTTGGTTTGCATTTCTGTGATTAGTGATGTTCAGCATTTTCTCATATGATGTTAGCTAAATATATGTCTTCTTTTGAAAAGCGTCTGTTCAGTTCCTTTGCCCACTTATTAATGGGGTTATTTGCTTTTTGCTTGTAAAATTGTTTCAGTTCCTTACAGATTCTGGATATTAGATCTTCATCAGAAGCATAGTTTGCAAAAATTTTCTCAAATTCTGTAGGTTGTCTATTTAGTATGTTAATAGTTTCTTTTGCTGTGCAGGAGCAATTTAGTTTAATTAGGTCCCATTCATCAATTTTTCTTCTGGTTGCAATTGCTTTTGGCATGTTCATATTGAAATCTTTTCCCAGTCCTATGTCCAGAATGGTATTGCCAAGGTTATCTTCCAGGATTTTTATAGTTTTAGGTTTTACATTTAAGTGTTTAATCCATCTTGAGTTGATTTTTCTATAATCTTTTGGCATAATAAAAGTTTCAATTGATCCAGTTTCAATCTTCTGTATATGACTAGCCAGTTATCCCAGAACCATCTACTGAACAAGGAGTCTTTCTCCCTTGATTGTTTTTCTTAGCTTTGTCAAAGATCAGATGGCTGTATGTGTACAGCATTATTTCTGGCGTTTCTATTCTGTTTCATTGGTCTATGTGTCTGTTTTTGTACCAGTACCATGTTGTTTTGGTTACTGTAGCTTCATAGTATAGTTTGAAGTTTGATAATGTGATGTTCCCATCTCTGTTCTTTTTTCTTAGGATTGCCTTGATCATTTGGGTACTTTTTTGGTTCCATATGAATTTTGCATAGTTTTTTCTGGCTCTGTGAAGAATGTCTTTGGTAGTTCGATAGGAATAGCAGTGAATATTTAAATTGCTTTGTGTGGTATAGCCATTTTAACCATATAGATTCTTCCTATCCATGAGCATGGAATGTTTTTCCATTTACATGTGTCATCTCCAATTTCTTTGAGCAGTGTTTTGTGATCCTTTTTGTAGAGGTCTTTCATCTCCCTTTTAAGCTACTGGAAACACACCCTGGTAAGTTTTTGGGTGGAGTGTTATGTAGATGTCTATTAGGTCCATTTGATCAAGTGTTGAGTTGAGGTCCTGAATATCTTTGTTAGTTTTCAGCCTCATCGGTCTAATACTGTCAGTGGGGTGATGAAGTCCCTCAATATTATTGTGTGGTTCTCTACGTCTCTTTGTAGCTCTCTAAGAACTTGCTTTATCAGTCTAGGTGCTTCCATTTTGGCTGTGTACATATTTAGGATAGTTAAGTCTTCTTGTTGAATTGAGCCCTTTACAAATATGTAATGCCCTTTTTTGTCTTTTATGATATTTGTTGGTTTAAGGACTGTTTTATCTGAAATTAGAATACCAAAACCTATTTTTATCTGTTTTCCATTTGCTTGGTAGATTTTTCTTCATCCCTTTATTTTGAGACTATGGGTGTCATTGCATGTGAGTTGGGTCTCTTGAAGACAGCATACTGTTGGATCTTGCTTTTTTATCCAACTTGCCTCTCTTTACCTTTTCATTGGGTCATTTATGTCATTTTCATTTAGAGTTAGTGTTGATATGTGCATATTTGTTCCTGTCATCATGAGGTTAGCTGGTTGTTAAGCATATTTGTTTGGGTAGTTGCTTTATAGTTTCACTGGTCTATGTTCTTAAGTGTGTTTCTCTAGTGGCTGGTAATGGACTTTCTCTTTTGTGTTTAGCATTTCCTTCAGGACCTCTTTTATGGCAGGTCTGGTAGTAATGAAATCCCTTAACATTTGCTTGTCTAAAAAGGATCTTATTCTCCTCTGCTTATGAAGCTTAGTTTGGGTGCATATAAAATTTTTGATTGAAAATTCTTTTCTTTAAGAATGCTGAATATTGACGTGTAGGGTTTCTGCTGAGAAGTCTGCTGTTAGCCTGATGGGGTTCCCTTTTCAGCTGACCTGACCCTTTTCTCTAGTTACCTTTAACATTTTTTTTTTCAATCTTGGAGAATTTTATGAGTATGTGTCCTAGGGATGATCTCTTTGTGTATAACATAGCAGAGGTTCTTCACATTTCCTGAATTTGAATATTGGCCTTTCTAGCAAGGTTGGAGAAATTTTCATGGATGATATCCTGAAGTATGTTTTCCAAGATGCTTGCTTTCTCCCCATCTTTTTCAGGGATACTAATGAGTCAAAGATTTGGTCACTTTACATAATCCCATATTTCTGGCAGTTTTTTTTTCATTCTTTTGTATTATTTTATCTTTGTTTTTATCTGAGTTCATTCGGAGAACCAGTCTTTGAGCTCTGAGATTCTTTCCTCAGTTTGGTCTATTCTGCCATTAATACTTGTTATGGCATTATGAAATTCTTATAATGTGTTTTTCAGCTCTGTCAAATCAGTTTAGATATTTCTTATATTGGCCATTTCATCTATCAGGTTCTGTATTGTTTTATTTGTAATCCTTAGCTCCCTTGAATTGGGTTTTGACTTTCTCTCCTGAATCTTGATTATCTTTGTTGCTAGCCATATTCTGAGTTTTATTTCTGTCATTTTAGCCATTTAGGCCTGATTAAGAATGCTTGCTTGGGAACTAGTGCAGTTGTTTTGAGGAAAGAAGACACTATGGCTTTCTGAGTTGCCATATTCTTGCACTGGTTCTTTCTTATCTGTGTGGACTGATATACATTTAACTTCAGTGTAATTGGAATACAGTCAGTAGACTTCTTTTCTGGATGTTTTCATAGGGCCAAGGCTTTGTGCAGGATCTTTCTTTGTAGCTGAATTCTTGTCCTTGGTTTCACAGGGCATTGGCGGGGGAGCTATGATCTGTTTCAATCTTCTGAAAGTGTGCAATCCTTGCCTGCTCAAGTGCTGGCTTCACATCTTGGCTTGGCACTCCTGGTCTGCACACTACAGCTCTGGGGCAAGCTCAGGCTTAATGTTCCCTCCCAAGCTTAGGGGCAGCAGGGAAGGGACCTTGACAGTGGTGGTAGCAGAGAGCATTTCACTTGTCTCTTGGGGATCCACACCAGAGAAATTCAGAGGCACCATCAATCAGTGCAGTCAGCCTGAGGTGGGGCAGCTGCACTGTGAGCCTAAGCCATGGGGTCCCTGCCTGGTGATGAGCAGGTGAGGAGGAGAGTCTGAAGGCAACAGTGGTGAGGGCTGCAGCAAAAATGATGGCCTGCCTCTCCCTCTGGGAGCTCCATCCCAGGGAAGTACAGAGCTGCTACTGGCCTAAGAATGTAGGTGGGGTTTGTGTGGCTATGCTAGGATCTCAGGCCAAAGGCCCTTGTCCTGGGAGTTGCAGTGGAGGTGAGGTGTGCTGTTTATTGCTGCTCTGCCTCCTGGATTTGGTCCCTTTCATGAAGGTGTGTAAGGGAACATGACCTCTCCTGTTGCTGGAGCTTCAGTTGCTAATGTCAGGATTCCTAGAAATATAAGGTTCCCAGGACTCCATGCATGCCTAAGCAGAAGCTCTGCCCAGACTTCACATAGCTCTCTGTGTCAGTCAGGAGGCTCCAGTGGGGACCTCATGGGGGAGTCTCCTGAGCTCAGGGTTGCAAATTTCCATGGTAGAAGTGTGAGTTCCCAGGGACACTCACTTACTCACTCATTCATAATTTCCCCACAGTGGGGGGACCTCTCCTAGCTCTGTGCCAGTCCTGAGTGGGTGGTTGTCCTGTCTCTCTTTTCTCCATTCTTCATGGATTGAGTTGTTTCCTTGATGAATCCCAATGTGTCCACCTGGATGTTCCAGTAAAAGAGTTGGTATTTACTCACCACTCTTTCTCCTCTATGTGACAGTGGCACACACTAGCTGCTTCTAGTCAGCCATCTTGGTTCCTCCCTTTCAACTCTAAAATATTCTGAGTGTGTCTTAGCCATGTCTGGCTGCTGTAACAAAATACCATAGACTAAATGGCTTAAAAAAAGGAAAATGCAGTACATATACATCATGAAGTACTATGAAGCCATAAAAAGAAAATGATATCATGTTCTTTGCAGGGACATGGATGGAGCTGGAGGCCATTATCCTTAGTAAACTTATTCAGAAACAGAAAACCAAATATAGCATGTTCTTGCTTATAAGTGGTAGCTAAATGATGAACACATGGACACATAGAGGAAACAACACACACTGGGAGCTTTCAGAGAGTGGAGGTGGGAGGAGGGAGAGGATCAGGAAAAATACCTAATGGATACTAGGCTTAATACCTGGGTGATGAAATAATCTGTATAACAAACCCCTGTGACAAATGTTTACCTATGTAACAAAACTGCACATCCTGCACATGTACCCCTGAACTTAAAATAACAGTTAAAAAAAACAGACTTTTTTTTTCTCACAGTCTGGAGTCTGGGAAGTCAACAATCAAAGTGCTGGCAGATTTGGTTCTTGGTGAGTGCCCTCCTCCTGACTTGCTGACAATTGCCTTCTTATTGTATCTTCACATGGCAGAGAAAGTTTGATAAGAGGTTTTTATCATGAAATAATTTTGAATTTTATCAAATGCTTTTTCTGCATCTATTGAGATGATTATATGGTTTTTCTTCATTCTGTTGATGTGATGTATCATGTTTCTTCATTTGCATATGTTGAATCATCTTTGCATCCCTGGAATAAATCCCACTTGATTGTAGTGTATTATTTTTTGGGAGTGTTGTTGAATATGGTTTACTAGTATTTTGTTGAGGATTTTTGCGTCTATGGTCATCACGAATATCGCCCTGTAGGTTTTTTTAATCTTGTTTTTTCCTTGTCTGGTTTTGGTATCAGTGTGACGATGGCCTTGTAGAATGAGTTATGAAGAATTTTCCTGTCTTCAAATTATTGGAATAGTTTCAGGAGGATTGATATTAGTTCTTTTTTATAGATTTGGTAGAATTTGGCTTTGACTGCATCCAGCCCTGGGCTTTTTTTTTGGTGGGAAAATTTGTATTACTGATTCGATCTTGCTACTCATTATTGGTCTGTTCAGGAGTTCTATTTCTTCCTGATTCAATCTTGGTAAGTTATATCTGTCCAGGAATTTACCCATTTCCTCTAGGTTTTTCAATTTGTCAGTGTATAGTTGTTCATGATAGTCTCTGATGATCTTTTGTATTTCTGTGAGATCAAGTTGTAATATTTCCTTTTTCATTTCTGATTTTGTTTATTTGAGTGAATCTCCTCTACTTTATTGGTTAGTCTAGCTAGCAGTTTATCAATTTTCTTTATTTTTTCAAATAATTAACTTTCTGTTTCATTAATCATTTCTATTATTTAATCTCCATTTTATTTAGTTCTGCTCTCATTTCTTTTCTTCTGCTAATTTGGGATTTTGCTTGTTCTTAGGTTTCTTGTTCCTTGAGGTACATTGTTAGATTGTTAATTGGTAATCTTACTACTTTTATTATGTAAGCATTTATTGCTGTGAAATTCCCTCTTACCGCTGCTCTTGCTGTATCTCACAGGTTTTGATATGTTGTGTTTCCATTTTTATTTGTTTCAATAAAGTTTTTCATTTTTTTTTTTGAGATGGAGTCTCACTCAGTCACTTAGGCTGAAGTTCAGTGGCACAATCTTGGCTCACTGCAACCTCCACCTCCCGGGTTCAAGCAATTCTCCTGCCTCTGCCTCCCTAGTAGCTGGGACTACAGAGGTGTACAACCACACCCAGCTAGTTTTTATATTTTTGGTAGAGACAGGGTTTCGCCATTTTGGCCAGGCTGACCTCAAACTCCTAACCTCAGGTGATCTGCCCATCTTGGCTTTCCAAAGTGCTGGGATTACAGGCATGAGCCTCCATGCACAACCTCAACAAAGTTTGTTATTTCCATTTTAATTTTTCTACTGACCCAATGGTCATTCAGGAGCATGTTTAATTCTTCTGTGTTTGTACAGTTTCCAGAGCTCTTGTTGTTACTGATTTCTAGTTTTATTTCATTGTAGTCTAAGAAGATAGCTGACATGATTTTGATTTTTTAAAAATTGTTGAGAATTGCTTTTCAGCCTATCATATTGTCTATCCTGGAGAATTCTTCATATGCTGATGAAAAGAGTATACATTCTTCAGTTGTTTGATGGAATGTTCTGTAAATTTCTGTTATACCCATTTGGTCTAATGTCCAGTTAAAATCCAATGTTTCTTTGTTGATTTTCTGTCTAGATATTCTGTCTAATGCTGAGAGTAGGGTGTTAAAGTCACCCATGTTATTTCGTATTGCAGTCTACTTCTCTCTTTAGATCTACTAATATTTGCTTTATGAATCTGAATGATCCAGTGTTTAGAACTGTTATATCTTCTTGCCAGATTGATTCCATTAACATTATATAATGACTTTTATTGTCTACATTATTTTTACTGCTTTTGGTGTCCATTTACATGGAATATCTTTTTTATTTATTAAAATTTTATTTTAGTTTCAGGGGTATATATGCAAGTTTAATATATAGGTAAATTATGTGTTGTGGGGGTTTTGTGTACAGATTATCCCATCACCCAGGTAATAAGCATGGTACCTGATAGGTAGTTTTTCGTCCTCACCCTCCTCCCATCCTCCACCCTCAAGTAGACTCCAGTGTCTATTGTTCCCTTCTATGTGTCTATGTGTGCTCAATGTTTAGCTCCCACTTATAAGTGAGAACATGTGTTATTTTGTTTCCTGTTCCTGCATTAGTTTGCTGAGGATAATGGTCTCCAGCTGCATTCATGATGCTGCAAAGGACATGAGATCTTTTCCTTCCTTCCATCCTTCCTTCCTTCCCTCCTTCCTTCTTTCCTTCCTTCCTTCCTTCCTTCCTTCCTTCCTTCCTTCCTTCCTTCCTTCCCTCCTTCAGTTCACAGGTACATATGCAGGTTTGTTATATAGGTAAACTTGTGTTGTGAGGGTTCGTTGTACAGATTATTTTACCACTCAGGTATTAAGCCTAGTACCCATCAGTTATTTTTCCCAATCCTCTCCCTCCTCCCACCCTCCACCCTCTGATAGGCCCCAGTGTGTGTTGTTCCTCTCTGTGTGTCCGTGTATTCTTACTCTTTAGCTGCCACTTACAAATAAGAATATGCCATATTTGGTTTTCCGTTTCTGTAAGTTTGCTAAGGATAATGGCCTCCATCTCCATCCATGTTTCTGCAAAAAACATGATCTCATTCTTTTTTATAGCTGCATAGTATTCCACAGTGTATATGTAACACATTTTCTTTATCCAGTCACCATTGATGGGCATTTAAGTTGATTCCATGTCTTTGCTATTGTTGAACCAACTTTTCATCCCAGGGATAAAGCCTACTTGATCATGGTGGAATAGCTTGGGATGTGCTGCTGGATTCAGTTTGCTAATTTCTTGAGGAGTTTTGCATCTATGTACATCAAGTTTTCACCTTTTATGTGTGTGTGTCTGTGTCAGGTTTTGATATTAGAATTATGCTGGTCTCATAGAATGAGTTAGGAAGTTCCTTTCTCCTTAATTTTTTGGAATAGTTTCAGTAGAAAGGCTAACAGCTCTTTATACTTCTGGTAGAACTTAGCTATGAATCCATCTGGTCCTGGGCTTTTTCTGGTTGGTAGGCTTTTTATTACTGATTTAATTTTGGAACTCATTATTAGACTGTTCTGGGATTCGATTTCTTCCTGGTTTAATCTTGGGAGGTTGTATGTTTATAGGGATGTATTCATTTATTTAAAGTTTTGTAGTAATTAGTGTGCATATAGGTGTTCATAATAGTCTCTGATTTTTTTTTGTATTTTTGTGGGGCTAGTGGTAATGTCCCCTTTATCTATTACATGGAATACCTTTTTCGATGCTTTAACTTTTCATATGTGTCTTTACTGGTAACATGAGTTTCTTGTAAGCACCATAGAGTTGGATAATTTTTAAAATCCTTTTAGCTATTATAAATATTTTAATATAATAATTTAATCTGTTTATGTTCAAGGTTATTATTGATATGTGAGGCTTTGTTTTTTCATATTGTTAATTGATTGTTTTATATATTATTCTTCCTTTCTTCTTCTCTTATAGTTTGTCTTTGTGGCTTGGTGAATTTCTATAATGGTATCAGTTGAGTTCTTTCTCATCCTCAGTTGTGTATTGATTAACTAGTGAGTTTTATACATTTTTGTATTTTAATGTAGGTAAATGTTGTTCTTTCACTTCGAGATTTAGGTCTCCCTTGATCATTTCTTGTAGAGCCAGTCTAGTGGCAACAAATTCCCTCAGCATTTGCTTGTCTGGGAAATACTATATTTTTTTCTCATTTATAAAGGATGATTTTGCTGGATCTAATATTCTTGACTGTCAGGTTTTTTTTTT
This sequence comes from Homo sapiens, assembly GCF_000001405.40. Lineage (NCBI taxonomy): Eukaryota > Metazoa > Chordata > Mammalia > Primates > Hominidae > Homo > Homo sapiens. The sequence goes on along the minus strand of NC_000012.12, from coordinate 88,213,275 downwards.
TTCTTTCAGCACTTTGAATATATCATCCCATTTCCTTCTGACCTATAAGGTTTGTGTTGAGATATCTGCTGTTAGTTTGATGCAATTCCTTTTATATATGTGTAGACACACTTTTCTCTTGTTGTTTTTGGGAATCACTATCTTTGACTTTAGACAGTCTGGCTATAATGTACTGTGGAGAAGACATTTTTGCATTGTATATTCTTGGCAATAGCTGAACTTCTTGTATTTGTGTAAATCTCTTGCTAACATTAGGAAGTTTTCATCTATTATTTTGTTAAATAGGTTTTATAATTCTTTGTCTTTTGCCCTCAAGGATATTGATTATTCAAATATGTGGTTGCTTTATGTTGTTCCAAATGTCATGAGGGCTTTGTTCACAATGTTTATACTTTTTTTTCTTTATATTTGTCTGACTCATTTATTTCAAAAGACCTGTCTTTAAGTTCTGGGATTCTTTCTTCTGCCTGATCTATTCTATTTTTGGAGCTTTCAAATGTATTTTGCATTTCCTTTAATGAATTCCTCAGTTCCAGACTTTCTATTTGGTTCTATTAAAAGTATATATCTTTTTCGTAAATTTGTCATTTATATCCTGAATTGTTTTCCTGATTTCTTTGTATTGTTTTTTTAGAATTCTCTTGCATCTCACTGCACTTCTGTAAAATTAATATTTTGAATTCTTTACTTGGGATTTTGATTTTTTAAAATTAAGATATATTTCTGATTAGAGCAAGATGATCCTCAGTAAAAAAAAAAAGAATTTTTTTTAAAAGAAAAATATCTATTTCTGGTAAATTATTCTGTTCCTTTGGAGGAGTCATATTTACTTGCTTTTTCATGATTTCTTTGTCCTTATGTTGATATTTATGCATCTGGTGTGTGATGGATAATATTGAGTGTCAACTTGATTAGATTGAAGGATACAAAGTATTGATCTTGGGTGTGTCTGTGAGGGTGTAGGCAAGAAAGAATAATGTTTGAGTCAGTGGGCTGGTGAAGGCAGATCAACCCTTAATCTGGTGGGCACAATCTAATCAGCTGCCAGCAAATACAAAGCAGGCAGAAAAAGGTGAAAAGGAGAGACTGTCCTGGGCTCCCAGCCTACATCTTTCTCCCATGCTGGATGCTTCCTGCCTTTGAGCATCAGACTCCAAGTTCTTAAGCTTTGGGGCTTGGACTGGCTCTCCTTGCTCCTCAGCATGCAGCCAGCCTATTGTGGGACCTTGTGATAGTGTAAGTTAATATTTAATAAACTCCCCTTTATATACATCTATATATATATTAAATATTAACTTACACTATATATATATATTATATATATATATATATATATATCCTATTAGTTCTGTCCCTCTAAAGAACCCTGACTAATACAGATTTTGGTACCGGGAGTGGTTCTAGAAGAACAGAATATTAAAGATAGAGTTTTCTCATTGGTTTTGGGGTTTCAGGAGTTGGCTGCTTAATATGATTAGACTCAAAAATGCGAAGGACTCTATTTCTAAGAGTATGGAGAACACAGATAGTTCTTGGCATTAACTCTTTAGAGAGTTATGCAAAATAAATGCACTTGACACTACTGATTCACTGCTCACAAGAGGCAAGAAGTTCAATGGCTACATACATAATATCTGTAACCATATGTGGAGAATCAAGGAACATAATGAAGCTGGTTGGTTGCTCCTAAGTTTGGTGGACAAAGTGATCAAAGAAAATGATGAACTCAGGGATTCTGTCTCCCAGCTTTAGAAGCAGATACTGAGCCTCAAATCTGCTAAGATTGCCCTGAGTGAGAGTCTTATCTCTTGTAGTGAAAGAGCTGAAATTGTAGAAAAACAGACACAAGCTCTTATCATGTGAGTGGGTGACCTGCAGCGAAAGGTGCATGCACAGACTTGCCAGGTGTCCACTGTTAAAGTGAGGGCATTGATTGGAAAAGAATGGGACCCTGAAACTTGGAATGGAGATGTGTGGGAGGACCCTGATGAAGCTGGGGACACTGAGTTTATAAGCCCTGATGAACTTTTTTGCCAGAAGAAACAGCTTCCCCATCCCCAGTAGTGGTAACGTCTCCTCCCCAACCCATGCTGCTATCAGCCTTTCCACCTCTGTCTGAGGAGATAAACCCTGTGCTGCCTGAGGCAACAGTGATGACCTCCCCTTATGCAGTTGCCAGGCAACTCCCTTAGGAGCCACACCCAACACCTCTGTTTGCTTCTAGACCTATAACTAAAGTCCTGGCAGACCCCAGGAGGTGAGGTAGAAAGTGTGACCCATGAGGAGGTGTGTTGCACTCAAAAGAACTGTTTGAGTTCTCTAATTTATATAAACATCAACCTGGAGAACAGGCATGGGAATGAATATTAGGAGTATGGGATAAAGGTGAAAGGAACATAGAGTTGGATCAGGCTGAATATATTGATTTGGGTCCACTAAGTAGGGACTCTGCTTTTAATGTTGCAGTTCAGGGAGTTAAAAAGGGTTCTAATAGTTTATTTGCTTGGTTAACTGAAATATGGATTAAATGATGGCCCACTGTAAGTGAGCTGGAAATGCCTGATCTCCCTTGGTTTAATGTAGAGGAAGGAATCAAAAGGCTTAGGGAAGTTAGGATGGTGGAATGGATTAGTCACTTTAGACCTGCTCATCCCAGCAGGGAGGGTCCAGAAGATATACCTTTGACCAATGCCTTGTGAAATAGATTTGTGAGGGCAGCACCTGCATCTTTGAAGAGCCCTGTAATTACTCTTCTCTGTATGTCAGATCTAAGGGTGGGAACCACAGTCACTCAACTACAAAATTTAAATACAATGAGAATAGTTGGATCCATAGGTGGCGGGGGCCAAGTGGAGGCACTCAACTGTCAAAGGCAAGGTGGACATAGCTACTGCAATGGACAGCAGAGGCAAAGTGGCAATCAGAATATTCTGACTTGTGTAGAGCTCTGGCATTGGTGAATTAATCAGAGTTCCTAAAAGTGAAATAGATAGGAAGCCTACTGCATTCCTACTTAATTTATACAAGCAGAAAACTTCTAGGTCGAATGAACAAAAGAGTACTTTGAATTATAAAAAGAGAGAATCACGGCCCCTCAATCAATTTCCAGACTTGAGCCAGTTTACAGACCCAGAACTCCTTGAAAGAAGGCAAAACCAGGTCCCCTTGAGGGAGGACCCCACTACATTACCGATAATTTATGCAGTGAATCTTTCTCCCATTCTTCCCCAAGGAGACCTTTGGCCTTTTCCCAGGGTAAATATGCACTGGGGAAAGGGAAATGATCAAACATTTCAGGGACTACTGGACACTGGCTCTGACATACATATATCCTAGTAATTCTGTCCCTCTAGAGAACCCAGAATAATACAGGTGTAATAGTTGCTTCTTGCAAATTTGAGTTTACTAGTGTATAGGAGGAGGATGTTTTCCTGCCCTGTATCCTATGATGTTGGTTAGGTAGGTGATATAGTTTGGTTGCTTGTCCTCTCCAAATCTCATATTAAAATGTAATTCCCAGTGTTGGAGGTGGGAATGACTTGGTGCTACCCTTGCTACAATGAATGAGTTCTTGCTCTGAGTTCACGAGAGATCTGGTTGTTTAAAAAAGTGTGGCACTTCCCCCTCTCTCTCTTGCTTCTGCTCTTGCCATGTGATGTGCCTGCTCACGTATTACCTTTTACCATTACTAAAATCTTTCTGAGGCTTCATCAGAAGCTGAGCAGATGCTGGCAGCACATTTCCTGTACAACCTGTAGAACTGTAAGCCAATTAAACCTCTTGTCTTTATAAATTACCCTGCCTCAGGTATTTGTAGCAAAGTGAAAACAGACTAATACAGTAAGGCACTTTGGTTTTGATCTTAAGTGCATGTATTAGTGTAGTCTCTGAATGTTTTCTTTGGCTGCAAAGGGCATTAGTGGTGTCTGTGATTTTTCTCAGTTTTTTAGGGTGCAGTTATTAGTGGAAGTTGTCCTGGGTACTGGGATGCCAGTTGTGCCAGTCTTCAGGCCCTAGTGGTGGCAGTGGTGGTCTGAGCATGATTAACTTTGTGCCCCAAGGTGGCATATGCTGGCACCTGTGTTGGTGGTTACTGGCAGGCTGATTCTTTGGCTTCCAGGTGTCTTTCTCAGATGCTTGTAGTGACAGTGGTTGACTGGGCAGGTGGATAGGTTCTTGGGCACCGAGGCATCCAATGTGGCATGAGCAATGACAGTAGCAGTGGTAGGATGATTCTCTGCATCCAGAATGGTGTGCATTGATGTTGGTGTTGGCTGCAATGAGCTGCACAGGCCCATCTCCAGGCCTGCAGGTGGCATTTGCAGGTAGGTGACAGCTGAAGTGATAGTGGTCAGGAGTTTAGGCCCATCCTCCAGTTCCTGGGAGAAGTGCTCAGATGCCCAAGTTGGTGGATTGGATTGTGCAATCTCCAGGACCCCAGGCTATGTGCTCTGTCTCAGAGGTGGGGTGAATGTGGGCTGGGTGGGCTTGTGTTCAGGTCCCCCCAATAGTTAGAGCAGGCACCCGTTGTAGTTGGTGGGGGCCTGATGATCCTCAGGCCCTTCCTGGAGTGTTTGAGTGAGGAGGCAGTCACTACCATGCAAATGCTAGAGAGGGTGTGGTTGGCCTTGATGGCCACAGCCTGGGCCTCAAGGTGAGAAAAATGCATCTCTCTCATGCCCCATTCCCAGAGGGGCTCACCCCTTGAACCCTGGGGCTGGCAGCTCCTGTTAAGCTTGCACCCTAGCCCTGGCTGCAGAAACCCACATCCATCTTGTGACTAAGTCTCAGCGGCAGCTCACACCAAATTGCATCACAGTCTCAGTCCTGGAAGCACTCACTTCTGGCACCAGCAGCTACAGCCAACCCCTTGCTCACTTCTCAGCCCTGGCTGCAGAAGCACTCCCAGATCATGCCCTAGTCTCAGCAGCAACAACCTAAATTTCCCTAACACCTCATTCCCGGTATGCTGTCCCAGGAGAGTGTGCAGTCTACCAAATGCTAGGTTTTAAAATGGCACCTTGCTGTAGCTGCTTAGGTCACAGAAAGGTTGTGGTACTCAGTGTGAAATCCCTCCCTGGAGCAATCCTATTCTACAGTCATCTCCTGGCAGCTCCCTATGTTAGTTTCAGGGATAGGGAGGGTCAAGAGACTATTCTGTGGCCAGGATTTTACTATTCTGCGGTGGGGATGTGGGCTGCTGGAAATCTCTCACTCACCCTTTGAGTTGGGAAGTTACTCCCGGCTAATCTGGGCTAAGCAGGCTACCTCCTTTCCTTCTTCCTTGCTTTTGGTGTTTCCTGTCACTTCTCTGTTGAATTCCAGAGCTTTTTCTTGGATGCTGTATTTGAAGTCTGACTATATACCATTTTGGTCTTCTAAGTGGAGGAGGTGAGCATGAAATGCTACCAGTCAGCAATCTTGAAGCCCCTCCTTTGACCCAAATACTGCTTTTGCCTTATTCTCTTCTTCTGGGACTTCATTTATATGAGTGTTACCCTATTTTACTTATCACATGTGTGTTTTACATTCTGTTCTTTTCTTTATGTTTCTTCTCTTTATATTTCAGCTGGTTGAGTTTATATAGGTGTGTTTTTGAGTTTACTAATTCTATTTTTTGCTCTGTCCAGGCTTCTGTTAAGTCAGCCTAATTTCATATGTTTTTCAGTTCAAGAATAGTACATTTGATTCATTCCTATAGATTTCAATTCTATACTAAAATTCTATATATTTCAATCCATTTTGTTCATGTTTTATAATATAGTTTGGATATTTGTTCCCCATATCTCATGTTGAAATATTATTCCCAATGTTGGAGGTGGGCCTGGTGGAAGGTGATTGGGTCTAGGGGATGGATTTCTCATGAAAGTTTTAGCACAGTCCCCTTGGTGCTCTCCTCATGAGAGTGAGTGAGTTCTCATGAGATCTGAATGTTAAAAATGCCTGGCGCTTCTCCCCCTTTCTTGCTCCTACTGTCACCATGTGACACGCCTGTTCCTGCTTCACTTTCCATCATGAGTAAAAGTCCCCTGAGGCCTCCACAGAAGCCAAGGAGATGCCACCACCATGTTTGCACAGCCTGAGGAACCATGAGCCAATTAAACCTATTTTTAAAATAAATTACCCAAGTCTCAGGTATTGCTAATAGCAATGTAAGAATGGCCTAATACAGAACATTGGTACTGAGGAGCAGAACATTGCTGTAAAGATACTTGAAAATGTGGAGGCAACTTTGGAACTGGGTAACAAACAGTGTTTGGAGGACTCAGAAGAAGACAGGAAGATGGGGGAAAAGTTTAGAACCTCCTAGAGACTGGTTAAATGGCTGTGACAAAAAATGCTTATAGTGATATGAACTGTGAAGTTCAGGCTGACAAAGTCTCAGATGGAAATGAGGAACTTATTGGGAAATGGGGCAAAGGTCGCACATGTTATGCCTTAGCAAAGAGTTTGACTGCATTGCATTCATGGCCTAGGAATCTGTGGAAGTTTGGACTTAAGATTGAGGATTTAGGGTATCTGGTAGAAGAAATTTCTACACAGCAATGTGTTTGAGATTGACCTGGTTGCTTCTAATAAGCTCAGATAAGGGAGCCAAGAAATGGCTTAAGAGTTGGAAGTTACATTTACAGGGGGAGCAGAGCATAAAAGTTTTGAAAATTTGCAGCCTGGACATGTGGCAGAGAAGGAAAAAGCATTATCAGAGGAGTAATACAAGTGGGCTGAGGAGCAACCACTTGCTAGAGAGATTTGCAGGACTAAAATACAACCAGGTGCTGGTAGCCAAGAAAATGGTGCTTGTAGCCATCAAAGCCAAAAAGGCCTTGCAGACATTTCAGAGATATATGAGGCAGCTCCTCCCATCACAGGCCCAAAGGCCTAGGAGGAAGATATGGTTTACTGGACAGGCCCAGGGCCTGCTGTCCTGTGCAGCTTCAGGGCACTGCTCATCACATCTCAGCTGCTCCAGCTCCAGCCACAGCTCAAGGCAGCCTAGCCATAGCTCCAGTCATCACTCTGGAGGGCATAAGCCATAAGCTTTAGTAGCTTTCTCGTGGTGTTAATTTAAGCCTGTGAGCATGCAGAGTGCAAGGGAGGAGGATGCTTGGCAGTATCCACCTAGATTTCAGAGAATGTATATATTAGTCTGTTTTCATGTTGCTGCTGAAGACATACCCAAGACTGGGCAATTTACAAAACAAAGAGGTTTAATGGACTTACAGTTCCACGTGGTGGGAGAGGCCTCACAATCATGGCAGAAGGTGAAAGGCACATCTCACATGGCAGCAGACGAGAGAAGAGAGCTTGTGCAGGGAAACTCCCCTTGTATAATCATCAGATCTCATGAGACTTATTCACTATCATGAGAACAGCAAAAGAAAAACCTGCCCCCATGATTCAATTACCTCCCACAGGGTCCCCCCCACAACACTTGGGAATTCAAGATGAGATTTGGGTGGGGAGACAGTAAAACCATATCATTCCAACCCGGCCCCTCCCAAATCTCTTGTTCTCACATTTCAAAAGTAATCATGCCCTCCCAACAGTCCTCCAAAGTCTTAGCTCATTCCAGAATTAACTCAAAAGTCTGCAGTCCAAAGTCTTATCTGTGACAAGGCAAGTGTCTTCCACCTATGAGCCTGTAAAATCAAAAGCAAGTTAGTTACTTCCTAGATACAATGGGGCTGCAGGCATTGGGTAAATACAGCCATTCCAAATGGGAGAAATTGGCCAAAACAAAGGGGCTAAAGGCCCCATGCAAGTCCAAAATCCAGCAGGGCAGTCAAATCTTAAAGCTCCAAAATGATATCCTTTGACTCCATGTCTCACATGCAGGTCACACTGATTCAGGAGATGGGTTCTCATGGTCCTGGGCAGCTCTGCCTCTGTGGCTTTTTGGGGTACAGCCTCCTTCCTGGCTGCTTTCATGGGCTGGTGTTGAGTGTCCACAGCTTTTTCAGGTGCACAATGCAAGCTGTTGGTAGATCTACCATTCTGGGTTCTGGAGGATGGTGGCCCTCTTCTCACAGCTCCACTAGGCAGTGCCCCAGTAGGGACTCTGTGTGGAGGCTCCAACCCCACATTTCCCTTCTGTCCTGCCCTAGCAGAGGTTCTCCATGAGGGCCCTGCCCCAGCAGCAAACCTGCCTGGGCATCCAGGCGTTTCCATACGTCTTCTGAAATCTACTCGGAGGTTCCCAAACCTCAATTCTTGACTTCTGTGTACCTGCAGACTGAACAACATGTGAAAGTTGCAAAGGCTTGGGGCTTGTAGCCTCTGAAGCCATGGCCCGAGCTGTACCTTGGTCCCTTTTAGTCATGGCTGGAGTGGCTGGAACACAGGACACCAAGTCCCTAGGCTACACACAGCACAGACACTCTGGGCTTGGCCCACTAAACCATTTTTTTTTTCCCTAGACCTTCAGGTCCATGATGGGAAGGGCTGCCATGAAGACCTCTGACATGCCCTGGAGACATTTCCCACATTGTCTTGGGGATTAATTTGGCTTCTAGTTACTTATGTAAATTTCTGCAGCTGGGTTGAATTTCTCCTTAGAAAATGGGATTTTCTTTTCTACTACACTGTCAGGCTGCAAATTCTGCAAACATGTATGCTCTTTTTCACTTTAAAAACTAAATTCCTTTAACAGCACACAAATCACCTCTTGAATGCTTTGCTGCTTAGAAATTTCTTCTGCCACATACCCCAAATCATCTTTCTCAACGTCAAAGTTCCACAGATCTCTAGGACAGGGGAAAAATGCCTCCAGTCTCTTTGCTAAAACATAACAAGAGTCACCTTTGCTCCAGTTCCCAACAAGTTCCTCATCTCCATCTGAGACCACTTCAGCCTGGATTTCATTGCTCATATCATTATCAGCATTTTGGTCAAAGCCATTCAACAAATCTCTAGGGAGTTCCAAACTTTCCCACATTTTCCTGTCTTCTGAGCCCTCCAAACTGTTCCAACCTCTGCCTGTTACTCAGTTCCAAAGTTGTTTCCACATCTTTGGGTATCTTTTTAGCAGCACCCCACTCTACTGGTACCAATTTACTGTATTAGTCTGTTTTCACACTGCTGATAAAGACATACTCGAGACTGGGCAATTTACAAAAGAAAGAGGTTTAATGGACTTAGTTCCACGTGGCTGGGGAGGCCTCACAATCATGGCGGGAGATGAAAGGCACATCTCACATGGTGGCAGACAAGAGAAGAGAGCTTGTTTAGGGAAACTTCTCCTTATATAATCATTAGGTCTCATGAAATGTATTCACTGTGATGAGAACAGCACAGGACAGACCTGCCCCCATGATTCAATTACCTCCCAGACAAACCATATCAGTATGGAAAACCATGGGGTCCTGGCAGATGCCTGCTGCATGGGTGGAGCCCTCACAGAGAACTTCTACTAAGGTAGTGCAGAGGGGAAATGTGGGGTTGGAGGCCCCACCCAGAATTTTCACTTGGGACACTGCTTAGTGAAACTGTGGGAAGGGAAGAAGACCAGTATCTTCCAGGCCTGAACATGGTTGATCCACTGGAGACTTTCACCCTTCATTTGGAAAGCCACAGACACTTGACTCCAACCCATGAGAGCAGCCTCAGGGGCTAAATCCTGCAAAGCTCCATTGGGTAGAGGTGCCCAAGGTCTTGGGAGCCCACCCCTCATATCAGTGTGCCCTGGATATGGGACATGGAGTCAAAGGAGATTATGTTGGAGTTTTATGATTTAATGATGGGCCTGCTGGATTTCGCAGTTGTGAGGGGCCTGTAGCTCCTTTCTTTTGGGCATTTTCTCCCTTTTGGAATGGGAATGTTTACCCAATGTCTGTATCTCCATTGTATCTTGGAAGTAAATAATTTGTTTTGATTTTACAGGCTCATAGGTAGAAGGGACTTGACCTGGAAATTTTGAGTTAATGCTGGAATGAGTTAAGACTTTTGCGGACTATTGGGGAGGCATGATTATATTTAGCAATGTGAGAAGAACATGAAATTTGGGGGGCCAGGGATGGATTGACATAATTTTGATATTTGTCCCCCCAAATCTCATGTTCAACTGTAATCTCTAATGTGGGAGGTGACTGGACCATAAAGGTGAATTTCTTATTAATGGTTTAGCACCATCCACTTGGTGATCTCCTCACTAGTGAGTGAGTTATCATGAGATTTAGTTGTTTAAAAAGTGTGTGGTGCTTCCCCCACTCCTATTGCTCCTGCTCTTGCCATATGGTGTGCCTGCTCCTGCTTCACCTTCTACCATAAGTAAAAGCTCCCTGAGCCCTCCATAGAAGCCAAGCAGATGCCAGCACCATGCTTATACATTGTGAGCCAATTAAACCTCTCTTTTAAAATAAATTACTCAGTCTGTTTTTTTTTTCCACACCAATGCAAGAATGCCCTAATAGTCTTTTCTTTTTACTATAGTTATTTTAAAGTATTTGGTAACCTTAGTATTTATTCGGATAATTGGTATGTATGCTGCTATTTTTGTCTTATTAGTCATATTTTTCTGCATTTTTGGATATGTAACTCAAAATCAGATAAGTGTATATGGGGTACAACAGAGATCAGTTTTAGGTTTGATGCAGGCTCCCCTCTACAGGATTTTGTCACCATAGCAAGGCAAAAATATGGGAGATTTTACTGTACTTTTACAGTCAAGGCCAACAATCTCCTGTGTCAATGGAGAACTCAGTATATAGCTCATGGGATGAACCAGCCTTGTGTTTGGTCTCTTCTAGTTTTCAATATATAATGCCATTCCCACGTGATTACCCAAAGTTCTGCCAGTTTCTCTTTCTCCTGGTAAGTTTCCTCTGCTCAGGACAATCCAAAGTTTCATTCCATATGCAGAATTTGGAAATGCTCCAAAAGAAGAAATTAGCTGGAAATGGCGAATGGCTCTCCTTGGAAGGACTCTTTTCTCTGGATTTTAATTTTCATGGTTTGAATTGCTTTTATTCATAGCTCTCTAATACATTTTATTTTATTTCATTTTATTTATTATTATTTTTGGAGACAGGGTCTCACTCTGTCGCCTAGGCTGGAGTGCAGTGGCGCTATCTTGACTCACTGCAACCTCCGCCTCCCAGGTTCAAGTGATTCTCGTGCCTCAGCCTCCTGAGCAGCTGGGACTACAGGCAGGCATCACCACGCCTGGCTAATTTTTGTATTTTTAGTAGAGACAGGGTTTCACTATGTTGGCCAGGCTGATCTTGAACTCCTGACCTCAAGCAATCCACCTTCCCCAGCCTCCCAAAGTGCTGGAATTACAGATGTGAGCCACTGCGCCTGGCTGTAACTCTCCAATATATTTTAAAATATGCCCTTTAATGTGTCTTTTAAAAAAATAGTTGTAGCTGTGAGAATTTTGTCATGCCATGACCAACTATATCCTCCCTAAGAAGTTCTCCTCCACTCTTTTGGTATTGATTTCTAATTTTGTTGTATTATGGTCATAGTATTCTGGAATTTACTAAGGTTTCTTTTGTGGTCTAATACTTACTCTACTTCTCCTATAAGTATTAAGAAATAAGGCATAATCTCTGCATCAATTGTAAAATTACATACAAATTTATAGTTCAAACTTACCATTATTTATTGTTTAAGCCTTAGGACACCTGATTTTTCTTTCTGCTTGATCCATTAGTTTCTTCAAGGGTTTTGTTAAAATCTCCAGCTACATTTTTTGATTTATCTACTGTCTTGTACTATTGTCTATTGTTGCTTGATCTATTTTTAGACTGTATCATTAGGTGGCATATGTATTTATGATAAACATATCTTCTTGTTCTATTATTCCACCAGTACACATTATTCATGTTTCCCTTATTCCTTTTCTTCCCTTTAGCTTTAAGTTCTATCTTGTCATGTATCAAAATTCCTACACTAGCTTGCTTTTGGTTCATATTTCCTGTTAGACTGTCATGCTTTTATTTAACTTCTCTATATCGTGTGTTTTGAAACAGCATATTGTTGAAGCTTTACAACACATTTATAATTAAATGTTATATATTTAAATATTCAAACATAAACATCAAGAGCCCCTTTTTATTTAACCCATTTATTCACTGTAATTATTGCTATATTAATTAAGTCTAACAGCTTCTGTAGTACTGCATTTTTAAATTTTCCCTTCTCCCATTATATTCCATCAGAATTTTCTTCTGATGATTTAAAAGTTCTAGATCCTTTTTTTTTTGAGACGAAGTCTCCCTTGGCCACCCAGGCTAGAGTGCAGTGGTGCAATCTCAGCTCACTGCAACTTCCACCTCCCAGGTTCAAGTGATATTCCTGCGTCAGCCTCCCAAGTAGCTGGGACTATAGGCATGCACCACCACTCCCGGCTAATTTTTGTATTTTTAGTAGAGATGGGATTTCACAATGTTGGCCAGGCTGGTCTCGAACTCCTGAGCTCAAGTGATCTGCCCACCTCAACCTCCCAAAGTGCTAGGATTATAGGCCACGAGGTGTAGAGTCTTTATGTATTTTTGTAGTATGTTTTAACCTAAGCCCATAATCATGCTTATTTGCCCTTAAACTTTGTCATTATTTTGAGTAGGTAAACCATTGGCAAGCTTTTATAATCCTTTGGTCTCTCTCCCCTACGTCTCTTCCCGGCTTCACATTGTACATACTTTTTTTTCTTTCTTACAGTAAACTTTTTATCCACTGGCCGTGCATTTGGAAGAGGTTGGGGGCAATGAATGCCTGAGAATATGATGCTTAGTAAACCATTGGGTTCACAGTTCCGGGGCTTGGAGAAAATCTGGGCTAGAGATCTGGAATATATACAGCTGAAACTACTGCTCCACAGAAAGAGAAAAAGAAGAGTGGAAAAAGAACACTAGTATTCACTAGTATTTAAGTGATAGGCAGAGAAAAAGAAGCCTGCAATGAAAACTATAGATCACTGAAGCAAATAGTCATAAAGGAAATCATGTTAAAAATTTCCATGCTGTCCACTGCCCAGGACTTTTACACACATCACTGTTAAAACTAGATCTGATTCTGCTAACAATCTGGTTACTCAATCCCACTCTCAAAGGTCAGTAACCTGGCCTGTCAGGGCCAATCCAAAACAGTTACCTGGTCAGAAGTGTTTGTTGCAGTTAGCAAGCTTTTTGAGACCTAATTTAGTTAGAAAGCAAGAATGGTAGAGAAACGCCACATCCACGAAACCCATTCTACTGCCTGAAACTTTACAAAGAAAGTGGTTCACTTGACTTAACCTTTGATATGGCTAATAAGATTCACCCATCATTTATACTTTAGTATGGGTTTGTTTAGTCAGTGTATGGTCCCAATATTTGAAACTAAACCATGGAGGCAAGCAATAAAGACAAAATTTTGACCATGCGTCTTTAAGAAAGGGCAAACTAGAATGGTTTTTTGAGGGTTATTTTATTTAAGGCAGAAACATGAAAGCATCACGTTATACGTGCTACTTGATGGAAATATGCTATCCATTGAGTCACAGAAATGTTGACGAAGAAAGTGAGTTACAAAGAAAGAACATGAATTTGCCTGGATCCAGTCTTCAGACTTTATCTTTCATTTTATGCTACCTCCCTGATGGCAGTGAACAGCACAAGGTAGTACAATTTTAAGGTGTCTCAGTTATGCATTTTAGCTTCATCCTAAGTATAATTTATCTTAGGCTATCTATGTACTTGTTAGCATAGATAGCAAAGGAACAAGCATTACTATTAGATTTCTAATCATTTGCTTGTTATCCTGTCACTGACATTACAGCTACTAGCACAAATACAAATTAAGTCATATGCATCAAATCCAAGACTTTAAGCCTTATGTTTATACTAATAACTAATATTTATTATTTGCTATGTGCTAGAAACTCTAAGCAATTTAAATATATTAATATATACAATATATCATATAAATATATAAATCCTCTTCACAATTTTAAGAGGAAAATGTTTTTCCCAACTTGTAGATGAAGAAACTGAGGACATATAGGTAGAACAATTTCCTCTAAGTTATGCCAGAGGCAATACCAGGCACATATAGAAATGAAATTCGTATAAAATTCCAAGTCTGAGTTGTTTCCTTTTCTTAATTTGGTGGTTGTCACTCCTCATGTTTGAAAATGTATCACTCTCAGAAACTTATTTAATGTCTTTCTCAGATCACTGCTAATAAATTACGTCAGCTCTTCTTCATAAAAGAAATCTCTATATACAATGTTGTATTTTTTTAACACTAAAAGGCAAGCCAGGTTATGGTTTTAAGAAGTACCAATTTAATAATGAATACTTAGAAATATGGTACACAGATACCATAGTAATATAAAATGCATACAATTTTAAATTATTTTCTTATAAACTCTCTACATGAATGGCTGGCGGCTTCCAACAGATAAACTTTTGGACAAAGGTACAAGATATTTTTGGGCATTCATTTTAAATACCATCTAGTTATCCAATTAGGAGGTTTCTAAAAAAATAAATATGACAAATATATGGATTTCTGAAGTATAAACTGACATACAAATCTATATATTTTCTTAATACTTTTCATTAAAGCATCTTTAAAGCATTCTGTAACATGAAGTTGAGAGTTCAAATTAGATGTAATGAAAAGGCATGAGGTTTTATTAGAACTGTGTAATTCACATATCAAATTTTTACATAAAAGTAAACAAACACAAAATTGAAAAGCAAAATACGTTATTTTACTCTCCAAGTTACCAATTTCAGAAAACTACTCACTGGAAAAATTAATATTCCCAATTCTGAATGTTAATAAGAAAACATGTAGGTGCAATTCCAGAAACTTAATTCTACCTTCTAAGAAGCAGTGAAGGAGTAAGGTAACACTGCCCCTTGGGGATTGTCAAAGCTTTTCTAGAACTGCTGGAGAGCTGATTCTCTTTTGAGACAGTGAGAATTAAAACTATCCATTCACCAGCATACAAACCTGTGATAAGCTCTCTTTTCCAAACTTCCATATGATCAGAACTCTGAACCATAGGTTAGTGAACTGACCTTAAATGTGCCCACCTCCTCCATCTCACTGAACAGGCAGCTCCAGAGGAAAAAAAAAAAAATCCATTATGTTTTCTCACCTGAACAGTTTGAATGAAATATCTATTTTGAAGTTATAGAGAAGAAATAATAATCTTACACAAGGGCTAGTTTGATGGAACTTAAACTCTTAAATTTCATGTAATAAATGCTAGTTATTAGAAGAATATGTTCTTTAGTGGAATTTAAACCATCAAAACTTAACTGGGTACATTACTAGTTTTAAAAGTTAACATGGGAGAAATAAAAGCATTTTCCTGCACTAATTTAGAGCAGTGGTCTTCAACTCTGACTACAAATTAGAATCACTCAAAGAGCTTTTGGAAAAACAAGCATGGCTCCATCTTCCAGAAATTTAGACTTAATTGTTATGAGGTGGATTCCATATTAAAAGTCCTCAGATGATTCTAATATGAAGTGAGGGTTGAAAACCACTGATTTAAAACAATTATTAAATTATTAATGACTTATGGTGGTCTTGATTTAAATAAATTATTTAAAATTCAAATACATGAGCACTTTTTATGTAATAGGCACAGTTCTAATAATAAGGTAATTTTTTAATAAAAATCATTGGATAACATTGATACATTTTTATCATTTGAATTATATAAATTTATTAAAATATTACTCAAACTTCTATTATAGTCTGCTGTCACAAAAGATTTCCTATTAACTTTTCTGAACTACCCTCCACTTGATACTATGGCAAAAGAGAGATCACACTCAGAAACTTTTCCTTAAGAAAGATACATGGAGAGAGCCTAAGAATTTTAAGAATTCATTTTCAAGTCACAGTACATGAGGTATTCTCCATCTTTTATCTGGAGTCACAAGCCATAACCTAAGAACTGAAATTAGGCATTGTTTTTGGATGCTTAACAGAATCTCCTAGATCAAGACCAACTCCCACTGGTATCAGTGCTTGCTTTAAACTACCTAAAAAAAAAAAAAAAAAAAAAAAAATCTATGGCAGATCCTTAGGGAACCTAGTAAGAGTGGGTCTTCTAATGCAGACCTTGTATCTTATGACCTATTTATAAAACAATTCTTAAAAAAAATACAGGATATGGTTTTTGAAACATATATAATTAGAAATTAGTTATCTCAAAGGAACTAAAAAATATATAGTTTTGAAATACTATATAATTAGAAATTACTATCCCAGGATGATAGCCAGAGCTTTCATATTTTAAATTAGAACCAACTTTTTAAGGTATTATAAAGCTCATTTAAAATGTACTTTAATTCAAGAAAAAAAATCAGGTATAAATTAGTAAGTTTAATTTGTAACTACTTTTTAACCTATTTTTCAGGTTTAAATTTGCCCAAACCAACTGAAAAATTTATTAATACTATAGTAGGCTAATTATCTTTTATATCCAGACATTAGGCCAAAAATGATACAATTCTGGTTAATCCATAATATATGCATATATAGGAAAATGCAATAGTAATTTGTTTTCCATACTTGATGATTAAAATAGCTTCAAATATTTTATGAAAGCTTAGTCAAAATAAATATTTAATAAAAAGATATACCATAACAAAATATCAAGAAGTTAGTGTTTGAAAATAAACTGTCACGTTGTTTTGCTTTCAGTCAAACAGAACTGAATTCAGTGGCTTAAGGTATCTAAGAATAATTCAATTGTGACTTTGGAAACAAAAAAATTAAAATCCAGGTTAAGACTACAGAGCTAACACAAAGATGAAAGAGAAGTTTACTACGTTATAACTCAAAAGTTTAGAGTTATTGGGACTTCTCAATGACTACGATCTAAGAAACATGAATAATTTGGGGAGTAAAAGTAAAAAAAAAAAATCATGATTATGTGATTCATGTTGTGACACTCTCAATAAGTAAAACTAAACAACAAAAAATACAGTATATATGAGCACCATTAAAAATGTGTGTATGTAGCTATACATGTGTCAAACTTTACCTGATTAAAAATTACATTTAAAGTTAAAAACAAGTATACAATTATGAAAATACATTCTCAAGCTAACATGTCATGACTTATTTTAAAATGTTTCATCAAGCATTCCTTCTAAAACTCAACTAAGGAATACAACATAAAAAAAGCCAGCATTCTTTTGTAGTGTAAATCCCTTGATTAAACAGAATTACTTAAGTGTTTTCAATTCATAGTTAGATTCTAAGAGGTGCAAGAAAAATGAAGTAGGCAAATAAATGGGAATTAACAGAATAAACCAGCACATGTTGGATTTGTCCTCAAGGGATTATCATTCAGGCCTCAAAATTATTTTTAATTGAGAGCAGTAAAGATTACATTGCCAGAAACACCTTCTTTCTATAATAAAAGTT
The DNA here is from genome assembly GCF_000001405.40 of Homo sapiens. Classification (NCBI taxonomy): domain Eukaryota; kingdom Metazoa; phylum Chordata; class Mammalia; order Primates; family Hominidae; genus Homo; species Homo sapiens. The sequence goes on along the minus strand of NC_000012.12, from coordinate 88,195,893 downwards.
GTAAATTTGTCACTTCCGCTGTAATATTTCTGCTATATTCACCCACACTCTGAAAACAGCGATACATAATATACATCCTGGGATAATACAGGTCTTTAATGAAAATCTTATTTTGATCCTACTTCAAGGCAGCTCATGATTGACCATTAGGAACCCTTGAACTTTTTTTCAAAGCTCCCAGTAAAAGCAATCACATGATACGGATTGATGTTCTTTGATACCATTGTCACGATAAATATTAATGTTATTCACCATTTAAAATACGTTCAATCTCTTCTAGTCTTTTTAAAGCAGCAACTCTTTTCTTCTCAATTTCTTTGATGTCTTTTGTTGTTTTGTGGGGTGTCTCTTCGTCTCCATTTTTTCCTAATTGTTTGTTGGATTTAGACTGACTTTTATTATCACTTGTTTTTACTATTTGTGTTTGTCTGGATTCACCTCTAATTTCTTTTACACTTTCAGTTGGAATTTTCTTTCCTTCCACACTTGAAATCTTACTGGTTGGGAATATTGGCTCTATAAAACTAGATGAGGAAATCTTATCCCTGACTATATTCAAATGGCGCTGAATATATTCTTCATGTGGTGCTAATGCCAGTGTTTCAAGAAGGCATCTTTCAGCTTTTAATAAGTCTTTTTCTTCAAAATAAACAACACAAAGATTGTGTTTTCCTTGCACATTGCTTGGATCCATCTCCAAAATCCTTTCAAAACATTTTTTTGCTCCTAGTATATCTTTCTTTTGATTCATCAGAATGTCTCCTTTTAAAATGAGGCCCTTGATATGATCAGGGTAGTATCTGAGTAACTCCTCCAAAATTGGCAAAGCCTTTAATTCCTTTGCAGTCTGGGAATACAGGAGAGCCAGATTAAACAAAGCACTTCGGAAGTCGGCTTGTAACTTTATGGCTTTCTTCATCCAAATCTCTGCTTCATTGTCCTTTTTGTCATCCATGGCAAGCATTCCCAAATTGAAATACCCATTAGCATCTAGTGGCTCTTCATTTATATAACTTAGAAGTCGTTTTCTAGCTTCAGGTCTGAGTTTAACCTCACCTAGAAAGTTTTTTTAAAGAAAAAATATATTGTTAATAAAATAATTAAATGTGAGGAACAAAGCCATTTTCAAATACTTAGATTACAAAAAGACAGCTTCAAAACAACTAATTTCCATAGTTAAAAAAAGTAGAAAGCAAAAATCTCGAAGTCTTCATAGGAAAAGCAAAATATTTGAAACAGTAAAAAGATAGCTTATTTCTTTTCCTTTAAAGCAGTAACAGTGCTTCAGAAACCAAAAGGAGAGAAATGTCTCTTATAATTTAGAATTCAATTGGAAATAGAAGGAAAATAGAGAATTCAGAAAAAGAAGCATGGGATTTGCCAACAAAGACATGTATTCAATCTTGATTCTGATAACATTATGACTTTATACACTGAACATGTTACTTAACTTCTCTGGGTTAACTGAGTTTTCTAATAATTGTATGTTGTATATCGAAAAAATGTTCAGCAAATAGTAACTATTACTGGGTAGAAAAAAGCTTCAGAATGACTGTATCACATTTTAAAAAATGTTACTTCAAAGTTTTAGGAATGTTTCGAGGACAAAAACATACCATTAAATATAGGGCTATAAAATTAGGATTTAGGAAACATGTATCTTCTTTTTTTTGAGACAGGGTCTCACTATGTCACTCAGGCTGGAGGGCAGTGCTGTGTCCACAGGTCACTGTAACCTCAAACTCCTGGGCTCAAGCAATCCTCCCACCTTGGCTTCCCGAGTAGCTGGGACTACAGGCATGTGCCATCATTTCTTGCTGATTTTAAAATTTTTTGTGGAGACAGAGTTTTACTATGTTGCCTAGGCTATTCTCAAACTCTTGGCCTCTAGTGATCCTCCCCACCCTGGCCTCCCTAAGTGTTAGGATTACAGGCATCAGCCACTGCCTGGCAGGAAACAAATCTCCATTGAGATAATTTCTATTGCAAAAAAAAAGCCAAAAAAACAAAAAAGTTCAAGTTCTACAATTACAAACCTTATAGTACAATCTTGTGTCGAATAATGAGCATCCTTCATGATTATCAAGGTAGAAAACCTTACAAAAATATTAGCTTTTCTCCAAATTTCTACTTTTTTGGACACCAGGCATAAAGACTTCTCTCTATTCTTTTATTTGGCAGCACGATGGATAAAGAAAATTTGAAAATAAATCAGGAGGCTTCAGTTCTTGTCTTGGGTTACCTATTTAGCCATATGACTTTGGGGCAGTCATAAAATCTATTTGGTTTTCACTCTACTAAATAGAAGACTGGCAAATGCAAACTCAAAGGTCCTCTTTAGCTCTAAAATACTACGACTTTATGATTCTTTCATATTTTACAAAAGTTTTACGAAATGTATCTAAGAAATAACTAAACATTATAATAGATTTTTCTAATTTATAAATTAAAAAGATTATAAATCATATACACTATCTTATGAGGCAGAACTGAAATTCCTATATAAAATATGGATGAAGGATCCAGATTTACTGTGGTTAATAATTTAGTTTTGCTAAATTATAGGAAATATAAAAAATTACAACATCTCAGAAAACGTAGTAAAACTGGATATAAAATGGTGCCAAAAGTATTTGCTCTTATGAATCAAAAGAAAATAAAATGCTATTTTTTTGAAAACATATGCTCTTGGCTCCTCACAGCCAATTATGTAAAAAATTTCACAAGTTCATATTATTTGGAGAGTTTATATATAAGTTACATTATGTTTATGTATATAAAATGACAAAATAGTTAATGTTGCTTAATAGACTGCCTGAAAAATTAGTCTTAACACATGCCAGAAGAATTAAAAATCAGTATTATCATATGTTAGAATGCATGTTACTTGAAAATAGTTTACTTCAAGTATTTTAAATATTCTTTCTATAAATCAGTTAAGCACAGTATTGCTATAAACTGTCAATACATAAAGTGTTTGCTATGGGTAATAAAGTTAAATTAAGGTCTTATTATATTATAAACTACAATTTATATAAACAGAAATATTTTGAGAAAACATACCTGATTCTTGCATTACTATAGCAGAGTTGAATAATGCTAGTTTATGCTTTGGATTTAGTTCCAGAGCACGATTAAAGTTTTTTAGGGCTTCATTTGGTTCTTTAAGTTCAATATGTACAATTGCCAAGTTGTACCAAAGATCTGCATTATTTCTGTCCAGCTCTAGTGCTTTAAGATATGCTTCCTTTGCTTTAAGAGGTTTATTCATTTTTAAAAGCAATTCTCCTCTGTGGAAAAATCAAACACAAGCTTTACTTACAACATTACCATCTCAGTTTGTAGATACAATTTTTGCCAAGTTTTAAGCCTTTCCACATACAGCTTTTTTTTCTCTTAACTCAGACTCTTAAAAAACTCTCTTTCGAAAACAACTCTTTGAAACTGTCCTCAAATCTGAACTCCTTAGTTCAGTATATTTGGCTTGATATATTTTCAAATATTATTTAAGAAGAAAAAAATTATGCCTGATTTCAGAGGGCAACCTATCAGGAGGAATCCAGGAAGGAGGACAGAGCAAATATATTCTTTGACTTTATCTTAAAAAGGAGACAGACTAAACTGCATCAGAAAAAGGGCAGCTAGCCAGAGTGAAAGATTAATGAATTTGTCAGGTGACAAAATAACAGCATTAGAAGAAAAAAATGACATATAGTAGTGGTAAGAGAAATTCCAATATTTGAATGTATAATAGAAGGCTCACTATGCAAAAAACCAAAATATTAAAAATCTGTAACCCCTTCTTATATTAATTTAGTCCTCATCAATGTCTTCTTATAATACGACCATTCTTAAAAAAAAAAAAGAAAAAAAAAAAAAGAAAAATGCTGGGCATGGTGGCTCGTTCCTGTAATCCCAGCACTTTGGGAGGCTGAGGTGGGCAGATCACTTGAGGTCAGGAGTTGGAGACCAGCTGACCAACATGGCAAAACTCTGTCTCTACTAAAAATACAGAAATTTGCCAGGCATGGTGGCACGCGCCTGTAGTCCCAGCTAATAGTGAGGCTGAGGAACAAGAATTACTTGAACCCAGGAGGCAGAGGTAGCAGTTAGCCGAGATCACACCACTGCACTCCAGCCTGGGTAACAATGTGAGACTCTGTCACAAACAAACAAACAAACAGAAAAAGGACTAAAAAAAAGCTGAACAGGTAGAGTGGGAGGGATTAATCTGACCTGTAGATAACTTTGAGGAACACACTTAGAATTGAGGACCAGTTAAGAAACCATTGTATAAATCTTTCTAGTGTGGTTCTATTTTCTGTTAGAAAATTTTAAAAAGTAATTTTGCTTAAAGAATTATTTTTACATATGTACAAATAATATTTAAGTAGTGATATGAGAGTTGTTCTTATAATACTACTCTTTCCTATAGTATCAGCACAGAAATAAAAGGAACAACAATTAATATTCTCATTAAAACCACTTCTAGAATGAATGTTTGTCCAAAATATTATTTTTTTAATGTAGAGATTGTTGAATAGTTCTTTATGAATTAATACATGACAGGTGTTATTTATAGATACAACCCTGCTAATAAACTCAATAGGCACGGCGGAACAAAGAAAACCCCAACTTACAAACAGATTTTATCTCAAAAACTTAAATTCAGAATGTACTTTCCCCAAAGGAAAAAATGTTACAAATTACTATTAGTTTTCTGGACCAGGCTACAAAACGAAGTTTAAAAACACATTTTTCCTCAAAAGTAATACAAATGATAACACATACATGAGAAAATAAATGAAGTTTTAACATGTGGTGCCAGAAAACTTTTTTTTTTGCTGAGAACCAAGATGTTTTCTTTGTGTCAAAGGCATCAATAACCAATCAACTCTAAAAACAAGAAAGTTCCTGAGAGTTTGATATTAGAAGTAACTATTATAAAATGTAAGTTTCAAGTTTTAATTTAAATAGGAAAAGAACAATTTTGGTGATGGGAAGAAAATGCAACTAAGACAGAGCTGCTTCTACCCTTTCCTTAATACAAAACCTAAGTTGGCTATTACAAGTTAGGGATTCCCCTTGTTAATTTCAAATCAATAAAATCTGACTGTCAGTCTAAAAAGTTATGCTCTTCTATGCACTTGGTTGCTAAGTAAGATTATTAAAAACATAATTTTTTTTCAAAAAAAACCAATTCATTCAAAATGTACATGGAGATGCAGTTTCAATATTCCATAATGATAGCTTAAAGTTGAACTGGGATACCTGCTAATGTAAGCCTGCTTGAAGTCGGGCCTCATGCTTATTGCTTGACGGTACAGCTGATCTGCTTCTTCCAGTCGGGACTCATTTGCTCGGATCAGGTTAGCCAGATTGATATAAACATTTAGGTGGTTAGGGGCAATTCTGGCTGCATATTTTTTACCAGGAATAATCTGTTTAGAAGAAAAGGCATTTTCATGATTTGATATTTCAGTATCAAAAATCAAAAGTACATATTCCTATTGGCTAATTCAAAATAACTCAGAACATACTGTAAAAAATACACTGGACTGAGAGATCAGGGTTCTACTCCTGTTTTGACTAAACCTAAGATACCTTGACTTCTAAAAGTTCTGATTTGTTTGACTTCAGAAAAAGACAGATACAAATAAAAAGCTAATAATCCACTGAGGTGGCATGAATGAAAAAATATATCCTTAATGCCACAAAGTACTATTTTATTTACATTTTTGAGGATACTGTAAGTAAAATATTTTTATTCACATTTTTGTGTGTGTTTTCTTTTACATTTTTATTATTTATTTTTAACAAAGTGGTAAAATTAGTGGCATAGTCTTATGTCCTCAGAAAAAATAGCTTAAGCTGGGCTGAAGTTTTCTCAATTGTAATAATATTTATAGTAATATTAATAGTGATAGGATAGTTAATTTTTTTTAAAGTTGAACTGTATGACATTTTAAGGATTATTTTAATCCTTAACTGTAACAGTTAAATTGTATTTGTTATTGGTTTTTATCATATCTAATTTATTGTGTTCACTGGAAGTCTCGATCCATATATACTATGTATTATAAAAACCTTAACTTAATAATCAGACTGTTTAATTTCCAAACTTCACCAGACAAGTGAGTCCTTAGTATTCTGGAATAAATTAACTATCCTACGGTCACAACCCAGAAATATTTTGCTGATAACATGAAAATTGACATAGGGTAAGATCTTCCAATTTCGATACTACCTTATATTTAATGAATCTTATTCTAACAACTGATGGACACAATATAGTAAGAGATGTATCTACTAATTTTATCACTTTATTTTTTGATAGGAATAATGTTGAACTGTATGCTTAATATACATAAATAAAATTATATTTATTTAAAGTCATTAACTTGCTGATAACTCATAATCAAGAATATCTAAAATTCATACTTTATGAATTTAGTTTTTACAAATGGACTATAAAAACAATTTTTAAAATTAAGTGAGCTACGGCCGGGCGCAGTGGCTCATGCCTGTAATCCCAGCACTTTGGGAGGCTGAGGTGGGCAGATCACGAGGTCTGGAGTTCGAGACCAGCCTGGCCAATATGGTGAAACCCTGTCTCTACTAAAAATACAAAAATTAGCCGGGTGTGGTGGCAGGCACCTGTAGTCCCAGCTACTTGGGAGGCTGAGGCAGAAGAATCACTTAAACCTGGGAGGCAGAGGTTGCAGTGAGCTGAGATCGTGCCACTGCACTCCAGTCTGGGCAATACAGCAAGACTCCGTCTCCAAAAAAAAAAAAAAAATTAAGTAAGCTAGAAAAATGTAATTCTTTATAAAACTTACTTTTATATCAACTAACTGAAGAAAAGATAAAGATTTTCCTTCTAGATAATTCTATTCAATATGGACATCTAATAGATATGACACAATAGATAAATTATGGCAACTTACTTGAGGCATCAGTGATTTAGCCATCATGTAAGATTCTTCAGCTTCTTTGGTTCTATTTAAATTTTTATAAGTTCTTCCTACATTCATATGGGCACCAATATCATCTAAAATTTTAAAACAATCATTTGTTGGCAAGTATACAACTGATATATTCAATATACTCAATGAAATGATTAAATGTATTTGATATATAAACAAGTATTCAATGTAACTAATGAGAAGACATATTTCCAGAAACAAACACACTAGGCAAAAATGCAAAAGCAGGCAACAGGTCCTGCTTCTTCCTTAAAGTTCTTGTAATTTAACTTGTTATAACTTAAAACCAATGGTATACACAAAATTACTTAAAGCATGTAAAGACAGAAAATACATACATGGCATGAAAAAACTATTTGAATGGATTTTTGAAGAGTTGAGACATAAGAGAGATAAAGGTAATGAAGAAATTTTTATTACCTTCCTTCATTGTATTTTACTACACTAAAGCTTGCTTCCAGAGATAAAGGTAATGAAGAAATTTTTATTACCTTCCTTCATTGTATTTTACTACACTAAAGCTTGCTTCCATTTACTTAATCTCATAGCTTAGGAATTCACTCAAAAGGTACAGCTCAACTCTACAAGTAAAATGAATCATCAGGATTTTTAGAATTATTTCAAGTGTTATAACAAATATGCATCATGGTGGAACAGGGGCAAAGAGACTGAAAAAAAACTTTGCCATTCGATTTTTAAAAATTTTTGTGACTGTGGCTAGAATGAGAGTATAATGGAACATAATGATAATAGTATTACTTAAGATGCAGTGGCCCAGCTCTTTTAAATGATAATTAACTCCTTAAAATTAATTTTAGATTTTTTTAAAAGGTTGTGTTAATTTTAGAATGTCAGGAACTTATGTCTCATTTTCTGATGTGGAAAGTAAAAATCCCAGCAAATTTATTCAGGGATAGGAAAAAAAATGTAGCTGAAATAGGAAAGAGATGAGGATTCATTGTACAGTAGCTTTTTAAAAAGATATACTTGCCAGTAAATATTTCAAAGGTTTGGAATAATGATAGAAGGAAGGTAGAAGATCTTAAATCAGACAGTTTATACTCAACACGAACTAAAATACATGAAAAGGTTCATTATGATTACTACTTGCCTTGTGATACCAATTATTTTGCAATTGTGCAATAATTCTTTGCCTGCAACTCCTAGGACACATAGGGGCCAAGCATATATATCTTGGGCATTCCCTGAGTAACAGTCCTAAGAACTTGCTATATAATGTTTTAGGCTGGCAATTGTGTGCACTGCACAAAAACTGGCAGATGCGGTCCAGGTTTGATTATAGATAAGTTTAGGAGTAAGGAAGTAGATTTTTTTCTTTTTAGATGTATTGCTGAGTCTCATGGAGCCAGGAGGGGTCAAGCAAAAAAAACGTTTAAGCTAGCCATTCTTAATTCTGGCTGCAAATCAGAATACCTGTGTAGTTTAAAAAAAAGTCAGATACTTCAGCCCCACCTAGGTCCATCAAAACATAATGTTCAGAAATGAAATCTGCAAAAATATGTTCATAAAAAGTGTCAAAGGCAATTCTGATGTAGAATCAGGGCTGAAAATCATTGTATTATCCAATTGCATATAAAATATGCAGTATAGTGATTAGATCAGGGTATTTGCTTGCATTATATGTATCAAAACATCACTATATATCCCATGAATATGTACTATTATTGTCAATTAAAAATATGGGGTAGTCTTTGCTTTTATATCTTTTTTTTTTTTTTTACCAGATAAATCCATACCATATGTTTATAGAGCTCAGAATGTTATTTAGGAAAAGCTAAGGTACATAGAACCTGAAAAAATTATACACTAAGAATTTAAGAATAAACTGAAAATTTGTTAAAATAAAACTGTAATTATGCCAGCTGAGTATTTAAAATGTTATTGAAATTATCCCCAACCAATGTTAGAAAAGAAAGAGGTTATATACTTAGATAAAAAATGAGGTGAATTACTATCCATTGAAATCATGCTCTTAGAATTAAGGCCAGGAGATATTGTCATTAATGTAGACTTCAGACACTAGAGTATAGCAGCCCTATGTTTTCAAAGAGCAGAGATGCAATTAGATATTGTTTAGCATCAAAAAGGCCACTCAATACAGCTAATAAAATGAAAGACCTAATTTCTAAGCAATTCTTTATAATTTACAAAGTTTTAAGATTCTAGAGGGTAAAATAGTATCACTTTTAAGATAAATTTAAGTATTAACAAAAGGTAAGAAAAGAAGGCAAGATGTAAAAAATCAATGACATTTAAATGACTAAAGAAACTAAAGGAACTTCAAAGAACAAGCCCACTCTTACCAGTACCTATCCAAAACAACAGCAGCATGAGTTAACAATCTAGCTTTTAATTCAATGGTAAATGAGGACCTCACAAATCTCAAATGTAGTCTCAGTTTGTCAATACTAGGTTTCTATAATCAGTTAATTTTTCCAGAATCCTAGTTGAGTCTCTTTCATTTCTTATCTCTCCTCACATCTCTAATATCATATTTTCACTAGGAAAACAAAGGAACTTTGTTTAGAAGGGAACTTACCTCACTGCTAAAGGTTATCAACTTACCTGCATGAATGTTTGCATGTGTTTTTAATAGTAACAAACACCTGTGTACACAGGTTTACAGTCACCATTTATTTGAAATGACAGTAGTTATTAGACACTGGTTCACATATGATCTCAGTCATCCTGCCTAGGGATGCAAATGTGATGTGGCTGGGAAGTTTTCAGGCAACTGTGTATGACTAATACACAGCTGCCCAACAGTGAAATATTAGCTGCCCAACAGTGAAGTATTCTCACATTGATGGCTTAGGCAATTATGTAGAGTTTCAGTATTTCCTGTCCACAAAATTATCAATTTATTTAAAAAAATAAATTTATAAATATCTGGAATCTCCTAGGAACTCTCTATCCTTCATAAATATAGATGTAAAAATTACTAATAGCATTTTAACAAATAAAATATAATAAAGATAATAAGTCACAATCAAATTGTGTATTACTGAAGGCAAGGTTGTTTTAACATTATGAAATCAATTGATGATATCCACTGTATTAACAGACAAAAAAAATAAAAACCTTATCATCATCTCAAATGGTGCACAAAAGCATTTGACAGAATCCAACATTTACTTGTGTTAAAAATTCTCAGCAAATGAAGAATTAAGAAAGGCAGGAGAGCTCTCCTATACTGCTGGTGGGAAATACATTTTTTGGAACATAATTTAGCAGCCTTTAAAAAGTTAAACATACAGAAATCATATGACCATGCCATTTTTCTCTCAGGTTTTTACCTAAGAGAAATGAAAACATATATCCATAAAGACTGGTATATGAATGTTCGTAACAGCCATGTTTGTAACAGCTCCAAACTGTGAACAATCCAAACATCCATCAACAGGTAAATGGATAAACAAACTGTGGTATATCTACGTGAAGGAATACTACTCAGCCATACCAAGGTATGGGTTTTTGATTCATACAACAACATGAATGAGTATCAAAATAACTGTGCAGAGTAAAAAAGCCAAGAAAAAAAAAAAAGAGAGAGTCCATAGAGTATAATTCCATTCATACACAATTTTAGAAAAAGCACATTATCTGTAGTGATAGAAAGCTTTTGCTTAGAGAAGGCTGGGGTGAAAAGGGGTAAGAGGGAGGTATCAGAAAAGGATCCAAGGAATTTGAGGGGTTGATGGATATTTTCAGTATCTTAATTGTAATTATGGTCTCACAGATAATATACATATGCCGAAACTTATCAAATTATGTATTTTAAACATGTATAGTCTATTGTATGTCACATGTACTTCAAGATTGCTATTAAAAAATTACAACTCAATCATGTCTTTGGGTTACTGCAAAAGCCTTCTAAATGATCTTCCTGCTTTTCTTCACTGTTTTCTGCATAGCCAGTGATACTTAAAATTACACCAGAGTATATGTGCGAAGGTTGCTCTGTTTATTATCATCTCGAAGAGACTTTCTCTGAAAATTTCTAATCTCTATGCCCTTTTTATAGCTTTTATCACTTTCATATAAATACACATGTGCATGCATATGTGTGTGTGTATATATATATTTTGTGTGTGTGTATATATATATATATTTACATGTGGTGTGTATTTGTTTACTTATGTTTATGCCTTTATTTAGAATGGAAACTCCACGAAGGGAGGAAATTTGTTTTATTTCTTCTGGATTCCCCAGCACTTAAAACAGTGTCTTGACACATGGTAAATTCTCAAATACGTGCCCAATGAACAAATATACCTACAGAGCCATTTGCTATCCATTCTCTTTCAGCCTTCTTCCCTGCATTATACATCACTTTTTTGCCACCTCCTGTAGGAGTTTGGTCAGGGTGGTGGGAAAAGTTGTAAGAAAAAGTTATAGGGAAAGATGCAAACCTTCTTGGAAGGCCAGGAGGCTTTGCAAAAGCTTCCGAAGGGAATTATGGCTGAAGGCCGCCAGATTCTCTTATCAGGAGTCTGAGAGAAAAGAGTAGATAAGGGAATGTAAAGGAATTTATCTAGATAAATTTGTTTACTCCTTTCTCTAGAAATCAACCTTTGATTATTCATGCACAGGACTGCTCTCTACTTGGGGGGTCGACAATGTTCATTACCCACAAATTGTGTTTGCTCCAAGCCTTTATCATTAAATCTGAACTAAATAAATGCTAGCAGGGCTGGCTTAGGGGGGCTGCACTCTCTTGGTGGCTGCTGCACTCTCTTGTTGGTGGTGCTGAGCCATGCGGTCCCCTAGCCACGCTGTCACGCAAAATTCCTGTGTCAGTGTACTTCTTTCATCCATCACTCGGCCAGAGTCTGTGGGACAGACTCGGCAGGTGGTGCCCCGTGTGAGGAAGGCTGCAATGGATTGCGATGGAACCCTCAAAAACGAAGGTTAAGAGACTGCACAGTAAGTCATTGGTGCCCGCTTGGGATTTCCAAGTTCGAGGGAATTGTTCAGGCTAGGGTTTCATCATGGGACAGTGGTTGTCAGCTCAACAGAAACAGTATATAAAAGTACTGAAACAGCTGCTTAAAGCTAGTGGAGCCCCAGTTTCGCAGGCTCAATTAAGGGACATAATGCAAACTGCTGTTTCCCATAACCCATGGTTCCCAGAAGAAGGTATGCTAGACATAGGGCTCTGAGAACAAGTGTGGAGAAATCTTAACATCATGCCCAAGGATATCAGGTCCCAGTAGCATCTCTAATGTTATGGCCCTTAGTTAGGGCTGCTTTGGTCCCGCACTACACAGAATAACCTAAAAAGGGAAGGGAGGAGAAACCGTCACCTACCTTACCGCCTCCTCCTTCTCCCTCAGCCCCACCAGTAAAGGGCAAAAATACCAAAGGGGAAACAGAGGTTTTGCCTGAGGCCCCTCCTCCAATAAATTGGAAGAAAGACAAGGGATACACTATAGCTATGGGACCCTGTCTTAGGTAGCAGCATTAGAAGGGGAGCTCTTAGCCTGCCTGGCAATGCAAGATCAACAAGGCAATGGGGTATATGAACTCATTACTTTCGGCACTTATAAAGAGATAAGGAAAAGCATTAAAGAAAACAGCTGCTAGCCCATTTATGAGAGGGTTAACTGAGGTCATTCTGCAGACCTCTTTCTAATAATGGCCACTGTTATTCCTCTCCTCCCCCTGACATGGCTCTCTCAAAATCCTATTTGGGTAGAACAGTAGCCTTTAAAGGGAGAAAAATTACAAAGAGCCCATGAATTAGTTGGCCCATGAATTAGTTGAGGAGCAATTAAAAGCCAGCCATACAGAACCGTCAAACAGCCCTTGGAATTCGCCCATTTTCATCATTTCCCAAAAGTCTGGCAAATGGAGATTTCTGCATGACTTACGGGCTATCAGTGCTAATTTGTAACCTATAGGGCCCCTTCAACAGGGTCTCCCTTCCCCCGTGGCGATTCCTCAAGATTGGCCTGTAGTCATTATGAACTTAAAGGACTGTTTTTGTACTATTCCCCTTGCAGAACAGGACAGAGAAAAATTTGTGTTTACAATACCAGCTATCAATAATGAAAGGCCAGCTCACTGATTTCATTGGGAAGTGCTTCCTCAAGGGATGCTGAACAGTCCTACCATGTGTCAGTATCATGTAAATCAGGCTTTGCTCCCAAGTAGAAAAGAATTTCCTAAATACAAGATTATTCATTTTATAGATGATATTTTACTAGCATCCCCAACGGAGCCAGTACTTTTAAGTTTATAAGCCTCTGTCGTAAAGAATACATAGCTAAGAGGTTTAGTCATAGCACCTGAAAAAGTACAATTGTCTTCTCCTTGAAAATATCTTGGATACATACTAACTTCCTGGTCAGTTAGACCTCAAAAGGTTAAATTAAATACTATCAACTTGCATATCTTAAATGATTATCAAAAATTACTGGGCGATATTAATTGGCTTTGCCCCATCTTGGGCATAACTACTGATAAGTTACATAACCTGTTTTCTATCCTAAAGGGCAATACAGCCTTAGACTCTCTCAGGTATTTAACTCCTGCAGCAAAAAGGGAAATTGAAAAAATAGAGCAAGCTGTTTCTCAGAGGTAACTAGATTGCACAGACCTGCAATATTCAGTTCAATTGTTTGTTTTCCCTACTAAACATTCCCCAACAGGATTAATAGGACAGACAGCCCCAGGGCTATGCTTCCTAGGATGGGTTTTTTGCTCACGTACTGGGACTAAAACACTATCTCCCTATATCCAGCTAGTTAGTAAAGTCACCTATACAGGCTGCAGATGATGCAATCAGTTTCTAGGTTATGACCCTGATGTCATAAGAATTCCTTTGAGTAAAAAGCAACTCGAAGCAATATTGCCCCTATCTCTAGATCTTCAGATAGCACTCTCTAATTATGCAGGCCATGCAGAGCATGCCCTTCCTGCTGACAAACTACTTCAGTTCTTTTCTCGTACTCCTGTAGTTGTGTCTACACAAGTAGTTCACTCCCCCATACCCAATGCTTTAACGCTTTTCACTGATGGCTCTGGTAAAAATGGAAAAGTGGCTATTTGGTGGAAACTGCATAATTCCCTCACTTGTTCTGGATTTACCAGCACTCAGAGAGCTGAGGTTGGAGCCTTAATATTGGCCCTGGAGACCTTTTCTGCTCAGCTTATCAATATTGTTAATGACTCTGCTTACTCTATTTATTACAGAAGCTTAAGACAGCCCTCATTAAGTCCACTCTCGAGCCCACCTGTGTACACTTTTTCTTCAACTTCAGCAATTGCTGGATCAATGTACATATCCTATTTTTAACACACATACTCGAGCCCACAGCTCACTGCCTGGCCCACTGGCTTATGGCAATGAACAAGCAGACCTGCAAGTTATGACGTCACTGCTTGACCAAACCACCCAATTGCATCAATTTTTCCACCAAAACTGAAGAAACTTAACTAAACAATTTCAACCTACCCAAAGACTAGCTAAACAAATTATTTTACAATGCCCACATTGCCAACTCACAGGCATGTCTCCTCCTTCAACAGGTGTTAACCCTAGAGGACTAGAACCTAATCGGTTATGGCAAACAAATGTTATTCACATCCTTGAATTTGGAAAACTTAGATATACATGTATCCATTGATACCAATTCTCACCTAATTAGCACACATGCTCTTCCTGAAGAGTCCTCCCAATATGTTATTAAACATTTTCTCTTAACTTTTGTGTTTATGGGGTGGCCCACAAAAATTAAAACTGATAATGGTCTGGCTTATGCCAGCTCACAATGTCAACAATTTTGTCACACGTGGAACATCCAACATTCCACAGGTATCCCTTATAACCTCAAGGACAGGCCATAGTAGAACGTGTCCACTCTACCCTTAAAAATATGCTCAAGAAACTAAAAAGGGGGAATATGAGTAAGGATCCTGCAACACTATTGGCACAAGCCTTATTTACCCTTAATTTTTAAAATTTAGATGATAAATTTCAATCAGCCATAGAAAAGCATTTCACTAAAGTTCTTCAAAACATAAAACCTGTGGTTTTATGGAAAGATGTAAATAGTAATGTATGGTGTGGTCCAAATGATTTGTTGACATGGGGAAGAGAATATGCTTGTGTTCACACCCCCTCAAGTCCTCTATGGATTCCAGCATGATGCATCAAACCATACTATGGTGTCGCTAGGACCCAACCTGGTACCAGAAATGAAGGAAACGACCCTGCAGCACCTGCAGCCCCAGAAGATGCGGTTTTCTTGAATGACACAAGCCCCAAACATTACCTGCGGGATGCTGAAGAAGATAACTCAGGAGGCTGAGGGAATCCTGTTCTGGACACAGACACCATTCACTCCAGATAATTTGTTCCTTACTATGCTTTCTGTTGTACATTACAACTCTCATAGGACATTGGTTTTTCTTATTCTCTCACTTTTCCTGCTATCTGTACCTGCTACTCTCTATTAGGCCCATCTTCTAAATCCGCCTTTCTTTCACCCTGTTACCTGGGCAGACACCCCCTTCCCGGCCTCTAATAACGTAACTGCTTGGCTAGGAGGGATTAACATACCCCCAGTGGGGTTCCTTAGTAATGACACACACTGGACTGAGGTGCCAAGTAACACTACATGTCACTCCTTAATTGGAAAAGAATATTACTGATTATACTCATGTTTGTCTTATGTTATTTACTAATTCTAGGATGCAAAGCCGGAATACGAGTGTTAACTGCTGTGCCTGACAAACCTGTTGCTGCACACATCTGTACTCTTCAATCAACAAAACCTGATGCAAAAAACAGAAAAGGGTGAGATGTAGGAGTTCGGTCAGGGTAGTGGGAAAAGTTGTAAGAAAAAGTTATAGGGAAAGATGCAAATCTTTTTGGAAGGCCAGGAGGTTTTGCAAAAGCTTCAGAAGAGAATTATGGCTGAAGGCAGCCAGATTCTCTTATCCAGAGCCTGAGAGCAAAGGGTAGATAACAAGGGAATGTAAAGGAACTTATCTAGATAAATTTGTTTACTCCTGTCTCCAGAAACCAATCTTTGATCATTTGCGCACAGGACTGCTCTCTACTCCGGGGGTTGACAATGTTTATTACCCACAAATTGTGTTTGCTCCAAGCCTGTGTCATTAAATCTGTATTAAATAAATGCGACCGGGGCCTGCTTACGGGGGCTGCACTCTCTTGGTGGCTGCTGCACTCTCTCATTGGCGGTGCTAAGCTGTGCAGTCTCCTAGCCACACTGTCAGGCAAAATACCTGTGTCAGCATACCTCTTTCATCCATCACTCAGCCAGAGTCTGCAGGACAGACTCAGCAACCTCCTTTCCTGGCTCCAGTGAAAATAATGCCATTAATACTTACCAGCTCATATTTATTGAATATACATTATTGCCTAGAAACTGGCCTAAGTCTTATATAACCAGTATTTAACATAACCCATACAAAAGAATGGAGGTATTATTACTCCAAATTTATAGATAGAAAACTTAGAGTGATTGAACTAAATTTGAGAAAAGGTCTGATGCCAGAGTCCAAACTTTTAACTAACCATCACACTAGTTGTCCCTCTTAACCTTATCCTGGTCACTGTCTTGCCCCGTCTAAACTATCTAAGATACAGTAAAATAACATGTCATTTCATCTGTCAAACCCATCTAGGAAGAATACAGCTTAAAAAAACATGGAATAAGCCAAGAAACCTCAGATGCCACATTCAATATTTCTAAGTTTAAAAAACGCTTTATTCATAATATAATAAACTGGTTTACTTGTTTTCCTATCTCATGGCTTATGATTAATAGAAACAGCAATTCTCAAAGTGTGATAGTGAAGTCAAACTGAAGAAAGGTTCAGCAAATATCTCAAAAACAGCAATTAGTGACAATTGACAATGAGGGGGAAAAATTATTTAAAAACTGAGTGTCCATGTCTGCAACATCCTGTGATAGGCACACTATTCACTAGACAAAACTGAATGTGTACACACACCCCACACACACTTAACTTAGTATTTACAACAATACTGTGAGACAGAAATTACTATCCCATTTTAGAAACAAGAAAGAAGAGTCTGAGGGGCCTAAGTAACATCTCAGTCTCAAAGCCCTTGTGTGCCTGACAATCAAAGATGGCTGCTTCTCTAAAAACTCTTAGAATATAATTAATCCATGCATTGCACATCTCAAGACTTAAGAAAGTAATTAATTAAAATATTTAGAGACTGCTGACTGCGTATAGGACCCTACTTGATGATGCAGGGGTACAAAAATGAATCAGATGTTCCTGCTACCCCAAGGAAGCTCCACAGTTTAAATAAATAAATATTTTAAATAAATTTGTATTTAAATAAATAAAATATAGCACTAAATAGAAAATTACAAATATAGGAAAGATACAGAGGAAGTTAAGGGGTTTTACATATGAAAACTATTTGCTTACAGCTGGAAAGATAGGAAGAGTTTTTACAAGAGAAGTCACTGGAAAATGGGAGGAAAGGGAGAAGGGAGAAATTCTAGTCTCAAGGAAGAAAATAAAGGCAAAGAAGTAAGGAAGTACAGGACATTAATCCCACATTCCAAGAAAAACTAAACTACATGAAGGGCTAAGAGAGATAAAACTGAAAGGCTAGACCATCAGTTATATTTTCACAACTTTTTCTTCACCTTTCTCTAATTGAAACTTAGCTTTGTTTTGGAGACATGGTTACCTTTAGCCCTTTCAAGTGGTGACTGTGTTCTTTTCTATCCTTTGCCACACTGGGCCTGGGGGAAGAACAGGTATCTTCTTCCTTGATCCATGTTGCCATTTTTGGACAATTCTCTCTCCTTTTTACCATACTCATGTCTGATTGTAATTTAACTCTATTATCTGCTATTCTTATCAGTGTTGTAGTCTTTGATTCCTGGATCACAGACCCTGGCTCCCTGTTGCTTTCTCTAACATTACTTTTGTCAAAATTCTTAATGATTTAGTGATTTCATAATCCATATAGATATTAATCTTTGAATACTGTGGTCTTGATGACCTTTTTTCCAAATGATTTTCACCTCCTTTCTACCTTAGCCAGTTAGTGCAGTGGTCATAGTTGTACTTACTAGAAAAAAACAACAGTGTCTGACACTCTGCACCCCTTCAAGGATATTTAGTAATGTGCAGGGGTTTCTTTTTGGTCATCACTCTGAATGGAAAATAATGATGGCATTTGGTGGATGGGGGGCCATGTCTAGTACATATCCTGTAATACAGTTCTGCACTCAAAACGCCAATAGCACTCCTGTCGAAAAATACTGCTGCTCTAGCTACATCCTACTCAGAAACCAACAATTCCTCAGATCCACTGATCTTGTTACCTTTCCTCCATCCCTCATCCTCTCTCACATCCCTTCTTAACCAGCTTAGATTCTGTGGCTCATCATTTATTCACTCCTTAAACCCTTTCTTGATGAGTAATACACAACTGAAAAAACTTTAATCCTATTTAACAGAATTTTCCATGTCTATGCCATCACTATTATAGCTAAAAAGTTGCAACAGAAAAACATGTAACTATTTTTTTTTTTTGAGACAGAGTATATCACTCTGTCACCCAGGCTGGAGTGCAGTGGTGCGATCTTGGCTCACTGCAACCTCTGCCTCCCAGGTTCCAGCGATTCT
The DNA here is from genome assembly GCF_000001405.40 of Homo sapiens. NCBI lineage: Eukaryota > Metazoa > Chordata > Mammalia > Primates > Hominidae > Homo > Homo sapiens. The sequence continues at coordinate 88,177,234 of NC_000012.12, read as the reverse complement.
TGTGCCTCAGCCACCTAAGTAGCTGGAATTACAGGCGCCCACCACAATACCTGGCTAATTTTTGTATTTTTAGTAGAGATGGGGTTTCACCATGTTGCCCAGGCTGGTCTCAAACTCCTGACCTCAAGTGATCTGCCCACCTTGGCCTCCCAAAGTGCTGGGATTACAGACTTGAGCTACTGTGTCTGGCCCAAACTGGTTTAAAAAAGCCAAAACCCTCTTATCTTACCATCCTTTCTTGACCACATACCCAGCACTGCCACCATTTCTTATCAACACCCTTCAAAAGAGTTTTCTATACGAATTGTCTCCAAGTATTCTTTCCCCATTCTCTTAAGCTCACTACTATCAGGCTTTTGCACCCATCATTCCACCAAAACTGCTTATCCATATCCATGCCACACAACAACTCTATGTTAAGAAAAAATCCATAAATGTTTTTGTTTGTTTTTGAGACACAGTCTCACTCTGTCACCCAGGCTGGAGTACAGTGGTATAATCATGTGATCATAGCTCACTGCAGCCTTGAACTCCTGGGCTCAAGGAATCCTCCCACCTGAGCCTCCCAAGTAGCCGAGTTTACATGCCCACACCACCATGCCTGGCTAATTTTTTAATTTTTATTTTGTAAAGACAGGATCTTGCTTTGTTGCCTAGGCTGGTCATGAACTCCTGGTGTGACCCTCCTGTGTCAGCCTCCCAAAGTGCTGGGAATACAGGTGTGAGCCACCAGCCTGGTAACAGAGTCTGATATTAAGTGGCTGTTATATGTAATCCAGTTCAAAATAAGCACTGAACTCTAGTATTCAAGTCACTCAGAATAAAGCTAGTAAATAAACTACCTTATTTCCCCCAAGGATAATCAAAACTTTTTAAAAAATAAAATTCATGATTTTATTAGTTAATAATGCTTACCTGGCTGAACATGGGTAGCCTGTAAGAAGTATTTCAAAGCTCTCTCAAAGTTCTTTTCATTTTCCAGAGCATGACCCACATTATTCCAAAGTTTGGCATTATTTTTATTTACCTTAAATACAAGCACAGATAGAAAAAGTTACAATTAAAAAAAAATGACTCCAGTTCATACAGATATTTGTTTGGTATACTATTAAGAAAATAATGTTCTATGGAAATGTCTCTGGGGATGACACAGGAGTCAAATAAAGACTGCTTCACCAAATTTACTCTCCCTGAACCTGAACACCAACATACTAAAACCACAGCAGTGTCTTATTTCATTCACGTTATATATTAACATTTTACTGAAAATGTTATTTGATGAAAGCACAGTGGTGTTTCAAAACTTCTGCTCTGCCATTTGTATTTTTAGGAGCAAAAGCACTGGAACATGAGAATATGTTTAAATGTTGCACTGATGACTTATTTTTAGACTTGACATATTTAAAATTATTTATGTAGTCCATTATGGTAATGGAAAACCTGAGATTAAAGCTCTGAGTCAATCTGTGCTTTCAGAGTTCGCAGATTGCCGTAGTGTTCTTGCAGATAGATGACACCTAGCCAAGGAACTAATTGCAGTCGTTGTGGCTATAGGTTCCAACCACTGTCCTGGGAGTGAGTATAAGCAAAATTCTGGAAAATTATGGGGCTCCACTGGTATCCTAGGAGTATGGATTAATAAGCATGGTAATGAGGTCTCACTTGTTGGCAGACTTCTGAGTTGGGAGAGAGAGTAGAGCTACTGAGTTGTATAAGAAGAGACTCATCTGATCTTAGGGAGATGGGGAACCAAGAAATCACACAGACCACTGGAATGAAGCAGCAATCCAATAAAGCTAAGTAATGAAGAGTTAAGAAACAGTCCAAAGGAAGTAAAAATTCAGATATCTGAAGAGGGGTACTGGTAAGGGAGAGCTTGAAAAAATCTTTGCGGATAACCTTTAAAGAAAACAAATTTTTGTTTTTTAAAAGACCTTTTTCCGATTTATAATGTCCATTCTATAGAAATCTTGATCCTTTCTTTCTGCCAATTCTTATCTTTCTGATAGTATTGTAACCACTGGTTATCTTCCACATCATTGGGTGCCTTTTTTTTTTCGCTGTACATTTTATTTTACTGAATTGATGCCATCGATTATAACATCATTATTTTAAGTACCATTAAGAGAGAAAAAAGGCCACTAATTTAAGATGCTTTTCACTGTAAGACTTATTTGATTTCAGAGATATAAAAAAGGAAAAATATAAGCACCTTTAGAACCAATGAAATATAGTATTCTGATTTAAACATTGTGTCATTTGAGCTTCCAATAACTGTATAGCATTTAGGGAATTATCATATATGCTTTGGACATATAGCTAAGTATTATTCAGAGCATTTGGTTATGGCATTATGTTAAACAACAAATTATTTTCATTAATCTTTTAGTAAAGTACTTAATATTGACTGTTAAATGTCTAATTAAAAACAAAGTTAAAACAGCTTAGAAATTGTTCCAAGAAATCACTGATGACATACTTTCCTGTCATTCTGAACAACACTTTACCTTCAAGGCTGACATAAACAATGTATATTCAGACTCCCAATCCCAATTTCTGTGGAATGTTTTTAAGGAATGAGTGAGTATCACCATAGACAGACAAATCCAGGATAGCTTTTTAAATACACTGTTTAAGAGAAAAAAAGCAAAACAAAAAAAATTGTCTTCATCACCAAAAGCATTTTACCTTTTAGAACAGAGGTAAGAAGTATCTTAAATGCTCCTAAAATATCATATGTTAATTTATTCTAATTCATTCTAATGAACACCCAACTTTAGAGGATACAACACCAAAAAAATTAAATACTGTGAATATGACCTTCCAGTCAATTACATTATATATGCTAATATTGGCTATATTTCAAAAGCTCTGTTTAAAATAAATGATAAAAAATGGAAAAAACCAATTTTTAAACGTGACTTTTTACACTTACAGTCCTTTGTGCCATTTTCTACAACTGAGTATTCTTAATTGAGTTTAGAAAGGGGTCAACCTTATCACTGATCACATTTGAAAATGTTTTACTTACAATTTATACCAAGACTATCATGATATTTTTGGTTTATTTCTCTATTGTAAAGCTAGAATTGTCTATTAACAGGCATAGTAAAAGTGACTCTTCATTAAACAGAGGCAAATTACTTATACAACTTTAGGTTAATTATTTGAGGGCTCAATTCTTCACCTATAATCTTTATGATCTTGTTTAGTATTAATAGTCTCTGAGTCTGTGTTTTTGTTCCTGTAACATGGTTTAATTTATTTCATTTTGATAGATCCACTTAACTAGAACACACAAGTATGGATGTGAAAGAACATGGTCATTGGAAGCAGTCAGATGTGAATCTGAAACAAGACTGTTATTTACTAGCTGTGTGATCTTGGATAACCTATATGGCTTCAATGTTCACATCTGCAAAGCAGACTTAAGAAGTGTCAAGATTAAATGAGAAAAGAAATCTAAAGTGTCTATCATGGCCCTTGGTACATGGCAGGCATTCAAAAATGGGTAGTGATTATAAATGGATATATGGGTAAAAGCTAAGAGAACAGGTTTGGTAGATGGCAGTTAAATATTGCAGACAGGGATGAGATTATCTGTGGAACACATGCGGTGTGAAAAAAGTGGCCATAAGACTTTGAAAAATGTAAATATTCAAAGAGCAGGTGCAGCCAGAAGAATTAATCAGGACAAATACTTTTTACAGACACTAGGGAAATAAACTTTAAATTAAAAGAGTTGACTTAGTTTAGCTACTAGGAGGCACTTTGTTATATGCTTAAGGGTGAAGTGGAGAGAAGTCAGAATTCTGTGGGGTGAGGGATGACTGGAAAATAGGAAAGTGAAAGAAGTGACTATTTCTTTTTCAAGTTGCAAACTCAATATTATTACATTAGTATTACTTGACCTTTAACAATTTGCTTGATTTGATAATTTTAGTGCCACAGCATAAGTATACAATGAGATAATACCTATAACAATTATAGTTCCTAAGCATATATACAGTGTGACTATGCTGTTCCTTAACTGTTAGTTTGAGGCAACTAGGATACAAAGATTATAATGAAGATAGTGATGATAGCAAGAAATTACAGATTGCTTACTATATGCATTTTATATATATTAACTCAATATGACTCACTTAAGTAGGATGACTATTATCTTAGTTCACTGAATATGGAAGTGGCAATGGTCATTTGAGACTTTATTCTCAGTAACATCCTTGTTTTCATTTGGATCTGACTCAAAGTTTGTTCTGTCTCAGGCTGTAAAATCAAATTACATAAATATAGGGAAGAACACAGAATAAGTAGGTGCCATGGAGCTTTCCTAACTTGACTTACAAGACAAATGAGGAGACTATGGAGATGAAAAACCAAAAGATACAAAAGCATGACTTAGAAAACTGAACTAAATATTTAAATTTTAAAATGTGTCACACTTAATTCCATAGTAAGCATTACATGAACTGACATTTAAATTCACCTTTTTGTTGATATTTTCTGCCATCCATGGGCTACCAAAATACAGAACCCCATGCTGGGAACATATAATACTCGCTCGGCAACAACAAATCCAACTGGAAAAAAAAGGTTCGATGCAGGAATAAATGGTAATGCCATTAAACAAAGCGCCTACAAAAAAAAAAAGAAGATTTAATAATTTATAATAAATTTAAAATAATTTATAATAAATTAAGAAATATATGGGCATCTGATACTTGAATCCAAATATTTTATCATTTAACCTGGATAGTGTACTGCTAAACTATTTTTAATAATACTGTGAAGAATATTAATTTAAACATAAAGAAGGCAACTTAGACATTAACAAACATCAGGATGTACGTAAGCAAGGTGAAATGGAAATCTTGAATTCTAAAAGTTAAAATTAGAGGATATCTATGAACTTTGAAAACAAGATTTCTAGGTGTGTTTGGGAGTGATTACTCCTTGAAATTAAAATCTAAACCATTACAGCATTTTAAATTTGAGAAGCATAATTAGCTATATCTCACTGGTTTTCTGTAAAGAATATGCTTGCATAGTAAAATATAAAAACTTTAATAAATGTAAATATTCACATCTTTAAGCAAAAATTAAACAATAAAGGTTCATCCAGTTAAATAGTGGAAGTACTTTTTGAAATTCTATCTAAAATAACACACTCAAACAATCATAAGAAAACAACCCAATTTAAAAAATGGGCAAAGTAGCTAAATAGATATTCCTCAGAAGACAACATGCCAATGGCCATCAAGTATATAAATGTTCAACATCACTATCATTAAGGAAGTGAAAATTAAAACCACAATGAGATGTCATCGCACACCTGTAAGAATGGCTATTATCAAAAAGTCAAAAGATAACAAATGTTGGCAAGAACGTAAAGGAAACACTTGCACACTGTTGGTGGGATGTAAATTAGCATTGCCATTAAGCAAACAGTAGGAAGGCTTCTCAAAAAATTAAAAATAGAACTACCATGTGACCCAGCATCCTCACTACTGGGTATAGATCCAAAGGAAATGAAGTCAGTATGTTGAAGAGAGATCTGACCTCCCCTGTTCATTGCAGCATTATTCAATTTACAATAGCCAAGATATGGGAACAACCTAAGTATCCATCAACAGATTACTGGATGAAAAAAATGTGGTACATATACACTTTAGAATACTATTTAGCCTTAAAACAGAAGGAAATCCTGTCATTTCTGACATGGATAAACCCGGAGGACACCATGTTAAGAGAAATAAGCCAGCCACAGAAAGACAAACAACGCATGATCTCACTTGTATGTAGAATTTGTAAAAGTTGAACTCACAGAAGTACAGTACATGGTGGTCACCAGGGTTGGAGGGAGAAGGTTGGGGAGAGGTTGGTCAAAAGGCATAAAACTTCAGTTAGGAGGAATACAAATTAAATAAATAAAAATTTTACACATCTAACTTATGTGCGTGTGGTAAAAATAAGATGATAATGAAATATGCTAATAGGTTTTTCAACAAAACAAAACCACAAATGCTGATTAAAAAAAAGCTAAACATGTCAGTTTTTACAACTTTACTACTTTAAGAAACCACATGATATTGGAAACTGAGGGAATGAAATCAGGTGTCGTTCAGACAAGATAGCAGACTACTGTACCTTAGCATTACTTCACATAACATCCTGAAAGGTTAAATGTATTTAACTAGAAGCTTAGTGTATGCATAAAAATAAAACTGCCCCCCTTTAAATCAACAGTCTTTCATTCTACAAGAATTTCTAAAATTATTAATATAACACTGAACATTGAAATGAAACATCATAAAAATGTTTAGATTTCTTACCATTTTGAAAATGGGATGACATGTGGTTTCCACATTATACACCCATAAAAAACTAGCACATAAATAGCTTGTGAAGGAAATAAGTTTGGTCGTTATTAGGAAATCTGTTTCTATGGACATCTGCTTCCATATTTTGTTACCCCGATTTGTTTTACAGTACTTAATTGAATAAACAAGTTAAACCTTTAGCTTCACAAGTTTGAGACTCTTCTAATGGGCTAAGGTGAAAGAATGTCCTTTTTTTCTATTTGACTTAATTTGTGAAATATAGAGGTGTATACATTGAAAAGAATACTCTCCACAAATGTTCACACATTAATGATTTGTAATAAGGCAACACTGAATCTGAGGAAAATCACTACCATCAAACTGGTCACCATCATACCAATTTATAGGTCTGACACTTCAGTTTTTTTAAATCAAAAAGGTAAGAATAACTAAGAGTGCATAGAATTCACTTTCCATTTCCCAGAGATGCTTGACAAAAATAATCAGCAAAAAATGTGAAACAGATAAAGAAAAGTTCCTGAATATGTATGTAGTTCATTGAAAAAAAAATTATACCTATTAATTCATGGCCGCCCCAAGGCAATTTCACTTGAGGGAATTAAGTGTTAAATTCACTCAAAAGTGTATTGTAGACTGATGCATAAACTATACAAAACAAAAAAAATCTCTCAGGAAAAATCTATAGGTTCTGGGATAAGAAATGTCTCTAATGATTAACTTATTCACAGGTCCTAATATGCTCTCTAATAATGTATGCCAACCTAGTTAACTATCACTCTCTTGTAATTTCCTTCTTCCAGTAGCATAAACTGTCCTTAAATGTTAGGATATTAGTAGAAAGAGCAAAGAGTTCGAGACAAATCTGCTTTACTTCTCATTTCCTACATACGGCAAACCACTCAGTCACCTCCAGAGTCTTTCTTTCTTTTTTTCTTCTTCCTTTTTTTTTTTTTCTGACAGGGTCTTGTCTGTCATCCAGGATAGAGTATAGTGGCATGATCATAGTCTACTGCATTCTTGAACTCTTGGGCTCAAGCAATCCTCCTGCCTCAGCCTCCCAAACACCTAGGACTACAGGTATGCACTACCATGCCTGGCTAATTTAAAAATTTTTTTTAGAGGTGGGATCTCACTGTCTTGCCCAGGTTTGTCCCAAACTCCTGGCCTCCAGTGATCTTCCCATTTCTGCCTCCCAAGGCACTGGGATTACAGGCATGAGCGATTGAACCCAGTTAGTTCTTTACAAATAAAATGGGGATTAATAACAACTTACATTATGCTGTTGACATATATATGACATCTTATCTAATAAGTGCTTAACATGGTATCTGGTAGGTGCTCCTTTGTTCTACTTATCCCTTCCAGAGATCTTCAGAAAACATCACCATAAAAAAAATAGCACCTTTATTAGGACTATACTGAAAATAGAGTTATGCTTAAGGCCACAGCTGTTCCATTTTTATATACATTTAAAATTCAGCTTACATTACATACACCATTATTTTATTTGCTGAAACCTTAATTCCCCTACCTCTCCTTTTTTTTTAACCTTTCTTTTAGGAAAACTCCAGCTTTAGATGTATTCTACCGTTTATTTCTTTTGTCTGTATTTACCAGAGTGGCAACGCACTGCTAGAGAAAGTCCCAAAGCTGAACAGATTAATACTGTCATAAAAGCATGAGCACCAAGTTCAAATTTATCCTTAAGACTGTTTGGGATTTCTAGGTTTCTCTGGAAAGTTCCTTCCACTCTTCTTGACTGCTTTGAATCTTCACTACTTTTCTCAAATTTTTGACCCATGTCAGTTTTAGCAGGCAACTACATTTCCTAATTTACAATGAAAGCTGAAGCCATAAAACAAGAATTTCTTTAATTTCCTGCTACTAAACCTACCAACATCCACATTCATTTCTTCTTGTAACATAAGGGGTGTCTCTTCTATCTCAGGCCAAACCTGTGCTCCCTATCTCCTGCTCCTCATAAACTTCACTAACAATTATCCCTTCTCTAATTTATTAACCACTTTCTAATCAACTGTATTCTTCCTATCTATATTTAAACATGCTCTTGTCTCTCCAGCCTTAAACATCTTTAACAATACATTTTTTAAGCTACCTTCCCTATTCGTTACATACCTCAGGTACAAAACAAGTTCTCATGATCTTAGGAAAAGATTTTGTTGCCATAGTATCAAGTAGCCCACTTAACTAATCAACTTAAGTCTACCACTTAACCAATCAACATTTCAGCTTAATAAATATGTTCCTGCAAGCCAACCCATCAGGGATATCCGCATTCAAAAAAGTCAGCTGAGTAGCTGAGTACGCCAATAAAAATGCTTCTATATGCCAACCAATCAACAGTCTCTCCCTGACATTGCTCCCTCCTACCTCTGAAGGTCTACCAATGCCAGATCTCAATGCTTCCCCAGGCCCTACATAAGATAAGCAGTTTGTTATACTTGAAACCATTGCCTGACCAGCATAGTCTTCCCTTAGGGAGGAATTAATCAAGTTTATCCCATCCTTTGAAACAGTCAAAGTTAAATTATTCCTACAGGTCTATACTAGCTCTCTTCACTTCCTCATCAAATCACTCACTGCACATAAACAAATTTCATTTAAGTACCTACAGACTAAAAGAAGTCCAATCCAACAGATTCTAGATCTCACTTTCCCCCTCAAGAGCATCTGTTAGTGTTAACCATTTGGTCTGTAATACACTTTCCTACTTTTCTCTTCATTCGATATGTCTTCTATTCAGGATCCTTCTCTTCAACATCTAAATATAGGAGTTTCTCAAGACCTAGTAGTAGGTATCTTCTCTTTTCACTGTATTTAGCCCACTCAACTGTTTTCTGGGGAGAATTAAGACCAAATACCCTAAGGCTTCCATTATGAGTATGAGTGAACTTCTGTGCATCTAGAATGTTAACAGCTACCATCTTTGACAGAATTGACAAAACCCCAGTTGAGAAAGGCTGCTCTATAACCTCATCTACATTTCACCTTATCTACATCCTGGTTTCAATTACCACCTCTATGTTAATGGATAAGATTTCTATGTGTAACTTAACTATCTTCTATGAACTCCAGACATAAAGTGCTGTTCAAAATGTCCAACAGGATGTTTCAACAGTAATGCAAACTCAACATGTTCAAGGATAATAGACAACACAATCTTTAAATCTACTCTGTATCTCAGACATCCAAATTTCTCTAGAATGTAAGTTCTCTGGAAACGTGAACTGTGTAAGTTCTCTGGAAACGTGAACTGTGTATTTACTATCATAACCTCAGCACCTAAAATGCTGCACTGTACAAAGGGTAAAGTCTAAGTTTTTATTGAATGAATAAATCAATCTAGCAGCTACAGCAAAAAATTATGTATCTGCAATTCATTAAACATACTTTCTGACATATAATAAATGCCTGAGAAAATGTACTATTGTCTTCAATAAACTTTTATTTTTATTTTTGTTTTTTTGAGAAAGAGTATTGCTCTGTCGCCCAGACTAGAGTGCAGTGGCGCAATCTCAGCTCACTGCAAATTCCACCTCCCTGGTTCAAGTGATTCTTGTGCCTCCGCCTCCTGAGTGGCTGGGATTACAGGCACCCACTACCACACCCAGCTACCCAGCTAATTTTTGTATTTTTAGTAGAGACGAGAGTTTCACCAGGTTGACCAGGCTGGTCTCAAACTCCTGGCCTCAAATGATCCACCTGCCTTGGCCTCTCAAAGTGCTGGGATTACAGGCAAGAACCAACGCACCCAGCCTGTCTTCAATAATTAAAAGGGAGAGAAAACATAACTCTTATGAGTATGAAGTGACACAGGGTAAGAAAATAAGAAGAAAAACAGTACAGAAAAACCACCACCAAAAAAAAAAAAAAAAAACTGTTCAAATAATCAGAGTTCTCCGAACATAGTGAAAGCTATCTAAGGGAGTAATAAAAACCACCTTGCTCATGAGAACTGAAAAGCTCTATATTTCTAGTTGTATATCTTATATGATGTTCTTCTCTGTGCCAAGAAAACAAATAATATACAATATAATCAATTTCTTCAAAAAGTGTATAATCTAGTTGGATAAAGGTAACAAATATTTTATGTGCTGAACATATGTCAAATTATGCCTGCAAATTAACTGAGAATTTTGGGATAAACTCAAATACGTTTATAAATTGGGATGCCGTTGAACAAAGAAAGGAGTGCTTCTAAAAAGATGCTTTTGCTGAATTAAAGGTAGTTTCTTACTTATTCAACTGAATGTTAACATCATTTGGAAGTTAAGAAAAGTTTCTTACCATTAAAACAGTCTTGGAGGAATCACCAGAGTATCTGATACTGAATACTCCCAACATCCCCAGAAAACAAAAGAAAGTAAATGTGGCCAGATTTCGAATATCTAGTAATGACTCTATAAGTGGTATTGTTCCCATGGTCCAATCACAGCAGAGCTCTGAAGGATTTAATAACAACCAAGCATTCACAGGAAGGAGGTAGTTAAAAGTTAGTTGCCTTGTAGGAGTTGGGCTTACAGCAGCTGGGTTATCAAACCTGTATAAAGGATTAAAAAAAAGATTACAAATAAAACTTTTAAAGTACAGAATTATTTACATAAGTAAAACACTAAACAATAAACATTTTATATATCATCTTATTAAACAGAAGACACAGACAAATGTTATGTGTACCTCAGACTCTTGCTAGAGTTCAAACTATCAAAACTTTATGAAACATCTACTTCAGAGAAGTGATATTTATGAAGGACTGTTTGAAAGGCAAGCAGGTCATCCATTTCTGTTTATTATTAGAATAATTCAGACATGCATCCTATAATATTACAACACTGCAAAAGTGTTCCATTAAACCTTTTGATTAAAAGTAGTAACAAAAAGTTGTATAAGATTTATGGTTGTATGTGTTGTATGAATCACTTTTGAAAACACTCACCAATGCTTTCCTACATGAGACATTTCTTTTAGAGCTAAATGCTAATTAAAAATTATGCTTCCTGGAAAAAATTCGTATATTTTTCTTCTGTCATGGAGAGAGAAAACCATATCACCTAGCTTCCTTCCCTCTTTTCTTTGACTCCTAGGAAGCTAAAAACCAAATTTCTAGTACAAAGTAGTAACTGTGTAGGCCTGTGTAAGAATTTGTGTTCTACTTTCTCTCTTAGTAAATACTAATATAAGCTTATATCATAGTTTATCTTTTCCCAGGCCACAACATATATACATTTCATTAGTTTAGTCTGTGTTCTAAATTATATTGGTTATAATATATAGTACTTAAAAGACCCATTTTCTCATTTTAAGATGAGTAAGCCAAGGAAAATCAACTACTGCCACTTATTTGACTTGATTTTCTGAAAACATATCAAATATTTGATAAAAATAAATACTATTTGAACAAATAATATCATTTCAAAATTTTCATACGGAATCTCACAACTTACATATTATTTTTCAGATAAAATAATAAATCTTGAGTCTGAACTTGAATTCTCAAAATAACCAGCAGAACTGAATAAAAAGTTATCTTTTTGCCTATAATTCACTATTCGGAATTTAGTTTTAAAAATTACAGTTTATTTAGGATAGCTGATTTAAAGAAAGAGTTAATGTCAAAATAAATCAAATTATATTAAATCCAACTTCAGAGGGTAATAGAATTTATACACACATACACAAACATATATACACAATGTTGAAATGCTTTATTTGGAAAATATTTATATGCTATAAGCACCATATTCATACCTACTAACACATACATAAATTCACACCTATAAACTATATTTTTAGACTGTAGATAGGGAAATAGAAAATAGTTGATTCAAATTCTCTAAAAGGAATAACAGAAAACCAATGAAACTAAGAAGGAAATCCGAAGTCTTATATAAACAATTCAATCTTCTCTATTTCCAATACTGTAATATCTGCACAAGTTCATTTTAGCACGGCTAGACTCAGAGATAAAAATCCAGGATATTAACAAGTAATTATTCTTTAAAGAAAAAAAAATGCTAGGGAGGATAGTTATGTGAAAATATCACACAGTTTTGGGTTTAAAAATTATCTGAATAAAATTTATTCTACCCAGCGCCAGCAATGCACGATCATGTAACATAATGTGAATAACATGTTGGCCTTTTGTTAAAAATAAAAGTTCTTGCATGTAATGGCAATAACTTAAAATTGAACAGGGAAATAGTATAAATTTCATTTTAAATTTTAGCCAAGTCAGGTGAAATGAAAAAAGGCTAAATGTTAAAGTAGATAAATATGATATGCAGACTTAAAATTCACTATATCTTCTGCTTTCTAGCCTTAAACAACTAAAAAACTGTATAAGAGGTATAATTTTTTTTTAAACATACTGAGCATAAGGTGAAAAAGGACTGTAATACCTGAGAGAAGAAAAACAAATAAGGGGAGCTTTTTCTGGAAAGAGTTTAGTACCTGGATAGAGTTTTTAGTCAGTAAAACAGCAAGAGGGAACCCAGGCTGAGCCCAGTGGTATACTGAATTGAGAGTATGAAGTTGGGAGCCCTAGGAGTGCGGGGGCTAGAATTAGTGAGGAAGAATCCAGACAGAAGAAAGCTGCTGAGAAAGAGAACCTGAGACATCTGTAGAGGGTCTCTCTCCAGTTTTCAATATTGATGAGTTCTTTTTTTTTTTTTTTTTTTTTTGAGACAAAGTCTTGCTTTGTCACCCAGGCTGGAATGCCATGGCACAGTCTTGGCTCACTGCAACCTCTGCCTCCCAGGTTCAAACGATTCTTGTGCCTCAGCCTCCCGAGTAGGTGGGATCAGTCGTGCACCACCACGCTGGCTAATTTTTCTATTTTTAGTAGAGATGAGGTTTCCCCATGTTGGCCAGGCTGGTCTCAAACTCCTGACCTCAAGTGATCACCTCAGCCTCTCAAAGTGCTGGGATTACAGGCGTGAGCCACCACACCTGGCCTGATTTTGATGAGTTCAAATCAGCACATATATGTGAGGAAATACCCATGGTCGGTGTAGTGGGTTGAATCATATTTCTAAAAAATTCATGTCTACCCTAACTTCAGAATGTGGTGTTATTTGAAAATAGTTTCTGCCAATATTAGTTAAGATGAGGTCACACTGGGTTAGGGTGGGCCCTAAATCCAACGACTGGGGTCCTCATAAAAAGAGAAGAAAGAGATACACTGGAAAAGAAGGCAATGTGAAGACAAAGTAGATTGAAGTGATGGAGTTACAAGCCAAGGAATGCCAAAGACTGCTAGCAACCACCAGAAACCAGCAGACAGTTATGGAACAAATTCTTCCTTAGAGCCTCCAGAAGGAACCAATTGTGCTGACATACTGATTTGGTATTTCTGGCCTCTTGAACTGTGAGGGAACAAATTTCTGTTATTTTAAGCTATTCAGTTTGTAGTTATTTGTTACAGCAGCCTTCAGAAAACTAATACAATCAGGCAAAAACCTCCTGAATGCATTAGAGCTAAAAATTCCCAAATATACCGAGCCAGGAATAGTTCCTCGGCAGACAGTGTGGAAATCTTCGTAATTTACAGTTCACATCCAATAGTCAAAAAGATCTTGCATCAGTAGTGAAGTGAAATTAGTCTTATCCTAAATGCTATTGTGGTCCCACAAAACAAAGCTTAAAAGCAAGACTGGGCTGGGTGCAGTGGCTCATGCCTGTAATCTCAGCACTTTGGGAGGCTGAGGTGGGCGGATCACCTCAGGTCAGGAGTTCAAGATCAGCCTGACCAATATGGAGAAACCCTATCTCTACTAAAAATACAAAAATCAGCTGGGCGTGGTGGCGCATGCCTGTAGTCTCAGCTACTCAGTAGGCTGAGGCAGGAGAATCGTTTAAACCTGGGAGGTGGAGGTTGCGGTGAGCCGAGATTGCGCCATTGCACTCCAGCCCTGGGCAACAAAAGCGAAACTCTAATCTCAAAAAAAAAAAGAAGAAAGAAAAAAAGCAAGACTGAAAGATAAAACATTTTCCAAGTAACTTAAATGCATTCCAGAATAAAACTCAAAATTTATAGAATACATTAAGGTAAAATTCACAAATGGTATCTGTTCAACAATTTCCCGACATGCAAAGAAGCAGAGAAATACAACCTATAATGAAGAGAAAATTTATTCAATAAAAACTGACCAAGGAATGACACAGATGATAGAATTAGTAGGCAAGGACATTAAAGCAATAGAACATGTAGAGATATAGAAGATATAAAAGAATACTCAAATCAGACTTCCTTCTGAAGATGAAAACAGATTCAGAGGTAAGAAACAACTAGATGAAATTAAGAGTAGATTAGATATTGCAGAAAAAAGATTAGTGAACTTGATATAGCAAAAGAAACTATCCAAACTAAAAATGGTAAAAGATTGAGGGAAAAAAACAGAGCATCAGTGCAACAACTTCAAGAAACTTAAATATACTTAACTGACATACAAGAAAAATAGGAAAAAGAAAAGATGGCAAAAATATTTGAAGACTAGCTAAACATTTTCCAAAATTTTTACAAAATTAAAATCTACAGATTTCAAGAAGCTCAGTTTACCTAAGCACAAGAAACATAAATACATAAGAAACAATGGTAAACAGGAAATATTAAAAACAGGCATAGAAAAAATACACATAACATACATTAGCATAAAGAGATAAGGATGATAGAGGTTTTCCCACTGAAAACAATAAAAGCCGGAAGACAGTAGATTTACATTTTCAGAATACTGAATGAAAAAGCCAGTGTAGAATTCTCCACCCAGAGAAGGTATCTTTCAAAACCTGATATTTTTAATCAGAAGTGCTAAAGAAATTCCTTCAGGTAAAAGGAAAAATAGTACCAGATAAAAATCTTATCCAACAAAGGAATAAAGAACACTGGAAATGGTGACTCATGGTTAATGTAAAATACTTTTTTATTATTTAAATTCCTCCAAGACAATTGTTTAAAGCAATGTATGTTCAAGGAAAACATATGCAAACTGCACAAAAGTTAAGTTCTTACATATATAAAATGTATATTACATATATTTATACTATATATACACTGATATTTTTATTTTATATATATATTCGAAATTAGAATATTCCTTGAAGGTAAACTGTGATAAGCAGAGGATGTTCTAAAATCCCTAAAGCAACACTAAAACAACAAAGATTTATAGCTAATAAGCCAACAAGGAGATAAAATGAAATATTAAAAAAAGAATCCAAAGGAAGGTGGAAAGAGAGAAAAAAGGAACAAAGATTAGATGAGACAAAGAGAAAACAATTTTATCAAGATGAAAGATTTCCATCAAACTATATCAATTATCAAATTAAATATAAATCAATGATATATCCCATCTAAAAGTCAGATTATCTGACCAAACAACAAAAGAAGACCAAATTGTATGGATGCTACAAGAAATCCTCTTTATAAATAAAAGCATAGACAGGTAAAAAGTAAAAAGATGGAAAAAGATACACCACCTAACACTAACGAAAGACAGCTGTGATAAGAAAAAGTGAATTTCTGAGTAAAGACTATTACTAGGGATGAAGCTCATTTAATAATGACAAAGGGATCAGTTCCTCAAGATGACTTGACAATCCTAGTTGTTTACGCACCTAATAGCAGAGCTTCAAAAACGCACAAAACAAAAACCGACAGAAGTGCAAGGAGAAATAGCGAAATCTACAAGTATAGTCAGAGATTTCAACATCTCTCAGTAACTGACAGAATGAGTAGACAAAAATCACTAAGGATATAGGAGACTAAATTAACACTAACCTTAACACTTAACCAGTTTGGGATGGGTCATTCATTATCTTTATTGTGGGGGCTTTAAGGGTGTATACATATGTCAAAAATTATCAGTACATAAATTTTAAATATATGCAGTTTAAAAAATGTTAATTATAGCTTAATAAAACTGTTAAAAAACAAAATAAAATACTTTCTTCAACATTTATGATCATTAAAATCCAAAGTTAAAAAAAAGAATGGAGAAAACAAAGAACCAGAATTTCATACCTGGTGAATACTGGAAGTTGGGATTGAATAACCTGGACTCTAATCACAACAAGTAATAATGTACTGAACATCAAGACAATGAGTTTTACTAGTGTCTGCAGCATAGAAAATGGAATGCTACCCTTTCCACGGAGAAACTGTCCAGCAGTAGTACATAGTAATGGCAAAGTATACTGAAAAAGAAAAGAAATGTTTTAAGCAACAAATAACGACATATCTCAATGTTTTCAATACTGTAGTACTTTCTAATTGCAAGATTAGATACAAGTATAATTATAAAATTAATGTGGAAGAATGTGTGAAGCTAATAATGAATAAAACTGAGCTCAACAGTCTTACCTAATAATGAATTATACTGTACAGTACTATTGCATACTTTTCCAAGCTGCCTAATGATTCCATTATTGAAATTTAAAACACAGTTCTTAAAACACTTAAAGTATCATAAAATGTTAAGTAATTTTCAGTAGGTATGAGGATAAAACATGATTTCTGGTATTATTATTGGTAAACACATTAATTTACATAATGATACATTTAGAAAATAAAAATAAATAAAATTTGATTCAACTAGGATAAAATATATCAATAAGAAAATTTATATATTTATAGTTTGGCTTACCCCCTGGGCAATAAACACTTCATACACACAGCAAATTCCTACAACTGTTATTCCTTGTTCTTTACATAATGTTGCAACAGCCACTAAAAACACTGTCAAGGCAATTGGAGTCCATACTGCAATTTGAGAACAGAAAATATAAAAATTCAGAAAACAATTTTATAATATCAAAAAAAGATATTTTAAACTTTGTGATTCCATATCCATATGAGTGCTATTTCTCATTAATTAGTAGTACATACTTTAAAATATACTTAAATTTAATAATTTTTACTTTATACATTCAAAGCAAAATATCAACATGTATAATTTGAACTGAAATTTTTTACAAAGAGAAAAATTATTTCATCAAATACTAACTTTTAAAACAAAGGTAGGGTGGTGAATTTGGAGAAGAGAAATTTACAGGTTTGTGTGTCATAATTAATGAGCTATCATTCTGAAATGAAGACAAATTCCTGAAATTATGACAGATATCTTTATACCTTATTAAACTGATAAATTATTAAAAACTTAAAATTTAAAAGTATTGGGAAAAGTAGGGTACTATACTTTTTTTTTTTTTTTAAGACAGGGTCTGGCCCTGTCACTCAGGCTGGAGTAAGTACAGTGGTGTGAACATAGCTCACTACTGCCTTGAATTCTGAAGTTCAGGCAATCCATCTGCCTCAGCCTCCCAAATAGGACTACAGGCATGTGCCACCACATCTGGCTATTTTTTTTTTTATTTCTGTAGAGACAGGGTGTTGCTATGCTGCTCAGGCTGGTCTCAAACTCTTGGCCTCAAGCCATCCTCCCACCATGCTGGGATTCCAGGCACGAGCCATTGTGTCTAGCCCATTTTTATAAAAACTAAAATGAAAGTGGTTAACAATAGGCACTTAAATAAATACTATTCTTCAAAAAATTTGCAATAGACTATAAGTTCTATTTAAATGAAAAACATACTTCATCAACTTTAAGTAAGTGTCTACCATGTAGTAGTAATTTGACTAAAGAGTAATGAACTGTGAAAGTTCATTGTGAACTTGTGAGTTTGGGCAGCTTTTCCAGGCTTCAGTTTTCTTATGAAAAACTATAATCTCTAATTCTTTTCTAGTTTAAAAAAAGATCTGGTAGTATGACTGTGTGATCTCAGTTTGGTTTTCTTTTTTTTTTTTTTCCTTTTTTTTTTTTTGAGACAGAGTTTCGCTCTTGTTGCCCAGGCTACAGTGCAATGGCACGGTCTCAGTTCACTGCAACCTCTGCCTCCCAGCTTTGAGTGATTCTCCTGCCTCAGCCTCCCGAGTAGCTGGGATTACAGGCATGCACCACCATGCCTGGCTAATTTTGTATTTTTTAGTAGAGACGGGATTTCTCCATGTTGGTCAGGCTGGTCTTGAACTCCCGACCTCAGCTGATCCGCCCACCTCGGCCTCCCAAAGTGCTGGGATTACAGGCGTGAGCCACTGTGCCCGGCCGTGACCTCGGTTTTTATTAAGACTATTAACTAAAGCAAAAATTCAAATAATTGACTTAAATCTAAATATAAACAAGAACAGAATTCATGAATACATTTTCTTCTGTCACTGGGCTTAATATAGAAATACATATTTTTGAAATTGTTTTCAAAGTACTCTGTAGACTAAAATTACTGAAGGAAAAAATAACCGAAAACAAAGAAATAAATGAAAAAAACCAAACCCATGAAACTATTGCAGATACTAAGTATAATAATACTCTTTCCTTAAAAAAAAAAATCTTATAATCTCATTAGGCCAAAACATCAATACTAATATAATAGATTATATTACACTACAATGCTAAATTCAACAAGAACTTCATAGAGGAAGAAATCAGAAGATGGTTATTTACAAAACAGGCTGGACCTAATGTTGGCCCTTGAAGGATATAGAAGCCATGGAAAAATTGGGAAAGGTGGATGTAGAAATAAATAGGGGTGAGAGTAAGCTAAGCAAATGAAGGATATAGAGAATAGTATGAATGGATGTGTATGTCTACATAAAAACTCATAGGAAATAATAGCATTGAAAGCAGATATTTTAAACAGTTTATATAGCCAGTTTGGCATATATTATTTCACTGAATCTTAAAATCACTCTATGGAGTAAGAACATGGATGTAATCATACCCATTTTTAAGATGAGGAAAGAATTGTAGAGGTATTTTTTAAAAAGTAACAAAGAATAAGGAGACCAAGACTTTAACATGGTTCTTCTGATTTTAAAGTCAGAGCTTCTCAGTAATTTGTATTTCTACTTCAAGGAAGAACAAGCAAATGGTTACCTTTTACAAACTTGAATTCCATCTCAACTAAGAGTAATAAATGCAAATGTCTTACTGAAACCAATCACTTCAGTTCTTCAGCCTCTAGTGACTATATTACTATATAAACACTTTGATTTTACAATCAGATCACTGTGGTTAAAAGTTACATGTGATTTTGTCCAAAACAAGTACACCTGGTAAATAAGTTAAGGACACTTAAATCTATTCCCATTTCAAAATACAGGCTTCTAAACTGACTCTACATGTGTAAAAGAAACACATCTTCAGCAATCACTTATTCAAACAGTTATTTTAAGTATCTACTACATTTCAAGGGTATAGGGAAGAGAGACAAGTAATAATATACTCTGTCAAATGGTGACAACGTTTAAGTGTTATAGAGAAAAAAAGAGGATGAAGGGAAATAAAAATAGTACCACTGGGAAAGATGAGTAGTGATATTGATGACATTTAAGTGGATATTTAAGCAGAAACCCAAAGTAATAAAAAATCAAGTGTAAAGCCCTGAAATTGGATCACCATATTTACAAAAGGGGTATGGGACATGAATATAGAAGTTAAAATGAATATAAAGAATTACAACTTGAAAACCTTTGCACAGGCCAGTGTATACTAGATACAATAGGGAATACAAAGATGATGTGGAAACTGTGGCTTCAAGGGTAAAATTACTAAGAGTACAAAGTATCACAGTGGTTAAGAGGATAAAGAGAGGTCCAAGGTAGATTTCAGTATTTTTTCAATTAGAATTTAAAATACATTACATTCATTCACTTACTTATTTCTTCAATATACTCATACTAAACACCTACTGTAAACTAGGAATCATTTTAGGAAATGAAGATCAAAAAATGGAGAAAAAGTTACCTACCCTAAGGAAGGTCACGTTCTATTGTGAGAAAGCAATAAACAAAAGAAAAATGTAAACTATGTATTTTCAGGTTAGAAATGAGTATTTTCAGAAATGCAAGTTAAAGGTATAGAAAACAACATTACTCTGTTTTTGTTTCGCTCAAATGGTGAACTAGCTTGACCTGTTGGTCCTTTCCCCAAAAATCAACCCTAGAAAAAGGTAAGTAAGAGGGAAAAATAGTTTCTAAGACACTTTTTGTAAAAAAAAAAAAAAAAACACACACACACACAAAACCTTAGCATTTCGAGGTTATTTTAAGCATGTGTGGTTCTGTGAGTGTTATGAGGGATTACATTTAAGGCAGAAGACAAGAGTGGGAATTTTTTTTTTTAACTTTTGTTTTATCCTCTCCTGACTGCTTTGGGTAGATCACTCTCTACTCTGTTACTGCAGAAATCCACAGCTACAATGGCTAGTGGGTGTTCCAGAGGTAAAAGCAGAGCACTTCAGAAGTCTTGATGGGGTAAGAGGTAGATATTTTTTAAAAGGTACAAACCAACCAATCACTCCTAGGCAGTAACTTCTACAGAGCTACCATTTAAATGCAGAGGGATGGTGGACTGGCCTCTTAATGCTGATTCTCTTAAAGAAAACAGAGAGTGTGCCTAGTAGCACTGGTAGGAACAACAGTGATCCACAGCAGCTCTGCGGAACCTGGAACTTTATATCCTGGTTTATAATTCCTTTCATCCCTTCAGACTCACAGGATGAACAAAGAGTGGCCCTGGCCTTTCCCTTTAACAGGCACAGTAGTTTATAACTTTAGAAGAACATGTGCTTGAGCTCACAAGCCAAAACAACTCAATATCTGAAGGATACAACAATCATAAAACAGAGAGAACAAACATAATAACATATACTACTAAATCAGAATTACTTAAAGAGACAGACCAAGAATTTCAAATAATTCTTTTTTTTTGTTTTGAGATGGATTCTGTCTCCCAGGCTGGAGTGCGGTGGCGTGATCTCGACTCACTGCTACCTCCGCCTCCCAGGTTCAAGCGATTCTCCTGCCTCATTCTTCCGGGTAGGTGGGACTGCAGGTGCCTGCCACTACGCCTGGCTAATTTTTGTATTGTTAGTAGAGACAGGATTTCACCACAATGGCCCAGGCTGGTCTCAAACTCCTGACAATGTGATCCGCCCACCTCAGCCTCCCAAAGTGCTGGGATTACAGACGTGAACCACTGCACCCAGCCCAAATAAGTAATTCTTAAGGAAATACAGCAAGATATTAGAATTGTAAAGAATAAGAAATCATTAAAAAGCACCAAGTACAAGTATTTGGAACAAAAGATATAATATGGTGAAAAGCTATTTCAGTTAGAACAGGGAAGGCTTTTCTAAGACAGAAATACTTAAGCTGAGGCCTGATAATATAGAATAGTGTATAAATGAGACTACTACATAAAGATCTAAGGGAAGAAAATTCAATAATGGGAAATGCAGGTATAAAGGTGGGTGCTCTGCCTGTTTGGGAACAGCAAGAAGGTCTATCTAGCTATAGTGAAGACAGCTAGGGCAAGAATGGCAGAAGATATGATTAGACAGGTAATTGAGAGCCTGATTATAATCCTGTAGGCCACAGTATTTTCTAACTTTACCATTCAGGCTTTGGTGAGGATGGTACTTAAAGAGGATACTGGTCTGCAATTCCATATTAGTTACAAAAGTACCTCCTACTACATGATGCACTGCACAGGTAGGGGACTATTATTATGCACATTTAACAGATAAAGAAATGTTAAGCACAGAGAGGTTAATTTGCCTGATGTGTTACGGTGAATGGAACTAGTAAATAAACAGTGGAGCTAGAATTTGAAACCAGACTCTTTAGTCCATGCTTTTAAGTACTATGCTATGCTGCCACTCAAATTGTTTTAAGAAGGCATTATGCAGAGCAGCAAAGGCAAACCTACTATTACAAATCCAGAACACTCTTAAGATGTTTGGCTAAATCATGTGTTTCTTGAACCTCAGTTTCCACACATAAAACTAGTCTTCTTGTCATGAGTACCTTGGAACTACAGTGAGAAAATCTGCCCCTTCCCCAAGAACTTAAAGGTTTGTGCCCACTGTGCCCACACTTGAAAAAAATCATTTTTATTGCCTAGAACTTGTTTTCTGATAATGCCAGGAATCATTAAGAGTAATGAGCTAATGTATTCGAAGCACTTTCCAGGGTAGGTCACAAGGTAGGAGCTCAATAAATAGCTATGATCAACACACAATAAAAGTTATATTCTAGGAGGCTTTTAACCTTACCTAAACAATATGACAGTCTACCAGGTGTTATTTATCCAAAGACAACTGAAATACTGGAATCTATATCATTAATAGATAACAGAAGATGGAACTAGGACTAACTCTAAAACTCTTCTATTCTAAGGTTATTTGGTTTTTAAAATTAGATCATATAAAATCTATTAGCTCAAGATAAAAATATAAATTATACACAAACTTCCTAAATACTAGCAATGTTACATATTTCATATTTTCACATATGCTAAAGTAAAACAATACATAAAGATAAATCCCAAATGTGGTATATAATGTGTTATAAGAAGCACTTGGAGTAAATAAAAATTCCTTAATCAAGTTTTAGCACTATTAAAAAAAAATCAAATGTGAGACATGTACTTATGGAATTGTCTGGTCCTTTTGATCTGGTATATGACAAAAAAGCTGCTAGAAAAAAGATAGATGACAAAAGTTCTGCTCTTCCAACAACTCCTGTTACCTAGAAAGGAAAAATGAAGGGGGTTCATATTAATAAAGAATATCTTGAAAAATTACTATATATAATGGTAAAAATACTTTAATTTCCGTAACTTTTCAAGTGCACATTTGTTTCTTAAACATTCTTTGGGTGCCCTCAGGTGGTGAATTTGTGAATCTTACATAAATAGACATTTATTAGTGACTCTTAACAGTTTATACTTTTTTAAATTTATTTTGAAATAATAATAAGACTTATAGGAAGTTTCAAAACTAGTAAAGAGAGATCTTGCGTACTCTTTATCCAGCTTTCTCCAATGGTAACCACGTAAATATGGTAGAATATCTAGAACTTAAGTACTTCTTACATATTTTCTTAAAATACGAATGTTCTTAATATACAAAGGCACCATAAATTCAAAAAGTTACATCTCATAATAAATCTGAAAAATAAAGTTTAAAAAGACAATAAACTTTAAATAGTCCTTAGAAATCTTGTTCATTAAAAAAAGTGACCGAAGAACTGTATTCATGTATATATTTCTAAACAGATTTTATATTATTGAATGAAAAATGTTTATGTTTCAAAAATGTTAAATTTAAAAATTTTACACAGTAGGAAGTTATACTTTGCATACTAGGAAGTTAAGAATTAACTGTACGAATTTAAGAGTCTTCAAATATTTGGATTAAAGTCAGGGTTAATTTTTTTTTTTCTTAAAAATATATACCATTATAATCACTGTGCAGGATTTGTAAAAAAGGAAAAAGAAAAAAAGTCAGTTCATAGTTTTACTTACTGCTTCTGTGTGTATTGGGTGCACTGCAAAAAGTAAAGAAGCAATCACACTACTCTTGTTGTCCAGAAAAAGTTTGCATACTTTGAGAAATATCACACTAACCACAGCATGAAAAATCATATTCAGGAGATGATATGACATTGGTTTTAGTTCACTTAACAAATAATTTAAGCGAAATGTCAATACTGTTAAGGGACGGTAAGACTTGTGGCTTCTCTCCTACAAGGAAAAAACGATCAGTGATTATTAAAGTACCTTGGTCCAACAGGGTACAAAAGCTCATCACTGCATTTACCATTAAAGATATTAATATCTACATTTTACTGAGAAATAACAATAAAATATGAAATGTCGTAAGAGTAACACAAAAATAAAATACAGTTTTATAATCTGTGTTTTTCTATTTCCTTAGGCCACAAACAAGGTTAATTTCCTCCTGGATATACAGTGGTCAGAGAACTAACAGTAAAAGGACATTTGACAATTAATTCCTCTTCAATATAACAATTTTAAAAAAAGACAATGCCGGCATTGGTCAAGTTAGAGCACAGGATTCTCTCCAAAGCCTGCCTCCATATCTATCAGCAATACAAAAGTTCATGTAACTACTGGCTAGATCTTCAAAAGGAAATGTAAGAACAGAATGCTTACCAGTTCAATTAAAATAGTGATGACTCAAAAAGGTACTGTCTAGCTGTTTTATGAAAAACATCTCCATAATGTGTAAATCTGAATATATTAAACTAGGAATTCCCAAATTACAGAGAGTAATACAAGAGTAAAAACTTTCTTAGAATATGCAAATAGACACCATTCTTGTGGTATTCTCCTTTGGTAATAAATAAAATTTCATGTAAAGTACTGAATCTCTTTTTAAATTATAAGTTACATTTAATCAGAAATACTTCTTTCCCTAACACAAAACCAAACCAGATTTAAGAATAAAACACACAGTTCGAATATATATAAAATATTAATAAAGTTATTTTTTGTAGTTTTATACAAAGGGCATTGACATAGTTTGGATGTTTGTCCCCTCCAAATCTCATGCTGAAATATGAGGAGGTTGAAATGTTGAAGGTTGGGCCTGGTGGGAGATGTTTGGGTCATTGGGGTTGGGTCCTTTATGAATGGTTTGGTGTCTTCCCCACTGTAATGAGTTCATGTGAAAGCTGGTTGCTTAAAAGAGCCTGGAACCTCCTCTCCTCCCTCTTGCTCCCCCTCTCACCATGTGATACACCTGCTCCCCCTTCACCTTCTACAGGTAGTAAAACTTTCAAGGCCTCACCAGAAGCCAAGAAGACGCTGTTGCCATGCTTGTACAGTGTGCAGATCCATATGCCAAATAAACATATTTTCCTTATAAATTACCAGGTATTCCTTTATACTAACGCAAAACAGACTAATATACGCATCCATATTCAGCTTCTTTGCTCTTCTACTTCCTATCATATTTTGCTGTAACTTTCT
This sequence comes from Homo sapiens, assembly GCF_000001405.40. NCBI lineage: Eukaryota > Metazoa > Chordata > Mammalia > Primates > Hominidae > Homo > Homo sapiens. Next base: position 88,152,039 of record NC_000012.12, on the reverse strand, counting down.
GGCACACAAGTAGACTTAAGCCTGTTCATCCTTAGTAGGGAACATTAGGAAACACAAAGAATAAATCTTTCTCATCTTGAAATTAGGAACATTTTAGTATCTCTGTACTGACTATATACTCCATAATGTACTATCTACTTAGAATGTTCTTTCCTGCTTGCCTAATTCCTTTACATCCTTCAAATTTCATCTCAGGCATATAAAGCTATTTTTAAGGCACTGTACTGAACTGACATGATTTGTACTAGAAAGTAGAAAAGGACTCTAGAAACCCTTCGAGTACCTGAAATGTCACTGTGGCTACAATGGAACATATATTCTAGGTGAAAGGATGTACTCAGAAAGTAGAAGGGAATATGTATTTTGAATTGCAGTATACATAATTGTTCAGTTAGGACTATTAGACATACATATACTATAGGTGATGACCAACTAACAGACAGACCAATTATTAACATAATTATTCACATAACTCATTAGGGATCTATTTCAGATTCCACTGTGACAAATCATCATCAGCCTATTAGATACTAAGTTTACTTTGTGAAAACACCTAGGGCCATTATGAATAAAACAATTCAGATCATTATTACTTTCGGGCATATTAAAGAAAAAATTACTCATGATATTAGTTGGCAATAAAAATACACAACAGTGTAATGAATGATTAAGCTAACAGTTCCCTGTTAATGTGAATCTCAATATAGGGATGGCAAAATCATAATGAGATAAAATATTTGCAGAAGTTACCTTAGCACAAGGTACTTTATAGGCCAAATGCCAGAGGAAGGTGGCTCATTACAGCCCCCTCGCTCTCAGCCACGGCTATACCAAAGAATCACCTGGATGACTTAAACAAAAGCCCCACCCTCCCTCCCACACAAAACAACTAAACACACACACACAAAATAAGACAAAAATATTGATACCTATATCCCACTCTGAGATTATCTGAAATAACAGGTTTGGACAGAGCCTTGGTAATATGTTTTCATTCTTTTAAATGCCCCAGGCAAATTCTAATACGGCAGTCAGGGTTGAGATCCAATGAATTATCAATAAATAGAGCAGCACATATCTATAGCATAAGCCTACTAGAGAGATAATCTAAACACTGAGAGGTTCACATGAGTCCAAAGACCCCTAATACGGCAGTATTTATATGGCTTAGGAGAATGTCCTAAGCCCAAAATGTGTCTTTAAGACCTGCATTGGTACAAAAATTCTTGTAAGATACGTGTGGACACGTATCTTCTAGGCTATCATAACTTGATGATATCAATGATTAGATCTTTGAATATGCTAATTCCAGGCTTATCATGAAACCTATGACACCTAAGGATTACCTAGAATAATTTTCCCTAGTGTCACATTTGCCTTCAGGGAGAGAATATGCCCATCAGAAAATACAAGGAAACTACACAACTACACTCTTCACTCTTAATAAACTGTTATTCTAGTTTGTTCATCCATTCTGTCAGAACATATGAGTCTTTTTCTTAGTCCATCTGCTTACGGGCTTTCTGAACAAAATCAAATTTTCAATCTGCAAAGCTGAGAAAATCACTGAACAGATCACTGACACCATGGTATGTGATATGTGTGTGTCCCTGCCCAAATCTTATATCAAAATGTAATCCCCAATATTGGAAGTGGGGCCTGGTGGGAAATGATTGGATTATTAGGGTGGATTTCCTATGAATGGTTTAGCACCACCCCACTTGGTACTGTATTTGCTACAATGAGTTCTTGAGAGAGCTGGCTGTTCAAAACTGTGTAGCACCTCCCACCGTACTCCTCTTGCTCCTGCTTTTGCTATGTGAAGTGCCTGCTCCTGCTTCCCCTTCTGCCATGACTGCAAGCTTCTTGAGGCCTCCCCAGAAGCAGATGCTGCTATGCTTCTTGTACAGCTGACAGAACTGTGAGCCAATAAAACCTCTTTTCTTATATATTACCCTGTCTCAGGTATTTCTTCGTAGCAATACAAGAATAGCCTAATCTAGAAAATGAGACCATTTAATATGGCCAGCTAAACCATCAGTTCAAAACCTCAACATTATGATTAAAATCATAACAGATACTAGCATAAATTGAGGGAATGGACACATAGTTCTGAGGGTCTCTGGAGATCAAAGGTAGGTATAGAGGAGGACAAGCTGTGTAGAATAATGTATAATAGGGCCATATTTTCCCCCTTACTATCAAAAGATTTTTTTTCAAAAGCTAGAATTGGGTGAGAACAAAAAGGCGAATAAAGTCTTCTTACTAAATAAGACAAAATAATTATATGTGCTTGTGATCAGAGGAATGAAAGATTCCATCCCTAACCTTGAGAGGCTTCCAAATTTGGGGAATGGGGAAAGAGGCCACAATGACCGAGAAACATACTGTTAACATTGCAGAGAGTTACATGTTATGTTTCAACAATTTATTCAATATCTATGTGCCAGGTAGTGTAGATAAAATAATTCATTTATTACTTGAGACCTTAAATGACTTATGTTTTTATTCTACTTTTCCACCTGGGAAATTTAGGTTTATTAATATAGAATTTTAGTTTAGAAATCAATATCCCCCAGAAATTTGAAGCATTACTCTCTTTTTTATTTTGGAAAGGAATTATCCTCTTTTACAGATCAGGAAAATTACTTTCCATCTGAAAGATGTATTCTCACCTATTTCACACAGTTAATATATGACATAACTAAAATTAGAATCCATTCTATATGATATCAAGCTGATAAGGGTTTAATCCCAACAGTTTAACAGTGACCTTCAAAACAGTAAAAATACCCTCATAAAAATGAACCATATGGATGAATAAAATATTAAATTATTGAACTAAACTTTTGGGTTCTCGATATATAACCTAAATAACTATTATGTAAGAGATAGGACAAAGATTCAAAATTTGTAATAACCACTTCTTCTGCAAGAGAAATTGGCAATATGTGTACTTACTATTTTTACTCTTAAATTCTTATCTATTTATATTGAAGTTGCCATATTTTAAAATGTTGAAATATATCACATCTCTTTTGCCTTACTCACAAGACAGAAAAAAGAGAAATAAAGTCAATTAGCAAGAAACAGGCATGTATTACACCTATTGCTCTCCCTATACATTTGGTTTTCACATAAATATATATTATTTTTAAGAAGTTAAGCCAAAACTACCTATTGGGTACTATACTCGCTGTCTGGGTGACAGATTGGTACCCCAAACATCAGCATAACGCAATATACCCACGTGACAAATCTGCATATGTAGCCCTGTATCTAAAATAAAAGTTAAAAAAAAAAAAGCAGCAGCCAAGGTACACAGGCAAAGAAATAACCAAGTACTGCTTTAAAGTACTCATCCTCAGCTTCCTGTTCAATTTATTACAAACATGTTACGTTTCATATAAACATTTTAGGGTTAAAAATCTGTAACTGTTGTGATGATAATGTTGATAAAGAATTAGAAGTAATAAAATACCAGAATATTTCAAAATCTGAGACATGTACAAGTAATATGTAAGTAATTACTTACCTCAGACATAGGGGTTCCCCAGAAGTCATTTTGAAATAAAGTTTTTAAAGGTGTAGATGGATGCAAGTCTTTGTTATCCAGTATTGCTGAAACATCATCAAAAACAAAACCACAAAAGAGGCTGTTCCAATAGCAGGCAGTAACCACACCTACTATTAAGGTTATTTCTTTTAGGTTAATATTAGCCATCTTTTCTATAAGCACTTCTGGACAAAAACTGGAAAAAAAATCATGAAGATAAAATAAGGAACATATTTATTCCAAGTAAGTTCAATTTTAGTAGGTGGGTAAGTAATTGCATATTAATTCTCCAGAGAAAAGCGCAGCTAAAATGCCATCCACTTCTAAGAAGCATAAGCTAGTCACATTGTTGAAACTCAGCCCCATCTCTTACTGGATAATGTCCCTGATAACGGGGACATTATGTCAGCCCCCTCTCTTACGGGATAAAGCCAAGTAACCTCTCCTATTCCAAGGCAGAAGACTGGAGGTTTCCTCTGTGGATTATTTAAAACATAGGGTCTCTGATAACAGGGAAAAGGCAGCATATTGAAAATAAAGGCTAAGTAAAAAAAAGTCTGTCCATATATTTTAGGTTGAGACCCTCCATCCCTTTTCTACTGGGCACAAAATTCTGTAAAACTTTACAACACTGAAAACAAATAGGATTCTAAAAGCTTCTGGAAATAAAAAAGGTTCCAGAGTAAGGATCAGGAATCAAAAATCTTTTTTTTTTCACCCAAAATGCTGTTAGAAACAAAACAAAACAAAAAATTCCCTTCCAAAATAAAAAAGGAGTAATGCTTCAAACTTCTGAGGCATATTGATTTCTAAACTAAAATTCTATATTAATAAACCTAAGTTTTCCAGGTGGGAAAGTAGAATAAAAACCTAAGTCATTAAAGGTCTCAAAAAATTTACCTCTGATGTTCCTTTTCAAGAAACTAGGAGAAAAGGTACACTAGTAAAATGAAACAGTATATTAAGAAACAAAGATACAGAAATCAGGAAATGGGATCCAATATAGGACAGCTATATATACATGTTGTAATTTAGAAAAACCGAATGAAACAACTCAGGATATCTACCTTTGGGTAGGTAAAAATCAAGTTTTGTGTACAGGTCAGAAACCTCTCTTCCCATAAATAACCTCAGGCCACTGGCTTGGTAACATCAATTCACTTGGGGTGACAAACTGTTGTTTGGTTAAATGTTCTAACCACAGGAAAGTTTAAAATTAATAGAAGAAAAAAGTAAATTAAACCTGTGGTTTCAGTGCTTTAAAGTTATACTTGGGAACAACTTATGTATCTAATTTTTAGAGTACTTGCAATGTTTAAGAGAATCTAACATCCTGGAGACTTGATACATTAGCTGTTAAATTATTGTTAAATTAAATAATTTAAAATAAATTAAATAATTTAAAAATATATAAAAATATACAATAATATGCATAATAAACAATATTAAATTATGCATCTGATTTTTTAGAGTAACTGCAACCTTTAAGAGAATCTGACATCCTGGAGACTTTGATATATTAGCTGCATAACTATAATTTTAAAATATACAATAATACGTATAATAAACATATTAAACATAATAAACATATTAAACTACTGACTATGTAGTTTCTGGATTCACAACTATAGTTGAAAAGTATAATAATTAGCTAAATACACAAATAGTATTGGAATTTTTATAAGAACTTGGGATTTGCTATAGTTTCAAGTTTTATTTCCTAAATTTAATCAGTTATTTAAGTACTGAGAAAGTTTTCTTTGTTAAGTTAGGCATCTGAAGTACTTAAAAATGAATACATTCAAAATAATTCAATTCTTCAATATATCTTTATTTTACATATATATACATATATATGTATATATATATATACACACACACACACACACACAAATATATAGGTATGTATATGGTTCTTCTGTTAGTTGTGCCTGGGGTCACTCATGTGCTTATAGTTATCCAGTGGCTTGATTAGGGCTGGATGGCTTTTAAAGGGTAGATTTCTCAGCTTTGAAAACTAGTCTCTGCTACTTATTAACACATCCTCTAATAGGTTATCTTAGGCTTCTTAAATGATGATCTCAGGACAACAGGAGGGCAAGGTTCAATGCACAAGCTCTTTATAAGGCTCTATTTAGTGCGTATTTTAAAAATTATTATTCAAGCAAGGTACATCCTGAATCAATGGGGAAGAAGTTATAAAAGGGCCAAGATAACAGAATTTTTAAGATTCCCCAAGGGAGCATAGTATGAGAGAAAGGGAGAGAGAGCATGTTACGAGCTCAGTTGTGGAGTCATCTTAGGTTACTTCCAAGAGCCACCTGCAAAGTAGAGGTTGCAGGGAAGGGACAGATTTACACAAAGGCATAGGCAGACGGGGACCTGACTCACTGGGGGCCATTATTGCAAACATGTAACACACTATTCTTGTTAGTTGTGAGAACTTCTAATTTTTCCTAGGCACAGAAGCAGACTTACAGATGCAGTTTAAGTGGATGGGATGACTGATTTCTGTTTGCTTACAAAAATGGGGTGTTACTATATATGTGCACAAAATCCAAGTGCAATTGGAAATGTGAAAGGAAAATAAAACTTGGGATCTCAATTCATTATGTCTATAAGAAAAAATTAGGGTGAAAGCTGAGTCATGCAAGAAACTGCTCTCCTTTTGTTCTTAGCAGACAGCTACACATCAAATGTTAAATATCTCCACAGGTAGCTACTTTAGGACATTCATCTTATCTCACGTAAAGTGCTGATTTACCACCCCACGTGAATACATAATATCTATTTCCCTCTCTGCTCTTTTTCTCTTGCAACACATAGATTACCATATCTACCCTTTTTCTCTTCCAATGGATTTTTCCCCTTTAAATACTGAAGCCCTCAAAATCATCTTAGAGAAAGGAAGAGACTACAGACTGTTTCTGTGATTCAGTGTTTATTTCTTTTCGGCATGTCCCTAACCTTGGCAAAATAAACTTCTAAATTGATTGAGACCCGTCTTAGACACTTTTTGGTTCACAAAGACTTCTCATGAGCTACATTATAGATATACAAAACTAAATACAATCCCTTCAATAAAACTGTAAATTGTATTAAGGCAAATTGTTTTGCCTTAATTTCATGGACAAGAATGAGTGTGCAGCAAGCAGATACTTGTCTTCCTTCAACATGAGGAAACTGGAAAGATCAGTAGGGAGTCAGTGTGAATTAAGCCATTAACCATGGCTTAATTTGCCATGAAGATAAGGCAAAACAAAATGTTTAGGACACACAATGGATACAAAATGGCCATGCTTTGTTTTAGAGATCGGAGAAGTAAGCTACTATGACTTTTCTTGGTAAGTCAGCAAAAAGGAACTAGAAGTAACATCCAAGGAATATAAATTCATTGCTACAGAGAACAAAGGTAAGCAATAATAAAAGGTGAGGCCTTCTTGTGAAGTGATTTTGGTCAGATAAAACTGTTCACAAAAGCCTAGGGCAGAAAGAAGGCAGGTCCAGACAAGTGTTCTTATAACAAGGCCACTTACAACATTGTCACATAAGTCCCATTTCTTGATGAAAACTGACAGGTGCAGAAAATCTGACGAAAAATAATAGTTTTGCCAATTTTCCTCAAAAATATACAGTGAGTTATTGAACTAGAACCTGAGTTAAATTTCCTGACTCACACTTAGGTACAGACGACAATGCATAAAAACTTAGTTGACTTGTTCAAGCCAGAGCTGACTTGTTCACTGCTGTATCCCCAGTGCCTAGCACAGGAAACAGGATAAAAAATACTGTTAGAATGAGTTAAAGAATAAAATTTAGGTAAGATTTTGCTTTTAGTTACAATTGTCACTGAGATCTAGGTTACAATCTTAGCTTCATCAATTATTACTTAACTTCTATGAACTTGTTCTCACTTCTGAAAAATTAGAATAAAATTTACCATTAGAGACCAGGCACCTTGAGTTTATGAATGTGAGCAAGAGGGTGGTGGCAGAAGGGTAGAAAAGAGTAATACAGACAAACGAAACTTGTAAGTGAATACATAAAAATAAGTTATAACGAATGAAAAAAAAAACAGAAGAAAAGGTGTTAGAGAAAACAGACTTCTATTATGAAAACAAACACGCAGTAGTCAGCATAGTGTATGACATAACATGTGCTCAGTAACTATTAAATTTCATTCCTACCATTGTCAGAGGTATTTGAATCACAACAACTCCATCTTGAATAGGGGCTGGGTAAAATAAGGGTGAGACCTACTGGGCTGCATTCTCAGGATGTCTGTCAGTCATTCTAAGTCACAGGATGAGATAGGAGGTGGGCACAAGATACTGATCATAAAGACTTTGCTGATAAAACAGCATGCAGTAAAGAAGCCAGCCAAATCCCACCAAATCCAAGATGGCGAGAAAGGTGGGACGTCTGCTCGTTCTCACTGCTCATTATACACTAATTATAATGCATTAGCATCCTAAAAGACACTCCCACCAGTGCTATGACAGTTTACAGATGCCATGGCAATGTGAAGAAGTTACTCTATATAGTCTAAAAAGGGGAGGAACACTCAGATCTAGGAATGGCCTACCCTCTTCCCAGAAAACTCATGAATAACCCACCCCTTGTTTAGCATATAATCAAGAAATAACTATAACAATCCTTAGTCTACCACCTCCAATGGGGGTGTATGCACCTCCAATTCTTTCTTGGCGAGATCCAGGAGCCCTCTCCTGGGGTCCAGATCAGAACACCTTTCCAGAAACACCATCCCATGTTAAATTATGAATTAAGAACACTGAACATGAAGAATGTTTAATTCAAATTATTGAGTAAACACTTACAAAATTAAAATATAACATTTAATAAAAATAGCAAGATTGAGGAACAAGCACTTCACAAATATTGGTTTCCCAGAATGTCTGAGGAGGTGTATAGAAGTTAAGAATATGTCCTCCAGCCAGAGAGATCTGTGTTCAATCACACTATTTAAGTTACTTAGCTTCTCCAAGCCTCAGTTTCTTAACTCAGATGGAAAATGAGGACAATGTAAGCACCTATTTCACTGGATTGTAAGGAAGAATAAACAAGATAATGAATAGTATTTGGCATATAATCTTTCAGAAAAGTAGTAAAATTGTCATTCCTATAAATCTAACTAATGTCTTTAAAATTCATCTCACAAAATCAGTATCTTTTTATTTTGTACTGAGCTACTTATTTTACCCAAATTGGGGGTTTAAAAAGAAACTCATTACTTATTTTCGAAAGGAAAATTTACTGTCAAGTACAGTAATTTTTTTTTTAAAGCAGCGTTTAAAAAAAAAAAAAGACAAAGCACTGGTCCAGATAGTTGGAAATGTCATTTAGATTTAAGTCTACAGCTTCTTAGGAAAGTTAGGTAGAGATGTATCATACTCCAGCATGATTGTGAGCAGACGAGCAGGATGAGCAAAACTTGCACGAGTAAGAGTGGTAAACACCAGAGAAGGCGCTTTCATGGAAGGGCACCCTAGGTAACCAAGCAAGTGGCAACAATAGTACAGGTGAGTCCTTGGATCCCTTCTCTCTCCACCCCCGGCAGTGGTCCGGACAAGTACTAACCTCTCCTCTCTAGAGCCTTGACTTTATACTAGCTCCACAACCATCAAGCCCCACGATCCGCGAAAGGAATGGTGCTACAGGTAAGGCGGGCGGGGTCGGGATGCCGAGACCTCTTGTCAATTCTTCGCTCGCCCCCAAACGAGGATCACGGCTGCGCGGCTCTCACTCTAACTATCAAGACAGATTCTGATACTAAACAAGGCTAAAACTTTTTGTTTTTTCCTTCTTACAGAAGGCACTACCCTGGACGCCGCTTGCAAACGCCTGAAGAGAAGGCAGGGTGTTCCCACTTTTTCAGAATGGGACCAGGCCCTACGGCCCCAATAGCAGAAGCTTCTCTAACCCAGGACTGCTCCCCTCAATTCCTCCCAATATGCTGACCGACAGCTCGACCTCACCTGGGGGCGGTTCCGCCAGGGGATGGCTTAGGAAAACCTCAGGAAGAGCAGCCCAGCGAGTGACGCCACTGAAACCACAGTCATGGTCTACCTCGTTCAGGCCACCAGTTTGCAGGCGCCTGAGCCGCTGCTCCTCCCGCCTCTCGGTCCTTCCCCGCCGCCCCGGTACCGTCGCAGTCTTACGCGTTGCATGCCGGGAGCGCCTTACCTCCTCTTCTCAGGGACTTCAGTTCCCAGCATGCAGAAGCCTCAGGCAGAACTGCACTCTGGGATTTGAAGTCCTCGTTCCACGCCTTCTCATCATCCTGAACACCGAGCTCTGGGACTCCGGCGGAGAATCTAAACGTAAAGCATCACCCACGGTCGTGAACTGTAGGCTCTCCTGGCATCCGGGATCTTATTCTGGCCTTGGCGGAGTTGGGGATGGTGTCGCCTAGCAGCCGCTGCCGCTTTGGCTTGCTCGGGACCATTTGGCTGGACCCAGAGTCCGCGTGGAACCGCGATAGGGATCTGTCAGGGCCCGCGGCCGGGTCCAGCTTGGTGGTTGCGGTAGTGAGAGGCCTCCGCTGGTTGCCAGGCTTGGTCTAGGTGGGTGGATCCTTGTAAGCAGGATTAGCGAGTCACTCCACGCTCAGGTTCTTTAGCCTGAGGGCCCGTGTGCCACAGCATAGCTACCCCGCCCTTCCAGCCTCGGGTCCCTAATACTGCCTTGCTTCGGTTCCAGTTTCCGCCGCACAACTTCACTCATTCCAAATGTTAATTTCTGCGTTTTTTTTCAGCCCCAATTCTGTTTCTCCAAATCAGGGATGATTGTCGGCCTTCCACAGACCCTCGCGCTTGCCAGGATTAGGGTGTTCGCGCGCATTGTGGGTAGGGGTGTGGAGGAAGGGATCCAGAAATCTTAAGTATTAACTTAGATTAGTGTTAGCAAGGAAGCCGTCACATTTTATTTAGCCGGGACACTCTGACAGTTTGTGCCGACTGCTATTTTTGATCAAGGCTATTTTGCCCACTTGTCTATTTTGTGGCCCAATTGTCTGTTTTGCTAACATCAGAAAGTTATAATGAAATAATCTGCAAAAAATGTAAGGTGCTAGAAAACCAATAATACTGTGTACCTTGAAAATGCTAATATACACCTGTTTTGTTACAGAGGTGGAGCACAGTGAAAGAATTCAAGATGCCACCTAATATAAACTGGAAAGAAATAATGAAAGTTGACCCAGATGACCTGCCCCGTCAAGAAGAACTGGCAGATAATTTATTGATTTCCTTATCCAAGGTGCTTAATTGGTCAATAATAATAGATATATACATTAACTTATGATTAATTTATTAATAAAATATGAATTTATTTTTTTCAGGGACAACTATAATTGTCACAATCTGGAAGTGTTCTTATATTTTGCTTGAAGGTTATAAAATATAAAACAGTTGCTTTTCTGTTTACTTAGGTGGAAGTAAATGAGCTAAAAAGTGAAAAGCAAGAAAATGTGATACACCTTTTCAGAATTACTCAGTCACTAATGAAGGTTTGTATGTAGTAGGTTTTAACTATAGGTTTGGCTATTAGTGGAACTATAAAAATCTGTTCTTATATAAGGTAATCTTTGTGAAAATACCTGGTAATATCTACATCACCACTAAAAAATGCAATATATTTAAATGTGAATTAAGTATTTTAGTGTATAAAACATTGCTAGTTTCTACTTAAAGTTTCTAAAAGGGTGTGTAGGGGAAATAGAATGAGTATGTTGAAAAGTAACATAAGGAAATATATCTTGAGGTCCAAATGACAAATGCAGACAATGACTGCTATAGGGATTTGTTAAGAGGGGAAATGATTTAAGAGATGTCAGAAGACTTCACAAAGGATCAATACTGAGGAGTAGTGTTAGATAAGTGGAAGGCAATGCAGTGGTAAGATAGTAAGGGAATTCTAGAGCTGTTGGTTACCATAAATAAATACTGAGAACAGGAAATATGTTTATTCTTTATATTTGAGGAAACAAGGTGCAGCAAGTTTGTAGCAGACTGTAGAGAAAACAAATCTTGGGTAAGTACTTTGAGATAGGTTGTTGAGGGCCTTAAAGGTGTATTTTATGCTATCAGCAATTGAGAAGGCAGTAAAGGTTTTCGAAACACAATTGATAGGTACAAAAATACACCTTAAGAAGGCAAAACTGAGTATATTATGTAGGACAAACTGAAGGAAATTGGAGCTTTGTAGACATCACATTATAGCGGAGTTTAAACCTGAAATTATGGATTAGAATAATAGCAATTGGAACAGAAAAAAAGTAGTGGAAAGACATTACAAAGGGAGATGTTGCATTACTGGATATAAGACTTGAGGACTTGAGGTAAAAAGGAGAATCAAAAATGTTTCATGCTATTAAAAATCTAGAAATTGTAGTCTTAAGTAAGAAAATTGCCTGGCATGGTGGCTCACGTCTGTAATCCCAGCACTTTGGGAGGCCAAGGCAGGAGGATTGCTTGAGCCTGGGAGTTCAAGACTAGCCTGGATAATATAGTGAGTCCTTGCCTGTACGAAAAAATTTGCCGAGCATGATGGCACACCAAGCATGATGGCACGCCAAGCATGATGGCATGCACCTGTAGTCCCAGCTACTCAGGAGACTGAGATGGGAAGATTGCTTGAGCCCAGGAGGCAGGAGGTTGCAGTGAGCTGAGATTGTGCCACTGCACTCCAGCCTGGGTGACAAAGTGAGGCCCTATCTCAAAAGCAAAAAAAACAAAAACAAAAACCAAAAACTATTTATTCAGCAAATATTTACTGAACGTCTCCATGTGCCAGCCATTGCTGGCACTAAGGATCATAACAAATAAAACAGAATTTTTATTTTCAGTGCTTACATTCCAGTATAAAGGCATATTGAAATAACCTTTTTTTAATGTTTAGATGAAAGCTCAAGAAGTGGAGCTGGCTTTGGAAGAAGTAGAAAAAGCTGGAGAAGAACAAGCAAAATTTGGTAAGCACCTTGGAAAAAGTTTATTATGGTATTAAATAATGAATTCCATTTGTTCATTAAACTGTAGAAAATTAAATTATATTCTATAAAATATATATATTCAGTTTATTTTTAATATATAACATTTAATAATAAATATTTCTAGACTCCTATTTTATGGATCTGCCATATAATACTTTTTGTTACCTTATAATCATGATGGACTCTTTTAAAAGAATTAATTTTGTTATTGAAATTTATTTAAAAGTTTGTTTTGTGGTAACTAATCAATTAAAACGTTTTTCTTTTTTTTTAAAAAAATAGAAAATCAATTAAAAACTAAAGTAATGAAACTGGAAAATGAACTGGAGGTATGTCTTTTTGTATTCCCTAGGATGTAATTGTCATTAATTTTATTTTGAATTGTTTTCAAATTTTAAAATTATTGTTGGCTGGAAAAATTATAAGGATGATTGTAATCATGGTTATTTGTTTATTCTGTATATGTTCTACATGCCTATTATGTGCCTTATATAGTACTAAGGACTGAGCATATGGTTGTGAACAAAATAAGAAGTTAACTGCTGGATGGAGCTTATAGTCTTGGGAAATATACAGAAAGATTACTAGTAACTGAGGTGGAGGGTGGGTGGGGATTTGAGGAATAGTGACGAAAGGGTGTTATAGAAGTAATTTTTGACAAAGCTGAAGGCTAAAATATGAATGTATTGTTGAAGAACAAAATACATTGAGATTCCTGAGAAGGTAGGAATGTGATACAAATGGATCAGCCTTTGAAAGGAGGAATACCCTTTTCCTTTGTGTTAGGAGAGGAGGATGAGTGGATGAGCGTGGGAAGAGTGGATGTGTATAGAGGCTTTTATGTTTGTAGGCATAATGCTTGGAAGTTGAGGGGTTGGTGATGACATCTTCTGTTAAAAAGAGTGGGAAATGGTGTGGTCACATTTTAAGGAAATTAGGTAAAATTTGAAATATATTGGAGACAGGACTGGAGAGTTGGGGATCTGGAGTCAGACAGATTTGAGTTCTAGTCCTGATTCTTCTACTCGTTAACTCTCTGAACTTGGATGACCTATTGTTTTTGATTGTATATCCAGCTCCTGGGAAAATGCCAAGCACTTTCAATAAATACTAAATGAATTATGGAGTTGGATCAGTTCTGTGTTAGTGTTTAGCTAGGTAGCTGCTGTAGAATAGAAGGGTAGCACAGTTGAAGATATTGGTAGGAAAGTGGTTGAAGTGATGATTATGAAGTCTTAACTGAATAGATAAAATCAAGATTGGGGTTGGGTGGGCAGAAGGGTAGGGATATGGAGGGAGAAGATGAGGGGTTAGAGTGTCCTGTGAGGTCGAAGGACAGGCATAGTGGGAATAATTGAAAGAATGTTCTGGTTGGACAAGGATCTGATGTGGGTGTGGGAGTGAGAGACTATAGTGAATTCAAGAAAAAAATAGACTAGAACAAAAGTTATGTGGAGATTGCTTAGTGGGCATTTGATAGACATCTGTGGGCCACATGCTTAAATTCCCAGTGCATTTTGCGGAGTTACTGGAAGGTTGGTGGCTTGTTTCTACCATGAGTAGGTAAAGATGGAGAGCAGGATATTTTGTGAGAAAGCAGCTGAAGTTTCTATAGGATGATGGAGGAATGATAGGAATGATCACCTGAAGTTGCAGGGTGGGGTAAACCTAGAAGCACCAACACCTTCTTCTGACCCTCATGTATTTGGAATCTGAAAGAATGAGCACCTTCCAATTGAAAGAGTTCCAAGGGCATTAGTATACTAAAGGATCCAAATTGCAGCTAAGCCAAGGAGATGGAAAGGAGGATTCAGTAAAGAATCTGAGGATGTGAAATATTAATTTATCTTGGAAGAGAATTTTAGAGAGCACAATGGAATGCTTTTTGGAGGAGAGAAAGAGTAAGAACAATTTGGTTAAGGTAGAGGAATAACAGAACTATAAGGTGAAGAAATGAATGTGAGACACATTAGATGACCAAATGATTTGATGTTCTTGGCCATGACCTGAATTAACAAGACTGTGAGGTAAAATGGATTTAATCGGCTACAAATCTTAAGATAACCAAAACCTGAGCTGTTTAATATGGTAGCACTAGCACTAACCACTTGTAGCTATTTATATTTACATTGGTTAAAATTAAAATGAAAAATTTAGTTCTTCAGTTGCACTAGCCACACTTCAAATGCCCGAACATAGCTACATGTAGCGAGTGGCTATTGAACTGGACAGCACTGACAGCATGTCCATTATGCTAGAAAGTCCTATGGGACAGCACTGGTCTAAACAGTGCATGGTATGAGAGAAAGGGCAGGTTAAGGCACTCAGCTTCACTGACTGGGGTGGAGATTCTGATGGTTTGTACTCAGGTTCCAGATCCCTGAGGCTCAGGAACCTTTGCAGTTTAGTCTGGTTACCTGTGGCCCAGTGGTTACAACAGAATGATTAACAGTCAATTCTTTGCATCTCTGGGTGGCTCAGGAAAAATTTAAGGAGTTATTAGCTGTGAACTAACCTTAAGTAAGTTAAATTAAAAAAAAAAAAGTTCTTAAGCTAATATGATTTTAAATATCTGCACTGAAGTATAATGCAAATTTAAATTCAGCATAATTATTTGCTTGTTGTTGACTCATTTGAACCTCAAAATATAATGGGATTAATTTATACTTTGGGTTTATTACTTTAAGATGGCTCAGCAGTCTGCAGGTGGACGAGATACTCGGTTTTTACGTAATGAAATTTGCCAACTTGAAAAACAATTAGAACAAAAAGATAGAGAATTGGAGGACATGGAAAAGGAGTTGGAGAAAGAGAAGAAAGTTAATGAGCAAGTAAAGCACTTTTTTTTTCCATGAATCTTCACTGTTCAAGTTACCTGGCTTTTTATTATTATTGGTAACAATATCAATTTTTATATTGTATGTTATATTTGAAAAATGATGTACACTTATCTCTAAGGTTTTATATCACTGTTCATTTTGTCATCACCAATTTTAAAATATAATGGTACTTCTAGTGAATATGACTTGAAGATTAATTCTTTATATTTGGAAGTACATTTTTCTCAGGACATCAAACTTGTTACCTAAAATTAATGCTTTTGTCTGGAAGATTGGTATCAAGTAACTAATAGATTTTCATAAAGAAGTGATCTTTCTAGTGCCATAGTTTATTTTGGGTAAAAGTTATATTTGTTCATTTCAATGTATTTATATGATTAGTAGATTCGCAAATGAATCTTTCGATATATTCAATAATGGTTAATTAAATATCTTGTTTTTGGTTGTACCTTATTTTATGTGAGATATATATATATATGTATAGTTTTTGAAAAGTTGTGTTCATGTCAGCAGTTTATAAATCACATATTTAAAATAACATTTTTAATGCATAGTTTTTATTACCTCGTTATTCCTTGTTATAAACTAATAATTCTTGCAGTGTTCACTTGAATTTAGTTTTAGGAAAAAAGTTTTTTGCAGATCAACTTGTATTTCCTGGAAGAAAATTTCCTATTTTACCTCAGCTTCCTATTTAATGTATTATTTATTTATTTACTTAACATTTATTTGTTTTTTATTTCACCTGAACTGTTAGTAAACTTAGTAAAATTTGGTGCCTACATGTGGTAACTGTCCTGTCCCTTATACTCAGAAACGTTTTCCACCTTTGTGTCCTTTAGGTCATTGTTGTGTTATATTCCATTTATTTTATTTTGTCCATTGTTCTCTCAGAAATTGAGGGTCATACATTTTAAGAAAACAATGATATGCTATTTAAGAGAATGTATCATAAATTGATTTGTAAGGAAAAGTATCCCCATTCTTCATGTATGTATTTTACTCTAAAATGTTGAAGAATCATATAGAAGTTAGCTATGAAAACAATGTGGTAGAGAAAGTATGGATCGATGCCACTTAAATGTTAGGAAGAAGCTCTTAGAGCATTATCTGTTTAGCTAACTGCAAAACATAGCAGACATGTGGATTTTTTAATAGTCATCAAGGATCTAACTTATAATATACACTGGTAGAATTGCTTAGGGGGATGTCTGTGGTTTTCTGGACTTTTGTTCTTCTATATAGACCTGTATCAGTTGACTTATCATTCATACCACACACCCTTAGCTAATCAGAACTACCTTGTCCATTTATATCTTAGACTATTGTCTTTTTTCATAGTCACACACAGAGAAAACTTGAATATATGGCCTGTGTTCCTTTTTGGCTGCTCAATTCCTTGAGATGAAATATGGGTATGGGTTGCTTTGGCAATTACTTCTTTGCCGTTAACCAGTCATTCAGTTTTATTGAGTCTTTACAGCATACCAGAGGCTGCTAGTTACTAGTGATATAGTGGGCAACTATGTTCTGGTTCTCAAGAATATTCATAGTCAATAATAAGCATAACATAGTGATAATATGATACTTAGGGAGATACATAAGGTCATATTCTGGCATACTCTGGAGAGAGATACCGTAATCAGCCTTGAGGTGCAGGATGTGATCTGTAAACTGAGACCTGAAGTATAGTTAGACTGGTAAGAGGAATGAGGATATATATGGTGGTTAATAAAAGAACATTCTGGGTAGAAGATATAGCATTTGCTAAGACCTAGAGGTAAGAGATGTTATGGAGTATTTAGGAAACTACAGTTATTCATTTTGACTGAAATATAAGTGAAAATAGCTTTCATAGAGTCCTTACTATGTGCCAGGCACTTCATATGCATTAATTCATTATTGCTTATTTGATACTTGTCATATGAGATAGTTGTCATTTCTGCCATGATACAGATGAAGAAATGGAGACACAGAAAGAGTAATTGCCCATGGTTGCACAGCTTATAAATGGTAAAGGTAGGATTTGAAAACAGTCTTACTCAAGAGTCTGTGCTATCTTGCCTTCCCAGTTTTATTTTTTATGATCCTCTGGAGAGATAAGCAAGGGCCAGTTCCTAATGAATTTGGTTCTTTTCCTGAAAGGAGCCAGTGAAGAGTTTTGAGCACAGGATATCATGATCAGATCTATACTTTAAAAGTTTACTGTACTTTGTAGAGAGTGGATTGAAAAGGGCCAAGACTAGTAAGGAAACATTTGTGTTAATTCAGGGAAGTGCTAATGATGGCATTTGCCTGAGAAAGACAAGTGTGAGAGAAGTAGATGTAATTGGATGTGGTGAATGTAATTGGTTGTTGGAGGAGAGGGAGGATGGAGAGTCTGCCTAATTTTGTGGGTTGGGCCACTAAATAGGTAGATAGTGCCATTCATTAAGGAGGAACACAAGAGGAATTTGGAAAGCTTGAGATTATTTCAGTTTTGTAGATGTTGAGTTTGAGGTTCTTCTGGGCATATTCAAAAAGGGTATCTGTGGATATGGAATTCACAAGAGACCCTGTACAGATGATGAGGATTTATGAATCATCAATGTAGACATTATTGAAGCCAGAGAAGTGATTGTAAGGCACGTCTCTGAGAAATGTCTAATAAAGCAATGAAATAGGAAGAGTGCTTCAAGGAAAAGCTCAAGAAAGGAGAAACAGAGTGTGATGTTTGAGAAGACAAGGGAAAAAAACATTAATAGCATTAAATGCTTTAGCATTAAGTTCTTGGCTTCTCTTCTTGTAAAAATTTCCCAATTCAGAACACAGTGGGATTATTAACTTTCAATTGATAATAATAATGATAGGCAAACTTCTAAAATTTGTATTGTAGTTTGCATTTTATTATAAACTTTCTTTAAATTTTTATTTTGAAAAATGTCATATCTTCATAAAGATTGTAAGAAACACACTGTTGGTGTTAATGTAAATTAGTTCAACCATTGTGGGAGACAGTGTGGCAATTCCTCGAAGATCTAGAAGCAGAAATACCACTTGACCCAGCAATCCCATTACTGGGTATATACCCAAAAGAATATAAATCATTTTCTTATAAAGATACTTGCACACATATGTTCATTGCAGCACTATTCACAATAGCAAAGACATGGAATCAACCCAAATGCTCATCAATGATAGACTGGATAATGAAAATGTGGAACATATACATCATAGAATACTATGCAGCCATCAAAAGAGAATGAGAGGTCAAGCGTGGTGACTCATGCCTACAGTCCCAGCACTTTGGGAGGCCGAGGCAGGCAGATCACTTGAGGTCAGGAGTTCAAGACCAGCCTGGCCAGTATGGTGAAACCCCATCTCTACAAAAACAAAACAAAACAAACAAAAATTAACTGGTCATGGTACTGTATGCCTGCAGTCCCAGCTACTTGGGAGGCTGAGGCAGGAGAATGACTTGAACCCAGAAGGCAGAGGTTGCAGTGAGCTGAGATCGCACCACTGGACTCTAGCCTTAGCAACAAAACTAGAGTTTGTCTCAAAAAAAAAAAAAAAAAAAAACCGGAACAAGATCATGTCCTTTGCAGGGACATGGGATGGAGGTGGAAGCCATTATCCTCAGCAAACTCACACAGGAACAGAAAACCAAACACTGCATGTTCTCACTTATAAGTGGGAGCTGAACAATGAGAACACATGGACACATGGTGGGGAACAACACACACTGGGACCCGTCAAGGGGTCGGGGTGGGAGAACATCAGGAAGAATAGCTAATGGATGCTGGGCTTAATATCTAGGTTATGGGTTGATCTGTGCAGCAAGCCACCATTGTACACATTTACCTAAGTAACAAACCTGCACATCTTACACATGTACCCCAGAACTTAAAAGTTGATGGGAAAAAGAAAAACAATAACCACCCACATACCCTTCATATAGATTCACCAGTTCTTAATGTTGTGCCAACTTTGCTTTATCTTTTTGTCAGTATTTTTACACACACATGTATTTCTCTGTCTCTTGTTTGTTCAATCACATTTTTTGCTGAGTCATTTAAGAGCTAATTGCAGATATGATACTTTGCACTTAAATATTTCAGCTTGTCTGTTTGAAAAAGAAAGATGTTCTCCTACAATGAACACAATATAATTGTCATGCTCAGGAATTTTAATATTGATTCAACACCATTATCTAGTCCATAATGAGATTTCTTCTAATGGCCCAATAATATCCTTCAGTCTCCCCACCTCCAATATCCAAAGTTCTGTCAAGGATCACATACTACATTTGGTTCTTTATTATAGACTTTTTAAATATCGTTGTATACCATTGTGATTCTATCGTCTCCTTTAATAAAGAGGAGAACCAGAAAAATGAAAGGTCATAAGAGGAATGAGGTTTGGAGAATAGGTGAAAAAAGGCATCATAATGTTTATAATAATGTTTGCCTGTTCAGAGAAACAAGAATCACAGATAAAGTCACTTATATGTAGATAAGAGAATGCTGTATTACTTTTTGCTATTCTATTCACTGATCATTTTTCTAAGAACTCTGTATGCTTCTTGTTTAACTCTTATGTCAGCATGTATGAGAAAACTGAGTTAAAGAGATGTTAAGTAACTCATTCATGCTTTACTAGAAATTGGTTGATGAGGGACATAAACCTAGGCCGGTGTGATTTTAGATTGCTTCTTTTAACCATTGTGTTGTATTGCCTTATATTTCTAAGTAATTTATGTTCACTGAGAGCAAATAATAGTCTAGCTATGACTTAGAAAAGTAAAATAAAGATGTTGGGCAGAAAACCATTTTATTAGGGGTTTTTTTGGAGGAGCAGATTAATTTGTTTCTGTATTCTTTGGTTAGTTTGTGTGTGTGTTCTTTTTAATTCTTTAAAATGAAACTGTTTAATCCTTAAATCCTTAAGTTTTGAAAATTTTGGCCTATTATTTATGTGTTAGGTTGATATTAAATCCTTAATAGCTTTAACATTTTCTACTTTGTTAGAGAGGATTTAAAATTTAAGTAGATAAGCTGAATATCTGGCTTTATATTAAATTACTGCTGATGGCCAGGCACAGTGGCTCATGTCTGAAATCCTAGCACTTTGGGAGGTTGAGGCAGATGGATCACTTGAGGCCAGGAGTTCAAGACCAGCCTGGCTAACACAGTGAAACCCCGTCTCTACTAAAAATACAAAAATTAGCCAGTTATGGTAATGCATGCCAGTAATTCCAGCTACTCGGTAGGCTGAGGTGGGAGAATTGCTTGAACCGGGAGGCAGAGGTTGCAGTGAGCCGAGATCGCACCACTGTACTCCAGCCTAGGCGACAAAGACTTTGTCTCAAAAAAAAAAAAAATTACTGCTGAATTTTATCTTCTTCTTATTTATTTTTTTTTTTTACTATTTTAGTTGGCTCTTCGAAATGAGGAGGCAGAAAATGAAAACAGCAAATTAAGAAGAGAGGTAAAAAATTTTAGTAGTTGTGGTGGTTCAACAAAGGTACTTATTAAAATAAGTACCTAAGTTTACATAAATTTATATTTTAACCAGGACTGGAGTCTTCTAAGTAACTGATGTTTTCAGACTGATTTTATGGTATGACTTTGTCTCAGGGAAATAGAAAACAAAGCAAAATGTGAGGCCATTAAGTATTACATTCATCTCAGGTCTATGCGGGTAAATCTTTTTTTGTTGTTTTATAAGCCATTCTTTGCTAGTTTTCTAATTGAATAGATGACTGGATTTCTATTCTTATTTCTCTTACCCAGAATCCTTTAAAATTTTTTGTTACTTGTGGAATCTTATAAATTCTGATTATCATTTGGTTCTACTGAGCCAAATAATGTTTGTACATTGTTTATTCTGATAGAAGTTCTTAAGTTTCTAACATAATTGAAATATTATTTGTTTTGGTAGATAATTAGTATTCTTTCTTTGGTTATTCAAGATAATATGCATCATTTTCCCAAAATTTTTTTGTTTTCTTTAGTTTCTGATTATTATTTTTAATTATGTATTACCTTTCTCATTTCTAATTACCGTTTTCCTGTCCTTTTCTGTAGAACAAACGTCTAAAGAAAAAGGTGAGGCTTTAAGTGTGGTGAAATCTTGGGAATTTAAAATATGTTGTGAGAGCACTATTTAGAGGATATGATTTTGTTATTCTGAATAGTTTTGTAATTGAATGTTGTGTTTGGTTACCTTCAGAATGAACAACTTTGTCAGGATATTATTGACTACCAGAAACAAATAGATTCACAGAAAGAAACACTTTTATCAAGAAGAGGGGAAGACAGTGACTACCGATCACAGTTGTCTAAAAAAAACTATGAGCTTATCCAATATCTTGATGAAATTCAGGTAAAATGGCTAGAAGTCAATTCAGAGCAATGGTTCCTAAAAACTTTAATTTCATTACAATGTAAATATAATATTTAGCCCTACATGTAAATTCCCTGGTATAAATCTGTCACTATGTACTTGTAAAATGTGAAATAAATTACATCTTTGAAGTTGCAACTTTTTAGCCATTTTTATATTTGCCTGTCTTGGTCATTAAGAACAATTGAGGTCCTTATGTACTATTTTCTTGATTCAATTTGATTTAATTGGTCAATGCCAATTAGTAAAGGTCTATAAAGAATTCTCTTTTTTTCTAGAGGACACTTATGGCTGCGTTTAATTTTAATTTGGTTTAAATTTCAGTTTTTTTAAAATTACTTTTTAATTATAGTGTCTTTAACTTTTTTAGACTTTAACAGAAGCTAATGAGAAAATTGAAGTTCAGAATCAAGAAATGAGAAAAAATTTAGAAGAGTCTGTACAGGAAATGGAGAAGATGACTGATGAATATAATAGAATGAAAGCTATTGTGCATCAGACAGATAATGTAATAGATCAGTTAAAAAAAGAAAACGATCATTATCAACTTCAAGTAAGAATTACTTTTAGAATAACTTATTTATTCAGACTTCATATTATCTCATTACTATTTATTTGACACTAGAAAGTACTTTTTCTAGGATGTGAATTTTTGTCTGTCTTTTTAATAGTGTAATATCTTGTCATGTTGGTATATTTGTCCATATGTGTTTCTCCAATCACCTCACAAACACTAATTTTTGCAATTTAGGATATATAAATGATACTTGAATGAATGTGTAGATAGCAGTCATTATGGGGTTTTCTATAAAAGACTACTGAAAATCCTGTGGATCATAACATTTCATTTTATCTTAAAATAAATACATTATAAATGTATTAGAAACCAATACATTGTTCAGTATTTATGTGGATTAAATTTGTTTAAAAGGTAGAATAATGTTTAAAAATAAAATTTTCTAGTAATGAAAGATAATTATGCAATTATAAGATGCAGAAACTATTAAATGTCACCTATAATTCCAGGATGACTTCAATGATAAATACACATATGTAATGTAATGTATCCGTATGTATGTGTATATAAGTATGAATACGTATGTGTGTGTATGTAGATATATTTATATATATAATGTATATGTAAATATGCACAGGTGTAAATATATGTTACATCAGTTTGCAACAACTCTTGAAATAACTTTGTCTTTTAGGTGCAGGAGCTTACAGATCTTCTGAAATCAAAAAATGAAGAAGATGATCCAATTATGGTAGCTGTCAATGCAAAAGTAGAAGAATGGAAGGTATTTTTTTTCAATTGACATAATAACTTTTTCTTTTTGTATTTTAGATTTAAATTTTAGTCTTATTTTTCTTTAAATGTCTTATACTGGTTTATAACACGTTTATTAGGGTTTTTAAACATAAGTTTATTTTATTTATTGGTTAGAAAAGCTCTAGAACTGTCCTTTTTGATCTCTAGCTAATTTGTTATTGAATGACCTCTTTCACATCAATGAGTTTAACTTTAAACTTTTTGATAGAAGTCTAACTCCAAAATATATTTGGCATCTAAAATATATAATTCGAAATATAATTTAAATTTTTTTACTTAACTCATAGTTACCTTATATACATTAGTTAAATAGTTGCAGGTTTAATTTTAGTTTTTCTAACTAAATGTCAGGTTCATCAGTGGGAATGGGAATAAGCAAAGGGATCAGAATAACTTGGGAAGCCTTTTCAAAATACACTTTTCTTCCTCACCACCACTCTCCAACCTTAACCAAATTGTCAGGCCTTACCATATTAGAAGCTGGGATTATGATGGTTGTATACTTGAAAAACATCAGAGATTATTCTGAATGAATAATTCTAATTTTAAAAACTATCACTTCTAGAGTCATTGCTTTCTAGTATGGTTCACATAAATCTTGTGGGCAGTTTGGAACTGGTTAGCATCTAGGGAGCTCAGATAACCTATATTTTAAACAAAAGCATTAGCAATGGAAATAAGGCCTATAGAATCAGTCATGTCTCCATAAACTTTATATAAAGGGCCAGACAGTGAATATTTTAGACCACCTGGTCTCTGCTATAACTAAACTCTGCTTATAGCATGAAAGCAGCCATTGACAATACGTAAATGAGTGAGCAAGGTGGTTTTCCGGTAAAATTTTATTTACAAAAGCAGATGGGAGGCCAGATTTGACCTTTGGGCCATAGTCTACCAACCCCTGGAAAAAACAGTTGTCTTTACCAGATTGAATGTTGGCAGGGTAAATGGTGACATGTTATATGTATTCTGTACTTTGTTTTGACTTAATACCATTTCATAATTATTTTATATCAGTACGTATAGTATTGCTGTTCTTTTTAAAGGCTATGTAATTTTTCTTTTTATACAGGTGTTAATTTGATAATTTGTGAAGTTTATGAAGTTTCCAATTTTGGGGTTGTAAACTGTTTTAATGAATATCCTTATATATGTTATTTTGCAAATGTACAAGTATATCTGTGGAATAAATTGCTGCAAGTGTTGTAATTGTCATGTATGTTGCAAATACATTCTAACAGTTTGTCACTTTTTTTGCTTTATGGCATTTTTTGCTGTGAAATATTTCTTTTTATGCTTAGTTAAATTTATTATTTTTTAATGACTTTTGACATTTGTTATAATGAGAAAGGCTTCTGAGTATAAACTTGTTTTCTCATCTTTTCTCCTAATATCTTGTTTTGTTTTTGTTTTTGTTTTTGTTTTTGAGACAGAGTCTCACTCAGTTGCTTAGGCTGGAGTGCAATGGTACAATCTCAGCTCACTGCAAATGCCACCTCCTGGGTTCAGGTGGTTCTTGTGCCTCAGCCTCCTGAGTAGCTGGGATTACAGGCATGTGCCGCCATGCGCAGCTAATTTTTGTAGTTTTAGTAGACATGGGGTCACACTGTGTTGGCCAGGCTGGTCTTGAACCCCTGGCCTCAAGTGATCCTCCTGCCTGGGCCTCCCAAAGTGCTGGAATTACAGGTGTGACTCTGCCTGGCCTTTTTTTACATTTAAATCTTCGAAACATATAATTCATTTTGATGTAAGGAGTATCATGTGGATTCAACAGAGCTACTCTGTTGTCCAAACATCTTTTATTGATTATTTCATCTTTTATTGAATTGATTGATCTATTTTCTAGCAGTGTATACTTGTTTTAATTTGTGTATGTTTTAATATCTAAAAACGTTATTATTTTTCTGCTTTTAGACTTCTTTATGAATATTTTTAATGTGAATTATAGAACTGGCTTGTCCAGTTCTTAAAAAATATCTTGTGGATTTTTATTGGGTATGTGTTAAAGTTATAAATTGTTTTATAGATTGATTTAGGATAAACCTTTTTATGTTATTTGGTCCTTCTAGCTAAAGAACACAAGATACCTTTTCTTTCATTCATTCAAGATATTTTATGCCTCTTGGTTGCATTTTAATGCATACTTCATAAAGATCAATTGTATAAAACTTTTCACAGTTGTATGGAAGTACTTCTTGTTTATAAATGAGTTTTGAAAGGTTGAAATATTTTTAAAGATTGAATTATAAAAAAAGAAAATTCGGTATATATTTTAAAATCATTTTCTATTTGAATTTCAGGTTGTATATACAAAAGGAACAGAGATTATGCCAGTAGTTGCTCATACTTTCTCATTTCAAATAATTTTTATTTTCTGTATCATAAATCTACTAACGGTGTTTATTATTTATGATAATGAAGAATGTTTTATTAACTTTCCTTTTGCATAACAGATTCTATTGTGTTTATTTCTAGCTAATTTTGTCTTCTAAAGATGATGAAATTATTGAGTATCAGCAAATGTTACATAACCTAAGGGAGAAACTTAAGAATGCTCAGCTTGATGCTGATAAAAGTAATGTTATGGCTCTACAGCAGGTAAAATCTTAACAGAATTTTGTTTATCAACCAGTTTTATTACAGTTGGAACTCTGAACGATGTCTTTTATTTATTATATCATCAGTGCCTAGTGTAGCGGCTGGTACTACCAAGTGTATAATAATGTCTTTTGAAATTTCTTCTACCACCTGGTCCCAATAAAAAATTAGAATTAAGTTTAGATCACGGATTAGACTTAGAACTAGAGTTACTGTGTTTATTTTTCTATGTTTATGTGGATAGTACACACATTGTTTTGGTTAGAAATTATTTAACAAGAAATGATTAAAAACTTTTAGAAATTTAAAATAATTTTATACTCTTTTAAGGTTTATTTTACTGTATCTTAGTCCTAACATACCCTATACAATGTGAAATAAGCTAAAAGCATGGTTATAATTTGACTGTGCTACCTATTTTATTTTTAGTGAAAATAACCCAAATAAAAGGAAGTAATACTTTTATTATTTGTGCTGTAGTTATAGTCCACAAGTAAGAAGATGATTTGAAAAGTGTATGCTGAATAAGAACAATTACAGGGGACAACATTTTTTAATAAAGTACGAAAGGGGAAAAAGCTAAGTTGAATAAAAGAGAAAGCACAGAGCAAAACAGAAACATACAAAATGGTAAAAAGGTGGAATTGAATGGAGGATGAGGAAAGTAACATATAAGGAAGTATAGAAGCCATAAACATTAGGGAGTTCTGGAAATCCTATTTTCCAGAGTGTTAGCCATTATATCCATCTTTCAGTATTGGAGTAACAGCAGTGTACCTATCATTGTGTATTACAGTTGAAGTGTACAAAATGGTAAAAGGCATACTTGTACCCACAAGAAAATATGTTCTACAGTCTTGTTGAAAAAAATCAGACGTACTTTTTTCCTTACCTTTTTAGGTTAATATTCATGAAGGGATATATATTGTTTTAAAATATTTTATAGGGTATACAGGAACGAGACAGTCAAATTAAGATGCTCACCGAACAAGTAGAACAATATACAAAAGAAATGGAAAAGAATACTTGTATTATTGAAGATTTGAAAAATGAGCTCCAAAGAAACAAAGGTATTTTTATAAATATATAGTTATTTTATATACAATTATGTTTTTAACGACTTTATTTTTATTAAAATAAAATGTCAAGTCAATATTGAGTTTTCTCCATTTGAATTTTATATTTTCAAAAAATTGTACAAGATATTTATTATTATACTTATATTACTAGTGCTTACATTTGTAAATGATGGATGCATTTTCTATTATTTTTCTCCTCTGGTGAAAATTACATTAACGTTTATTACCAGGTCACTGGTATGAAAGAAATGAAAAATTGTGATACAATTATTTTTATTTAACTTTTTATAATTAACAAAGAATGGAAGATAATAAAATTTTGACCAGTGTAACAGCATTGCAGATAGTTTTCAGAGGTAATTTCACATTAATCTTACCCAAATTAATGTTTCATCATATTCTCCTTACCCTGAGCCATATTACCTTTTTTAACACATCAAATTCTATGAATATAAGTTCTTACAATATCTGTGTTGTTATATTTCCATAGCACTACATACTATAGTTATGCCAGGGCACACTAGTGCGAACTGTTCATGGGAAATTCATGGACATGTTTATTATAATTGGTGACTATGTATATATGTATACACTACATTTATACACACGCGCATGGAATCACTATTTCTTCTTCATGTCATATATATATACATATATACACATATATATACATGTCATATGTGTGTGTGTATATATATATATTTGTATATATGACATGAAGAAGAAATAGTGATTCCGTGCACATATGTGTGTGTAAGTGTAGTGATGTGTTTGCAGGTACGGTTGTAATTTCAAAAATGAAGCAAAAGCCTTGCTCAGGAGATAATTGAACCAATACTTAAAGGAAGTAAAGGAGTGAAACATGCAGATGGCTCTAAGCAGTGGGAATAAGTTCAAAGGCAGTAAAGCAGGAGTGTACCAATCATGTCTGAGAACAACAAAGAAGTCTTTTTGGCTGGAGTAGAGTCAGCAAGTGAGGCAGTGATAAGACCAGAGAGGTAAACAGAGGCCATATCATATGGGGCCTTATAGTTCATTGTGCAGACTTGGCTTTTAAGTGAGAAGGGACACCGGGGAAAGTTTCTGAAGATAGAAATGATATAATTTGACTTAGGCTGTGTTTGCAGTAGACTGTAGGAGTGGTAAATAAGAATCAGGGAGACCTGTTAGAAGACTATTGCAATAATCTGGAGAAAAGTGATGGTGGTTTGGGGCATGGTGGTAGCAGTGGAGTTACTGGATGCAGCAGTTCTGGATGTATTTTGAAAGTGATAAAAATGGAATTTGCTAACAGATCAGATGTAGGATGTGAGAGAGAGAGAACTCTTGGTCTGAACCAAAAGTTTTGGTCATGGTGGGGTTGTGGGAAGAGCAGGTTGAGAGATAATCAGGTACTTAATTTTAGACATGTTAGGTTTGAGATGCTTATTAGACATTCAAGTGAAGGTGTTAAGTAGGCACTTGTATATAAAAGTTTAAGGTTTAGGACAACAATCTAGGCTAAAGATATGTTTGGTAACTGTCTCTGTAAAAGTAATTGAAATAATGAGGCTGGCTAAGATCACCAAGGGAGTAAATGTAGGTTAAGAAGAAAAATCTAAAGAGCTTCTACTTTAGCAGCTGGGGAGATAAAAAGGAGCTACCAAAGGAGACTGAAAAGGAAAGCCCAGAGAGCTAGGAGGAAAAGCAGGAGTATGGAGAGCCCTGAAAACCACATGAGGAATGTAACCAAGGAAGAAGAAACAACTGCTTTCAGAGCTGTGTTCATTGCTGCTGATAGGTCAAGATGATCACTAAAAGTTGACTATTGGACTTAGCAATGGTCATTTTTGGTTCAAGAGAAAATGGGTAGAGAGGAAATGTAATAAAGAAATATAGGAACCCTTTTCCAGGACTGTTTCTATAAAGAGAAGGAGAAAACAAGGTGGTAGCTTGAGGGGAAAGAGGGATTAAGAAAACATTTTTCTCTTTAAGATGGAAGAAATAACTCATGATTTTAGGTTAATAGGAGAGCTCCATTAAAGAAGAAACATTAATGAATCAATGAAGTGGAGAGAGAGAACTTCTGGAACAATAATATTTTTAAGAATGCAATGGGATGGGATCCTAGTGTGCCAGTGAAGAGGTTGGCCTTAACTAGGAACACAGAGTTCATCCATAATTGTAGAAAAGAAGGTAGAGTGTATAGATATCGATGTAGGTGGCTTGGTAGACATCCTGGTAATGGGAATTTGTGGAAGTTCTAAACTGGTTGCTGCTTTTTTCTCAGTGAACAAGGGAGCAAGGTTCTTAGCTGAAGGTGAGGATAGGAGAAGATGTTTCATAAGTTTGAGGAGAAAGAAGAGAAGTGAAAGTATAAAATGGTCATCTGAAAGATTGAAGACGTGGAGAATGTGGTATGACTGTTGAGTAACTTCAAGAGCCCACGATATATATATGTATTTCTATTTATGTGTTTATTATATTTGTATCAGAACACTTTGAAAGTAGTTTAAACTGCTTTAAAAGGATGACTAATAGTATGGATTGTGCGTATTCTAATTACTAGGAGAAAAAGTGGCAATTGATCTCTGCTGTCAAATAAGGAAAAGGACTTATCTGATAACACTTTAGTCAGTCCGTAGTTATATAATCCCTAAAGCTCACAGAAGGTGTGTGTACTAGACTGTACTCTACATCTTGAACTTAACTTGTAAAACGTAATGGCTAATGGTATTCTTCCTTCATAAGATTAGGATTAGGTTTAGTTATCAGGAACAGAGAGCTGAAGAATAATGGCAAAATCAAGATAGACATTTATTTCTCATCTATGTAATGGCCTAGAATTAAGCATTCCAGGGTGTTGCCTTCATCTGCCCCATCCAAAATGGATGGAATGCAGCTTTATCTCATGTCTGTGTCCCAAACAGCAAGACAGAGGAAGAGGGGCAAGAGTTAAAAGCATGTGCTGAAGGATAGGCAGGTAAATATAGTGTTTATTGTGTAGGGCCATG
Source organism: Homo sapiens (assembly GCF_000001405.40). NCBI lineage: Eukaryota > Metazoa > Chordata > Mammalia > Primates > Hominidae > Homo > Homo sapiens. Next base: position 88,122,243 of record NC_000012.12, on the reverse strand, counting down.
TGGAAGAATGATAGGAGAATAGATATGTGGATGGAAGGGAGAATAGATACTGGGGGACAACTCAGCCTGTGTCATGTTCCACAGCTTAGATGTTAGCTCCAGACAGCTGTGCTCATTTCTTAAAAACTTTTGTGATCTCAAACGTACTAGTTTTATGCCTAAGTCCAATATTAAATATATAACCTATATATTAGTAAATGCTTATAATGAATGAGTGTGAGAATGATCTGTCAATCAATTTTGGAATGATAGCAATATTATGTTTTGGTCTTTTAACAATTTAGTAAGATATTACAAGTAGGCATTTAGGAAGTTTTTAGCTTAGTTTGGATTAAATTTAGCTGCAAGTGACAGAAAAATCAAGCATAATACAATAATTTAAACAAGATAGAAATTTATTTCTCTATAATATAGACAAAGTTGAAGCAACTAGGGCAGGATTTGTGTGACAGATGCTCAAATATCCCCTATCAGGAACCCTGTCTCTTGTTGCTGTGCCTATCTCAACATGTGGTTTCTAACTCATGTGAAGTTGCCACCCTCATATCCATGTGGATTTCAGCTAGCAGGAAGGAGGAAAGAGAAGAGAGATTACTCCTTTATTTTAAAAACATTTTTTTTTTTTTTTTTGAAATTCACATATGAACTTTGCGTTTATATTCCATTACTGACATGACCACACATAGCTGCTTGTGTGTAAGTGGAAATTTAGTTCTTTATTTCAAATGGCCACGTGTCAAGCTAAAAATCCATAGTTTTAGTACAGTGGACAAAAGGGAGGTTAAATATTAGGAACAGCTAGCAGTCTGTATCACAATGATCATTTTTTGTAAAGCAGTATTTTGCAACCTTTTAAAATCCATACCCCTTCAGCTAAGAAGGTTTTACTGAACTTCAGTTTTTTAGTAAATTGTATTAGTAAAACCAAAACAAAACTTTCATCTTACAAATATAAAATGACAACTTTAAAGGATTTTTTTTTAATGGCATACCACTTTTCTTGCCACCATGTTGGGATCACTGATTTGAAGGAATAAGTAGTCAATTCAATTCATGATTTTTGTTTTTACTCTGTAGGTGCTTCAACCCTTTCTCAACAGACTCATATGAAAATTCAGTCAACGTTAGACATTTTAAAAGAGAAAACTAAAGAGGCTGAGAGAACAGCTGAACTGGCTGAGGCTGATGCTAGGGAAAAGGATAAAGAATTAGTTGAGGCTCTGAAGAGGTTAAAAGATTATGAATCGGTATGTATTTTTATCTTGTCATTCAAGGAGCTTAGAATTATTCTTGCCATTCACAGACTATTCTGTGCTATTTACTGCATACCATTTAAAAAACATTCCATAAGTATCTTTTGATAAAGATTATCCTCATTAATTTATACTAAACTATTGAAACCTTTGAGCATTTACTTTTTGCCAGAATTGTTTTCAAACTTTTGATCACAGTGATTTGTCCAAATAATCAGTTTTGGTGAAGCAGCAGGATTACTTTTTTTTATTATCTGTGTTCATTGGGCCACCATGTAGATGTGACACCACTGGCCAATTTGACAGAATTTATGACAGGAACATACTGTGTCAATACAACCTGCTCTCCACTTTTTATACTTTTTCATTGGTTACAACTAATTCAAGCAACTAATGACTTACTTATTCTACTGGTATTGCTGATTTGCTTTTACTAATTCTTTTAGTATTTTGGTAAGTGTTTTTTATATGTAATGCATATTCAGAGTCACTTTGCCTTTAGGATATTATACTGGAAAGTTTTAACTGTTGCATATTACATCATTATTATTACTGGATTTGGTTTATAAAAGCACAATAAAAAACCAGTGTAATGATATAAATTATAGGCATATGTACATTTTCCTTTAGACTTAGTAAAAAAAAAATCATGAACTTGATAAATTTATTCAAGTAAACCATGTTATATTTTAAATTAAATTGGATATTTTTCAGGGAGTATATGGTTTAGAAGATGCTGTCGTTGAAATAAAGAATTGTAAAAACCAAATTAAAATAAGAGATCGAGAGATTGAAATATTAACAAAGGAAATCAATAAACTTGAATTGAAGATCAGTGATTTCCTTGATGAAAATGAGGCACTTAGAGAGCGTGTGGGTAAGCCATGTTTTAAGTTACATAGTTTGCGCAACCTGATTTACAAGTCTTTTTTTTTAATTTAAATTTTGTTTATTATTATTTATTAAGTAGTTTAATGCTTTTTTCAAATGCTTTTATAAAACATTTAATACAAATAAAAGTGGAGCTAACCTGATTGAAGTGGAATCAGATTTTATGGGGTTGGAGTGGTGGGTGGGCAGGGCTGGAACATTGCTTTATTTGGTCTAGCATCTCCTCAGTAATAGCTGCTTGTTTAAAAAGATGAAAGTTTATTAATACCACATATCAGAGATTAACCTTTTTTTTTCCCAACAAAAGTAGGGTCTGTATTACCCATGTTTGTTTGCAAAATGCTCTTGTAACAGATGAGATATTTAAACTTCTTGCTCTGTGTTGTGATTCTCCTGCCTCTGCCTCCTGAGTAGCTGGGATTACAGGTGTGCACCACTATGCCCGGCTAATTTTTGTATTTTTGGTAGAGATGGGATTTCACCATGTTGGCTAGGCTGGTCTCCAACTCCTGACCTTAAGTGATCCACCCGCCTTGGCCTCCCAAAGTGCTGGGATAATAGGCATGAGCCACCGCGCCTGGCCTGTTAAAATCTTTTAAAGATTTTTAAGTACTTGATTTTTATAATTTAGACTACTTACGTTTTACTTTGTTCGAGTATTTTAAGGAGTAATTAGTAATATAGCTTGAGAGTTTATATATTTATTTTAATAAATAGCCTATTAGTTAATATTACTAATTTGAGTGTTATGATAGTGCAGACTAAGTTGCTGCTTTAAAATGAAAATAAATATCTAAATATCAATTTCATTATTGCTAAATTTCATTTAATGCTTTCTTAGTTAAAAATGATCATTTGTAAAAACTATTATCTAAAGAAAAGACAAATAGACAAATAAGTATTTTATACAGATATATATGTGTGAAAAGTATCTAACTTGGATCCGTAGTTGTGCTAGGACCCCAAATTAGACTTCTGATCAACTTGGACTATCAGATCACAGCCTTCTGATCAACTTGGACTATCAGATCACAGCCAAGAATCTGGAAGTTCCTAAAGATGACTTCTGGCCCGTCTAGGTAGCTGTCATAGACATCATATTTTCTGTGCTTAAAAAGCTCCAAATCTTGGTTTATAATTTCATTTAGGTTTTTGTTAGGATTTCCATTAATAATTGTGATAAAATTTTAACTTGGGTTACAGTTTAAATATCTGGAAAATTCTTTCACAGAAAGTTACCTCATTCTTCAGTGATACTGGCTAAGTGAATTATAACCAGTTGCTTGATGGTATATGACATTTTTGCAGCTTATTTGAATGTTTTTAAGTTTTTAATTATATTGCTTTCTATTGTAGGCCTTGAACCAAAGACAATGATTGATTTAACTGAATTTAGAAATAGCAAACACTTAAAACAGCAGCAGTACAGAGCTGAAAACCAGATTCTTTTGAAAGAGGCAAGTGTGGTAGTCAGTTGATTATTTTCTTGGCTGAACTATAGAGAAATACTAATAATTTATACTTTGCAGATTGAAAGTCTAGAGGAAGAACGACTTGATCTGAAAAAAAAAATTCGTCAAATGGCTCAAGAAAGAGGAAAAAGAAGTGCAACTTCAGGTATACTCAGTTATTCTAAACCTTTAAAAAGAATTATTGATAAGTGAGTTGTCTGGATATGAAATTATTTGTGTCTTAGCTGTTTTTGCTGTTCTATTGTGGATCTGCTACAAATTTAATAAATGACAATAATAACCTGAAGGAGATAAGTGAGTGTCAGTGGGTTCAGTCCTGAATCTGAAATAGACAAAAACAAAACAAAACAAAATAACAAAAACCAAGCAAACAAAAAAGAAAAAAACCTTAGAATTATGGAATTTTTGAAAAGTTTTATAGTATAGTATTTTAATTTCTAGACAGCACCAATATGTTGTTATTAATAATAATAAAACTTAGTAGTTTTTATGTTAATATATGTTACTCAACATTTTCCCTTTCCTTAAGGACTATGCATTGAAAAGCTTTTCTTGTAAGTTATTATTATTATTATTATTATTAATATTTGAGATGGAGTCTGTCTTGTTCTATTGCCCAGGCTGGAGTGCACTGGTGCGATCTTGCTCATTGCAACCTCCGCCTCCCGGGTTCTAGTGATTCTTGTGCTTCAGCCTCCTGAGTAGTTGAGACTACAGGCGTGAGCCACCACGCCTGACTTATTTTTGTATTTTTAGTAGAAACAGGGTTTCACCATGTTGGCCCAGGCTGGTCTTGAACTCCTGACCTCAAGTGATCCATCCACTTTGGCTCCCCAAAGTGCTGGAATTATAGGCGTGAGCCACCATGCCTGGCCTTAAATTATTCTTTTCTAAGTGAAAGTAATGTTTTATTGAATATAAATTAACATCTTTCTTGGGTTTATTTTACTTGAGCTAAAGAGAACAGTTGGTTAAGTTTTATAATAGCCATTGCAGTGCTTTTTTGTAAGAAGACCACACAGAAGGACTGTCTTTTTCACTTGCCCCAAATCCCCAAGCACGTATATGAGTAATAGCAGAGTGGTTCTTTTTAGCATTATGATTTCTATAATACATCCAAAACTTTCTCAAGAAAAAACTTCATGATTTATTAGTACAATAATCAGTTTACTCATTACTCATCATTTATATTTACTTTATATGTCTTTTAACTGGTGCTTATTAAGTAGCACTTTAATATAGAATAGGCAAAGAATGGTAGAGAAGATGAAATTCAAAAATTAGGTTCTCACATTATTAATAGTTCATTAAAAGTGAGCTAAATGAGAAGCTTGTATTGGCTATGTAGAATTTTGGAGGGATTTTGGAAACAATTATTCTACCTTTGCATTAAAACTTGATTGTAGGTTTTAAGAATTAAAGTGTTGGAATAGTAGGAGGGTTATTTTAATGTTTTTAGTTTGTTAATTCTCTTATATATAGGATTAACCACTGAGGACCTGAACCTAACTGAAAACATTTCTCAAGGAGATAGAATAAGTGAAAGAAAATTGGATTTATTGAGCCTCAAAAATATGAGTGAAGCACAATCAAAGGTAATAGTAAAGTATTGCAAAGAGAGTAAAGGAAAATATTTTTTTTTTTTTTTTTTTTTGAGACGGAGTCTCGCTCTGTCTCCCAGGCTGGAGTGCAGTGGCGCGATCTCGGCTCACTGCAAGCTCCGCCTCCCGGGTTCATGCCATTCTCCTGCCTCAGCCTCCCAAGTAGCTGGGACTACAGGCGCCCGCCACCACGCCCGGCTAATTTTTTGTATTTTTAGTAGAGACGGGGTTTCACCGTTTTAGCCGGGATGGTCTCGATCTTCTGACCTCGTGATCCGCCCGCCTCGGCCTCCCAAAGTGCTGGGATTACAGGCGTGAGCCACCGCGCCCGGCCAGGAAAATATTTTTATTGTGTTTTCATTTCTTCCCCCTTTATCTCATTCTTGAACATCTAATCTTATTATTGTTGTTAAATAAGTAGAGGGAAATATTTGCTTATTTAACCTGTTGATTCAAAGATTGATTAATGAGACATTATTTACTCTGAATACAGATTAGGAGTTCAGATAAAGCAGAGCTGCTGCATAGGAGATCATCATTCAATACCCCACAGTCAGATCAGAATGAGACAGAAGAGAATATGACCATAGGATCATTATCAAGAATGTTATCTGAAATTCACCATAGTGTAGAAAGTGGAATGCATCCTTTTGTCCCTTTAACTAGACTTTCTTCATCCATGCAAGTTAAAGAGAATTCAACTCCAGAAACTATTACAATAAGAGAGATTTTTAAAGCACCATGTCTGCAGTCTTCAAGAAATCTAGAATCGTTAGTCAGCACCTTTAGTAGGGAAAGCCATGAAGAAATAAATGACATATGCCTTTTTTCTGATGACTGTATGAAGAAGGTGTCAAGAAGCCATCAAGCACTAGAGAAGACTAGTTTTGTACAAAAAAGCAATTCATCTTTTCATGGCTTATCAACAGCTTCAGACATAATGCAGAAGTTATCACTTAGGCAAAAATCTGCAATATTTTGTCAACAAATTCATGAAAATAGAGCTGACATGGATAAATCACAAGTAGCAACATTAGAAGAAGAACAGGTTCATTCCCAAGTAAAGTATGCTGATATCAATTTGAAAGAAGATATAATAAAAAGTGAAGTACCCTTACAGACAGAGATATTGAAAAATAAGCTTAAGGTTAATCTTCCAGACCCTGTGTCTATTACTGCACAATCAAAATTATCTCAGATAAATTCTCTTGAAAATCTTATAGAACAGTTACGGAGAGAGCTAGTATTTCTTAGATCTCAGGTGAGTTTTTCTCCAAATTATATTTCTGTGGTTGTTCTTTTATGACGTCTCTAACAAAGTTCTGTAACAATTATAGTTAGAATATTTTTGTTTGCACTTTAACATCAGTTATACACATTGTACTTTTTAAAATCTAAAATGCAGTACATTGATATGAACTCATTGACTTGTCTAATTTATTAAATTTTTCTTTAGAATGAAATCATAGCACAGGAATTCTTGATCAAAGAAGCAGAGTGTAGAAATGCAGATATAGAGCTTGAACATCACAGAAGCCAGGCAGAACAGGTAGTGTAAAGGCAGAACATTAAAAGAGATGATTGTGGTACTAAAGACAAAAACCGTTATATCTTTTTGCCTCTTACCATGGATGTTGGGAGAGGGAGAAAGTGGGATTAAGATCACCATCTGCTTTACTGTTTAGATTTTAGTTTATTTTTATGATTGCTGCTATGTCTTCATAGCTCGTTTTTTTTGTTTTGTTTTGTTATACTTAATTGATCAAACTTTTCTTAACTTGAAAATTATAGACTTGTGATATTTTGTTGAAAAAAATCAATTTTATTCTCTCTGCTTTTTTCAGAATGAATTTCTTTCAAGAGAACTAATTGAAAAAGAAAGAGATTTAGAAAGGAGTAGGACAGTGATAGCCAAATTTCAGAATAAATGTAAGTTACAATTATCTTTTACTTTTCTGTTCTTATTTTTCCTATACTTAAAATCATGGGCCTAAAAGGGCGTTAACACATTCTCTGTTTTCTAATCTGCTTTACTCCTAATTACCTCTGTACTGTATATACTTCAGTCTGTCACTATCCAGTTGATTTGCCTTGCTGTTTTCATTGTGAGAGAATGTTACTAATATGAATTTTTTGTGAGAATATATAACTCCTTTTTCTTGTGTGTTCTTCAATCAAAATGAAGTTAGAACACCAAATTTAAAATACTTTAATATAAAGCATAGTTTAAGTTAAGGCAGAAGTATGCCTTATATACGTGTGTATATGCACGTGATATAAATAGGTCTGTCATTTAACTCAACTATTCACGTTGGATTTATAGTTGAATTTTTTTGTATGTTTATTTACATTTGGATTTTTCCAATGATGTCTTTGGTATATGTGAAATATTTGTCATCTGTATAGCATAGTGTAAATTGTGAAAAAGATCTGATCATCCAATGAGAAAACTGTGTAATTACAGTAAAAGAATTAGTTGAAGAAAATAAGCAACTTGAAGAAGGTATGAAAGAAATATTGCAAGCAATTAAGGAAATGCAGAAAGATCCTGATGTTAAAGGAGGAGAAACATCTCTAATTATCCCTAGCCTTGAAAGACTAGTTAATGTAAGTTATTTTTTTCATGTTAATGTTTTTCCCCTATCACTTTAGAGAGATTTTCTGCTGTGTACAGATCTCCATAGTTTCTGATGAGATATTTTTAGTCATTTGAATCATTGTTTCCCTGTATGTAAAGTGTAGTTTTTCTTGAGCTGCTTTCAATACTTTTCTTCTACCAATTGGATAATTGTTATTAATCTGTCTTCAAGTTCACTGACATTTTCCTCTTTATCTGTGTTCTTTTGGTTCAAGGGTCAGCTTGAGACCTTGAGGAGTTTTTTACACCGACTTTGGAGCTCGTTTTTGCTGACTCTTTTCTTATTGGGATTTTCCTTTCACTTATCCCATGGCTTTGGGCTGTATCCTGTGGTTTTCTAGATGAGAAAGATGATAGATCTCTGCAATTGCACCCTGCCCTATGACTAAATCTTTAAAAATGGCAAAGTCAATCTTTGCTGGTCCTGTCTTCCGTATTTGAGGGGTTTTTTCCCAAAATCTGCTTGCTTTTGTTCATTTTCTAGAACATCTAGGTAGTTTTTTTTCATTCATTTTTTATTTATGGGAGTGTAGATCTCTTAGGAACTTATGCCATCAGAAGTATTATGAAATGGCTTTATTCTAAATGTTTAAAGATTTACTCATTGCTACAAGAAAGATTTAGCCATCACTAATATTCTATATATATTTACCATATAGGGACTTGAGAATTTCACAGGATTCAGTATCTGTATATAAACTTGAATAATATACACATTTTAGATTGTTAATATTTAAGTATATGTCATTTATGTTATCTGAACATATTTAGCGTACATTGTCATATTATTTCCCAAATTTGTGCTTGATTTCAAATGGGAAAAAAATTCTTATTATTTATTGAATTGTTTTTTTAAAAAAATCATGATTAATCAGTAATTGGATACTTTTTAAAATAACACTATAATTGTTAACAGAGAATGAGAGTGATACTGGTATGTTAAAAACTTCCTGAGGCAAGAAAATAATTTGATTCCCATTATATCTTTCTCATACTGACTTTCCTTCTCTGATTGGTGATTTTGTTTTGCCTCTGCCACTTTGAATGTCTAAAATGATTCTTTATGCTTTTTTTATGTGAACATCTTTTGTCCGTGATGATGCCCACTACTGATACTGTGTCCCAGATCAAACTTAATTTTCCAAGGGCAGCTCTACTTAGTGACCAAATGAAAACACAGTGAATAGCCCAAGAAATCCTAACTTCTATTTATGTTGACAATCTCTGGACCTTCCTGAAGCCACTGTTTGCATAGACTTCATTTACTTTTATCCGGGATTGTCATTGTTTTTTCAGATTCATAGGCCCTATCTGAAATTCACAAATCACCTAGCAATACTTCTCTAAGAAATCTTCAGAATCCATGACAATTTAGACCAGACAATGCTGGATTATGCACTTCAGTTCACTTTTTGTTACTACAAGGTATTTTTCAGTGCCCCCAACAGCTATCTTAACTCATTCTCATTTTACCAAAGTCCATGTAGACACGGCACTATTCCTCAATGAGACAACTAACTAGACCACCTTGTTGTCAGTCAGAGTACCTTCCTCTACCTACTTTTATCTTCCTTATATCCTCTTTGAGTTAGTATAAGTTATTACTCTGCATGACCTGCTCTAATCTCCTTCAGGGGAAGGCTTTTACAAATCTACTACCTAGAGTTAAACCCCAGATCACCTTCCTGAGTAGGAGATTGCATTTGGTTCTATTCATTTTACCTTATTTGGCTTCTACCTTCACTTTTTAAGACTTACTTTGCCTTTAACAGTTTTTTCCATACAGTTCATCTAAAGTCCAAATATATTTATTAGATGTGTGCATTGTGTGTATATACTTAGATATGCCACTGTTGGAGATTTCGGGCCAGTGATGCCACTCTGATAATATTTTAATATTTGACATATTATTTTTGCTTACTCATTATTCTTAGATAATATCATGTTATGATACCTTGCCTTTATTTTTATTTATGCTTCAACTATGTGGAGAGGAAGCACTGAAAAATTCACTTAATTGAATGTTGTATTGATCAATTGTTCAATATTGTATTCCATTCCTTTGCGCATGCTTTGAATGCAGGTGCTATATAATTTCAGAGAAAAATACCTCATTTTGACTGTACAAAAACCCCATGTAGGGAGCAGAGCTCACATTGTTTTCCCCTTTTAGAGACAAGAAAACTAAGATACAGAGAATTTAAGTCACTTGCCCAGCTGTTAAGTGACTGATTAAAATTTGAACCCTGGTCATCTTATTCCCGTCTGGTTGTTTTTCTAGTCTACCAGTCTATTAAGATTAGCTAGGTGTTTTTTAATTGTTTTAATGAAGTAATTACTATGCTTGGTAATGTAAATGAAAGTTTTATAGATTCATAAATAAGAATTTGAATTGGCATACTTTATTATCATGCTTGGCAATGAAAATAGGAAAATGCTTAAATGTCCATTTTATTTAAAGACAGACTGTTTTTTACTATGATTTTACTGTTTTTCTCCACATTTCTAATATATAATATAAATTTGCTAGGCTATAGAATCAAAGAATGCAGAAGGAATCTTTGATGCGAGTCTGCATTTGAAAGCCCAAGTTGATCAGCTTACCGGAAGAAATGAAGAATTAAGACAGGAGCTCAGGGAATCTCGGAAAGAGGCTATAAATTATTCACAGCAGTTGGCAAAAGCTAATTTAAAGGTGAGAATTTTATTAAATAAAAGAAAATGCTAAACATAAGAATGTAGATTTAATAGGAAATTTTTAATTTTTTAAAAAGAATGCTTTATGAGAAAATGCCCCTTGAATTAATTCTTTCAATATTAAGAAACTGGATTTCTCTTATAAAATTATAAGTGGAAAATAAGTGCCTTATAAGATTGAAAAGAATACAAAAATTCTAAATCTCATACCTAGGCATTTCTAAGCAGAAACTGAAGTATGGTTGAGGTAAAATTCCTGGCAGGGCATTCACATATCTGTCAATTTGTCTTTCTTTGGGTGTAAGAGTTGTGATTCTCATTGCTGGATTTTTTTTTCCAGATAGACCATCTTGAAAAAGAAACTAGTCTTTTACGACAATCAGAAGGATCAAATGTTGTTTTTAAAGGAATTGACTTACCTGATGGGATAGCACCATCTAGTGCCAGTATCATTAATTCTCAGAATGAATATTTAATACATTTGTTACAGGTATTGAAAATTTTGTTACAGGTATTGAAAATTTTACATGTGAATAACAAAAATCATTGGTAGTATGTTTCTTTATGTTTTTATTTTTATTTTACTTTATTTTAATTTTTCCATCACCAAAGCATGCAGATAGTACTTTTCTCAATATTTAGTCTTCATGTATTCCTGAGTTCTCAAAATAGTAACAGTGAAATATATTTTTTATGGATTTTGATGTTAGATGGATTATAAATAAAAGCAATTTATACCATTCATTCCATTCATCTGCATGAGCAGCATGTTCATACATCTTGTTCGCACACCTGTCATTCATGTGAAATATATGGTTCACAAGCAGAACAACAAGCAGCTATTATAAAGCAGTGTTAAGTAAATGAGCACTTTTATTTCTTGCTGGGTGGAAAACAAAAGAATAAAGTCTGTCAAGGCTTTTTAGTGTCATGATAGAATTGTTCCCCTTTTTGCATTCACAAGTAAAAACTACTTTTTTTTTGAGACAGAGCCTCACTCTGTCACTCAGGCTGGAGTGCAGTTGCGCTATCTTGGCTCACTGCAACTTCCACCTCCTGAGTTTAAGTGATTCTCATGCCTCAGCCTCCTGAGTAGCTGGGACTACAGGCATGCATCCCTGGCTAATTTTTGTATTTTTTTTTAGTAGAGATGGTGTGTCGTCATATTGGCCAGGCTGGTCTCAAACTCCTGGTCTCAAGTGATTCGCCTGCCTTGGCCTCCCAAGGTGCTAGGGTTACAGACGTGAGCCACTGCACACAGCCATAAGCAAAAACTTCTAAACCAAATTATTCTTCATCTTTGTCTTCCCTTTACGCAATAAAATGTTAATCTACCACCAAAGAGGAAAGGGTACTCTACTATACTACCTGCCCTGGGTTTCTCAGTTTTGCTGTCTATATAATGGTCGTTATGAATGTCCTAATGACAGATCCTTTTCATTATTTTATTTGAAATTTGACTATCTATAACATCACATACATTATAAATATAATTACAAATATATGTTCAGAATCAATGAAAATATATTTTTGATTATATGGGCCACTATTTCTCTCTGCTAGGTGATCCATTTGTGAGTATACTTGAGTTATAATTATTAAGTACTCATTTTTATTTTGGAAATTACAGTAATTCATCTTTTTCTCAATATTGGGATTTTTATTATTATTTTATGTTGTCTAAGGACAGCCTTAACTACTTATTAGAATATTGCTTTGTATGTGATATTATTATTTTTAAATGTATAATTTTAACATTATTATTTCTCTTATTTACCTGAGGTATAGGAACACTATCAGCAAATATTGGTAGTATGGCATTGTCGTATTTTTTGAGATAAAATTCATGATTTTTAATCTTTGTATAAGAAATATATCAGAAGTTTGTAGTAGATTAGAGAGTACCAACTGGGAGTCTGAAAAGCTGTCCAAAGTGGCAAAACAGGTACTTAGACTCTCAATCCTAAGGCTGTATAGAGCTATAAACGTGGCAAGACCTTTGGAGTCAGACAGACCCAAACTCAAATGTTGGATCCATGTATATGGAAAGCACCTGACAACAAGCCTAGCATATGTACTTGGTAAAAATGATTGCCAAGTGTAGTGTTAATGAGTTTTTGGATATTGAGTAAGTTATTTAAATTTCAATTTCATCTTTAAAATGAAATAATTGGAAAGGATAATTTGAGTGAGGGTATGAAATTATGTGTTCATAAGAGAGGGTATGTGGCCGAGTGACTAGAGGCGAGTTTATAACTATTCTATCTAATAAAACTTTGTAATCTGGTAATTTGTGTGCTAAAAATAACTTTACCTGTTGTATAGTACTCTTTTTTTATGCCTTAAACTAAAGTGTTCAAAATATCATGGAAAAATGATCTGTGTTGCTTACAGATTTGGTGACTTTTAACTTTCCTATAATGTTGTCAGAATATGAATTTATACTTTCAAATTCAGCATTTATTCTATTGTGTTTTTTTTTGCATTCTTATTTCTAAACCACTTTTCAGGAACTAGAAAATAAAGAAAAAAAGTTAAAGAATTTAGAAGATTCTCTTGAAGATTACAACAGAAAATTTGCTGTAATTCGTCATCAACAAAGTTTGTTGTATAAAGAATACCTAAGGTATAGGTATTAGCAAAACTATAAATATAATTGCAGTATATTCTTGTTAATTGTGAAAGTAACGTAAGAATAATTTATGTTTTGTTCTTCCCTTCTTCTTCTTCCTTTGCAATTGTATTTTTTTTTACTCTGGTAACTACTGTTAGGAACTTATTTATGGAGACAGTGTAGCTTAATGATTACATTAAGCCTGGGATTATCCTGCCTGGGTTTGAGTCATTTAACGTTTGCTTTTTGTAAGAGCTTGAGCAAGTCATCTTACCTATCTGTGTCTCAGTTTCCTTATCTGTAAGTTACTTTGTAAGTAATACCCTTTTCATAGGATTATTGTAAAACGTAAATGAATTATTAGATGAAAATGCTCGGACTAGTGTGTGGCACATATGAACAGTTTGTAAATGTTAGCTGTTGTTAGCATCATTCATCATCATCACAATCATCATTGTTCATATATGTTTATAGGGAACTAACATATTTCTCCTTATTTCTGTCATCTCATCTAAATCAATAGAATGATTTCCTTAATAGGAATTAGAATACCTAATCAAAGGTGATTTAAACACTAAGAATAATTATTATCTGACCTAACCAGAACCACAAAGCTAGTTGTAGGGCAGGTCATATTTGAAGGTTGTTGTTATCGCCTATGATGGTTGTAAAATAGCTGCATGAATTCAAGAAAGATGATGTGCCCATTGAAGAAGAGGAGCATTTTTTTCTACATAGCTTTTATTTTTAAATAAACATTTTTTTCTGGTGATACCTGGCAGACATTGACTCCGATCTCATTTGCTAGAATTGGATCACATGTCCAAGTCTGAACCATTCAGTTGCAAAGAGAATGATACCGCTATACTGGGTTTATGCCAAGAACATTACACATGTTTGTGGAATGCTCATGTGTAGACAACAGTGTCTTACACAACTTCAAAAAAATAATTTATATATAAATATGTTTTAAATTACTTTTTAAATTCACAAGAATTTATGGTATACAACATGGTGTTCTATATATGTATATACTATGCTATACAACATGGTGTTCTATATATGTATATACTATGCTATACAACATGGTGTTCTATATATGTATATACTGTGGAATGGCTAAATCAAGCTACTTAACATATGTATTACCTCGCATACTTTTTTTTTTTTTTCCTTGAGACAGAGTCTTGCTCTGTCACCCAGGCTGGAGTGCAGTGGCGCTATCTTGGCTCACTGCAACCTCTGCCTCCTGGGTCCAAGTTATTTTCTTGCCTCAGCCTCCCAAGTAGCTGAGATTACAGGCATGTGCCACCACGCCTGGCTAATTTTTGTATTTTTGGTAAAGACGGAGTTTTGCCATATTGTCCACGCTAGTCTCAAAATTCCTAGCCTCAAGCAATCTGCCCACCTTGGCCTCCCAAAGTGCTGGGATTACAGCATACTTCTTCTTATTTTTTTTTTTTTTTGCACTAAGAACACTTAAAATTTACTCTCTTAGCAATTTTAAAGTATATAATATACTGTTATTAACTTTGGTCACTATTTTAATTAGACTTAAGATGTGTTTGTATTCAAATTATTTTGTAAGCATTTAACACCCAAATTTGAGAGTGGGGTCAGAATGTTGGAATTTGATTTCTAGAATTAGTATAGGGTATTATTTTCCTACTTTTTTTCTGTGTTCAATAAAATGTTTATAAGATTCAGCTTCAATTATATTATAACCCATTTAGTGGTGAATCAGGGAAGAATGAAAATAATTTGATAACTTTGTTGCCTTGCATTTATTTAAAAAATTTTTAATTCTAGGCTAAACCCTTTTTAAATGAAAGTTTAACTTCTTGTGTTTTCAGATACTGAATAGCTATGATACCTCTTGTGTTGAGAAAACTTTAAATTTGCATAATCTGAAGTTATCTTTTCTTATAAACATTTTATTAGGTTTACAGTATTGTCTTTTTGTTTTGTTTTGTTTTTAGTGAAAAGGAGACCTGGAAAACAGAATCTAAAACAATAAAAGAGGAAAAGAGAAAACTTGAGGATCAAGTCCAACAAGATGCTATAAAAGTAAAAGAATATAATGTAAGTAAAACATTTTTAACATTAGTATGCAATATTGTACAAAGTAGGATAGCTAGATTCAACAAGTAATATGGATGTGTCTTTGTGCAGAATTTGCTCAATGCTCTTCAGATGGATTCGGATGAAATGAAAAAAATACTTGCAGAAAATAGTAGGAAAATTACTGTTTTGCAAGTGAATGAAAAATCACTTATAAGGCAATATACAACCTTAGTAGAATTGGAGCGACAACTTAGAAAAGAAAATGAGAAGCAAAAGAATGAATTGTTGTCAATGGAGGCTGAAGTTTGTGAAAAAATTGGGTGTTTGCAAAGATTTAAGGTACATCTGATTCTTATTTTGCTTTTTCTGACTATGAAAAATTTCAAATATGCAGAAGATAGGATGGTATCAATAATGCTCATCACCTGAATTAATAGTTAACATTTATTAACATTTTGTCATAATTGCTTCTTCTGATTTTTGTGGGATGTTTGAATTGCAGACATTCCTCCCCTAAATATTTAATGTACCCTTTTGAAAAAGGCTTTTTTCTTTAACTAACCATAGTAACTTTATTATACCTAACAAAATGACAGTAATTTTCTAATATCGCCTAATACCCTGATTATAGTCACATTTTTTACATTTTTTGATCAAAGAATAAGCATTTGGATGTTACATCTCATAAATCTTTTTAATATAGAATCCCCTTGGTTTTCTTTTTCTCCAAAAAATGTTTGAAGATGTATCTAACTTTTGTGTGTGTGTCATTTTACTTGTTCCTGTGTCCCTTGTATTACTAAAAGTTAGGTCAGAACCCTAAGTTACATTCAGGTTTAAACATTTTTGGCAAGAATACTTCATAAGTAGTGTTCTATACTTTATATTGCATCACTTCAAGAGTATCTGGTTGTTCCATGTTTTGTAATTGATTACTCTGTTAAGGAAAAGACAAGCAGACCAAGTATGGTGGCTCATGCCTATAATTCCAACATTTTGGAAGGCCCAGGCAGGAAAATTTCCTGAGCCCAGACCAGCCTAGGCAATATAGTGAGACTCCGTCTCTACAAAAAATGTTTTTTTTTTTGTTTGTTTGTTTTTAATTAGCTTGGTGTAGTGGCACATGCTTGTAATCCCAGCTACCTGGGACATTGAGGTGGGAGGATCGCTTGAGCCCAGGAAGTTGGGGGCTGCAGTGAGCTGTGATCATGTGCCACTGATCTCCAGCCTATGTGCCTGTATAACAGAGCGAGTCTCTCTCTTAAAAGAAAAAAAGAAGAAGAAGAAGAAGAAAAGATAACCATATACCTCCATTATTAAGCAATTTAGCTAACTGGTGATATTTTGGTACCATACAAATAACAAATTATTTGTCAGTCCTAATGATTTTAGCATCTGCTGATGATTGTTGCCTAACCCAATTATTAAAAGTTGCAAACATCATAATTTTCTAGTTATATTATGCACTTACATTTATTAACAGACATGCTTTTGTAAAATAAATAGCGTTTCCTCATTAGCCCAGGCTATTTGTTTATCTTGAAGTTTAGCTCCTACTACAAAGGCAAGATAAATGCTTTTCTCTTTAATTACCAGTTTTCAGAATACACACTTGGTGTACTCTGCACTACCTGCTTTTTTTGTCCCCTCCGCTTTCTCTTTTTTAAGTATCAGATTAGACTCACAGATTTTTAAATATTCCATGTGTTTTAGTTGGAGTCATATTCTTTTGTCTCAACTTTAGCCAAAGAGAGTCCTTTAAAGTTGACTCTTATATTGTCTTGACAAAAATTCATTAGTCTTTTGAACGAAGCCTCAAAGCTTGACTTGTTTTCTAGCATAAGATGTCTTAGACTTACCTACATACTTCATGCCCATACTTGGAATAAACCATTTCTTTAAAGAGCCCAGGTTCCTTTTAGTGGGGAAGGCATTTAGATACCAAAAACTGGCCACTGGGCATCATTGCTCTCAGAGTATCATTGCCACTAGTCTCTCAGTAGACAAGTTAGAAAAATATGTATATATTTAAACCATGAGTTCATATTGTTATTTCCAGTTTAATTATAACATTATGGGGTAAGTAAATAGTATCGGATTTTTACTAAGCTTCTTTGATTTTGCACTTGTATTTTTTTCTTACATAGAAAACCTTTATTATTAACATTAAAATATTTGTTTTATCCTACAATATACATACAATAATTTGAAAAATAATACTTGAATTGATATTAATAGTAACAACAACAGCACTGCTGCCAAACATAGTTTAAAGTTTTATTTCAGGTCTTATTTTCTTCAGAATATATCTTGCTGAGAATGTATAGGCAAAGTATTCTACACTTACTTGAAATAATTGTCTTCATGCGGTTATGTTATACATTTGATATATAGTTAGGCTCATTTGTTTTTCATTTTTTTTATTTTAGGGATTTTTTTCCTTTATTGAATTTTAATATATACAATATTTATATATGCAAAATATTTAATCAGAGAAATCTTAATTCTGGTCTTACGCCTTTCATATTATTCTGCTCCACCCTCTGTAGGTAACTTATTATCTTTCTCATGTTTCCTTTTTGGAAACATAAACAAAGACAAGACAGGTTACATGACATGTATACCCTTCTGCACCTAGTTTTATACCTTACCTTGTAGTTTATTTTTAAGCATGTAAATGTTCAATGTTCATGACTAAATTTGGACAGGATCATAGGAACACAGAATTCAAAGTGAAATTAAAATGGGCTTGGGTTCTTTACTTTCCACTTTAAAGGTTGTAATGGGTGATGTCAGGCTAATAAACCTATTTTCAGCTTGATCTAAAGCTTAATACTGAGCATCAAGAAATTCTTTAATAAATATAAGTGATATTTATTCAGACATGTAATAAGGAAATGTTCATGTCTTATTTTTGTGTTAGATTTTTTTAGAATCTACTTTTGTTAGAGTTTTATAAATACAGTTAGTGTTTGAGATAGAAAGAGAAAAGAATTAGTTTTCTTCCTCTTCTACCTGCTCATGAACTTGATTTTTTTCTCCCAACAATTGAAGAGCCAAGAAAAAGGGAGATTCTTAAGAGATGGGAAATAGAATCTCATCTACCCCTGTTTCCCCCAGAACAGTGAAACTGAATCTTAAGGGTAAGATAGAATAGTGTGTACTTAACTTAGATGGAGAAGAAAGGCTGCCAAAATGAGATCTGAAGCGCTATTACAAATATTTCCATCGTTACTGTACTTCAGAATGAATTACAACCGTAAGTTTTTTTACTTCCTCATTCATAAATTTGATTATTCCTTATACCACTTCTCAGCTTTCATCATTCTTTATTGTACTTTTCTATGTAATGTTTGCCTATTATACAGCAACTTAAGAGAACTGTAAGTTTGGACATTTCATTTTGGTGTTGATAATAGAATATCTTTGAATAGTTCTATAGTTGATGAGTAGAACCATGAACCAAGTAACTTAAAGTCCTTGATGTTATTTATTACAGAGAACTATAATAGAAGCTCTCCCGCTAATGTTTCCATCATGTGTACAAAAAGTTTTCTTGTTATTAAAGCTAGTCCGTTTAACTTACAATAAGCATAAATAGCTAAGCTGTGAAAGTTACCTGTGATAATGCTAATTTTCCCATTTATTAAAAGGCAAGTTGTTTTCCGATCATAAGAAATTTAGAAAAGCCATCCAAAGATAAATTCCGAGTGATATATTCCTGCTGTTTGTTATGTTTTCTCAAATTAATTGAGTTTTATTTTACAATGACAGGAGTTATTAAAGTATTTTATTTTTATTATGATTAAGATTTTCAAAGTAACATTTCTTATATGAAAGAAATTATGTTAATGCATGTTTTTCTTACATGGGAAATCATATATTTTAAAAATGATTTTAAAATTCGTTTTACTTTAAGTTGTATTATCTTTCTCAAAAGTGGCTAGTGCTTGACCAGAAAAAAAGACACCAGCATAACTCAGTGTATCTTTATTTACATAGGAAATGGCCATTTTCAAGATTGCAGCTCTCCAAAAAGTTGTAGATAATAGTGTTTCTTTGTCTGAACTAGAACTGGCTAATAAACAGTACAATGAACTGACTGCTAAGTACAGGGACATCTTGCAAAAAGATAATATGCTTGTTCAAAGAACAAGTAACTTGGAACACCTGGAGGTAAGTTTGTGTGATTCTTGAACCTTGTGAAATTAGCCATTTTTCTTCAATATTTTTGTGTTTGGGGGGATTTGGCAGATTTTAATTAAAGTTTGCCTGCATTTATATAAATTTAACAGAGATATAATTATCCATATTATTCATTCAGTTTAGTTATAAATATTTTGTTCCCACATAACACACACACACACACACAATATATTATCTATTTATAGTGGCTGAATGACTTCTGAATGATTATCTAGATCATTCTCCTTAGGTCACTTGCATGATTTAGCTGAATCAAACCTCTTTTAACCAGACATCTAAGAGAAAAAGGAGCATGAAACAGGTAGAATATTGTAATCAAAGGAGGGAAGCACTCATTAAGTGCCCATCCCTTTCTCTTACCCCTGTACCCAGAACAAACTATTCTCCCATGGTCCCTGGCTTTTGTTCCTTGGAATGGATGTAGCCAACAGTAGCTGAAATATTAAGGGCTCTTCCTGGACCATGGATGCACTCTGTAAATTCTCATCATTTTTTATTGTAGAATAAATGTAGAATTTTAATGTAGAATAAATTTATTTAATGTAGAATAAAAAATAAAAAAACTAGAGTAGAATATCATAAGTTACAATCTGTGAATATGGACCAGACCCTTTGTAGTTATCTTACAGCCACTTGAACTCTATACCTTTTACTGAGGACAGAACAAGCTCCTGATTTGTTCATCTTCCTCATCAGAAATAGAGGCTTATGGATTTTGGATTATTCTTATCTAAGATCCTTTCACAGGAGTAGAATAAGATCTAATTCTATTAGCTCAAAAGCTTTTGCTGGCTCATAGAGACACATTCAGTAAATGAAAACGTTGTTCTGAGTAGCTTTCAGGATTCCTACTAAATTATGAGTCATGTTTATCAATATTATTTAGAAGTAATCATAATCAGTTTGCTTTCTGCTGCTTTTGCCAAAGAGAGGTGATTATGTTACTTTTTATAGAAAATTATGCCTATTTAGTGTGGTGATAATTTATTTTTTTCCATTCTCCATGTCCTCTGTCCTATCCTCTCCAGCATTAGAAAGTCCTAGGCAAGAGACATCTTGTGGATAATGTATCAATGAGTGATGTTTAACGTTATCATTTTCCCAAAGAGTATTTTTCATCTTTCCTAAAGATTTTTTTTTTTTTTTTTTGAGATGGAGTTTCATTCTGTCACCCAGGCTGAGTGCAGTGGCACGATCTCGGCTTAACGCTTACTGCATCCTCTGCCTCCCAGATTCAAGCAGTTCTCCTGCCTCAGCCTCTGAGTAGCTGGGATTACAGGTGTGCACCACCACACCAGCTAATTTTTTTTTTTTTTTTTTTTTTTTTGAGGCAGAGTCTCGCTCTGTCACCCAGGCTGGAGTGCAGTGGCGCCATCTTGGCTCACTGCAAGCTCCACCTCCCGGGTTCAGGCCGTTCTCCTGCCTCAGCCTCCTGAGTAGCTGGTACCACAGGCACCCACCATCATGCCCGGCTAATTTTTTGTATTTTTAGTAGAGATGGGGTTTCACCTTGTTAGCCAGGATGGTGTCGATCTCCTGAACTCGTGATCCACCCGCCTCGGCCTCCTAAAGTGCTGGGATTACAGATGTGAGCCACCGCACCTGGCCCCAGTTGTAATTGTGAATATCTCATACCTATCCCTATTGGCAGTGTCTTAGTTTTATTTTTTATTATCTTTATTGTGGCAGCCATTATTCCTGTCTCTATCTCCAGTCTTACATCCTCCTTACTGCCACAAGAATGATCATTCTAAACATGAATCCTACCCTGTGACTCCCATGTGACTCCCCGCCTTAAAAACTGTCAAAAGCTACCGGTTACCTGAAGGGTAAAAGTCAAGTCCCCTACTTACCTCATGTCATCTAGAGCAAGAGATGAACTAGCTGAGTTTTCTGACCACAGTGTTCTTTCTTATGTATGTTCTTTTGTACGTGCTCTTTTCTATATATAGGGAACCATTTCTCTCTTCCAGTTGTTTTGCTCAGTGAATTTCTATTCCTGTTTCAAAACTTGTTCAGGCATTACCTTTTTTTTCTTAAGCATACTTTTTTTAATGGAACAAAGTCACTCCTGTCTACACTAGTTCTGCATCTTATACATAGGTTTTGTACATAGTACATATTTATATCACATCAAATTATATGTGTTTACATATCTGTCTTCCTTAATGGAATATAAGTCTTTTGATATAAGGAACTATTTAATTTGTTTCTGTGTGTTGAGTATCTCCTGTTTGGCACAGAGTTCAAGCTAATACATGAGAGTGATTAGTGGTGGAGAGCCACAGTGCATGTGGTGTCAAATATGGTGCTTAGGAAATTATTGTTGCTTTTTGAGAGGTAAAGGTTCATGAGACTAGAGGTCACGAAAATCAGATTTCATGTGTGAAGAATGGAATAGATAATAAGGAAATACAAAAACTGGATGGGTAATAAAGCAAAAGAAAAACTTGAAATTTGATAGTAGAAGAAAAAAGAAATAGATGTAGATTGAGGTAGAATCAAGAAGAGGATTCTTTTTTTGTTGTTTTTTTTTTTGAAACAGAGTCTCACTGTGTTGCCCAGGCTGGAGTGCAGTGGAGTGATCTTGGCTTACTGCAACCTCTGCCTCCCAGGTTCAAGCGATTCTTCTGCTTCAGTCTCCCGAGTAGCTGGAATTACAGGTGCCCACCAGCACGGCCGGCTAATTTAGTAGAGACAGGGTTTTGCCATGTTGGCCGGGCTGGTCTCAAACTTTGGATCTCAGGTAATCCGCCAGCCTCAACTTCCCAAAGTGCTGGGATTACAGGCATGAGCCACTGTGCCCAGCCTGTTTTTTTTTTTTTAAAGGAGACCAGTGAAGTTTCAGGAGGAGGGAAAGAAAATTTAGAGTTACTAGGGAGAGAGTGATGAAGATAAGAGATGAAAGTGGTAATAAGGGAAATAGCAAAATATCAGGGTAGGTGGGAGAAAAAGAGATTTGTAACAAACAATAGGATTATCCTGTGAAAAAGGATGAAAGGAAGAAAAAAATGGATAGAAAGATATTTAAAACACCCTCAGCCTCCTGTTTTCCCTCCTGTGTATTCATAGTATATAAAACTATAATTATGTACTTTACTTAAAAAATATATTATTATTACCTTATCGTGCTTATTTAATCATAGCATGTCCTCTTTTTAGTCTCATTACCCTGTTTGTATTATTCTTCATAACACTTAATACCTGACATTGTATTATATATTGGCTTATTTTCCAGGTACTCCACTCAAATATAAGTTCTAGGATATAATTTATTTATCACTGAAATCCATTGCTTAGAGTACCTGGCATGTAGTAAATAGGCATTCTGTTTTTTCAAATAAAAAATAAAGGAACTTAAGATATATATTTATGTTATATCGCCAGCCTTTTTCCTCACAGCTCTATTCTGTTGTACAGAATTACCTACTTTACAATTCCTGTGTTTCAAGGGGATCTCAAATTTAACGTGTCCACAATGAACTCCTGATTTCTGTTTCTCTCCTAGTCATTCTTATTTCAATATATGTTCAGTTACCTAACCAGCTAGTCAAGGCAGATACTTTAGAGTTATTCTGTAGTCATTCTTTTTCCCTACCATTTTTGTTTTCCAAATGTAATTTATGTGTGTCTTCTTCATCCTCGCAGCTCTAACCCTTGTCCAAACCAGCATCATCACTCATCTGGAGTTCCACAATGTCTTTCTGGCTAGTTTCCCTGATTTCTCTATTGACCCCTTTATTCTCCACAGTGCAGCCAGAATGATTGTTTAAAACTTCCTCCTTAAAATCTTTAAATTGTTTTCTTTTATACGTTAAGTTAAATTCCAGTTCCTTGTCTTGGCATGCCATGCCCTGCCTGGTGTGGCCCCTGATGGTCTCTCCAACTTCATGTTTTACTACTATTGACTCTTATTTTTGCTTACTCTGCTTGGGTGCTCCAGTCCTCCAAATCATTTCCTGCTCCAATCATTTCAATCATTTTTTCCTCTCAGATCTTATAGTATTCCAAATGCTTTCTTCCTTTGGAGCATCTGGGTTTACTAATAAATACTTCGTACCTCACAGTTCAGCTTAAATATCAATTATTTGGTGGTTAAGACATCCTTCAACCGCTCTATCTAAATGTTCCTTTCTATTATTCACTGGCTCAGTACTCTGTTTTTATTTTCTTTCTAAATGTCAACTTTTTTTTTTTTGAGTCAGGGTCTCACTGTTGCCCAGGCTCGAGTGCAGTTGCACAATCATAGCTCATTGCAGCCTTGCCCTCCTGGGATCAAGTAATTCTCCCACCTCAGCCTCCAAAATAGCTGGGATTACAGGTATGCATCACCATGCTCAGCTAATTTTTTGTGTTTTTTTGTAGAGATGAGGTCTCACTTTGTTGCCCAGGCTGGTCTCAAACTCCTGGACTCAAGTGATTCTCCCACCTCAGCCTCCCAAAGTGCTGGGGTTACAGGTGTGAGCCACTGCACCTGGTCGATACTGACTTTTTTTTTTTTTTGAGATGGAGTTTTGCTCTGTTGCCCAGGCTAGAGCGCAGTGGTGTGATCTCAGCTCACTGCAACCTCCACCTCCCAGGTTAAAGGGATTCTTCTGCCTCAGTCTCCTGAGTAGCTGGGATTACAGGCAAGTGCCATCATGACTGGCTAATTTTTGTATTTTTAGCACTATGTTTAGTACTGTGTTGGCCAGGCTTGTCTCGAACTCCTGACCTCAAGTGATCCACCCACCTCAGCCTCCCAAAGTGCTGGGATTACAGGTGTGAGCCACCGTAATCGGCCAACATTGACATTTTTAGTAGACTTTTTGTTTGTTTACTTGCTTATTATCTGCTGCCTTCCACACTCTGGCGAAATCCTGCCACCCACCCACACACACATAGGCACTGAATGGGCAGAACTCTGAAGGCCAGAATTTTATATTTCTTTTCACTGTAAACATCATCATCTGTCACTGATGGCACACTAGGATGCTCAGCAACTGTGTGCATGAAGGAAGTAAGCACTAGTTTGTGAAGGCTGCAAAACTCTTGAGTATTCTAAGAGTTTTGGCCAAAATGAATGTACAGCTTTAGTGGCAGAAGCTAATACTCAGAAATTGAGGCCGTATATTGGATAACACAGGATTTGGATGATTATTTTAAAATAATATTTTACATTGTATATATGTGTGTGTGTGTGTGTGTGTGTGTGTGTATGTGTGTGTGTGTGTATATATATATGTATGTATGTGTATTAGTCCGTTCTCATGCTGCTATGAAGAAATACCTGAGACTGGGTAATTTATAAAGGAAAGAGGTTTAATTGACTCACAGTTCCACAGAGCTGGGGAGGCCTCAGAAAACTTAACAGTTATGGCAGAAGGGGAAGCAAACACATTTTTCTTCACATGGTGGCCGGAATTAGAAGAATGTGAGCCGAGCAAAGGGGAAAGCCCCTTATAAAACCATCAGACATCGTGAGAACTTACTATTATGAGAATAGCGTGGGGGAAACCACCCCCACGATTCAATTACCTCCCACCAAATCCCTCCCATGACATATGAGGATTATGGGAACTATGATTCAAGATGAGATTTGGGTAGGGACACAGCCAAACCATATCAGTATGTATATGTATACAAGTATTATATATATATGTATGTGTTTGTATGCATACATGTATTATATATGGAGGAAATTCTAATTTTGTAAAAAACTGGATTGTGAGTTTTAAGGAGATGTTATATAAAGTTAAGACAATGTCATTTTGTGGTATTGGTCTGAATTACAATGTAGTTTCTTAGTGATATTTTTCCTTTATTCAGTGTGAAAACATCTCCTTAAAAGAACAAGTGGAGTCTATAAATAAAGAACTGGAGATTACCAAGGAAAAACTTCACACTATTGAACAAGCCTGGGAACAGGAAACTAAATTAGGTAAGTTTTATGACTCTGATAATATAAAATGATTAACATCTAATAATGAATATTTCTTATTTAAAGTTCCTTTTTTATGCTAGATTAAAAGGAAGTATTTTGACTAAAAAAAGAAAGAACTTTCTGCCTAATAATTTAACTTAGGCAGATGAATAATCCTGTACTTAACCCCACCAAAGTTTAGTTTTCAGTCCTTAAGTTAGATTTGTTTCTAATGAAATCATATATGTTAAAAATTTATGACTAAGTATTAGCTACTTTGAACCGTTTAACAATTAAAACTGATGATATTTTATTAATGGTATTATGAGTTCTTTCACTGAGTGCAAGTTATATTAGTTATATATCACTTGATATTTTTAAATTAAAAGATACCAGGAAACAGCAAAGAAAATGTGAAAAGAAGTTGTATTTCTCATAGTTTTACTACTATATTACTGTATATTTTTGCTCCTATATGCTTACATATTTTATATATTTTAAATTATTATAAACATGGTTTTATACTGTATTTAGATAGTAATATCAAAAATATTTTTATGGCCGGCGCAGTGGCTCACACCTGTAATTCCAGCACTTGGGAGGCTGAGGAGAGCAGATCCCCTGGGGTCAGGAGTTCGAGACCAGCCTGGCCAACATGGCAAAACCCCATCTCTACTAAAAGTACAAAAATTAGCCAGGCGTGGTGGCAGTTGCCTGTAATTCCATCTACTCAGGAGGCTGAGGCAGGAGAATTGCTTGAACCTAGGAGTCAGAGGTTGCAGTGAGCCAAGATCATACCACAGCACTCCAGCCTAGGCGATAAGAGTGAGACTCCGTCTCAAAAAAAAAAAAAAATTTGTTTTATTCATCATACTTATAAATACTTATACAATAGCCTAATGTGTTTGAGTGATTAAATCACTAGCTTTTTATATTTTTGCTATTGCTTATAGTGCCACAGTGAACATTTTCATGTATATCTAACAGAGATATTACTGTCTCAGAAGGTATTGAAATCTTTGTTGCTCTCATTAGAGTTTTCCATATTAATTTTTCAAACAGTTATATAGTTTATAAGATTTTCATAATTTTATCTCATATATTGTGCTTCATAATTTTCAAATAAATTTGCTGCTTTCGATAATGTATTTTCATGTATTTGTTTCCTAGACGTTAGAGCTATTCAAGGTTTTTATTACTAAATAGAGCTGTTCTCTTAAATTGGTAATGAGATACTTGGTTTAGAGAAGCCTAACACTGGGAAATCTTACATAAGCTACTTTTAGAAATGTAATTTTTAGCTCAATAAGAGATTAAATATGAATTGACTTTTGTGTAGTATTTGCATGGAAGAAGGTACCATTTAAATGAAGACATGAGAGTATTACGTACAATTTTAGTAGGTTCTTTTTATTTTATCATCTTTATTTTTAATAAATGCTGAATTCCCTACAGAAATTCTTTAATTTTTACATATCTTGATCTCTTTCATATATGGATTTATATCACCGAAGTTTTAAGAGTGTTTCCCTATTCCCTGTTGCCCTTATATCTTTGTTTAAAAATGTCACATCATTAGCTTTTTTTCATCTAGGAATTTGTTAGTGTTGGGCTGTTGTGCTCTACCCTCTCTTTAAGAAAACTCCAAACCCAAAAACATACAAGATGGCTAGTCTGCTTCAGCCTTTGTGATGTGCTTTTCTCTTCTAATCAGAGTTTAGCACAATACAGAATGGAGAAGGACTCCTTTATATATTGGTATTTATTGCAGTATTTTTCTACATGGTGCCTAAGGTTACTTGAATGAGTCTTTATTCCATAATGAACTGATTTACTAATGCTTTTAGCACCTGTTAGTGATCCATTATTGTTAGTTACTTGATTACTGCTTGCCACAGCTATTCTAAAATAATACATTTTAAAGATAAATACAGAACATAATGAAGTACTTTTTAAAACTGAGATAGAGACCAATTTTTTTTTCAGGAAATGTATATTACTTTGAGAAAACTCAGTTATAAAACTTGAACTTATGAAGCTGGAAAAACAGGAGGGGGCATTATTGGTATTGTAAAAGGCTGTTTACAAAGTGAGTTGCTGCTTAGTTCCTTTAAGTAATTGGCTACCCTAAACACATCAGTTTTAAGTTGCTGAAAAGCAAAACACTCTACCAAATTTTGTTTTTTTTCTAGACCATGTTTACAAAGCAAAAGTATGTTTTCTTCCCCCCCCCTCAAAAAATGACTAATGACACTCCTATGCGATGCCTTTTTATGGTAAATTGAGGCTTTTAGTTCTCTTTCCATTTAGCCACAGACTTTTGTGTCCAAAGACAAGCTGCGTAACTGCATATATAAGGTTAAGGCATAACTACTAATAAAAGAATGTAAAATATTTGATATTAGGTCTGTACAAAGACCAAATAATACTCATGATTAGACAAGATTATATTTGGTAGAATCTATCCATCATATGGCTTCAGATTTTACTTTTCAGCTTGGCTTTGTGAGACTTTAAAAATCAAGTCATTGCACTTATATTCACAAAGTCACATTGCTTTACTGCATTGCTTCTCATACAGTTTATCTCCTTTCAGTAAAATGTTTACTTGCCATTTTTAAAATTTCTTATATGTGACACTTCTACACTAAGTCCTTTATGTTGTTAGTTCCACAATTCTGTGAGGAATAGGTTTTTTTTTTTAATCATTTGATTGATGAAGAACATTAAGTTCCACAGAGATTAAATGGTACAGGCATCACACAGGCAGGAAGTAACAGAGCTAAGATTAGAGTCCAGGTCTGATGGAATTCAGAAAGCTAATGTGCTTTCCATGGAACTATAATGCTTTCTAATATACAGCATCTAAAATATCTGAGGTAATTTTAATATAAACAGCATGAGATTGACTTAAATATTATTGCATGTAGGTAATGAATCTAGCATGGATAAGGCAAAGAAATCAATAACCAACAGTGACATTGTTTCCATTTCAAAAAAAATAACTATGCTGGAAATGAAGGAATTAAATGAAAGGCAGCGGGCTGAACATTGTCAAAAAATGTATGAACACTTACGGACTTCGTTAAAGCAAATGGAGGAACGTAATTTTGAATTGGAAACCAAATTTGCTGAGGTTTGATATTATAAGTTTTATCATACAATTATAGAATAAAGAATTAGTTTTGGTAGACATTGTATTATTGTTAAGTGGTTTGTCTGGATCTCTGAAATATCTTATTAATATAGTGCCTATGTTTTGTGTAATAAATAAATAAAAGATTTAAATCTGAATTGTTTAAAAGGAAAGCAGATATTTCTGTAAGTTTTTCTCACCAATGTTATATTATTAGATTTAATTTATGAAATGTTATTTACTAAACAATGGAATTGCCTTTCACCACCATCCCTTCATTTAACAAATATTTATTCATTGCCTATTACATGTCAGACCCTGTGTTGGGACTGGCAGTATAGCAAGAAACAAAATAGACAATAATCTCTACTTTCAGGGACTTTACATTCTAATTGGTGGTTTTATATATTTTTGATGTGGTCAGAATCATTAAACTGTGTGGCAGTAAATATAGTTTGCAAGTATTTAACAATTTATGATTAAACACAACTCTTACAGTGTTTGCTTACCTTGAGATTTAATATATTTTCAAAGCATTTATATCATTTTTGTTTTAACTATGTCACTAAATCTATATGAGTAAGATTTTATTAACTCATTTGGATTTATTTATAGATGATACAATTGAAGTAAAATATAATGAGCAGATTGCATTCTAAGCAAAGTAAGAATATTGCAAGTTCAGATATTATTAGATAATGAGTTGCCTAATAAAAATGACTTTTGGTGGATTGGAATATAACCAGAGTTTCCATAGTTTGTTTCTGATTCTTTCATATTTTTTACCCTCCTTCAGTCTGTTCTTAACACTTCACACTTAATATAATATGTGAACTAAGGCCAAGTAAAGAGGATTGCAGTACTTTAAAAGCTAAATTACAAAGAAAACCTCACCAAAAATTGATGTATCTGAACATTTTTTGTTACATTTCCTTAGCTTACCAAAATCAATTTGGATGCACAGAAGGTGGAACAGATGTTAAGAGATGAATTAGCTGATAGTGTGAGCAAGGCAGTAAGTGATGCTGATAGGCAACGGATTCTAGAATTAGAGAAGAATGAAATGGAACTAAAAGTTGAAGTGTCAAAGTAAGTGCATATAAGCATTTTAGCCATTTGACTAGATGTATCTTCTTTAATTTGTCTTTAAGAAACCCAATTACAGGTATACAATTCTTAGTAGTAATTGATACTGATTTCTTTTTATAAGAACAGGATTAAGTAATATTAAGATCGGTTTTAACAGGGTTAAATAATAATATTGACGAGAATAATATTGTTAAAGAGGAAGTGACCTCTCAAGATTTGCATTTTTTAGAGTTCAGGAATATTATTGCAGAAAGGTCCAGTTCCTCCACATATTGATTTTTTGGGGAAGGGGTGATGGAGGAGGAATGGTTGTTTATTGTATTTAAACTTAAGTTTCTTCATTTTAATAAGGGAGTAATAGTACCTCTTCTACCTGTTTCATAAGGTTGCTGTAAGAATATAATAAAAAATTCAGATTTTGATTTAGTTTACATTTATCGGGCATCTACTATGTACTAGTCACGGTGCAAGGTATTAAACATATATTGACTTGTACAATTATACTTAACCTTGAGGTTATATTTTTGTTTTCATTTTACATGAAGAAATATGCCCAGCTAGTTTAGAACACAAAATATATATAAGGAGTAAATACTGCGTGCTGGCTGGGCGTGGTGACATGTGCCTGTAGCCCCAGCTACTCGGGAGGCAGAGGCAGGAGAATCGCTTGATCCCGGGAGGTGGAGGTTGCAGTGAGCCGAGATCGCGCCACTGCACTCCTGCCTGGTGACAGAGCGAGACTCTGTCAAACAAACAAACAAACAAAGAAAAACAAAACAAAAAAACCGTGTGCCAGCTATATGCTGTATTTTCATTCTCTTTTGTAATTAGGTGATATTTCAGTAGAAAAGTATAAGGAGCACTTAGTTAATCTGTCAAGCATAAATAGTAAAAATATTTTATGGCCTACTCATAAAAATATAACCATTCCTTTGGAGCCTTGATAGTTCTCTTGGGAATATCAGTTTTTGACATCTTTTTCACTATGAAAGACCCTTTTTTTTAAAAAAATTGATCCTTTCTTCTCATGGACCTCTTTTGATATAAACTAACTTATAATAGTTCATTTTAATCATATTTTGTTAATCATGCAACTGGCAATGAGAGCCTCTCATCAGTATGAGGAAACCTGCCTTATCTATAATACTGAACTAAAATTATTCTAACCCAAAGCAAAGAAACTTTACATTTTGCTTTGCCTGTATTAGCTTATCACAGTATTCATGAGGGAATTTGAAGGACTTATTACCATTAGGCTATCTCTTTTTTTTTTTTTTTGTAATTTTATTAAATGCATGTTTTGTTTCTTTTCACATTACTGATAACTTGTAGATTAAAACAAATCAAAACATGCATTAATCCATCTAAGGATCCTAGAAATTTTACATTTCTGTGTTCTTAACTGTGTGATGGTCTTAGATAAATGTACTAAATACCTTATCCTAGCATATTCCAAATTATGACAATAAATGTTTTATGGAAAAAAGTATGGGAACAGAAGTTCTTTGGCTATATACATTTGGAAAATACTATATAGTAAGTATGATTTGAGATAATTATATATGATAGAACCTCTGGGAGCACTGAATATATGTTAGGAATATTCAAGAGGGAGGAGGGATGTTGAGAATGAAGTTTTTTTTATATAGCAAACATGATAACCTCTGATGGAATTATGTTTCATGAAACAGTTTAGGAAATCCTGTTTTAATATTTCATACAAAGAAGAGATAGATGCTGAAAACGAATGGCTTTTTGAAAAAGGGTCTAGAAATTTTGAATTTTGGCATTTACTTAGAAAGTGTACTTAATTGTTCCTGAAATACCTTATCATTTCCTAGACTGAGAGAGATTTCTGATATTGCCAGAAGACAAGTTGAAATTTTGAATGCACAACAACAATCTAGGGACAAGGAAGTAGAGTCCCTCAGAATGCAACTGCTAGACTATCAGGTATGTGCAGTATTGGCTCTTCTACATAGAATCCACTTTTTTCCCTAAATTTACATTAGATGTTGGGAGTGGGATATGTTATACTTTTTGTTTGTTTCGAGATAGGGTCTCATTCTGTTGCCCAGGGTGGAGTGCAGTGGTACATTCAAGGCTCATTGCAGCCTTCACCACCTGGGTTCAGGTGATCCTCCCACCTCAGCCTCTTAGACAGCTGGGACTACAGGCACGTGCCACCACACCTAATTTTTTTGCATTTTTTGTAGAGACAGGGTTTCACCATGTTGCCTAGGCTGGTCCCAAACTCCTGGGTTAAAATGATCTGCCCACCTTGACTTCCCAGAATGCTGGGATTACAGGTATGAGCCACCATGCTGGGCCATTGTTACATTTTTAATCAAAAGATATACCAACCAGAGGCTGTTATTCTTGTTAGTTGGAACCTGATTAGAAAGCTCTTTAATTTGAAATATTGTTCAGTAATCCAGTACAGCATTTAAATGCCTATAGATGAATTATGCTGCTGATCAAAATTAGGACACTGAGAATTGTAGTTAGTAAATCTTTAATAACAATATTTTCTCTTGTATTTATATGTAACTTTTTACATATTCTTACGTTATATATGTTGGGAATTATAAAAACATACACATTGTCCTGATCAGTATTATGTTACTTGCAATGGAGGTTAAAAAAAAACTGTAACAGTCAGGCATGGTGGCTCACGCCTGTAATCCCAGCACTCTGGGAGGCCGAGGCAGGCGGATCACGAGGTCAGGAGTTCGAGACCAGCCTGACCAATATGGTGAAACCCCGTCCCTACTAAAAATACAAAAGTTAGCCAGGCGTGGTGGCATGTGCCTGTAATCCCAGCTACCCAGGAGGCTGAGGCAGGAGAATTGCTTGAACCCGGGAGGTGGAGGTTGCAGTGAGCCAAAATCACGCCATTGCACTCCAGCTTGGGTGACAGAGTGAAACTCTGTCTCAAAAAAAAAAAAAAAAAACACCAGTAACATACCCACTGTTATTCAGTTACATTTGGATTTTAAGTTTGTTTGATTCTAGGTTTTTTCTTTTACAGTTCTTTGGTAATTATTTGTATTAAAGCAAAGTTACATTTTTGTAGATCTCATGTGCCACTGTGTTAAAACTTTGCTTAGTAAATTGTGAATTTTAAATCTGTGATAACTTTCACTGGAAAAATTTGAAACTTACTACAAATATATATTTTTTTTAATATCAGGCACAGTCTGATGAAAAGTCGCTCATTGCCAAGTTGCACCAACATAATGTCTCTCTTCAACTGAGTGAGGCTACTGCTCTTGGTAAGTTGGAGTCAATTACATCTAAACTGCAGAAGATGGAGGCCTACAACTTGCGCTTAGAGCAGAAACTTGATGAAAAAGAACAGGCTCTCTATTATGCTCGTTTGGAGGGAAGAAACAGAGCAAAACATCTGCGCCAAACAATTCAGTCTCTACGACGACAGTTTAGTGGAGCTTTACCCTTGGCACAACAGGAAAAGTTCTCCAAAACAATGATTCAACTACAAAATGACAAACTTAAGATAATGCAAGAAATGAAAAATTCTCAACAAGAACATAGAAATATGGAGAACAAAACATTGGAGATGGAATTAAAATTAAAGGGCCTGGAAGAGTTAATAAGCACTTTAAAGGATACCAAAGGAGCCCAAAAGGTAAACATTTAAACTTGATTTTTTTTTTTAAGAGACAGTATCTTGATCTGTTTCCCAGGCTGGAGTTCAGTGGTGCAAACATAGCTGGAACTCCTGGGCTCAAGGGACTCTCTAGCCTCAGCCTCCTGAGTAGTTGTAGCTGGCAGTACAGGTGCACACCACCATACCTACCTAATTTTTTAAAATTTTTAAATTTTTTTGTAGAGACAAGGTCTCACTTTGTCACCCAGGCTGGCCTTGAACTCCTGGCTTCAAGTAATCCTCCTGCTTTGGTCTCTCAAAAGTGCTGAGATTACAGGCATGAGCCACTGTGCCCAGCCAATTTTAAATTCATTATCTTCAAAAGAGTTACATGATAATTTCTTAATATATGCCTATATGAAAAATGCTTAAGATACAAATTCCAATTATGATTCATTAATTTAGATTTTATAACTTAGCAGTGTTGGCTATTTGAATGTCTATTATACGTAAAAATAAAATTAGGCTTTTCTAACCAAAGATTTTAGTGGGAATGTTCAGATTGTATAATAGCAAAGAATTTTAATTACTATAGGAAAATTTATATTAATTAAACACTAATTATTATATTTAAACATTGTAGTAGTTATCAGTTGATTTCTACTGTTCATAATTATCTTTGATCTACAAGTAGTGGGCCCACATTTACTTTTAATATGGTTTAATCTTCATTTAGAAAGAATTAAATGAAAAATAATTATCTTGCAACTACATCCTGTTCTCTAGGCTAGAAACATTTAGGATTTCTGTTTTTGAAAGTAATACCAAAGTTCCAATGACCTGCTTATAGTCAGTGTTCAATAAACGTATAACAAATGAAAGTGAATATTAGTGATGTCCATTCCAACATAATTTGAAGATTTTTATTGTAAAATCCCACATATTTGTAGAAAAGTCTATGGAAATCCTAAATAAGATTTTGTCATGTAGTTTGACAAAAGATAACATTGTGTCTTATTTTATTTTAGAATGGCCATTACTTTCAATTAAAATCATTATCATCAATGGAGGAATGTTATTTGTTAATATAGCATTTATATTTGTGTATATAAATTGTAAATCTTAGGTAATCAACTGGCATATGAAAATAGAAGAACTTCGTCTTCAAGAACTTAAACTAAATCGGGAATTAGTCAAGGATAAAGAAGAAATAAAATATTTGAATAACATAATTTCTGAATATGAACGTACAATCAGCAGTCTTGAAGAAGAAATTGTGCAACAGAACAAGGTTTTATTTTATATTTATTTCATTTTTTTCCCTAAGTTTTTTTTTTTTTTTTTTTTTTTTGAGATGGAGTCTCACTCTGTCGCCCAGACTGGAGTGCAGTGGCGTGATCTCGGCTCACTGCAAGCTCTGCCTCCCGGGTTCATGCCATTCTCCTGCCTCAGCCTCCCAAGTAGCTGGGACTACAGGCACCCGCCACCGTGCCTGGCTAATTTTTTGTATTTTTAGTAGAGACGGGGTTTCACCATATTAGCCAGGATGGTCTTGATCTCCTGACCTCATGATCCGCCCGCCTCGGCCTCCCAAAGTGCTGGGATTACAGGCGTGAGCCCCTAAGATTTTAAACAAGAATATTGCACAAATGACTATGTTATCCTTCTAATTAAGTGCACCTTCCATTACTAATTGATTATATAATAATTTGTTTTTTATTTTCTAAACTATTCTAAAAATTCATATTTATTTAGCTTTTATAACAGTAGTCTTAATCTTAAAAACGGCAATACATAAGCAACCTCATTTGGTAAGTTAATTTTTATTTTGATATTGGTTATTTGACTTTTCACAGTTCCACGTTTCTACTGGCTCTCACTGATAGAGTAAGAAGTCAGCTTCTTATAGAATAAAGTATATACTTCAGAGACAGATGAAATTCGTCAAACATATGACTGTCTCAGAGATTGTTCCCCCTGCTTAAATTGTTCTTACCCTAGATACCTTTGGTATTTACACTGTCAGTGCCTGCAGGTCTTAGCTCAAATGTCTTACCTTATCAGTGTATCCTTCACCAGCCACCTAATATACAACAGTAAATCCTACTATCCAGATTCCTAAATAGAGATTAATTAACTTAATTTTTCTCCAAAGTGCTTGTAACCTTCTGACGTATTACATACTTACTGGTTTATTATTGACTGTCTTTCCTTCGCCAGAATGCAAGTTCCGTGGTGACACGGACTTGGTTTTGTTTACTGCCATGTTTGTATTTCCTAGAATGATGCTTGGCACATAATATATGTCATCAAATATCTTTCGTATAGCTGAACGGATGGATGGATGGATGGATGGATGGATGGATAGACTGAAATCCTTACTTCACATCTGCCTTTGTGATCTTACACAAGTTACTTCACCTCTCTGAGTTTGTATTTTTTTCCATAAAAGGAAAATAATTACAGTTTCTTCAATGTGTTGTGAGGATTAGATAAGAAAATATATATAAAATGCCTGTTATGTGCCTGATGTCTTCGTGTATGTGTCTGACACAAATTGTCCTTTTTTTAGTTTCATGAAGAAAGACAAATGGCCTGGGATCAAAGAGAAGTTGACCTGGAACGCCAACTAGACATTTTTGACCGTCAGCAAAATGAAATACTAAATGCGGCACAAAAGGTATGAATGATTAATCTTGTTTGTTACTCTGTAGCATAGTCTAGAGTGTTAACTCACAGAAATATTTCCTGTATCAGATGTAATTTTAATTGATGTTATATTGTATATTTAAAATATAAGAGGGGTTTAATCTATGTTTTATCATACAGCTGTAAAAATTAATAGTTACTCTCAATGCTGCAACTGCTTTTTTAAAAAACATACTATTTCTTAATAGTTTGAAGAAGCTACAGGATCAATCCCTGACCCTAGTTTGCCCCTTCCAAATCAACTTGAGATCGCTCTAAGGAAAATTAAGGAGAACATTCGAATAATTCTAGAAACACGGGCAACTTGCAAATCACTAGAAGAGGTAATTAGAAGAATTTGCATTTTGATTAGTGTATTATTTGGTATGTTTGGGGGGCTTTCTAAATAATATTTCTTTATGAGGGCAATGCATAGAATGATGAATCTATTGCTAATTTCACTATTTTTCTATTCTCCTATAATGTTTCTAATAGCCAATAATGAACAGCAGATATAGTTAATTTGAATTCACTATTTAATTATTAGTTGGTACCTTTCGGTACACTGAATATGAAAGGAAATAAAAAGCATTTAATTGTAGTTCTATGAGCAATATATTCTCTTATATGATCTCTTTATTCTTACTTTTTTGGTTTTATTTTGAAGTGCATGTTACATAATCTATGAATCAATTTTCAGTTCATTGCCTTTAATGCATGGTTAAAGGGTTGAAGGTAAATTAGAAATTACTTTCTGTTTTAACCTAGATCTTGAATTTGATTAGTAGGTGATCAAATCTGTCATCTTCATTAAATTATTCAGAAAATAATGTAAACTGAATGTGTTTTCATTTTAGTTTTCATCTAAATAAACTGCAAATACATTTAAAATATACATAAAGAAGTTTTTCAAGTAAAACTGTACATTTTTAATCATTTCAGGAAACGTAGATTTTCTTCAGTAATTTTAAGATTTGTCATTTATGTGAATTGCCATTGAATTACTTAATTTAAAATACTCACCTTAATCCTCTTGAAGAGTAAAAATTTTTCTGTTTTTTTCTCTTTGTTTTAATAAGCTGCGGATTTTATATTCGTAATTTATTGAGTTGGGCCTCTAAAATTCCAGTTTTGTACTTAACTGACTTATAGATTAGTCTCCTAATGCTCTGCTAGTCAATGGACCAAAATAAAAGAAATAATTTATTACATATTCTTCCTAAATCTAGTACCACCATACATGTATAATTCTAA